>NC_000016.10:8760000-9385000 GCF_000001405.40 Homo sapiens | reverse complement strand
GCTTTTGAGGAAAAACAAATATTCCAACATATTGGTTGATTACATTTTGATTTGATTCAGTGAGTGCTTTATTGAGTGTCTACTCAGTCTATAACTGTCATTTAATTTATCCTTCTAAACAACACTCATGGGGTAGGTTTTATTATTTTCATCTTATCACATGAGCAAACTGGGACTCTGAGAACTAACGCACCCTGTATCCCACAGCTCAGTTAAGAGTCGGGCAGGGAGTTAGACAGATCTGTGTCTTCCAGGGCATGAATTAAGTCAACATCTGCTTGGCTCCATGATGTTTAAAACAGAGGACTGACACCATAGATGGTTATAATCCCTCAGCATATAAACAAGGATATCCTCTAACCTACCATCTCATCAGCAGCATCTGTAAGCACCTCCTCTTGCCAATTACTGCACTGCACTGTACTGGTTATCTGTCCTGCATCCTCTCCCAAACCCCACACCCGGACCGTGAGCCTCTGGAGGACAGAAAACCATGATTTTTTTTCATCTTGTATCTGATTCAAGGTAGGGAATGAATCACCATTACGGACTTAAGTTGAAACAATTTCTTCAGAGTACAAGCAATGCCAACAACTGAATCCATTCATCAAGTCAGGAAATATTTACCAGTTAACAATTGTGAGCCTGGCCCTGAGCCAGAGACAGAGCACCACATGGAAGACAAAGCAGACAAAATGTCCCTCCTCAAGATGCTTAGTGGTATGATGAAGAGGCAGGAGGCCCTGATTTCTAGCATCTGCCAGTTGCCATGGTGTAAATATTCCTATCATGAATCAGCCAGTGATTCTCCCAACACACAAAATTGACCTTGGGGTTGATATAGTAGAGTCACCGTCACAGTGCTGAAGGAGAAGCTTATCTAGAAAGAAGGGAGGTTATGCCCAGGGGGCGCTGAGCTCTGAAAAACCAGGGAAAGGGGCTTTGAAGGGAGGTGCCTGCAGAGTAGACAGTGGGCAGGGAGGGGGCTGGCAAGGCATAAGGAGCGGACCTGAATTTATTGTGCCTCTCTCAGGGCTGAGACGAGGGTGAGGCGAGTGAGGCTTTGGATGTAAAACCAAAGGGGTGCCCCCATACTCAGCAGCCTCTTCAAGCTACCCAGCAACAAAATGGAGTTAGGAAGATGGGCTGCTTCCAGCACACTATGGATTTGTTGGGGAGGTAGACAGAAGCAAGCAAGTGAGGAAACCAAATTAAATAATCACTGATTGGTTCTATGAAGGAAATAAACAGGGTGCTAGGACAGAGAGAGATGGGGAAGTTGCCTTTAAGCTAAGAGTCGTGCATACAACTCTTTACTTTTCAAAGAGGATTTTTCAGTCCAAATTAAGCTCCAGTATTTACCATGGAGATTTACAGGAGCAGACAAATCCCTCCTCTATCCTCTTTCTTTGTGGGCCACCCTCCCCACCAGAAAAAGGGGCTGTCATTGAGGGTCTGCTACCCATGAGTCTCTCTCCTGGAAAAGGGACAGTCGCTTCCCCTCCCAGGACTTGGCAGCTGAAGAAGGTTAAACTGATTACACCCTCTGCTCCTGCTGTCTCCTGCTGCCCGCCTGATAAAGTCTTCCTCCCTGATGGCTGCTGTTGTGGGGCGAGCAGTGAATCAAATCAATAGTGTCACCTATTAGACTGATGTCAAACCCTAGAGGAGATGGTTTTTCTTCCTCCACTTTTAACAGGTATTATGTAGCCACTGGGTCCCAGAGAGACTCCTTATATTATATAATTTTATTTATTTACTAGCAGTGGGAAATGTCTCCCACTGGCCTTATTCTGTTCAGGTCAATCCAAAATGAAGACTCAGAGAAACAATGGAAACCTCTGAATTCTTTTTATTCCACCATGAGCATTAAGGCATCCATGGTTTTTCCTATGGATGAATGCCATCAAATGATCTGAGTTTTCTTTCTGACTCCACCCCTTGCTTGCTGTATGGACTGTAAGGAATCCTTTTACTTCTGCATGCCTTTGTTTTCCTCATCTATAAAGTGGGGATAATAAAGTCCAGATGCAATGGTTCACATCTGTAATCCCAGCACTTTGGGAGGCTGAGATGGGAGGATCGCTTGAGGCCAGGAGTTCGAGACCAGCCTAGGCAACAGAAAAAAAAAATCACAAAAAATTTAACAATTAGCCAGATGTGGTGGTGCATACCCATAGTCTCAGCTGCTCAAGAGGCTGAGATGGGAGGATTTCTTGAGTTCAGGAGTTAAAGTCTACAGTGAGCAATGATCACACCACTGCACTCCAGCCTGGGTGACAGAGCAAGACCACGTCTCTTAAAAAAAGGGGAAAAAAATGAACTTTTTAAAAATGGAAATAATGAAATCCACCTTGTAGGGTTGTTGTAAAGATTAGATGAATTGAGTTGATACATGCAAAGTCCCTCAAAGAATGCTGGCCATATTCGGCATTATTATTACTTTTCCATTCTTGTTTTTTGATTTCTTGAATACCTACTAAGTGCCAGGTTCTGAGCTAGGAGCTTTTGCCTATATGATCTCGTTTAAAATTGATATGTTGCTCATCATGGTTTTTTGCATTAATTTTGATTTGTTAAAATATTGCATTGAAACATTATTCATCTTGGTTGCTGAGTTTGAGGGACCCCCTTAAGTTTTGCATCCAAGGCCTCACTCACCTCACCCTAGTCTCAGCCCTGAGAAAGGCACAATAAATTCAGGTCCACTCCTTGTGCCTCCCCAGCCCCCTCCCTGCCTGCTGTCTACTCTGTAGGCACCTCCCTTCAAAGCTCCTTTCCCTGGTTTTTCGGAGCTCAATGCCCCTTGGATATATTCTCCCTTCTTTCTAGACAAGCTTCTCATTCAGCACGGTGACAGTGACTCACAGTGACGGTGACTCTACTATATTAACCCCAAGGTCAATTTTGTGTGATGGGAGAATCACTGGCTGATTGCAGAAGAGGGACAGAAGGCTGTAGCTGACACAAGCAGCCCAGAGAGGCTGGTGGCAAAAGAACAATGGGGAAGTCACAGTTTCTGGGGACATTTCTGCAGCAATAGACTTGATGGCCACGTAAATCTGGGTATAAGGAAAAAGGAGGGGCAGAGGGTGACTTGCAGGTTGGTGGTCCAGGTACCAGGGAGGATCGGTTCGATTCATGGCAGGGAGGAGGTGGGTGCCTGAGAGGTGGGGGGATCCCGCTATGCCCTGGTCCTCCCTGGGGCTATGATTTCTACCTGTGCCTCTCAGTTAAGCACAGCTAACTCCGTTTAGGGGAAAGATCATAGGCTTGGAGTCACAGAGGCCTGGGCGTAGAGATATAATTTTAATAATCACACTGAGTTCTAGTATGAAAATAGAATTGACGTTGAAACTAGAGGGGGCAGAAAACACTCATCCCTGGTTCCCTGCTCCCAGTTTGTTGCTAGGAGCTTCAAGAAAAGGTGGCTTTGGAGCAGCCATTCCTGCCTAACAGCTCTCCTCTGCTCTGGTAGACGTGGCTGTTGCACAGCACAGTTCTCCCTAAGTGAAGGCTATGCAGAAGGCACAAGCACCTGTTTCCCTCTCGGGTTGCTATGATCTGAATGTTTATGCCCCCTAAAAATGCATACGTTGAAACCTAACTCCCAATGTGATGGTACTAGAGGGTAGAGCCTTTGGAAAATGATTAGGTCATGAGGATGTTTCTGTCATGAATGGTATTAGTCCCTGCTATAGTTTGGTTGTCTGTCTCTGCCAAAACTTGTGTTCAAATTGGATCCCCAGTGTTAGAGGTGGAACCTTGTGGAAGGTGTCTGGGTTATGGGGGGCGGGTCTCTCATAAATGGCTTGGTGCTATCCTCACAATAATGAGTGAGTTCTCTATTAGTCCCTGCAAGAGCTGGTTGTTTAAAAGAACCTGGCGCCTCTTCCCTCCCTCTCTTGCTTCCTCTGTTGCCTTGTGATCTCTTCATATATGGACTCCCCTTCCCCTTCCACCATGAGTGGAAGCTGCCTGAGACCCTCACCAGAAGCCAAGCAGATGCTGGCACCATGCTTCTTGTACAGCCTGCAGAATTGTGAGCCAAATAAACCTCTTTTCTTTATAAATTATCCAGTCTCAGGTATTCCTTTAGCAATACAATTCCTTTAGCAATAGCAACACAAATGGACTACAACAATATCATTATAATGGGAACCCCAGAGAGCAAGCTAGCCCCCTTCTACTATGTGAGGACACAGCTGGAAGCTGCCACCTGTGAACCACAGAGTGGGCCCTCACCAGACCCTGCACCTGCCAGTGTCTTGATCTTGGACTTCCCAGCCTCCAGAACCATGAGCAACAAATTTGTGTTGTGGATAAGCCACCTAGGGTATGGTATTTTTGTTATCACAGCCTGAATGGACTAAGACACGGGTATAGATGGTACGAGGCAGACAGTTATGGCTCATTTGGGACACCAGACTTCTTAGGATATAAGGAGATGATCATAGTCAACAGAGGGGGCTCCTTCATTCCTTGGTTTTTTTCTTTCCTTCTCCAAAGAATGTAGACTCCATAAGACAAAGACTTGGTCTGTTCTGTCTGCTGCCATCTCTGGCAAGTGGCATCAAACAGAAGCTCAAATATTTTCTGAGCCAATGTTTGAATGACTCCATTCAGCAATAAACAGGGAGTAACAGAATTAAAGAAGGCTAGATTATGCAGGATTGCACAGGTGTAGTTTGAACGTACCCACTGCATACATCTCCTCCCAGTCTTACTAAAAGGATGTTGCATGGGGAAAGGTATGGGAAACGGGAGAGGATTTAGGAAATGATTGTGATTTTAAAATGTGTAGTCTTTGGGCACAGTGGCTCACACCTACAATCCCAGCACTTTGGGAGGCTGAAGCAGGCGGATCACCTGAGGTCAGGAGTTCAAGATCAACCTGGCCAACATGGCAAAACCCTCTCTCTACTAAAAATTCAAAAATTAGCCGGGCATGTTGGCAGGCGCCTGTGATCCCAGCTACTCAGGAGGCTGAGGCAGGGAGAACTGCCTGAATCCAAGAGGCAGAGGTTGCAGTGAGCCGAGATCGCACCACTGTACTCCAGCCTCGGTGACAGAGCAAGAATTTGTCTCAAAAAAAAAAAAAAAATTGTAGTCTTTAGACAAGCCTCCCTCTCTCTGTGGTTTAGTCCAGGAACTACTTTGATTCTCTGGGTGAGGGCTTCATCATGTAACCACTTAAAACTCCTAGATTCTACCAGCAAAATAGTCTTCATTTTTTGAGACTCCAGGGTCTTAGAACCAGAGCCATAAGGCAGGATGGACCCTGGTGGCTACAAGCCTGGGTGGGGATTACAGGTGATTTTGCCCATCTTTAATAGGGATAAGCTGCTGAGGCAAGCACATGTTTTCATGTACGTGAGTGCACCAGGCATGGCATTAGCCTGTGAGATTGGTAAGGCTGCCCTGTTCACACTCTTATGTCCCCTGAGTGCCTAGCACTGAGCATACAGTAGGTGCTCAATGGATACTTGTGGAATGCACGTGTTCCCGGTTGTATGGTGTCCCTCAGAAAGATATATTGAAGCCCTAACACCCAGGACTTGTGAATATGACCTTATTTGGAAATAGGCTTTTTGCAAATGACATCAAATTAAGATAAGGTCATTGGGGTGAGCTCTAATCTGATAGGACGGTGTCCCTAGGAAAATGCAAAATTTGGACACAGACACAAACACCCAATAATCACACCATGGTGGAGACTGGAGTGACGCATCCTTAAGCCAAGGAACACCAAGGATTGCCTGCAACACCAAAACTAAGAGGAAGGCACAGGACCAATTCTCCCCTACGGCCTTCAGAAAGAACATGGCCTTGCCCAACCCTTCTTTTGAACTTCTGGCCTCCCAAGCTGTGAGCAAATACATTTCCGATGATGCAAGCCACCCAGTTTGTGGTCATTGTTACAGCAGCCCTGGGAAACAAATGCAGGATGTTAGTATGACCTCATTGTTCGGATTTCTGTGTGAGCTACCCCTCAGCTGCTCCAAATGACCCACACAAACACTAGAACACAAACATGCAGTTCCTTGACTCCTCACCCCATCTCCCGCACAACCTTGAAACCAAATTCCTGACACCAAAGCTAATTTTACCTTTCAACCTGCATGCAGCTATTTTTATTCCAACCTCCAATCTCGGTTCTGTTGAGCTCCAATTAACAAGGTGGCTGAGGTCTTCCTGAAAGTCTCCACAGACCTGCATAATTCATCTCCTGTGTTCTCGAAGCCAGCATTAAACAAAGGAGGGGACTCCAGCTCCAGACCAGACTCTAGTCTGGCGGTTCCCCAGGTGGGGCCAGGGACGATTTGCACCAGCAGCAACTGGGGCACTGGTCAAAACTGGAGATCCCTAAAAGGATAGCCTGAACCAGTCTAGGGGGAGAGGTCAGGCACCTGCATTTTCAGCAGGTGTACCAGGATATTCTGGTGTTTGCTAAAGCACTACCTTGTTAACTCTTTATCCACAGAGTTTCCCAAGCATGAGGGTCTGGGTTCCAGCCATAGCTAATGAACCTGTGGAAGAGAGAATTCTCCCTATTTTATTTTTCCTCTTCCCAGTTGTCCTGGAGTGGGCACTGGGGTTGGCTGTTCTCAGGCGCATCTTGGAATTTCTCAGCCTAGTTTACATGGGGAAGATAGAGGCCTATTCAGATGAGGTAGAGGGGGTGAGAGTGGGTGAACTGAGGCAAGACATCTTCAGTTCCTTCCCAGCTTCCCTTCAAGGGGTAGGGTCTCTGACCCCAAAAGAATGCCTCTGCCCCATCCTTACAATCATCCCCTAAGTCTGCTTTTCAGACCTGGCTGATTCTTTGATGAGAGTTCTCAGCATTTGTCTTCATTTTTGTTTTTGTGTTGGTGTTATCTCAATGCTGCCAGTACTACCTGAGGCAGGAAAACCCACCCTACCCCTAAGTAAATCCATTCATTTAGCAAATATTCAGTGAAAACTGAATATATGCTAGGGGCCTGGCTCACACCCATAGCCCCAATACTCTGGGAGACCAAGGTGGAAAGATCGCTTGCGTCCGGGGGTTTGAGACCAGCCTTGGCAACACAACAAGACACTGTCTCTACAGAAAAAGTTAAAATTAGCTGGATGTGGTTACTCATGCCTATAATCCCAGCTACTTGGGAGGCTAAGGTGAGAAAATCACTTGAGACCAGGAAGTTGAGGCTGCAGTGAGCCATGTTCACACCCCTACACTCTAGTCTGGGCAACAGAGCAAGACCCTGTCTCAAAAAAAAAAAGAAAAGAAAAGAAAAGATGCTAGAGGCTGTGCTAAATACAGAAGTGAACAAGACAGACCAAGCCCCAGTTATAAGGCCTTTGCTTCAGTAGGAAAGAAAGACAGTAAACAACCAATAGCACGACATGATATGGCTTGATTTCAGAGAGCGGTCAGGGCTGAGGGTGGTGGTGTGGGGTCATGGAAGGGCCAGTTGAGATAAGCTGGCCAGCAGGGTCTCTCTGAGAAAGTGACAGACACCAGAGACCTGGATGAGTTGAGGGATGGGCCATGGGACTACCAGGTTGAAGAGAATTCCTGCACCAGGGAGCAGCTAATATGCGGCCCAGGTCATCAGGGTCCCGGGCATGTTTATAGACCAGCAAGGAGGCCAGTGTGGCTGGTCTGGAAGGGGAAGATAGGGAGGGAGAGGAGGGGAAAGCTAGTGGGAGGTAGGGTCAGAGACAGGCAAGGTCAGACCATGTAGGGACGTGCAGTTGTCCAGGTCAGAGATCATCTCAGGCTAGGCTAGGATGGAAGTCCCAGAGAGGCAGCAGAGTGGATGGATTCAGGATGAGTGTGGAGTTGGCAGGACGCATGGATGGATTAGATGTGGGAGGAGGGAGAAGGAAAGAGGAAGCTATTTTAGTTCCTAGACACTGACAGGATATTGCATAATATAAAAGAATCATTCACTTTTTAGAGGTGGTAATGGTATTGCCATTGGTTATTTCTTAATTGTCCTCACCTTGTAGAGATACATGCCAAAACTTTAAAAAATGAAATGGCCAGGCATGGTGCCACCTGCCTCTAATCCCAGCTACTCGGGAGGCCAAAGTGGGAGGATTGCTTGGGCCCAAGAGTGTGAAACCAGCATGGGCAATACAGTGAGACCCTGTCTCTAAAAAATATTTAAAAATTAGCTGGGTATGGTGGTGCACACCTGTAATCCCAGCTACTTTGGAGGCTGGGGCAGCAGGATTGCTTGGATCCCAGAATTTGAGGTTGTAGTTAGCTATGATCATGCCATTGCCTTCCAGCCAGGGTGACAGATCAAGGTCCTGTCCCTTACGAAAAATAAATAAATAAAAAATAATAAAGTCACCCAATTATTTAACATTAATAAACGCATGAGGGCTGGGCACAGTGCCTCGCACCTGTAATAATCTCAGCACTTCAGGAGTTTGAGGCGGGAGGAGTGCTCGAGTTTGAGACCAGCCTGGGTAACAAAATGAGACCCCCCATCTCTACGAAAAATCAAAATTAGCCAGGCATGATGATGCGTGCCTAGAGTCCTAGCTACTCAGGAGACTGAGGCGGGAGGATCACTTGAACCCAGGAGGTCAAGGCTGCAGTGAGCCATGATCATGCCACTCTACCCCAGCCTGGATGACAGTGAGAACTTGTCTCTAAATAACTATAAATAAAATGAAATTATATAATTCTGGCATTTATCTAAAATAGTATGGGAGGGGAAGCCTTTTGGGAGCTGGAAATGAAAAAAGAATTGGCCACACGTTGATCACTGTTGAGGGTGAGTGATGGGTCCATGGGTTTTCATTGCACCATTCACTCCAAGGTTGTATTAATCTACGATTAAAATTCTCCTTAACAAACATTAAAAGAAGGCACCATTTCCAGGGTGCAGAAGCCTGAGAAAGGGGCAGGTCTAGGATGACAGATAGAGAGCTTCCTATAGATGTCGAAACTGGACTCTACTGTTCACAAGAGCCAAGATGTGGAATCAACCTAGGTGTCCAACAATAGATGAATGAATAAAGCAAATGGGGTACCTATACACAATGGAATACTACTGAGCCATAAAAATGGAGAAAATCCTGTCATTCATGGCAGCATGGATGAAACTGGAGGATATTATGCTAAGTGAAATAAGCCAGGCACAGAAAGTTAAATACTACACATTCCCACTCATATGTTAAAGCTAACAAGGCTGATGTCATAAAAGTAAAGAGTAGGGCAGAGGATACTAGAAGCTGGGAAGAGTAGGGAAAGAGGAGGAATAGGGAGAGATTTATTAAAGGAGATTTATTAAAAATTCCATCTAGAAGGGAGCAGTAGGTCCTAGTGTTCTATAGCACTGTATGATGACTATAACATAAGTTCCAAATAGCTAGGATGATATTGAACTTTCCCAACACAAAGAAATGATAAATGCTTGAGATGATGGATATACTAGTTCCCCTGATGTAATCATTATACATTATATACATCAAAACATCACTGTGTGCCCCACAAATATGTATAGTTATAATGTGCCAACTTAAACAATTAATACAGAAAAATTAGCCAGGCATGGTGGTGCATGCCTGTAGTCTCAGCTACTTGGGGGGCTGAGGAAGAAGGATTGCTCAAGCCCAGAAGGTCGAGGGTGCACTGAGCCAAGATCAAGCCACTGCACTCCAGCCTGGGTGACAAAGTGAGACCCTGTCTCAAAAAAAGAAAAAAAAAAAAGATAAAAAATTAAATTAAAATTTTAAGCTCCAGACTCTGGGTTCAGACCTGAGACATCACAGAGAGGGTTATACACCTCCGCTACTCTCATTGGAGGCTTCACTGTCACCTCCCTCTTTTAACCTCCTGCTCAGAGGTTTCATTATTTGCCCCCTTCCTCACACACCCCACCCTGGAACCAGCTACATAATTTATGGGACCCAGTGCAAAGTGAAAATGCAGGACCCTTTCGCAAAAATTACTACAAATTTCAAGATGGCCTTTGCAGAGCATTCAACCAAGCTGGGGCCTTTCTGAGCATGGGTATTTGTGCAAGCGACCCAGCCCCATACCTGCGATGACACAAGTCCTGCCCCACCATGCAAAGATTGGAGAAATCATTCACAGGTGCTCATCTAAGAAGCACTGGCATCTCTGGCCACCACAACTGAATGACTTCCTTTCTTCACCCATTTATTCAGCAAGCATTTTTGGTGTATCTGTTACAGGACATTATGCTGGGGAAGGGGGTTACAGCAGGGTCTCCCAATCTCCACACTGTGAACATCTGGGGCCAGATCATTGTGGTCCTGTGCGGTCCTATACACTGTATTTAGCAGCAGCTCTGCCTCATCTCACCAGATGCCAGGAGCACCTATTCCCCCAAAATATCTTCAGACACTGCCAAATATTCCCTGGCAGGCAAAGTTGCCCTCTGCTGAGAACCACTGGACTACAGTGATACAAGGAAATTTGGAGGCACTCCTAGTAAGCTTTTCCTTTGTAGAACCTATCACATTCATAGTTTTAATTACTTTTTACTTGTTTGTTTAATGCTGGCTCCTCCAAATAGGCTGCAGTTTTCACGAAAACAGAGACAACCTCCCATCTCCGTTTTGTTATCAGCTGCATCTCTAGCCCCCAGCACAGTACCCAGGAATGGTAGGAGCTCAACAAATACTTGTTGAAGGCATGCATGTTGGAGGAGACAGGCAAATGGCAGACGGAAACAGTGGAGTGACTCAACGTGGAAAAAGAAAATACACAGATGCGTGTACAAGGAAAGCATGCATCACAGAGGAGGAAGAGATTAACTATCAGGGAGAGGAGACTCCGGGAAGTCTACACGAGAGACTCAGCAAATATTTAAAGGACAAATAGGGATCTGTCTGGTGGACTGATAGGGCTGTGCATTCAGACAGCAGCACCACCATCCATCCACAAAGGCACCAAGAGAAACAAGGCTGCTCTCAGGAACACAACGATTATGATGGTGCAAGTGAGTGAGCTGGAGGCGTAGGTATGGTCCAGTCCCTGGGCCTGGATGCCCATTACACTATTAAACAAATGGACAACAAGTAATTAAAAATATGAGTGTGATAGGTTCTAGACGCTTTACCCAGGCGGCACTGAGTATCCGCTGAAGGGTTTTAAGCAGCCGCCTGGTTTGGCGGGCTCTCTGTTTGTAGATAGTCGTGTGCAGAATAGATTGAAGAAGACAATCTGTAAGCAAGCAGGCATCATAGCAGGGGCACCTCTGCCTTTGCTCCCTCCTGGACCATGAGGTGTGGCACTGCCCTGGCATTAACCAATCTCCTGCAGTCACTCATCTGTGTTACCAACTGCCCTAGTCAGCTCAAGCTGCTATAATAAAACACCATGAATGTGTGGCTTAAACAACAGGCACTTATTGTGAAGGGCAGGAAGTCCAAGATCAGGAAGCCAGGAGGATTGGGTTTTGATAAAGACTCTCTTCCTGGCTTGCAGACAGCCGCCTTCTTGCTGTGTCCTCACGTGGTGGAGACAGAGGAAGAGTCTGTCTCTTTTCCTCTTCTTATGAAAACACTAATCCCGCCCCCCCCACCATGGGGGCCCCACACTCATGACCTCATCTAAACCTTATCACCTCCCATAGGCCCAACCTCCTAACAACATCACACTGGGGGTTAGGGCTTCAACCTATGAATTTTGGGAAGACACAGACTTTCAGTCCATAACACCAGGTCTCCTGAAAGTCCCCGGGCCTGAACACCTGAAAGTGCCTTGTGAATTATTCAAAGCACTAATTTGGGACTGAGTGTCTTCTCGCATGTTTCCTCTTTGAAAATCAGAGCTGACAGTAACTCACGCACAGAGGTGCTATGGAGACAGCAAGGCTTGAGGGGGCCCTCTGCAGACAGACTCTGCCATGGGCCACACTCCAGCTGTGTAGCTTCGAGCAAGTAACTTCATGGCTCTCAATTCATTCTCCTCATCTAAAGATCGGGGGGAAGGATAGTACTTGTGTCGTGAGATTGATGTGAAGGTTAAAATTAAGAGTTAACCTATAAAACATCCCTCAGCAGTGTCACTGTGACATAGTGTCAATAGCCAGCCTGTTTGTGGTCCATTTATCTCTCACTCACCCCCTCTACAGCCATCAATCATACCAAATTAGAGAATGTATTTTGAAAACTCCATACTGAGTGCCAGAGCAGGGAGCATGTTGGTCACCAGGTTAAAGGCTCAGGACTCAGGCTTTTTTTTTTTTTTTTTTTTTTTTTTTTTTTTTTAACAGGATCTCACTCCAGTTGATCAGGCTGGAGTGCAGTGGCACAATTTCAGTTTACTGCAGTCTTGCCCTCCTGAGCTCACGCAATTCTCCCACCTCAGCCTCCTGAGAAGCTGGGATTACAGGCGCACACCACCACGCCTGACTAATTTTTTGTATTTTTAGTAGAGACAGGATTTCGCCATGTTGCCCAGCTTGAATTCCTGGACTCAGGAGTTCAAGTGTGCCTACCTCAGCCTCCCAAATTGCTGGAATTACAGGTGTGAGTCACCGCGTCCAGCTTTATGCAATTTTATATTGAGCCTTGACAGAAAGAGTACTCCATAGGGCAATGGCTCTTAACTGCAGGTGATTTTTGCAGCATCTGAACATTTGGCAATGTGTGGGGGCATTTTTGATTGTCACAGCTGAGGGGGTGCTACTGGCATCTAATAGATAGGTTCTACAGAAGCTGCTGAACATCCTGCAATGCATGGGACAGCCCCCTACAACAAGGAACTGTCCAGCACAAAATGTCAATAGTGCTCAGATTGAGAAACCCTGATCTAGACACTGCTAGATCTTGGTAGAATGAACACAGACTTTTTGGAGTCAGGTAAACCTAGACTTAAATTCCCATCATGCCACTTACTAGCTTATGGCCTTAGACAAATCACTTAACATCTCAAAGATGACACCTTCCCAGAGTATGTTGCTCAGGATTAGAAGAAGCAAAACATCAGCACCTAGAAAAATGACTAGCACATGGCACATGCCCCAGACATTTGTGATTGCCACCCAACAGCCATTCTCGAACTGCCTTACTGCTCTGGACACTGACATGAAAGACGTGATGACGGTGCAGCAGCAGCTATTTTGGCTCCGAGAGGGAGAAGGCAAAAAAGGCTAAGAGAGGCTGATGCGGAGCCCAGGCGCCATGGAATCAACCCTGGATCCAACTCCTCTCGAGTTCTGTTACGTGAGAAATAATGTGTCATTAGTTAAGCTGCTTTTAATTTCTTTTACAGCACACTTTTTAATTTTTTATCTATTTATTTTCAATAGTTCTTGGGGTACAAGTGGTTTTTGGTTACATAAATGAATTATATAGTGATGAATTCTGAGATTTTAGTGCACTCATCACACAAGTAGTGTACATTGTACCTAACGTGTAGGTTTTTTCCATCCCTGGCCCCCCTACACTCTCACACTTTAAAGTCCCTGAAGTCCATTATACCACTCTGTATGCCTCTGCGTACTCATAGCTCAACCTCCCGCTTTTAGTGAGAACATGCGGTTTTTGGTTTTCTACTCCTGTGTTACTTCACTTAGAATAATGGCCTCCAGATCCATCCAAGTCGCTGCAAAAGACATGATTTCATTCCTTTTAATGGCTGAGTCATATTCCGTGGTGTATATATACCACGTTTTTCTTTAGCCACTCAATCCATGGGCACTTGGGTTGGTTCCGCATCTTTGCAATTGTAAATTACGCTGCTGTAAACACACATGTGCAAGTGTCTTCTTCATATAATGACTTCGTCAAGCTGCTTTTAGTTGGTATCTCTTATTGACACCTTCACTCATTCGAATCACTACCATACAAACTCAATAAATGTTTATAGATCAATAAATGGTTTTATATGTCTGGTATATAGTAGGTGTTTTAAGCAGTGGTTGAGGTATCCTGGCCAGGCAAGAAATAACTTTTTTTTTTTTTTTTTTTTTGAGACAGAGTTTCACTCTTGTTGCCCAGTCTGGAATGCAATGGCACCGTCTCAGCTCACTGCAACCTCTGCTTCCTGGGTTCAAGTGATTCTCCTGCCTCAGCCTCCCAAGTAGCTGGGATTACAGACACCCACCACCACACCCAGCTAATTTTTGTATTTTTAATAGAGACAGGGTTTCACCATGTTGGCCAGGCTGGTCTCAAACTCCTGACCTCAGGTGATCCGCCTGCCTCAGCCTCCTAAAGTGCTGGGATTACAGGCATGAGCCACCATGCCAGGCCAAGAAATAACTTTTGGTTGCACATTGCTAGTTGCCATTGGATGTCAGACACATTTCAGAATCCGTATGATCCGATAAGTGGGCAGAGAAAACAGGTTTAAGGAGACAGGGAACAGCAAGAAGGAGAGGTTGTCAGTCTGTGGTTTTCTATAAATGGATTATTCTTCCCCACCCACATCTTACAAGCCACAGTGACCATTCTGTGTCTAACAAGCAGTCTGTCATTTGGGGAAGAGGGATTACAACCCTCTCTTTCCTTGTAACAGCTGTGATAATGCAGCCCAACTGCCCGCTTAGGTGGCAATCAGTCATTCGAGGTCATGGAGGCCCTGCACGGAGCCACTTGTGAAGAAGCTGTCGGACAAGGAGACCTGGAAGAAAATGTGTGATAGCAAAGTGTCAGGCAGCGATGTGACAGCTGGCTTCGTTTCCCCCAGAGAGCTATTGTCATGGAAAGCTCTGCTCAGCCCTGAAACAAGATAACTTCATCAAGTCAGAACTGCTGGGAGAAGTGCTTTTGGCTTGAAGCAACCTATCTGAGAAAAGGCGGCAAAGAGGTGGGAGCGGTCGGAGGAGTGACCACAGGGATTTGACTGGGAGTTTCCTTTATAACAAACCTTGTTAAAGTGAGAGGGAGGGAGTAGCATGGAATAAGGGTTGGCTAGGGGCCAGGCAATCATTTACCTCTGTTATTCTTACAACCTCCATTTGTCCAGTGCAATACTTCATAGTTGCCAGACACTGAGATCAACACTTTACAGAAACCCTCTGTATTGGTTTGCTGGAGTTTTGTAACAAGGTGGCTCAAACAACAGAAATTTATTCTCTCCCAGCTGTGGAGGTCAGAAGTTGAAAATCAAGGTGTCAGCAGGGGTGATTCCTTCTGAGGGCTATGGGGGAGACTCCACTCTGTTCCAGGCCTCTCTCCTTGGCTTGTAGATTGCTGTCTTCTCCCTGGATCTCTTCACTTCCTTCTGTGCATGTCTCTGTATCCAAATTTCCACTTCTTATAAAAGCACCAGTCTTACTGATTAAAGCCCACCCAAATGGCCTCAACTTAACTTCATTACTTCTGTGAAGACAAGATCTCCAGTAAGGTCCTATTTCCAGGGGTTAGAACATCAGTAGATGCATCTGGAGATGATACAATTCAACTCACAACACCCTCTTATTCAATGCTTACAACGTCGGTAAGAGGAAAGGCCTACAAGAGTCATTTAATCCCTTTGGGAGGCCAAGGCAGGCGGATCACGAGGTCAGGAGATCGAGACCATCCTGGCTAACACAGTGAAACCCCGTCTCTACTAAAAATACAAAAACAAAATTAGCCAGGTGTGGTGGCGGGCACCTGTAGTCCCAGCTACTTGGGAGGCTGAGGCAGCAGAATGGCGTGAACCTGGGAGGCGGAGCTTGCAGTGAGCCGAGATCCTGCCACTGAACTCCAGCGTGGCAGCCTGGGCGACAGAGCGAGACGCCGTCTCAAAAAAAAAAAAAAAAAGTCATTTAAGAGAAAGACCTATCAAAGTCATTTAAGGGAAAGGAAACAGACTCAGAGGGGCTGTGACACTGGCCTGACATCATGCCAGCCTCCTTTCCTATTTGCATACAATGGGTGCTACAATTATGTCATCATGCACTACACACATCCCACTAAAGTGTGAGTCCCATGAGGGAAGAGATTTTATCCCTTTTGTTCACTGATGTTTCTCTAACACCCTGCACAGTGCCTGACACATTTAGAAAGGACCCAACGAGTATTTGTTGAACAATGAATGAATGAATGCAGGATTCATTGACCAGTTCTAGGAGCTTTTTGGATGAGTGTTTGGGATTTTCTAGGTACACAATCATATCATCAGCGAGCAGCGGCAATTTGACTTCCTCTTTACCGATTTGGATTGTTTATAGCAGCACAATTTGCAATTGCAAAAATACAAAACCAGTCCAAATGCCCATCAATCAACAAGTAAATAAAGAAAATGTGATATATATATATCACATTTATATATATATAAACACACACATATATATACATGTATATATACACACATGTATACATATATACACACACATATATACATATATATATACACACACACACATATATATATACACACAAACACACCATGAAATACTACTCGGCCATAAAAAGAAAAGGAAATAATGGCATTTGCAGCAACCTGGATGGAACTGGAGACTATTATTCTAAGTGAAGAAACTCAGGAATGGAAAATCAAATTTTGTGTGTTCTCATTCATATGTGGGAGCTAAGCTATAAGGACAAAAAGGCATAAGAATGATAGATTGGACTTTGGGAACTCAGGGGAAAGGGTCGGGGGTGCTGAGGGATAAAAGACTACACATTGGGTACAGTGTACACTGCTTGAGCGATGCGTGCACCAAAGTCTCAGAAATCACCACTAAAGAACTTATTCGACGGGCACGGTGGTTCATGCCTGTAATCCCAGCACTTTGGGAGGCCGAGGCTTGCAGATCCAGCCTGGCCAACATGGTGAAACTCCATCTTTACTAAAGATACAAAAATTAGCCGGGCATGGTGGTGGCCGCCTGTAGTCCCAGCTACTGGGGAGGTTGAGGCAAGAAAATCACTTGAACCCGGGAGATGGAGGTTGCAGTGAGCCAAGATCGTGCCGCTGTACTCTAGCCTGGGCAACAAGAGTAAGATTCCATCTCAAAAAATGAAAGAAGTTATTCATGTAAATTCATGTAACCAGACACTACCTGTTCCCCCAAAAACCTACTGAAATTAAAAACATATAAACAAATAAATAAATATATAAATATATAAATAAAAATAAAAGAACGTGGGTAGCAAACTATAGCATGGAGATTCAGTCTTACTTGTCTGACTCATAGTAAATGAGTAAATGCTCATAGCTGTCATAAAGCCTGCCTCCCTCCCCCTTACTCCCCACCACAGCAGCGTTCACATCTCACCAGCAAGGAAACTGAGACTCAGAGATGATTCCTGATTTGCTGGGATCACACAGCTAAGTCACATCTTGAGGTTAAACACAACTCCATCATCAACTTCCGTGCAGAATAATTTTAAGCGAGGAGTCATGAACACAAATGCTCTTGAGAGCCAAGCAGCTGACATAAATGCATAACCAGGGCTGAGACAATATGGAGTGGTGGGGACTGGGGCAACCTAGAAAGACAAGTTTCAGCTGAAAGAGATAGCTGCTTGTTTGAGGGAAATTTACAGCCTTCTCCCAGATAGATCTCAATTTAATTCATAGGTAATTTTATGAGGCATTTTGTAAAAAGCCTCATGATGTGTAGCTCCAAAAGGTACAGGTTAGTCAAGGGATTTTTCAATAATGTCCCTTTTGTTCTCTACTAAAGACAGTGTTATTCTGTAATTAAACAGGTTTTTGTTACACTGGGTTATCAGCCTACTGCAGTGAGATCTTCCTCCCTAAGGTGCTTTAGAGGTCTGAGATGAATAGGAGACCGCACAGCTGCACTCCTACCTCATCCTAGGGAGCAGCATGAAGAAACAGGTTTATCTGTGTGGTAGACAGAATAATGTCCCCAAAGATGTTCACTTCCTGATCCCCAGACCCCCTGAATGTGTCACCTTACGTGGCAAAGAGACTTTGTAGATGTGGTTAAGATAAAGATCCTGAGATGGGGAGAGAATCCTGGACTATCCAGGTGGGCCCACTGTGATCACGAGATCTTTACAATGGAGAGGGGAGGCAAGATGGTCCAAGTCTGAGTGAGAAGCACTCCACCTGCATTGCTGGCCTTGGAGATGGAAGGAGAGCCAAGGAATTCAGGCAGCGTCTAGAAGCCAGAAAAGCTGAGGCCACAGACCCTCCCTGGAGCCTTCAGAAGGAGCCCAACCCTGCCAACAGCTTAACTTTAGCCCAGTGAGTCCCATTTTGGATGCCTGCCTCTCCAGAGTTGTGAGATAACAAATCTATATTGTTTTAAGCCACTAAGATTGTGGTGACTTGTTACAGCACCAACAGGAAACTGATACAAGTCTGTAACTGACATCCAGGGACATATCTGAGTCACTCTTTCTCCCTCTGCAATACCCAACTGTCAGTGATGATGTCCCAGGACCACATTTCCTTGTCTCTAAATTCCCCAATTCAGTCCCCCGCTGCCCCCCAAAATGCCCATAGCCCCCAAATCTGCTCTTCCCACAGTCTTCCTCATCTGTTATTTCTCCTCCATCCAGTTATTCGGGCCAAAAGTCTTGCAGTCATTCTCAACTCTTCCTTCTCTCTCTTTGGTATCCCAGGTCCCACGTATCAGCAAGTCAACATCCAGAATCCAACCATGTCTCTCCACCCCCACCTCCACACCTGGTCCAGGCCACCATCACCTCTCACCTGGACACATCACGGTAGCTCCTGACCCATCTTTCCCTTCCATGTGTATCTGTATGTTATTTTACACGCAAAAGACAGAGTGTTAGATTATCTTCTGCTGCTGCCCAACCTTGCCAAGGACCTCACATCACACTCCTCACCACAAGCACCCAGATCCTACTGGACATGGCCCCTGCCCTCTCCTCCCACCTCATGTGCCAGCACCACCCCATTCCTCACCATGCTTTGTGGTCAAGGTTCCTCACGGCCTGCAAATACACCAAGAGCATGCTGACCTCAGGGCCTTCGCACCTGCTGCCTAAACATGCTTTTTTTTTTTTTTTAAGAGATAAGGTATTGCTCTGTCACCCAGGATGGAGTGCAGTGGTTCATTCACAGCTCACTGCAGCCTTGACCTCCTGGCCCCCAGCGATCCTCAGCCTCCTAAAAGCACTGAAATTGCAGGTGTGCACCACCACGCCTGGCTCTACTGCCTAAATACTCATATTCACTCCCTCCAATCAGACCTCTAGCTATAAGTCAGATGCCCTAACCTCTGTATCTAAATCAGGTCTCCCCACCCCATCCTCACCTCTAGTCTTCTTCCCTCTTCCTGTTTTACCTTCTATCCTGGCCCTTCTCTCTCCCTAATTCTGTAGCATATATTTCATACATTTGTTTATCACATCTCCCCTTCCATTCTCTGCCAGAACATAGTTATTACTACAAAGTAATAAGCTTGCAAAATTTCTCATAATAAAGTGCAAGATGCTGAGACTCCAGAACAACCCAGACTGAGCCTCTCCCCCTATTATAACTTACATAAATTATGTCAGAGAACACAGTGTCTGAGCCTTCCTGCACCAGCCTCTCCTGGGGACTGTTTTGGTCCACGCTGTTTGCTCATGGATTAGATCAGCACTGTCACATGGAAGGTGGCCCTGTGCCCTCTTGGCTTCTTCTGCAGGATTGCCCAAGGGTTTCTGGCAACCACAACTCATCTCCAGCTATGCTGGAATATGAACACAAGGTTGCCAGATCTCTGGGTTCTTTTTTTTTTTTTTTAAAGAAGTTGTAGTCTGGATTTTTATGTGGAAGCTTCTAATTTTTAACACTGAGCCTACACTCTGCATAGCAACAATCTGCTAGAGCTGCGAGCTGCTGCCCACTATGAAAAGGGCATGAACTCTTTATGTCACAACAAGCCTCACCCAGAATGTTTCACTTATTTGCCTTACCTGTCTTGCCTGTGACAGCATTTGGCTCCTCAGCCGCTGACTTAAGGATTTTTCATCAATGTTAAGCTAAACACTAGCTAGCAGTGTAAAGTGGAACTGCCAGAAAACTAAAAATAAAAAAATTTTAAAGACTAATGTTACCTCAGGTTGCATCAATAGAGGTGCATTGTTCAAGGGAAAGGAGGTGACATGCCAAGCCTGGTTCCTACTGGTGAGATCACACACCTGCAGTCAAGGCCACCATTTCAAAAGAGATAAAGACTATGGGAAATTGTTGGTAGGAGAGCAAACAGAAAGGTTGAGAAACTGTTTTCCTTTAGCTTAAAGGGAAAAAAAGAGAGAGAGAAAGAGAGAGACTGTTAGGAATTTGAGCACTCTTTTCAAATGTTCAGAGGACACTTAGGTAGAAGACAGACAAGACATACTTTGTGAGGCCACTGGGGAGCACAATTAGATCCAGTAAGAGGGAGCTACAAGGAGGTAAGTTTATCTTGGCATTTAAAAAGTGAATTTTCAGCCGGATGTGGCAGCTCACGCCTGTAATCCCAGCACTTTGGGATGCCGAGGCGGGCAGATCACCTGAGGTCAAGAGTTCAAGACCAGCCTGGCCAACATGGTGAAACCCTGTCTCTCTAAAAAAATTGGCCAGGTGTAGTGGCGGGTGCCTGTAATCCCAGCTACTTGGGAGGCTGAGGCAGGAGAATCACTTGAACCCAGGAAGCAGAGGTTGCAGTGAGCCAAGATAGCACCATTGCACTCCAGCCTGGGAGACAAGAGTTTTGAAACTCCGTTTCAAAAACAAACAAACAAACAAACAAATAAATAAATAAAAATACAAAACTAAAAAGTGAATTTTCTCATTGCCAGAGCTGAACTGGAATGGAATGAGGAGTGACTTCCCTGTCACTGGCAGTATTCAAGATGAGACAGGACACCACTTAATGGGCATATAGAAGAGGTGATTCCAGCATTGCAAATAAGGTGGGTGGGGAGGAAAGGCAGGAAGGAAAGGAGAAAGAAAGAAAGGAATGGAGAAAGGATGACAGATGGGTGGATTTACTGAGCACCTACTGTGGGCCTGGAGTTGTCTATATCTAGATCATCATTCATCGCCCTTTCAGTGTTTAGACTCTGGATCAGAGAATCTTCCTTCTAATTGCAATTATTTTACAGTCTCAGGTGAAAGTGTGCTCCACATATCCCATCCAATTGCAGATGCAAATTACACACAAATTCCAAAGGTGTTGCAGTTAGAAGGTTTCTTTCCGAAAGGTCAACGGGAACCCAAATGGGAGGGAGATCCCAAAGGTCACCCCTTCCTAGTTCCCTGTTCGCACCTCTACCTCCTACCTCCTAGGGCAGCAGGAGAAATTATTGCTCACTGGAAAATGGGGCTGGCCGAGACACTGCCGGGAAGCTCGGTTACCGCGATGTGTGCTCCTCTGCTCTTCTCAATCCTGAGCTACATTAATGGGGGGAAAATTGTCTTGTTTTGTAAGACATGCTTGACAGCTGTTCATTGCCTGTCAGCGAGGAGAGGTAATGAGAATTACTTAGCAGTTGAGTCTTAACTAAGAGAGCCTGCAGCATAACAAGAGGTCCCCAAGATTCATGGGGAGAAAATTGCATCTTGCCGAGCCTATGTGCATCTTACCCCATTCCCACTAGAGTCTTTGGCCCCAGATTATGAATTAGAAAAAGGAGGACCACTGCAACGGGTCTCCCTGTCGGGGCTCTAGTGCCCTACAAGCCATTTTACAAACAGCTGCCAATGGGATCCTTGAGAAATGAATATCAGACATCACTCCCTGCTCAAATCCTTCCTATGGTTTCCCATGACACTGAGGATTAAATCCAAACTCATTAACCCATCTAAAAAGACCATGAGGGCTGGGCATGCTGGTTCACGCCTGTAATCCCAACACCTTGGGAGGCCAAGGCAGGTGGATCACCTGAGATCATGAGTTCGAGACCAGCCTGGCCAACATGGTGAATACAAAAATACTAAATTTTTGTATTCTCTACTAAAAATACAAAAATTAGCCAGGTGTGGTGGCGCATGACTGTAATTCCAGCTACTCAGGAGGCTGAGGCAGGAGAATCACTTGAACCCAGAGGCAGAGGTTGCAGTGAGCCAAGATCACACCACTGCACTCCAGCCTGGGTGACTTCATCTCTAAATAAATAAATAAACAAATAGACCATGATGGCTACATCCTAAGCCTCTCTCCACCAGCTTACATGACATCTGTCTTAGCTGGGATTCTCCAAAAGCAGACCCTAAGACAAGCATCTGGGAACAAGTAGTTTACTTGGAAGATGATTCCAGGAAGCAAAGTGAGGGAGTGGGAGAGTGCAGGAGAGGAAAGCATAAGGCACATGATATGGTTTGACTGTGTCCCCACCCAAGCCTCATCTTGAATTGTAGCTCCCACAATTCCCACGTGTCATGGGTGGGACCCAGTGGGAAGTAACTCAATCATGGAGGCGGGTCTTTCCCATACTGTTCTCTTGATATTGAATAAGTCTCACGAGCTCTGACAGTTTTATAAAGAGGAGTTCCCCTGCACAAGCTCTGTCTCTTGCCCACCACCATGTAAGATGTGACTTTGCTCCTCCTTGCCTTCTGCCATAATTGTGAGGCCTCCCCAGCCATGTGGAACTGTGAGTCAATTAAACCTCTTTTCTTTATAATTACCCAGTCTCAGGTATGTCTTTATCAGCAGTGTGAAAATGGACTAATATAGCACATTAATGAGCAGGTTACCCTGTGGACAGCTGGGGCTCAGTCCTGCTGGAAATGGCAAGGGACTATGAGAAGCATGTGTCAGAGTTGTCCCATCCAGGGCCAGGGAAGCTGGGATATTTCCCATCATAGTCATTCCCTAGAGCGGCTGTAATGAAGTCCCCCCGGTGGCTTAAAACAGTAAACATTTGCTCACAGTTCTGAAGGCTGCAAGTCCAAGATCAAGGTTTCGGCAGGGTCACGCTGCCTCCAAAGGCTCTAGGAAAAATCTTTCCTTGTCTTTTCCTGGCTTCCGGTGGCGGCTGGCACTCTTTGGTGTTCTTTGGGTTCCAGGTTCGTCACTCCAGCTCTGCCTTGGCTGCTGTATGGCCTTCTTCGTGTGTCTCTCTGTGTCTTCATATGGCCTCCTTGTAGTGACAACAGTCATTAGGTTTAGGGCCTTCCCTAAGACAGTATGACCTCGTCTTAACTAATTGCACCTGCAAAGACTCTATTTCCAAATAAGGTTGCAACCTGAGTTTTGTAGTGCCTCAGAGTTGTCCCATCCAGGGCCAAAGAAGCTGAGCTATTTGCCACCACAGTCATTCCCTAGGGCTGCTGTAACGTAGTCCCACCAACCCAATGGCTTAAAACAACAGCTATTTGCTCACAGTTCTGAAGGCCAGAAGTCCAAGATCAAGGTGTCGGCAGGGCCATGATGCCTCTGAAGGCTCTGAGAAAAAATCTTTCCTTGCCTTCTGAGGCAGCATGGGGGATGCTATTCAACACAGTTCAGCCCAATTCCCTTCACCCTTTATTCAAGCAACGTTGTGTAGTGCACAAGCCCACAGCCCACTGACTGTCTCCTTCATCCACTCACTCCAGCTGTACTGGCCTTTGACTCGGTGATGTCCAGCTTTTTTTTCCTCAGCCCCTCACACAGGCTGGTACCTCTGTGTGCAACACTCCCTCCCAATGTCTGTGCATCTAATTTCTACTCTTTTTCAGATCTATACAGCTACAAGTAACAGAAACCTAACCCAATGTAGCTTAGTGCCCCCAAAGCAGGAAACTCATTGGTTCATGTAACTAAAAAGTCAGGCTTCAAGTAAGGCTGGGTTGGGGTTTAAAGTATGCCATTGCTGTTCTGTCTTGCTCTGTGTGGGTCCAGGCCTGGACTCATGTGATTATGAGTGAAACTGTTTGGAAACACAGCATCCTACCTACAGCATTCTGGTTTCTCTCAGGCCCTTGCCTACCCCTGAATCATCGCTGCGGCCAGAGGATTACAGCATTGTGATTGGCCAGGTCTGAGTCACATGCCCACTTCCCAGACTAATAGGCAAACCTCATCCAATCCACATGGAATGGATTTATCCAAAAGAATCCGTGCTGTGTTATCAAAGAAATAAATAATAATGGGTGTCAACTAAAATGTCTCCACTCATATGGCATTTCTTCAGAGAGCCCTTCCCTGACCTCTCTTCCCAACCCAAATTAGCCCTATGACAGTCTCCTTCATGGATTTAATTATTTTCCCTCATAAAACTCATAATTTGTTTCTTATGTGTGTATAGTTGTCCTTTGGTATCCATAGGGGACTGGCTCCAGGATGCCCTACAGATACCAAAATCCTTAGATGTTTAAGTTCCTTATATATTAATAAAAAGGCATAGTATTTGCATATAACCTACGCACATCCTCTTGTATACTTTATATCATCTCTATATTTCTTGTCATACCTAATACAATGTAAATGCTATGTAAATAGTTGTTATACTGCATTGTTTAGGGAATAATGGCAAGAAACAAAGTCCATACATGTTCAGTGCAGACACTTCTTTTTCTGAATATTTTCAATTCATGGTTGGTCGAATCCATGGCTAACTGTATATTTCTTTAATATCTGCCTTAACCACTAGACTCTGAGCTCCTTGAGGGCAGAGATGATGCCTGGCTTGTTTATATCTGGACTCCCCAGCCCTTGCTCACCCTTGCTTGCTTTGTCCACAGCAGGTGCTCAATAAATACCATAGAATGGCTTTGTAAAGAACTCAGTGATTATTTATTGCAATGAGTTGTGGTGCTGGGAGAAGCACCCAGGTGTCCTGAGTCCCAGTACAGCACTTTGCATTGTGGTTCTCCTGACCCCGACTGTGGTCCTCATGACTGGAGTGATACCGGAGCCCAGCCTGGCATTGACGGTCAAAGCCCAACTTTGGACGGCCTGTCGGACATGACGTTTTCCCTCCAACACTTACCTGTCTCATCTTATTCACCAGCCTGAGTCAGTCTGGCTTAGTACAAAGGTCACAGCTCTTAGCAGCTGGAAGACCCAGGTTCAAACGGCACTTCTGCTACTTCATACTTCCATGGGCACAGGCAAGGCTCTGAAGCTCTATGAGACTTTATTTCCACACTGCTTTTGAAAGGATATTTTCTTTGCCTTTACCTTTCATGACTATGCTATATTTTATAAATTATTATAAAACCTCCTATAAACCATCCTGGAACATGGTGGGGCATAAATAAAATGTATCTGCAAAATAGAGATAATATTTACCACTCAGGACTGCAGGGAGGATTAGAGATGAGGTAAGCAGTGCTCCTGGTACTGAGTAGCTGCTATTGTCATCATAATCATTATTTTGGGTGAGGCTGAATCCCAACAAATACCTTGTAGGACATCAAGCAGGAAACCAATTTCCTTGCAAATAAATGTCACAGATATAAAAGGCCTACAAAAATAAATAAATAATCTCTGATCAGGACAAAATCCAGGGATATAGTCAGGCCATGGGAGAGGCCCCGTGGTAACCCAATCTGACCCCTCAGAATGGTTGGGAAAATGGAGCTGAAGGTGAAACTTCACGGACAAATCATTCTAGTTCTTCATGACCTAGCCAGAGAGATGACTGAACTAGAGGTGAGAAAGGTGAAACAGGAGGGCTAGACATTGGCACTGCACAAAAAGGTTAAGAATGAAAAAGTGTTGCTGTGAGCCACGATGAGCACAAAATATGATGGGGAATAGGCCCACAATGCAAACAATAAAATAAAATGAAACAGATATTTGCATTAGAGAGTTTGAAACAACAAAACAAATCAAAGCCGTGGAGTGGTCCAGACTCTTCAGTGAATGAATTGGGTGGATTCAAAATTTATCATTGATAAAAAAAAAAAAGTTTAACACATGAGACCTATCCCCCAAAAAAGTGAGGAAGAGAGGAATAGGATGTGATGAAAAGGTACGTTTTTTAAAATATCAATTGTGGCCAGGTGCAGTGCCTCATGCCTGTTCTCCCAGCCCTTTGAGAGGCTGAGGTGGGCAGAGGGCTTGAGCTGTGGAGTTCAAGACCAGCCTGGGCAATATGGCAAGACTCTATCTCTACCAAAAATTCCAAAACAAAACAAAACAAAAAAGCAGAGTATGGTGGTCTGCATCTGTGGTCCCAGCTACTGGGGAGGCTGGGGTGGGAAGCTTGAGCCTAGGGGGTGAGGGTGGAGAGTTGTAGTGAGCTGACATGGAGCCACTGCACTCCTCCTGGGTGATACAGTGAGACCCTGTCTCAAAAAAAAACATATATATATATATATATGGCAGCCAGGCCCAGTGGCTAACACCTGTAATCCCAACACTTCAGGAGGCTGAGGCGGGTGGATCACCTGAGGTCAAAAGTTCGAGACCAGCCTGGCCAACATGGCAAAACCCCGTCTCTACTAAAAATACAAAAATTAGCCAGGCACGCTGGTGGGCGCCTGTAATCCCAGCTACTCAGGAGGCTGAGGCAGGAGAATACCTTGAACCTAGGGGGTAGAGGTTGCAGTGAGCCAAGATTGCACCACTGCACTCCAGCCTAGGTGCAGAGCAAGGCTCCATCTCAAAAAATAATAATAACAATAAAATAAAACAAAATAAAATAAAATATTAATTGCAAGAGGAATCAACCAAGAAAAAGATGAGTTCTCCATAACCACAAAGAAATCATGGGCATAAGAGATCTCTTAATATCAGAAACAAAACAATAAAAGTTCAAAGAAAAGTTTATGTAGCAGCAAAGGAATGCAAGATAAAATGTCACAGTGCTAAAAGCTACTTGTAAAACAATGTGACTGGAAATGAAGTCTGGGAGGTAAAAGAGAACTTTGATGGGACGAGAAACCTGCCAAAACTTTAAAATCTGTATGTGGGCAGGCATGAGGATTAGAATCTGTTGGAGCCAGAAGCCAGAGCTAGTTCTCCCCCACACCAATTCTCCCACCCATTGGACATTTTCCAAGTTAAGAAATGGTAGAAGAAGGTGGGGGCTTGGCTGAAAAGCAGAAGTAGATCTTGCAGTCTTGCAGTTCTTAAATCACAAATATCTGCTGGAGGGAGAGGCCTGGTCTCACCTTCAAGACATTAAGACCAGATGCAAGCCAAAACAAACTAAAACAGTAAACCAGCCCCAATCAGTCCAACTTCTGATCAGACTGAAGAAAGTAACCCTTACGCTAGCTGTCTGAAAGAGAAAAATTCGAGCCATTTCTGGGAAAAAAAATATTATCAACTTCAGTTTCTAGTTCTTACATGAAAATTCTGGCATATGATAAAAATAGCAGAATATGTTAAAAAGTAGGAGATTGTGAAATTTAAAAATCAACAAAAAAACATGTGACTAAATACAGACCAAGAGATGACACAGCTGATTAGTGGACATGGAATTTGAAATAACTATTATAAAGTATGTGAAAGAAACTGAAAGAAAATATTAATATGGGTGAAAATATGGGAAAAAATCCAAAAGAATAATGTGACCTCTAAAATTAGAATCAAATGGAAATTCTAGAGCTGAAAAATACAATACCTGAAATGGAAAATTAATTGAATAGGCTTAACAGTATATTGGACATAGTGAAAGAAAGAATTAGTGAATTTGAAGAGTGGTCAATAGGAATTATCCAAACTGAGGCAAAGAGAGAAAAGGAATTTTTATAGCAGAATGTTAGAGAGCCCTGGGTCAAGATCAAATGATCCAGCACAATTTGGAGTCTCAGAAGAGGAGCAGGGAAATGGGATAGAAAAAAATATTGAAGGGTATGAAATATTTTTAGTTGGTAGGAAACATAAACTTAAAGGAGAAAAAGTATAGTTAAAATCACATCTAAGTGCATCATAGTCATCCTGCTGAAAACCAAAGAGAATGAGAAAAATCCTAAAAGCAGGGGTGGGGTAGACACCATACATTCAGGAAAATGGAGGCTACCGTTCAAGTAGTCTGCAAAATATTGTTTAGCACATTATCGTGAAGAGACTAACCAAGGCTAGAGAAAGAATCATCCAAAAAGATTAGAGGAAACAGTACTTGGTGATCACATAGGACCAGGAGGAATATCCATCACCCAATAAGACAAAATTCATGATGTCTGGCACACAAATTATATGCTCCCTATAAAAAAACAGACTTTAAATATAAAAGTACAAGAACGGAAAAAGACATACCATGCTAATACTCATCAAAAAAGAGCTAGAGTGACTATATTAATATCATATAATGTAGATCTCAAAGCAAAACATATTACCAAAAAGAAAGAAGTTTATCTCATAAAGAGATCAATTCATCAAGAGGACATAACAATACTAAAGTTTCACCACATAAAACAAAACTGAAGGCTAGGCATGGTGGCTCACACCTGTAATCCCAGCAATTTGGGAGGCCGAGGGAGGTGGGTTGCTTGGGGTCCAGAGTTTGGGATCAGACTGGCCAACATGGTGAAACCCCATATCTACCAAAAATACAAAAATTATCTGGGCATGATAGTGGGTGCCTGTAATCCCAACTACTCGGGTAGCTGAGGGAAGGAGAATCACTTGAACACAGGAGGCAGAGGTTGTAGTGAGCTGAGATCATGTCACTGTACTCCAGTCTGGGTGACAGTGCGAGACTCCATCTCAAAAAAAATAAATAAAAGCTCAAAATATCAAAATATATATAAAACAAAAACTGATAGAACTGCCAGGAGAAATAGAAAATCCACAATTACAGTCAGAGATTCTTTCAATAATTAATATAACAAATAAACAAGAAATTACCAAACATGTAGAACACTTGAACAGTGCCATCAATCAACTTGACTTAACTGACATTTACAGAAAAACTGGGTAGCCGGATGCAAGAAAAATAAACTTTGATTCATACCTCACACCATACACAAAAACCAACTTAAAATGAACCACAGACCTAAGTGTAAAACCTTAAACTATACAATTTCCAGGAGAAAACACAAGATAAAATATTTGTAACCTTGGGTTGGGCAAAGATTTTTTAGATATGATACTGAAAGCATGAGTCATAAAAGAAAAAAAATGCATTAATTGTACTTAGTCAAATTTTAAGATGTTGCCTTTTCAAAAGACACTGTTAAAAGAAATTAAAACAGGCTCTCTCCTCTCCTTCTTCCCCCTAAAAAAAAATTAAAAACAAAAGCCATAGACTAGGAGAAAATATTTGCAAAACAGATATCTAATCAAGGACTTGTGCCCAGATTATATAAGGAACTCTCAAATCCCAAAACTAAGAAAAAAACACACACTTTTTAAAATAAGCAAAACATTTGTATTAGTCCATTCTCACACTGCTATGAAGAACTGCCTAAGACCGGGTAATGCAGGAAAAGAGGTTAAATTTACTCACAGTTCTGCATGGCTTGGGAGTCCTCAGGAAAGTTACAATCATGGTGGAAGGCACCTCTTCACAGGGCGGCAGGAAGGGTAAGTGCTGAGCCAAGGGGGAGGAACCCCTTATAAAACCATCAGATCTTGTGAGACTCACTCACTTTCGAGAGAAGAGCATGGGGGAAACTGCCCCCATGATTCAATTACCTCCACCTGGTCTCTCTCTTGACAATTAAGGATTATGGGGATTATGGGGATTACAATTCAAGATTAAATCTGGGTGGGAAGACAAAGCGTAACCATATCAACATTTAAACAGACACCAATAAAGAAGATACCACAAATGCATATAAGCACATGAAAAGATGCCCAATATCTTTACTCATTAGGGAAATGCAGATTAAAACCATGAGATACCACTATACTTCTATTAGAATAGCTAATGTTAAAGAGCCTGACAATACCAAGGATTTGCAAGAAATGTAGAGAAACAAACTTTCATACACCACTGGTAGGAGTTTAAAATGCTACAACTTTGAAAAGCAGTTTGTCAGTTTCTCTAAAAATCAATCACCAATGATTCAGCC
This sequence comes from Homo sapiens, assembly GCF_000001405.40. Lineage (NCBI taxonomy): Eukaryota > Metazoa > Chordata > Mammalia > Primates > Hominidae > Homo > Homo sapiens. The sequence goes on along the minus strand of NC_000016.10, from coordinate 9,355,212 downwards.
ATTGCACACCTTGGTATTTAACCAAAACAAATGAAGCATGTCAATACAAAGCTTGCACACAAATATTAGTAGCAGTTTTATTTGTAATAGCCCAAAATTATAAACAGTGTAGATGTCATCGGCAGGTAAACCAATAAACAAACGCTGGTACATCCATTACAATGGAATACTACTCAGCGATAAAAAGGAATTAACTATCAATACATACTGCAGTATGGGTGAATCTCAAAATAATTATGCTGAATGAAAGAAGACAGAAAAAAATGGAATACTGACCCTCTGATTCCGTTTATATAAAACTCTAGAAATTTTAAAATAACCTAAAGTGACAGAAAATAAATTAGTAGTTGCCAGGAAAGAGGGGAACTGAGAAAATGAAAAAGAGGAATTACCAGGGGTACAAGGCGGCCTTTGAGGGTGATGGATATGTTCACTGTCTTCATGCAGTTATGACTTTTGGTGTAAACATACAGCAAAATTTATCACATGGTACACTTTAAATATATGTTTATTTTATGTCAACTGTATCTCAATAAAGCAGTTTGACAAAAGCTCCCCCCACAACCAAAAAAAGTTATGCACATTGTACTTGTGCATTCTATGTACTAAAATTACATTTCAATAAAATACTGTTTTAAAAAGTCACACACAAAACCTCAAGCAGGCAAGAACTCAGAGGATAACACTACTCCTGACCTCATCTTGAAGAAAATACTTGACAATGAAATGTGCTGAAATAAGAATGAATCAAAAGAATTCCACACAGGACAAGCCTGGGGAAAGCATTGAGTCATTTAAATAAAAAATTGAGACTAAATAACCATGAGAATTCTGGTTACAGAACCAAGTCCCAGTTGAGAATGATAGACAAAAGAAATGTGAACACATAATTTCTTCAAATTTTATAGAAAAGAAAATCAAGTGAAGGCTAAACTTTGAAACAAATTACTAAAAAACAGATTCTAGCCTCTAAATGATTTCATAATTTTTCCCTCAACTTTAAAGGAATAACTTTAGAATGAGCAGCAGTTATGGTAAATACGTTGTTATCTAAACTTTAACAGTTTCTTCAAATTTTATTACCATTTAATTTTCTCCAGGCAAAATTTAAATTAATTATTTTATTAATAATAATATGAAGAGTATGCATGCAGTTTTTAAAATAATTCCCATCTATTTTTGCCCTGACCTCTCTGTTCTTATGTCTGCATATATGTATAGAAAGATGTCCTGAATGATAGTCACTAAATATTAAGTATGGCTTTCTGGAGAGCGTGAAATAAGGTAGATTATTTTCCATTCTTCTGTGTCCTCCTTTGGTGGCTTGAATTTTCTGTAATACACATGTATCACTTTTACAAAAAAAGATAAAGTTACTATTCTTGTTTTTAAAAAACAGTGCACACCCTAAAGTCAAACAAATTAGTGCTAATTCCAACTGCACCAGTAATTCACAGAGGAAATGGAGGATTTGTTTTAATCTCTTAGTGCCTCAGTTCTCTCATCTGTATTGCGAAAGTAACACCAGCACCTAATCCTTTGGGGTAATGTGCATTTAAATGTGATGGTGTGTCTAAGTTGTTATGTACAGTACCCAAATAGTTAGCAGCCACTGGACAGTGGAATTGTAGCTGAAGATGATGCCAAAAACCCAATGAGGCTCTTTAGCTCACAGTAATATCATCAAACTCTACTTGAACTCTAAAAAGGGAGCTATGAGAAACATAGAGCAACACCTGAGACCAAATATCTGATTTTCAGAACTGCATCCTATCTACCCAGAGACACCAGAGATGAAGGTCTCAGTTTCCTTCTGGTTCTTATTTCTTGCACCAGTAGTAGAATTTCAGGAGTTGTCAAGTGCACGCTTCAAGTTGGTGTGTTATTGAAGAGAAGTCTGATGAGTTTCCAGGGCAGGTGACTGGCCTTGACATATGGAGGAATTTTTAGTAGTTGATCTCCAAACGCAACCAGATGTTTCCTTCATGTTCACAATGGGATGTCTCCTTGAAGTCTGCCCTGGTACCCACACGGGGTCTCCAGAACAGCTTGGAGAAGAAGTGACGAGCAAAAGACACTACTTTAGACAATTTCAGTCATTTTGACTTTGGAGTAACTGATTTTTATTCATCTCCAAAACAGGCATCTCGTTGCCTTTGCAAGTAGATATATTTCAGGAAAGTGATATGAAAAGAAAATCTAACTTCTTCATTGACTTTCTTATAAAATTATAAATATATTTGTCCTGGAGAAAAAAAATACCCAACTTAACATTTTTTTAAAGTGCTGTGGGTGGCCAGGTTCAAGACTTTTTGTGGATGCTAATAAAACGGGTGACTTTTTAAAACTGTCCAGAGCTTTGCAGCACACTTTGCATGAATTCTAAGCTCCCTTTTTCTCTCTTGCCAGGCAAGAATTATCTTCTTCAGGCAACAGAATTATCTTCCAGACTACATAATCTCCTGGCACTCAATTTTCAAATTTTGAAGTTCAGCTCTATTTTTTCACTTTTATAAAAATAGCACTACTGGAGGTGGGCTGCCATATTACATTTTTCCAGTAATGACCATCATGTAAAAATGTGCTCCAGGGAGCAATATGGACAAATAGAAGTCCCCAGTGACCATTCCCCACCCTCCAACCTCCCAATGAAACACCAAATTGAACAATTATCCACACAAGAAAGCATCTTCATTAAAACCAAAAACAAGGGAGCTATCACAATACCTGGTTTTCACATCATATTAAGGAAAGAGACACTGAAGAGGGTAGAAAAGACATTCTCAAATTGCTTACACCACTCCTCTCCCAACCCCCAGCAGCTGCACTGTGGTGTGGAGAGAAGATTTGTGTGTTTGGGGAAGACAGAGTGCAGTGATTGTGGGGCTGTGCATTGGAACTCAGTGCTGTCCTGTCACCATGAAGAGCAACACAGGGCAGAACTCAGCCAGTGCCCCCAGAGGAAGGATTTAGATCAACCCTAGCCAGAGACACATTGTCCATCACAGCAGCCAGGACTTCAGTTCCAGCTAGCCCCACTACTGCTGGCTAAAGGGCTCTAGGTTCCTACACAGACTTGAAAGGAAGTCCAGGCCACAAGGACTGCAATTCCTGGGCAAGTCCTGGTGCTATGCTGGGCTCAGAGCCAGTGCACTTGGGGTATATGTGACCTAGTGAGATACCAGCTGGGAGACAAAGAGGACCGTGTCTTACAACTTCAACACCAGCTCAGCCACAGTAGGACAGGACACTGGGCAGAGTCCTGAGGCCCCTATTTTAGGACCTTGTCTTTCAACTTGAATACCAGCTCAGCCACAGTAGGATAGGACACTGGGCAGAGTCCTGAGGCCCCTATTTTAGGCCCTAGCTCCTAGACAACATTTCTAGACACACCCTGGGCCAGAAGGGAACCTGCTGCCTTGAAGGGAAGGATACAATCCTAACAGGATTCATCACCTGCTGACTAAAGGGCCCATGGCCCCGGCATAATCAGCAACGGTAGCCAGGCAAGCCAGGTACTTGCCACGGGACTTGGATGCGATCCAGGGCCATGCTGGCTTCAGGTGTGACTCACCACATTCCCAGCTTTGGTGGCCATGGGTAGAGACTCCTTCTGCTTGAGCAAAGGAGAAGAGAGAATAAAGGGGACTTGGTCTTGTAACTTGGGCACCAGCGTGGCCACGGTGTGGTAGAACACCAAGCAAGCTATTGGAGTCCCCATTTCCAGGCTTTGTCTTTGATGGCATTTCTGGACCTGGCCCTAGGCCAGGGAGGAGCCCACTGTCCTGAAAGGAGAGACCTAGGCCTGACAGCATTCACCACAAGCTGACTGAAGGGCCCTTGGGCCTTGATTGAACAATGGTGGTAGTCAGGCAGTACTCACCAGGAGCCTGGGGCAGTGGTGGCCAAGGGGAGTCCTTCTGCTTAAGGAAAGAAGAGGGAAGAGTGGGAAGGGCTTTATCTTATGGCCTGGGTGCCAGCTCAGCCACAGTGGAATAAAGCACCAGGTAGATTCCTAAGGTTCCCAACTCCAAGCCCTGGCTCCTGGACAGCATTCCTGGACCTGCTGTGGGCCAGCAGAGGAGCTCACCTCCCTAAAAGAAAGGACACAGGCCTGGCTGGACTCACCACCTGCTGACTGAAAAGCCCTTGGGCCTTGAGTGAACATCAGCAGTAGCCAGGCAGTAGTCACCACAGACCTTGGGTGAGACCCAGTGCTATGTTGTTTTCAGGTATGACCCAGCACAGCCCCAGTGGTGGTGGTCACAGGAGTGCTTGTGTCACCCCTCTCCCAGCTCCAGACAGCTCAGCAGAGAGAGACCCTGTTTGTTTGGGGGGAAAGTAAAGGAAAGGAACAAGAGTCTCTTCCTGGTAATCCAAGGAATTCTCTCAGATCTTACCCAAGATGACCAAGGCAGTACTTCTAAAACTCTACAAGAGCCATTGTGTTGCTGCCCTGTCTGGGAGGCGAGGGGCGCCTCTGCCCAGCCACTCCCCCTGGGAGGTGAGGGGCGCCTCTGCCTGGCCACCCCGTCTGGGAGGTGAGGGGCGCCTCTGCCCGGCCGCCCCATCTGGGAGGTGAGGGGCGCCTCTGCCGGGCCGCCCCGACTGGGAAGTGAGGGGTGCCTCTGCCCGGCCGCCCTTCGTCTGGGAGGTGGGGAGTGCCTCTGCCCAGCTGCCCTGTCTGGGAAGTGGGTGCCTCTGCCCGGCCGCCCCATCTGGGAGGTGAGGAGCACCTCTGCCCAGCCGCCCTTCGTCTGGGAGGTGGGGAGCGCCTCTGCCCAGCTGCCCTGTCTGGGAAGTGGGTGCCTCTGCCCGGCCGCCCCATCTGGGAGGTGAGGGGCGTCTCTGCCCGGCCGCCCCATCTGGGAGGTGAGGAGCGCCTCTGCCCGGCCGCCCCATCTGGGAGGTGGGGAGTGCCTCTGCCCGGCCACCCATCATCTGGGAGGTGAGGAGCGCCTCTCCCCGACCGCCACCCCGTCTGGGAAGTGAGGTGCGCCTCTGCCCGGCCGCCCCATCTGGGAAGTGAGGAGCTCCTCTGCCCGGCCGCCCTGTCTGGGAAGTGAGAAGCGCCTCTGCCAGGCTGCCCCGTCTCGGAAGTGTACCCAACAGCTCCGAAGAGACAGCAACCATCGAGAACGGGCCATGATGACGATGGCGGTTTTGTCAAAAACAAAAGGGGGAAACGTGGGGAAAAGAAAGAGAGATCAGATTGTTACTGTGTCTGTGTAGAAAGAAGTAGACATAGGAGACACCCTTTTGTTCTGTACTAAGAAAAATTCTTCTGCCTTGGGATGCTGTTAATCTATAACCTTACCCCCAACCCTGTGCTCTCTGAAACATGTGCTGTGTCATCTCAGGGTTAAACGGATTACGGGCGGTGCAAGATGTGCTTTGCCAAACAGATGCTTGCAGGCAGCATGCTCGTTAAGAGTCATCACCACTCCCTAATCTCAAGTACCCAGGGACACAAACACTGTGGAAGGCCACAGGCACCTCTGCCTAGGAAAACCAGAGACCTTTGTTCACGTGTTTATCTGCTGACCTTCTCTCCACTATTATCGTATGACCCTGCCACATCACCCTCTCTGAGAAACACCCAAGAATGATCAATAAAAAAAAAAAAAGTCACGGTGTTACTGGGCTTAGGGTGCCTTCTAATGCAGATACAACTGCAGTGACCAAAGATTTAGATCACAATACTCAATTCCCTTTGTGTACTTTAAGGCCTTCCCAAGAAGGACGGATACAAACAAGCCCAGACTGCAAAGACTGCAATAAATACCAAACTCTTCAATGCCAGGATATCAATGAATATCCATAAGCATTAACACTGTCCAGGAAAACATGATCTCACCAAATGAACTAAATAAGGCACAAGTGACCAATCCCAGCATGACAGAGATATGTGAATTTTCAAACAGAAAATTCAAAAGTTTCTGTGTTTTGAGGAAGCTCAATGAAATTAATGGTAACACAGAGAAGGAATTCAGAATCCCATCAGATAAATTTGACAAAGAGATTGAAATTTTTTAAAATCAAGCAGAATTATAGAGCTGAAAAATGCAACTGGCATACTGAAGAATGCATCAGAAACTCTCAACAGCAGAACTGATCAAGCAGAAGAAAGAATTGGTGAACTTGAAGACAGGCTATTTGAAAATAGTCAGAGGAAACAATAGAAAAAGAATAAAATATGTCTACAAAATCTAGAAAATAGCCTCAAAAGGGCAAATCTAAGAGTTACTGGCCTCAAAGAGGAGGTAGAGAGAGGGAGATCAAGGTGGAAAGTTTATTCAAAGGTAAAATAACAGAGAACTTTTCAAACCTAGAGAAAGCTATCAATATTCAAGTACAAGAGGGTTACAGAACACCAAGTAGATTTAACCCAAAGAAGACCACCTTAAGGCATTTAATAATCAAATTCCCAAATGTCAAGGATTTAAAAAAGGATCCTAAAAGCAGCAAGAGCAAAGAAACAAACAACATACAGTTGAGCTCCAATACATCTGGCAGCAGACTTTTCAGTGTGAACCTTACAGGCCAGGAGAGAGTGGCATGATGTATTTAAAGTGCTAAAGGGAAAAAAACCTTTTATTCTAGAATAGTATACTCAGCAAAAACATCCTTCAAACATGAAAGAGAAATAAAGTCTTTCCCAGACAAACAAAAGCTGAGGGATTTCATCAACACCAGACCTGTCCTAGAAAAAATATTAAAGGGAGTTCTTCAATATGGAAGAAAAGGACATTAATGAACAGTAAGAAATCATCTGAAGGTACAAAACTTACTGCTAATAGTAAGTACAAAAACACATAATATTATAACACTATAATTGTGATGTGTAAACTACTTATTTCTTGAGTAGAAAGACAAAAGATGAACCTATCAAAAATAATAACAACAACTTTTCGAGACATAGACAGTAGAGTAAGATATAAATAGCAAAAACAAAAAGTGGAGGGGTAAAATTAAAGTGTAGAGTTTTTATTAGTTTTCTTTTTGTTAGTTTATTTGTCCTTTTTTTGCAATCAGTGTTATCAACAGTTTAAAATAATAGATAACATGATGTTACTTACAAGCCTCATGGTGACCTCAAATCAAAAAACCTACAACAGATACACAAAAAATAAAAAGCAAGAAATTAAAACAAATCACCAGAGAAAATCATCTTCCCAAAAAAGAAGACAGGACAGAAAAAAAAAAGAAAGACAACAAAACAAACAGAAAACAAACAGCAAAAAGGCAGGAGTATGTCCTTACTTATCAATTATAATATTGAATGTAAATAAACTTAATTCTGCAATCAAAATGCATAGAGTGGCTGAATGGATTGAAAAAAGGCCCCAACGAACTGTTGCCTACAAGAAACATACTTCACCTATAAAGACACATATAGACTGAAAATAAAGGAATGGAAACAGATATTCAAGCCAATGGAAACCAGAAAAGAGCAAGAGTAGCTATACTTAGATAAAATAGATTTCAAGACAAAAACTATAAAAAGAGACAAAGAAGGTCATTATACAAGGATAAAGGGGTCAATTCAGCAAGAGGATATAACAATTGTAAATATATATGCACCCAACACTGGAGCACTCAGATATATAAAGCAAATATTATTAGAGCTAAGGAGAGAGACAGATACCAATACACTAATAGCTGGAGCCTTCAAGAGCCCACTCCCAACATTGGGCAGATCATTCAGACAGAAAACCAACAAAGAAACATTGGACTTAATCTGCACTGTAGACCAACTGGATCTGATAATAATTACAGAACATTTCATCCAACGGCTGCAGAATACACATTCTTTTCCTCAGCATTCTCAAGGACAGATCATACGTTAGGCCACAAAACAAAGGAAAAAATATTTGCAAACTGTCCATCTCACAAGGGATTAATAACCAGAATATATAAGAAGCTCAAACAACTCAACAGGAAAAATCCAACAATCCAATTTCTAAAATGGGCAAAAGATCTGAATAGACATTTCTCAAAAGAAGACATACAAATGGCCAACAGGTCTATGAAAATATGCTCAACATCATTGATCATCAGACAAATGCAAATCAAAACTACAATGAGATATCATCTCACCCCAGTTAAAATGACTTTTATCCAAAAGACAGGCAACAACAAATGCTGGCAAGGATGTGGAGAAAGGGGAACCCTCATATGGCATTGGTAGAAATGTAAATTAGTACAGCCACTAAGAAGAACAGTATGGAGATTTCTCAAAAAAATAAAAGTAGAATTACCATATGATCTAGCAATCCCACTACTAGGTATATACCCAAAAGAAAAGACATCAGTGTATTGAAGAGATATCTGCACTCCCATGTTTATTGCAGCATTATTCACAATAGCCACGATTTCAGAGAAACCTAAGTGTCTATCAGAAGATAATGGATAAGGAAAATGTGGTACATATACACAATGGAGTACTATTCAGCCATAAAAAAAGAATGAGATCTTGTCATTTGCAACAACACAGATGGAATTTAAGGACATTATATTAACTGAAATATACCCGGTGCAGAAAGACAAATTTTGCATCTTCTCACTCATTGGTGGGAGCTAAAAATTAAAACAGTTGAACTCACGGAGATAAGAGAGTAGAGCGATGGTTAACAGAGGATGAGAAGGGTCGTGGGAGACTGGGGATGGAGTGGGGATGGTTAATGGGTATAGAAATATAGTTAGATAGAATGAATGAAATCTAGTATTTGATAGCACAACAGGATGACTACAGACAATAATAATTTATTGTACATTTTAAAATAACTAAAAGAGTATAATTGGAATGTTTGTAACACAAAGAAATCATAAATGCTTGAGGTGATGGATACTTCATCTACCCTGATGTGATTCTCATGCATTGGATGCTTATTATCAAAATATCTCATGCATCCCATAAATACATACACCTACTATGAACCCATAAACATTCTGTAAATTTTTTAAATGTACTCCAGTCCCCAAAAATTATTCAATATGTGTAAAAAGAGTTCTAGAGCCTACTCCATCAATTCCTTATGCTCAAACTTTCATGAAACTTGCTTGCTTAAAATTAGTAATATATGTGCCTGAAAATGTCAGTAAGAAACTAAACAGAAGCTTAGTCAAGTCAAACACAGTAATATTTGGCACTCACGCCTCTTCTGTAGTCCAGGACTGGGTCTGCCAAGAGAAGCCTTGTACAGAGGCTCCCAAAGAATGAAAGGGAACCCAATAGCTTCTAAGTTCTCTTTTGACTCTGCAAGTAAGCCCACAGGAGACCTCTGGTCCCCTTTGTGGAAGGTGGAATGGCAACAGGACAGGAAAAAGAAGATGAATACTCATGAATGGACAGGACAAGAAGAAGAAGATGAATTCATGTTGACAGGAAGCTAAAGATGTGGATTGGAGATGCCAACTTCCAAAGGATCTTAATCACAAGAATAGGCAAAGCTATGGGGTGTGATACAAATGAAGACTTTGTGGTTCCAACCATATTTTCCACCTGGGGCCAAAATATTTAGAAATCTACCATTAAAGAAGCAGAGAGTCATCTAACAGCATATACAATCCCAGAGAACAAGGGGAAGAGAAGTAACAGGGGGAAAACTAACTTTATCAAACATTGCTGCGCATCGTGACTTGATCCTGGTTCCACTCTCATTTGAAATGGTCTCTTTCTCCAGCTGCAACAGACTCTTAGGAAACTATGTTCCCTCCAAAATGCATGCAAATGCCGCATAGAAGTGGCTTCGGACCTACACTCCTTTACTGGGTTAATTCAATTCCTGACTTAACTCTTCTGCTCTCATCAAACTTCTTCCAATTCCCTGAACTCAGAGTGTTACCTGCACGAGCTAATTCTTTCTGCCCGTGCCCTAGTTTAGCATCACTTCCTCCACACATCTTCCGTGACCGTAGTCCTCCCCTCAACTTCCAAGTGCTGTACTTCCCCTAGTATTGCTCTTCTCATCGTGGGTCATGATGGGCTGTGGACTTAACAGGCTCTCTACCAGACCTTGAGCTCTGCGGGGGCAGGTGCTGGATTTTGTTCACTGTTGCATTCACCTGTGCTTGGCCCATTGAAGGTGTTTAATGATTTCTTGTTGAATATGCAGTCAAGAGCATACGTAGAATACATCGATATTCTCCCGTGTTGCTACAGAAATTTCACTTGCCACTGCCCCACACCCACCCAGCAGTTTCCTTCTGCTTTTCCACTGTTCCCATTTGGGTCCAACTGTATGACAGCAACTTCTAGATGGAATTGTCCCTGCCTGGGTGAATCTAGGCCAAGCATGTGTTTTGGGAGAGTTGCGGCTTTTTCTTTTTAGTGGAGATGTAAATATTAATGGTGAAACTATCTGATAAAATTAACGAGGGCCATTGCTCAAGAATGCAAAGTGGGGCTTTCTACATTTTAAGAGTCTCTGAGAAGTCCACAAGAGTGATCTAAAAATGTGAAAAACATCATGTGGCTGTGTTAAGAAGAGGAACTTCACTGCAATTTTCAGAAGTCAAAACTGAGAGGCTCTGCAACGTTTGAAACACTTGAGAGCTGTGGCACTAAAGCAGAACAATCTTTCTAGAGGGACTGGACAGAGTGGTAGACTGGGTGGGCCAGTGGACCTGGGCTTAAATGAGACAGAAAAAAGGAGGGCAAAAAGGAAGGAGGAGAGGAGAAAGAGATGGGGATTCGAATCAAACACGGAGATGGAACTAAATTATTGGAATAAATACACAATAAATTGGAATAAATATACAGTAAATAAATACACAATTGGAATAAATAATACACAATAAATCAATCCCCTTTCCATTCTTTCCATCTTTTTTTTCTATCCACTTTCCATTATTTCCATCTTTTTTTTCCCTTGAGGAAAAAAAGAATGGAAAGCAGATTGATTTATTGTGTATTTCCAAGTTTTTAAAATATCACATTCTTATTGGAGAAAAATTTAATAGTACAATAAAGTAAGAAAAAAATAAATTCACTCATAATTTTTACCCACTTTTTTCCGTAATTCCTTCCTGCATTTCTGTTCATATATAAGAGCTTTTATAAAGGTTTATATTTTGCATGTCACTTTTGAATCCATCTCCAATTTATTTTATACACAACAGGATGGAGTTCAAAATTTTTTCTACCAAAAAAAAAAAAACGTCCATTACTATGTGAATGAAGTTGTTTTTTCTTTACTCCTTTTCACTTTCCCTTAAATATTGTCAGCTGTGTGTTTCATATACTGTGTTTCTGCTCTACCTTTTCTATGTTGTAGCCTGGCAGTGAAGAGCCCAACTCTGGAATCAGACAAGCCAAGGTTGGGAATTCAGGCCATTTATGAGCTCTGTGGCATTGAGCATGTTCTGTAAAACCTGTGGGACTCTGTTTTAACGTATGTAAAATGGGATTGATAATAACACTTCACAGGTTTGTTAATGATAAAGCATTTTCACCATTCCTAGCACATACTGATAATTCAATAGCTACCAGTCACTAATGTTATTATAATCCCATTGCTCTGTTTGAATTCACACTTCAAAAAAGTATTTTCAAATACCTCCTATATACCAGAAACTGTGGCAGGCCCTGGTGTGACAGGGAAGAACAAGAAAGTGCTTCTCATCCACCGATTGGTGTGTGTTATCCTTATTTATTTTAGAACTGTCACCGCCCCAATACACACACACTCTATTATTCCCTGGCCATTCTCCTTTCCACTGGAATTCTACTAACGTGCTTGCTACGGTGTCCCAGCTGTTTTGAAAGGCAGTAGGGGTTTCTCTGCCAATCCTTAAGGAAAATCAGATGAAAAGTAACAACCATATGAGACATGGGCAGCAACGATAGCTCCAGAATCCTGCTATTGTCATTATCCCTTATCCTGGGTGTAGAGTTTCTGATGCCCTGGGTCCACCGGAATCAGAGGCACTAAAATAGCCTCCTTCCCCTCCACAATGCCCTCCCTCCCCGAGAAAGCACCTTCTCCCACACATTCCACTTCCAGCACTTTAGCTGCAAGAAAGGATACAAAACAAGCATAATTTTCACACCCTCAACCTCAAAAGCCAGGATAAATCCCTTCTGCCTACAACCGTGGAGATCTGGAACTTATCTCTGGGTCCCAGTAAAGATGACTTGGGATTTTATCTCAGTAGGTACCCCACACTCACACAAACAACATGGATTCTCTTCCTTCTTTGGGAGAAAAGACACACGTTCTGCCCTGTTCATAGGGGAAGAATGCTTTCCTAGGAAGTGGAACCCCAGGGTGAGTACTTGCTGTCTGCTATAAAATGGTCTTTAAGGTCAATGCAAATATGGCCTCCCCCTGTGCAACTTCCCTGGGCCCCTCTGAAGCTCAGAGCTGGCTCCCTTCTCTCCCACTGAAGATCTTGTTTATATATTAAAATGGTTAGAAAGGTAGCACACTTCCCCAGAAGGAAACTCCCAACCTTCTAATTTTTATTCACCAGACAGTCAAAGAGAATAAAACCTAAACTTGGTGTCACGGAGAATTACCCCAGGTTGATAAAACTGGCTGGTGATGTGCAGGTCTGGCCATGTTTATGGCCTCCCAACCCCCAAATAGAGGCTTCAAGAACTTGGTTCTGGAGCAAATTCTGCCCCATCCTGCACATAAAGATAAATAAACAATTGAAAAGTAGGCATTGAGTGCCTTCTGTTTTCCCATTGTAGGTTTTCACATTACAGCTCATGCAGAAAAGTATATCTTCATCAGATGCCTGGCAGCCCTGAAAGCTGAGGGGCTGGACACCTTGGGTTGAGGTTGGAGATTCTCTGGGGCAGCAGACTAGGGGCTCTAAATGCAGAAAGAAGGAAGAGAGAGAGAGAGAAAGAGCTGTGCTGCTCAGCTTCTGCCCTTGGGCACCTCAAAGAAGGCCTATACTTATGATTTCTCATTCATTCCTCTTAAAAACCTTACATCCTAAGGTGAGGAAATGCAGTTCAGAGAGGTTAAATGGCCTGTTCTTTCTGTCCCACTTTGGGTACCTGGAAACTTCTCATCTTTGAAGACTCAGTTCAGACACCTCTTCCTTCACTGACAGAGAGCCCTGTGCCTCTGAGCCCTACAGCTCTCATAGACACCTCTACAATGGCACAGATTACATGCAAGCTGACTGCCTGGGTCTGAATTACAGCCTTAAAACTTCTGAAATTTGACTCTTTGAGCAGGTTATTTAAACACTGTGTGTTTTATTATCTTTAACCATGAAATGGGAATGATATTAGCAATTCTTATCTCATTGAGTACTTAGGCCGATTCATTGAGTTAATACATGAAAAACATTTAGGGCAGTGCCTGGCAAACAGTAAGCGTTCAATAAATGTGGATGATGATGATTATTATTTTTTTTTTTTTTGAGACGGGTCTCACTCTTGTCGCCCAGGCTGGAGTGCAGTGGCAAGATCTCGGCTCACTGCAACCTCCACCTCCCGGGTTCAAGTGATTCTCCTGCCTCAGCCTCCTGAGTAGCTGGAATTACAGGCGCCCAACACTACGCCCGGCTAGTTTTTGTATTTTTAGTAGAGACGGGGTTTCGCCATGTTGGCCAAGCTGGTACGGAACTCCTGACCTCAGGTGATCCGCCCACCTCAGCCTCCCAAAAGTGCTGGGATTACAGACGTGAGCCACGGTGCCTGGCCTATTATTATTATTCTTATCAGGCACTCATTATGCTGAGTTCCTTCAGGATAGGAAGGGTATCTTAATCATGAAAACAGGACCTTGTCAGTCTTGTTACATGCATCCAATGCCTGAAACAACCTGCCCAGAAAGACACTAAATATGGGTTGAATCTTTGGACAACTGCATTAATGAATTTATCCCTTTCTCTTCAGTGCCCAGCATCAAGCAGTGTCCAATTTGTATTCAGTTGATGTAATAAATTCATAAGTGAATCTCATGGGTTATTTAAGCCTCCAGATACTCCTTACACCTTGCTCATCATGGTAGCTTCTTACGAAAAGGGTATAGACCTTTGTCTTCAAAATACTTGAAAGGAACAACAGCCCAGGGTTATGCATATTTCCAAAGATCTAACCATGGAGAGCGCCCATAACTTTCATAAGCACCCTCGAGTCTAGCTGGAGTCCCTCAGTAAGGAGCCAAAGCTAATTTCGCACTTTTTGGCCTTCCATGCACTTTCAATAGGGATAAAAGCAACGTTGATTTCCCCTGGGATCTATAAATAATTCAGTCCCATTTGTGTGTCACTGAATCTCTTTTAACAGGAACCGTCAAAGGTCAGGGCCAAATAAATGTCTCTTCAATGTTTGTGCATAATGTCAAAGAGTATTTTTAGGGCAAATGGTGTTCAGAAAAGAACTGAAGAGAAACGGTGAGGTAATTGTGTTCCAGCGCAGATATTCCTGAACGGATTAGCGTGGGTTTTCCCGACAGCCCCCAGAGCCAGACAGCTCCCGCCTGCATTGCTAACCCAGAGCCGGGGGTGATGAAGACTTCATTGGCCCCAAAATGGCGTGGTGCAGCTTAAGCTCTTCCCAAACCTAGAAGTGGTGCCAGAACAGTTTTTGTCCTAGTTTCTTAAGCCTACAGATTCTAGCAGGATTTTAAAAAAAAGAAAGGCTCCTTCTTGCGTAAGAATTAAATGCAGCAATTAACTAACCTGGGAGAGTGCAGTGAACAAGACTACAGGCTTTGAAGCCAGGCAGCCCAACATCTTGGCTCTGTCGCTCTCTGGTTGTGTGATCTTGGGCAAAATACCTCAACCCACTGGGCGTTAGTTTCTCTATCTATAAAATGGAAGTACTAGCAAAAACTACGTCAGAGGGATATTGTGAGAATTATAGTAGATAATGCAAGTACAAAGCTTAACATCGTGCTTGGCACAAAGAGCTCCTTAAAATTAGATATTCTTTTAAATATGTTTTAGGCTGTGGTTTGCAATGGCTCTTTCTCCAAATGCATGATCTGGTTTTGATCTGTTAGGGATTCCTCAAGAATCCTGGTTTGTTGATGCTATTCTGCTACTTTTTCTTGTTTTCCAGTCTGTTGCTGTATATTCACTCTCATATCCTCTGTCTCCCCTCCCTCTCTTGTTATTTCATGGGATTTGGAGTGAGAAGGGGTCAGAAAGATGTGCTCAGTCTTCTTCAAACCTTATTATCCAATGAATCAAGGCCCCATAAGGACTGCTCACTGTAGAGTAACGGAGTCCCGTGCTTAGGAAAAACATCAAAGGCTATGCACCCACTTTCCAAATGAGGACACTGAGGCTCAGAGAAGTGTGACTTCCTCAAGAAAATTAAGTTGGTGCAGGGGTTCTTAACCCAGGGTCCACAAACGCTCAAAGGGTCCTGGATAGAATTTAGGGAGTCCATCAACTTCAATGGGAAAACATTAGAGGAAGACTTTTTAGTAACCTCTAGCTGAAAGTTTTCATTTCCTTCAGCTGAATGTAGACAGTCAAGCACAGTGATACTTACATTATGATTTTGTCACCAAGAGAAACCACAGATACTTTGCCATCACAGCACAATTATTGTAGACATCACAAAATACTATTCATGCTTAGCACAATGTTGAAATATTGATAGTTATTAGACCTGCTGTTGGATCTATTTAATGCACTATTAAGGAAGTACATGTATCATTCTATCAGATATTTATTGTTTATAATATTTTGCCAACAAAATAATTTATTCCCTTTGTAATTCTACATTTTTTTTTTATTGAGACAGGGTCTCACTCTTTCACCCAGGCTGGAGTGCAGGGGCATGATCACGGCTCACTGCAGCCTCAGCTTCCTCTGCTCAAGCAATCCTCCCACCTCAGCCACCCAGGTAGCTGGGACTACATGCACACACCACCAGACCCAGCTAATTTTTTGTAGTTTTTGTAGAGATGGGGTTTTGCCATGTTGCCCAGGCTGGTCTCAAACTCCTGGGTTCAAATGATCCACCTACTTTGGCCTCCCAAAATACTGTGACTTTAAAACAATTTTTTTGAAGCAAGATCTATGTCTTCATCAAACTTCCCTTTGGCCCATGCCCTCAAGAAAGGTGAAAACAGCTAGCAAGTGGCAGAGTTGTCATCTAAATATGTCCCCCAGAAACTTCAAACACATGGCCCCTCCTTGGAAGAGGCTGGAGCCCTCTGAGTCACTAGGTGCACCCTGTCTTATTCATGCTATACCTCCAATCTCCCACCTTCCTCCCTACTGTTATTCAAGCCAATGAGGAAGAGGAGGAGGAAAAAGAAGAGGAGGAGAAAAAAGAGAAAGAAGAAGAGGAGGAGAAAGAAATTAACAACCACCACCCCAACAGTAGGCCTTACAATTGACCTCATCCTTTCATATAACTCAGTTCATAACAACCCCATCTACTAGCTACAAAGGGAATGTTAGAGAGGCCAAAGGTTTTGTTCAAAGCCACACAGCTAGTGAAGAGTAGGTCCGGGACTCAAGCTCAGTCTGTCAAATTCTAGATGACTGCTCCATACTGCCCTGTGGTCCCTTGACCCTAATAGCCACCCTCATCGCCACTAGTCCACATAGCTGCTTCTTTTGACAACCACCCTCCCCACACGTCATTACACCTAAATTGCTTTATCTAGGATAGTTTACACTGTGTAATTCTCATTATTTCAAAACTGGTCGAAGTTGTATGAAGAAGTTGTCATGTCAAAAGGATTGTCTCTGGGAGACTTGGATAGGAGGAGAACTGCTTTGCTGGCTAGTGAGTGTATCAGTCAGGGAAAGGCAGGTTATGCAGCAGCAACAAATGACCCCAAAAACTCAGTGATATAACAATATGAAGTAATTGTTTCTTGCTCCTACTGCACGTCCATCAGGGTCAGCTGTGGCTGTGATCCACATCTCTTCTCCCTGGGACATAGGCTGCTGGAGCAGCCACAATCTGGGACATTGCTTTGGCAGAGGGAAAAGAGGACATGGCTCTTAAATCAGCTACTTGGAAGAGACTCCTGTCACTTCTGCTTGCATTTCGTTGGCCAAAGCAAGTCAAAATCATGACATCATGCAGGGAACTAAAGCATTATTATTTTCCAAGAAGAAGGAGTGAGCATTCCAGTAATAATTCAGCTAACATGGGGAAAAGCCCATTTTAAAAGGTGCTGCCTTTTTATTGCAATCTGTAAATGTCTCCAGGTTTGACCTCTGATGCATCAATGATATATTTACAAGACTGACCTTTGCTTTCTCTAATTTGTATTCATCATAGTCTTAACTACTATGATAATAAATTGCCTTTTAAAATTATTGAAAAGGTGCCACTTTTAGAGAGTGTATTTAGAGGAGAAACCACTCCCCCTGTTCCTTTCTCCCTGCAGTTCTGGCAGTACCACCAAGACTCTGACACTGCTTGGTCATAATTCTAAGCCCAGCCAAGGGCACCCGGTGGGTATTCAGCTCAGACATGGCCACTTGCTCTGAAATGCTACTAATAAGTGAAAGTTGTGTGTGCTCAACCGACACAGGGAACAGTTTTAAAGGCTGCAAACACTCTTCATAAACCCTCTTCTCTAATGAAGAGACTGCTCTGGGCTAATCTTCATTCCCTCTGAATTTAAATGCTGACTGGAAAGAGAGTGTCGATGCAGCAAGATGGATTACCAGAAGGGGCTAAGGAGCTGTGTGGCCAAAATGGTTTTGGTCTTTTCCCTTGATTAATGACAAGAAGGCCAGGCTGTGCTTTTATCTCAGACAGGTCATGTTGGAGAAATGTTAATGATGTCATCAGGTGATGGATTTTCTCATACCTTCACTCACTAAACCATGCCAGATCTATCATGCATGCCAGATCCATCCATGCAAAGTGGATGGAAGAACAAAGAGCTTGGAGCTGCAGGAACAATCCCCTTATAATCGACTTCTGAGGTTACACCATGTAATAGAGTGGCAGAGAAGTATGATGATATAATGCAAAAGTTAAAGACTACTGAAAATTGGTTCCCAGAAACCAGACCTAGTTCCACAGGGGTGGGTGTGTGTGTATGTGTGTATGTGTGTATGTGTGTGTGTGTGTGTGTGTGTGTGTGTGTGTGTGTGGTGAACACATACATAGTTTTTTAATTGGGTTTTTGCTAATTTTTCCCAATATTTTATTATGAAACTTTTCAACACAGAGCAACATTGAATCATTAACATTTTACTGAACTTGGTGTATCACATATCTGTCCATCCATCAATCCATCTTACTTTTGGTTCATTTCAAAATATATTGCAGATGTCAGTATACTTCCACCTAAATACTTCAGCATGATTTTCAGTAACTAGACTCCAATATTTGTTTGCAGGTTTTTTGTATGCAACTTACACAGGTTGAAATATACACATTTTAAGTATTCATCCACTGAGTTTTGACAAATGCATGTAACAGTATAATTTAAACCTCTATCAAGCTAGAGAATATTACTAGCACCCTGAAGGTACCTCACTCCCTTCTTCCCAGCTGATCCCTGGTCTCATGATAGGTCAATTTTGCTTGTTCTAGAACTTCAAGTAAATGGACACCTGTCATATGTGCTCTTTGTGTCTGGCTTCTTCTGCTCAGCCTTGTGCTTCCGAGATTCATTCATGCTTTGTGTAGGTATCAGTAATTTCCTTCCTTGCCATTGCAGAGTCATATTCAGTTGAATAAATATCCATTTGTTTAATGTATTATCTACAAAGACTTTCAGAATTAAGTAGCAAGCTTTAAAGAATATACATTGATTGTCTTTATAATTTGTTGGCATGCAAAAAATGGAAGGTTTCATATAAAAATATAGATGTCTGGTGCATCTTAAGAATCTCAAGATTGGGCAACACTAGGCTCACCTTTCTCCACCAGCAACAATGAGTAGGGTCAACTGAAGACATGTCATGTACTCTCTCATTTGGCACAGCCTTCACCACTTCCTTCCATATCCCACCTGGGCAACTTTATTCATTTATGTTACCTGCCTGTGTCTGAAAGTATGTAATTTTCTCATTCCTATTAATAATAACCAAAGGCTGCAAAGGAATTATGAAATGATTAATGAAGGAGAGAATAAGTGAACAAAATGTGATTTCATTGGTTATACTGTGCCAAAGATCCTACAATACAGAGTAAATAGGAATCCTGAGTTTGAATTTGGTTATACATGGGTCGTAATCCCTTCTCTACTTTGTATCATCTCCACTTCCTTCTTATGTAATATGGAAATAAAAAATGTTAATGTATCACTTGGTGTAAGAATCAATAAGATAACATATTTAAGCTGCCCAGCACCAGCAGGATGGTGGTTTACGATCACCAATATTATCATTATTACCATCAACCTGTTCTCCATTACAGAGTTCAACTCATTTTTCATTCTATCTCTTTAATGCAGCAATTTGAAACCTCTGAATTCTGAAAGAAGATGATTGGGCTTAATGATCGGGAGAAATTTTCTAACCCTCATTCCCTTCTTTCTAATAAGTCACCATCCCAAGCATGAGTTTGGTCCCAAATAGAAGCCACTGAAAAGTCTACAATCCTGTCAACCAAACAGGAGCTTCCTTCTTCATGCTTTTGAGGACTTGGGACAAAGAGTATTAGAGCTCAGAAACAAAATGAGGCATCTCAAAGGGTGGAAAATCACAGAATAGGAAATCCAGAAATAGACCCACATACATACATGATATTAGTATATAATGGTAGTGTTTTCATACCACTGGGGAAAGACAGATTACTCCATAAATGGTAACAACTGGAAAACCATCTGGAAAGATATAAACTCAAATCCTTATTGCACTAAAACAAATTCCAGATGGATCAAAGATTTAAACATAAAATAATGGAACCATTAAAATACTAAAAGAAAGGATGGGAGGTGTTTTTTCCCAAAACATTGATGGAGAGAAAACACTAAGAACCATTTAAAATTCAGAACCCATATATAATGGGGGTATATTTAAACAAATAAAAATAAGCAATTTCTACCTTTAAAAACCACAAAGGAAATTTTAAAAAGATCTAAAAGGCTGGGGAAAATATCTGTACAAACCAGAAAAAAAGGTCATTTGCTAAAGATAAAGAAATCCTATAAATCAGTAAGAAAAAGACCAACAACTCAATAGAAAAATTGACCAAGTTTTTTTCGTCTAAAAAAGAATATCTAAACATACCAAAATATGCTCATCCACACTAATTATAAGTTAAATACAACTTAAAACTATAGCAACATATTTTTAGTTTCTAATTGGCAAAAATCAACATGTCTGATAACAAACTGTGGCACTGAGATTGTGGGGAAACAGTCACTCTCATATTTGCTGGTGGGAAGATAAATTGATAAACATCTCTGAAGAGCCATTTGGCACAAATTTTTAAAGTTAAAAACGCACATACTATGTGACCCAGCAATTCCATTGGAAAAAAAAACATCATCCTTGAACTTGTGAGAAATGCTATGGATACAAAAGTTATTTGCAGCACTGTGATAGTCAAACAGTGGGGACAACCTAAAAACTATAAATAAGAAATTGGGGCCAGGCGCAGTGGCTCATGTCTATAATCCCAGCACTTTGGGAGGCTGAGGCAGGTGGATCACCTGAGGTCAGGAATTTGAGATCAGCCTGACCAACATGGTGAAACCCTGTCTCTACTACTAGAAACACAAAAATTAGCCAGGTGTGGTGGTGTGTGCCTGTAATCCCAGCTACTTGGGAAGCTGAGACAGGAGAATCCCCTGAACCTGGGAGGCGGAAGTTGCAATGAGCCAAGATCATGCCATTGCACTCCAGCCTGGGTGACAGAATGAGACTCCAACTCAAAAAAAAAAAAAAATTGGTAAAATACATTATGGTACCTCCATGCAATTAAATACTTCTGTTTGTAGCAATATTGGACAGCATCCAAGACACAATGTTGAAATTGGCAAAAGGGAGGAGAGATGGCAGGGCAGATACAGAGTATGAATACAGTGGGCTACCACTGGTGCAGGGAGGCAGGGAGAAGTATAGGCAAGGCAGAAGTGCATAGGCTGTAAGTGCACAGGATATATCACAGGATACATCTGGAGGACACAGGAGAAGCCAAGACCAATAGTTGGAACTGGAGTAAAACTGCATGGCTGGGTCTATATATTCTTTTACATTTTGCACCATGTACATTTATTGCCTATTCAATGAAAATGTTTTACTTAAAATATAGTGAAATTGCTATCTTTAGGTCATTTAAACATGGGTAACTATTTTAGCAGGCTATTACAGACAGTACACAAGCATCATTACAATAATCCAAATAGATTCCCTTCTGACCCTGGAATTCTAGGAATTTATTGAAATACATCCATTCTAGCTCATTTCATTGTGCTCAGAATGATAAAAGTATTTCTATTAGGTTTGTAGAAGAATAACATGCTTCTGGCCTTCAAGACTTCAAGCCTATTAGCATACTACAGAAGGAGACTCTCTGGGTCATCTGCCTTCCATCACGCCTTCTGAACAGGTAGAGCTTCCTACCACACAGCGTTCACAACCACCCCACTCCAAGGGGCCACCACACACACAGGGATGGGGAACAGAATGTTTCCTGACAAAAATGGAATGTGGATCTATTTTCAAAGCTAGAATGCATATATGCCATAATGTGAAGGCATTTTTAGCTTCCAAATGGTAACTGACATTTGAAGATTTACTATCTGCCAAAGCTTCACATGCATTATCTTTTCTAATCCTCCCCATGACTCTGTGAGGGAGGCATCCTGCATTTTCTCCATTTACAGGTGAGGAAACTGAGGCTTG
Organism: Homo sapiens; assembly: GCF_000001405.40. NCBI lineage: Eukaryota > Metazoa > Chordata > Mammalia > Primates > Hominidae > Homo > Homo sapiens. The sequence continues at coordinate 9,333,450 of NC_000016.10, read as the reverse complement.
AAGATGTCTATATGCAAGAGCACAATGGGAGATTCCAAGCCAGGCAGTCAGCTCCAGAAAGCCCCTCCTCTTATCACCACCATCCACCACAGCTTTTCAAATCACAAAGCCTGGCCTCTCACCTGCCACTCCTCCCCCACATCCATGGGTTCTATTTATTTTCCTGTGCTTCCTCCTAGAATGTTAGATGGTATGGGAGGCAGAACAATGGCCTCCCAAAGACATCCACATCTTAATCCCCAGAACCTGTGAATATACTGCATTATATGGCAAAGGGAAATTAAGATGAAATTAAGTTTGCTAGTCAGCCGACCTTAAAATACAGAGATTATTCTGGATCATCAAAGTGGGCCCAATGTAATCAGAAGGGACCCTAAATGTGGAAGAGGGAGGCAGGAGAGTAAGTTGGAGTGATGAGCGGAGAGAAGGATTCAACTGCCCATTGCTGGCTGTGAAGTCCAAGGAAGGGGCCATGAGCCAAGGAATGTGGGTGGCCTTTGGAAGCTGAAAAAGGGAGGAAACAGATCCTCCCCCAGAGACTCCAGAAAGAAACACAGCCCTGCCTACCCCTTGATGTTAACCCAGATGTGACTTGTGAGATCCTTTTCAGACTTCTGACTCCCAGTACTGTAAGATAGTAAATTTGCATCTTACACCACCCCATTTGTGGTAATTTGTTGCATCAGCAATAAAGAAATAAAACTAATATACATAATGAAGAGTACTATAAAGGAAAAAATGGCGAGCTATGAAGAGACCCCGGGCAACAACAAACACCTCTGTAAATAAGAGGTGCAGTCACACTGCAGTTACCATCTGAATAAAGAACCAACAGAAAGCTGAGCTTGAACCCACCGAGAACTTGAGGTTGGATAAAAGGTCTAGATCTGTGCTCTCCAAGAGCGCTTTCTGAAATGACGGAAATGTTCTATGTCTGGTCTGTCCGATGTAGGGGGGCCGCTGGTCCCATGTGGCTACTAAGTGTTTGAAATGTGGCTGGTGTTATGAGAAATTAAATATTAAAATTTTATTTAAACTATTAATAATTCAATGTTACGTAGCACAGCCCCATGGCTTATGCTGTCTTGTTGGACAGGGTATGGAGAAAGATCTTCCTCTTGTAAAATGAACCGCCCCCTCCCCTCTACCAGCATAACTCTTCTCATGACTCTTTGGTAGCGAGGTCAGAGCTGTCTCTCAAAACACAAGCAATCAAGCACAGTGGTCGGGAGCTGCGGCCCTGGCCCGACCGCTTCTCAGCCACGAGGCTCAGAGCAGGTGACTTGACCTGTTGTGACTCAGTGTCCTCCACTATAAATTAGAAATAAAACAATTACACCAGGCGCGGTGGCTCACACCTCTAATCCCAGCACTTTGGGAGGCCAAGGTGGGCAGATCACTTGAAGTCAGGACTTCGAGACTAGCCTGGCCAACATGGTGAAACTCCATCTCTACTAAAATTACAAAAATTAGCCAGGCATGGTGGTGGGTGCCTGTAATCTCAGCTACTTGGTAGGCTGAGGCATGAGAATTACTTGAACCTGCGAGGCAGAGGTTGCAGTGAGCCCAGATTAAGCCACTGCACTATGGCCTGGGCAACAGAGTGAGACTCCAACTCAAATAAAAAATAAATAAATAAATACATAAATACATAAATAAAACAATTGCTATCTCAGAATGAGATGGCCCATGTTAAGGGCACAGCACACAGTAGATCCTTTGTCCAGATTAACAACTGACTGAAGCATGACTGTTTTCTTTATAACATTCTGTCTTCTGCAATTCAGTGGTGAGGTCCTGGACTGAGGTCTGATTCATGTTGCTTCCTCCCCTCTTTAAAAGGGTCCAGTACAACACCCAGCACACAGTAGTTCCTCAATATAACCATTTGAATTGAATTGAATCCATTTAAGTTCAGTACCTATATATGTTAAATGTTGTGCACGTAATTTTAAATATTGAATGGGCTGAGACCAAGCATGCTGCTGGGAAAGGCCTTTTCCTGTAGCTGAGAGAGGCTGGATCACGGGAGGCAGGGATGATTTCAAAGGTTCCTGGAAAGTCTCCTCTTAGCACCCCCACTTCAAAAACTATCTTTCCTAAAAGCCCATGCCTAGAATATCTTTAGCCAAAAATTTTAAAAAGTCGGGCTTTTACTCCACAGTTAGCAAAGATTAAAAATGCTGTGGGAGAAGAATTGACAAATTCTCATTACACAGAAAAGCATGGAGTTCGCAGAAACGTTGAGATTATTCAATGATTCTCTTTTTTAACTTTTTATGTTATTATTTTTTTATTTTTTGTAGAAACAAAGTCTCACTATGTTGCCCAAGCTGCTCTTGAACTCTTGAGCTCAGGTGACCCTCCCACCTCAGCCTCCCAAAGTGCTAGGATTACAGGCATGAGCCACCATTCCCAGCCTATTCAATGATTCTTAACTTTGATGCAGGTAGGAATCTACTGAGCAGCCTTTAAAATTTACCCATGGAATCAGAATCTCTGTGGGTGGGGCCCAGCATCAGTATTTTCAAAGCTCCCTGGTGATCTAAACGTGCGTTCAGTGCATAAGGACCACTGGATGGTCCTGTCATATGTCCTTCTTTTTTCTTTCTTTTCTTTTTTCTTTTAACCATTTTAAAGTGAGCAAATCAACAGCGATTAGTATACTGTCATCACTCCAAAAGGAAACCCCATGCCCATGAAGCAGGCTCCTGCATTCCCCTCTCTGCACTGAGACTTCTTTGCTACTCAGGAAAAAACACAACCAACATTGTAACAGGGAAGTCCCAGGCTCCCCTTGAATTCCAAACCCTTGTACCCATCCTGACACAGCTTCCTTCTCCATCTCATCTCTGAGCTAGTCTCTAAGAGGAATAGATGCTTCATGGCCATATTTCTTTTGCTCAGATCCACAAATCAATGCCAATCTCAGCTAAGTGTCCTGATATGCCCAGGCCCCTCACTCTCCCCACAAAACCTCAGAAAGTTAATTCAGGGCAGATGGGAACTGGTCAGCCTTCAGCCATTTTCAATCTTGGGAATCTCCAAAAATAGCTCAACTCTAATGCATATTTCAGGTTAGGCTTGTTTATTTTCCCTCTGTCCATGCCAGCAAGCTAATTTCCCCAGAGAGAGAGGGAAAGCAAAGGCTGCTGCCAGAAAACAGAAAAATCGGCTTTTGCTTCTCCCTTGATTGCCCATGAGGAAATGCCTCCAGGGCTTCGTGTCTCAGTGCTCTCAAAGAGACCCAGAGAGCGGGGCCTTTCTTTCTCCGTGGGCAAGACATTCAAATACTCCCAACACAAAAGCCCAGCGATGCTTGAGTCTGGATGCGGACTTCCGACCTTCTCAGTGTGCAAGAGGAGAAGCAAGAGGCAGCAGATGATGTTAGCCTTAATCCACGCAAGGAAAAATAAATAAGAAACAATTACTGTGGTTTAAATTCCAAAGTGAGGAAGGACCCTGGCAGACCTGGTGTCTGCACAGTTAGGGCCAAGGATAGGGTAATGATGGGTTGATCCTGGGCACAGTAATAGCAGAAAAATCTGGTATTTAGATGTATTACTATCACAGAAGCTCAACTATATTTAGCCAGAATGGAGGGTGGTAAAAACACAAGCAGAAACCCTTGAATTCTCCACCCATCCACTGCTAACAATTTGTGAATCACCTTAAGGCAGACAGGATTGTAGAATCAGACATGAGTAGACTTTCCTTCTGCTAGTGGAGCTCCATGGGTAAGGACTGTCTTGCCAATCCCCTAGGTCCTTCCTGCCTGAAGTCTTTTATGACTCTGATGGAAAATTCATCCTCCCTGGATTTGTAAGGGTTGCATGAGTCCAGAACCATACAAATGAGAGGTAGAGCTTAGCTCCTAAAAGAACAAGATGGTCAGAAATCATCTGGCAGTGATTCTCACCTTGGAGCTTCATGAAGACCTGGGCAGGGAGTGTCCCTAGCTCCCTCCTCCAGTCGCATAAAATGAAGTACATAAAACCCCAACATCCAGGGCATTCATCAAGAAAGGGATTCAATCATCTAGACAGGCTGGCCAAGTCCTCTCACTTGGGATGAGCTTGAACAATCACACTGCCTTTTCCTGCAGCATCTCTTGAATTCACAGAGGTGATAAGGTGTCCAAAGCCACCAGAATCTGGAAGTTTCTTTTTTTTTTCTGTAAACATTTTGGAAGGCATGATCTCCAAAAAGAAAGGTTCCAGAACCTTAAGGGTAGAAGCAAAAGATGGGGCAAACACCAGGAGAGTCTAAACCTAAATGGAATTTTCCTTTCTGAATTCATATTATTGAACATGTACTATGTGCCTGACAGTGTGTTAGTCACAGCTGCACATGTAGTTTCCAAATTGGAGACATTAATATTCCACTTCTGGCACAATCGTGTGAGTTAAATGGGTTTTGTATTTTTAGTCTTAATTTCCACATGAAGAAAATAATATTCAGAACGTTCAAATGACCTATCCAAGCATACTTAGGTAATACCTGGTGGAGCCGGCATTTGAATCCCTATTCAAAGCTGAGTGAACACTTTCCATCCCATAGCTCTGGAAGAAGTGGAAATTCCAAGGAAAATCGAGCACCATTCTTGTCGTGGTTCCACAAAGCAATTTCTTTTATAGTCCTACTAGTCATTGCCCAGTGCCAAAAGGAGACATTTGCTTTTCTCTCACTTGTCACTCCTCTGCCTGAAAACCTCATTTGCATTAGCTCCTAAACAATATCTTTGGCTCATCCTCTTAGGAAACAGAGGAGGGCGGAGAGGCGAGCTTTTTCTGGAGTCTGCCAATGTCTAAATCAAAAGTTCTCCTCCAGTAACGGCAGTCAGAATGGACTTTGTCCAATTCTCTCTCACTTCCAGGACAGTTAATGTCTGCTCTACGGCCCTGTGTTTCTAAACAGCTTTCTCCTGGAGAAGGGATAGCACATATGTGTGTGTGCTGTTTCCTCTCCTCCCTTACCCATGGCAGACATTGCTAATCAATGCTGGCATTCCATCTCACCCATCCTAGCCTCAGCATCAATCCTATTTCGTTAAATTTCAAGCACTCACTACTAACCTAAAAAAAATCTGCTTTTCACCCTTTTTCTCTAGCAGTACTCCACCTAACAGCTTCCAAATCATCCTTTTGTACTAAGGGAATTATGTCTCCCCTCCCTCTACTAATCCCCTGAATGTACAGCCCATTTTAGAAAAGCCACTTCTCACTATAGAATCTCAGTGTACACCGTTAAACCATTTAACCTGGCAATTATTAATTAAACACGAACAGAATTTGTCCCAATGTAATTTCATGACAAGTTGACTCCATGAGACTTCACCTAAGTGATCTGGGCACTTTGTTAATTAAAGCAAATTGAAACTGAATTTCCATTGGAAATCTGAAGAGAATTTCACACCACCTTGTGAGATAAAAGGTGATTCCCAAGGGCATTTTGAAATCAAGGGTACAAATTATGGGTTGAACTCAAAGTGTGAGTCTGAATCCTCCTGCCATACAGGTCTGCATTGAACATCGGTAAGTTCTGTGATTCAGCAAATCTTACACGAGCTCCAAACACAAAGGCAGAAGTTGCTGCATTATTAATAGTTTGTGTTCAGCATTGCTCACAGGTGGATGCACCCATTCACTGTGACCTGTGTGGGGCTCCCTGCCTCCCTCTCCCATCTGCAGTAACTCAAGAAAACAAAACTCCAACCATCAGAGCTTGTCACTGATGCTTAGATGAGACCAAGCAGCCTGAGTTCCCAGAGGTGAAAAATCAGACTCAGAAAAGGTTATGATAAAACTGAGCATCACCACAGCCCATCCAACACAGACGGCACCCCTACCAAAAGATGGAAGCCTGGGGTTCTTCTTCTATGTGTATTCCACTCAGTAAATTGCCAATTCTTCTCTTCCTTGCCCCTAGGGAGTTATAATCAAGCTGTAATTTTGCATATTGCCTAGGTTTGCCACATATGTTCAAATTAAAGATAAGCTGTCTTCAAAGGGAAATCATCCCTTTCGAAAGTGAACGCCTACTTGAAATGTAAACGCTGCTTCAATCCTGACTGAGAGAATTCTTCTGACTCATATTTGGAATTCAGTCTGTTCCGCCAGGTGGCATGTGCACCAACACTCTCCACTCCTGTGCCCCAAACAGACATTACTAATCAATCATGACTCTCTTTTGCTGTAAGGTGGGAAGAAGCCTCCAAACAGGGCTCCAGGAACCACTGTCAGTCAGTAAGAGTGGCATGTAAGATAAAAGCTGTTTGCCATTCTGCCACCTAGAATTTATTTATGTGGATGTCAGGTGGTCATCTTTGACTGCCATGCTGACATATAATTTCTGTTTCTACTTCTACGGGTTTGTCTATTACAGTCCTTTGTTATGCCCCGACCCCAAGCACCATACATACATGGACTGTCTCTAGGGGGACCCAGATCATTTCTGCATTTTCCCAGCTTGTCCTTGCATCTATTCATTCTCATCCTATTCCACTGTCAAGGTATCTCCAGTCCCTAGACTTAGCATTTTTCCATTTCCTTCTAGTCCCATCAAATCCTAACATGAGGATGCTCCAAGTATCCTATCAGAGCCCTTGCAACCCCAGCCATGGTTGACTTCTCCTAACCCCTTTGGCAAGAAAGACTTTGACAAAATTAGCCCATTCTAAAAACATAATGATGACAATTAAACTTCTCATTTTTTCAAAAAACCTTCACATTCAGGATTTCAGGCAATGATATGGCTTGGCTGTGTCCCCACCCAAATCTTATCTTGAACTGTAGCTCCCATAACTCCCATGTGTTGTAGGGAGGAACCCAGTAGAAGATAACTGGATCATGGGGGTAGTTTCCCCCATACTGTTCTCATGGTAGTGAATAAGTGTCATGAGATCTTATGTTTTGATAAGGGGTTTCCCCCTTTACTTGGCTCTCTCATTCTCTCTTGGCTGCTGCCATGTAAGATGTGCCTTTCACCTTCCACCATGATGTGAGGTCTCCCTAGCCATGTGGAACTGTGAGTCCATTAAACCTCTTTTTCTTTATAAATAATGATCCAAATAATCCAATAATCCAAATGATCATGGAGGGCAAGTATTTCAAGACCATGGGGTTTGACATCAAACAGAAATAGATCCAAACCTTGACTCTACCATGTACAAACTTTGTCAGATTCCTTCACCCATCTGGTCCTCATTTTCCTCATCTGGAGACCTTACCAGCACCTACCTCAGAGGGCTGCTATGAAGATTAAAGAAGGTAATGCACACAGAGGCTCATCACAGTGTCAGGCAATCAGAACTCATTGGCTGCCGTTGTTTTTATTTAACAGATGCTGTCTTTGATTTGGTTTCCTAGAAGACCCTAAAATAAAGCCTTGAATGTAAACAATGTATTTACCAGAAGATACCAGGAAGCACCAGAAGGAGAGTAAGAAAGTGAGACAGGGAAGGGAAGGAAACCAATGAGCAGGTCACCACTGTGGGCGCCCAGGGGCTTCATCCCAAGAGAGAATCTTGGAGGTGGTGTAGGACATGCATCCAGTTATCCCACCCAATGCGCCCAGTTATCCCACCCAATGCACCCAGTTATCCCACCCACAGGGTGTTTACTCATCAACTCCCATTTGCTGTTGGTTGAAGACTGCTCCTGGGGGTGTTAACTCCCTGGCACTTCTAGCTTGCTTGTGCGTGGGACAGACATGTTCCTAGAGCCAGCAGAAGCCCTCAGGCATAGTCAGAGGCTCCTTGCAGACAGAAGCGGTTGGCAGGAACAGTGAGTTTGAGAGGAGGGGGGATATGAGCATGGCACCAAAGCCTCTGCTGCAGATTCAGACAGTAGAGTCCAGGAAGGTTAGGTGCCAAGCCCACGCTCACACAAACACGGAGTGCCTGTGTAGAAAGAAAGCAAAACAACTGTGCTGGGTTCAAATTGCAGCCAATTGCAATTTAAATTGCAGCCAGGCATGGTGGCTCCCATGTGTAATCCCAGCACCTTGGGAGGCCAAGGCGGGCAGATCACTTGAGGCCAGGAGTTCGAGAACAGCCTGGCTAACATGGTGAAAAATACAAAAAATACATGGCCAAAAATACAAAAAAATTAGCCAAGTGTGGTAGTACATACCTGTAATCCCAGCTACTCGGGAGGCTGAGGCATGAGAATTGCTTGAACCCAGGAGGCAGAGGTTGCAGTGAGCTGAGATTGCAACACTGCACTCCAGCCTGGCAACAGAGTAAGACTCTGTCTCAAAATAGAAAAATTGCAAATTGCAGTTGCACCACTTGTTCATCTGTAACCTGATAGGGCTGATCCCTACCTGGGAAAGTTTTGAAGGAAGTAAGTTGTATAATGTAGGTAAACCACTTCACACAAATTAGATGCTGAAGAAATGTTGGATGCAACAGAACTGCTTAGTGACCTTTCTCTTCCCTCCTGACCCCAGCGTTCTCCCACTAGGACTGTAGCCTCCCTGACAAGCAGGGAAACTTATTTTCTCCATCCATCTAGTCATCAAATGGCTACTGAGTGCCACCTGGACACCTGGCACTACATAGGAGATGGAGATGTACAGGTGAGTAGACATGACCTTGGCCCTTCTCCCAGACACAGAGAAGCAATCAAATAAATGCAATGTGGAGGATGGAGAAGCAGTTTCTACAGCAGTGCTTCTCATCCTTTAATGTGCATGGGAATGGCCCAGGGAATTCTTACTAAAATACAGTGTCTGACTTGGGGTCTAGGGTGGGACTTAAGAGTCTTCATTTCTAGCAAGTTCCCAACTGATTCTGATGCTGCGCAGTTTTGAGCACAAGAGCTCTACAGAATTTGTTGGGGGAAAAAAAAGGAAGAATTCATTCATTCTTGGGGAAAGATACCTGCCTACTCATTGGGTTGCCTAGGTGTTGGTCCCCCCACTTTTCAAAATGAGGAGACCATTATGAAGTCCATGAACTGGAAAGGATGATTCAAGATGATCAGATCCAGATGTATGGGAAGGTGACTCTCTTACCATCCCCAAAAGAAAGTCATTCAGGGTCTACATAAAGAGGGAGACATCACCTCATCCTCTTTTGACAGTGTCTGAAGACTTGAATGGCCAAGAAATTTTTCCATGGTCCCAGCTCGTACATGGGAGTGAGTTGAGAAAACTTTATAAAACCAACACACCTCCTATAAGCCTGGAGTGGTCTTTGCTTGCACCTGTGGGACTGGAATCAGAAAGCAAGCTCAGTAAAACACATGCATGCTGCAGAGGTTGCAGCCACTGGATATCTAAGCCTCATAATGAGCAGAGTTCACTATCCAGCTTTCTGATGCATCCCTCCTTTTCCTCCTGAGAAACTGTTCAGTCCCTTCACTTTTCTTGAACATGTCCATGTAATTAAGCCTAAATCGGCTATCTGGAAGTGCACGCAAATGGGGCTAGATTTTATCTGAAGTTCCCTAAACCCAGATATAATAACAGTTACAGGGTATTCACTAAGGAAGATGCAGTGAACTATCAAACGTGCTACAGAGACCTCAACTGTCAATCAATATGTCCAATAAACAATGTGTGCATTGTTATTAAACATTTGGCATATAAAATTATTCTATAATATGTGAGAGATTAGTAGATGGGATAAAGTATCCTGTATCCTTAGAATAAATTCCCCTCTCTTACTTGCCCAAAGTAACTTGAGCAGGTTTCTATTACTTGCAATGAAAAGACTCCTGATTAAAAGATAGGTTTTCAGATGGCCCAGGCCAGCCAGTATTCCCAGCTCAATGAATATTTGTTTTTGAATGAATGAGCAATACTGTAACCCAAAAGAAGGTAATTATGTAGAATTTCTGGCATCAGCAAGACAGGAAGGAGACCTTCTCTCACCCCTAATACGTTACTCTGCTGATAGCTGCCCAGCCTCCGATGAAAAGAGGATCACAAATTCAACACAGGCAAAGGGCGGAGAGAATCTGATATTTAGAAAGAACTCTGAATACAAAGATGACCGCCTGGGTTCTGGCCCCTGATCCACTACTGAATAGCCAAATGCCCTTTAATAAGTTACTCAATCCTCAGTTGTTCTTATTCTAAAGTGAGTCTGTAGCAAATATGTGCTGGCTGCCTTCCCACATCCATCCCTTCCTCTTTCTCCCCCTAATACAACCAATATGCTTTAAGGGAAATACATGCCCTGGCCTGCAGCAAGAGTGAGCTCTGACTGGCTTAAAGCAATCAGCATCTTTTAGTCCCCCAGCCCAGTCTCCAGTTCAGACTTGGGCATGTGATCGACATAGGTACCACCAAGGTGAATCTCAGGACCCTTGCTTGAATGTGAAAGCAAAAGTGCTCATTCTGGCCCTGGACATGAGTGAGAAGGCAAGAAGCAGTTTGTTGTAACCATACTGCATTCATGACAGGAGTTAGTTTGAGAATGAATCTGACTTGCAAAATAAAGAGGAGTCACTGAAAAAAAATTACAAGGGAAATTAAGCCATAGGAATGATCACTCTGCACCTCAAGCTCGTTCTTCCTCTAAACATTTCAGTTCTATGAGTCAGGCAGTTCCCTTTGTTTTTATGACCATTGCAGTTAAGTTTGCTGTTATTAAAAATTAATACATCTGGCCTGGCACAGTGGCTCACACCTGTAACCCCAACACTTTGGAAGGCCGAGGCAGGCGGATCACCTGAGGTCAGGAGTTTGAGACCAGCCTGGCCAACATGGCGAAACCCTGTCTCTACTAAAACTACAAAACTTAGCTGGGCATGGTGGCAGGCACCTGTAATCCCAGCTACTTGGGAGGCTGAGGTGGGAGAATCGCTTGAACCTGGACGGCAGTGATTGCAGTGAGCTGAGATTGCGCCACTGCACTCCAGCCTGGGCAACAGAGCAAGACTCCACCTCAAAAAAAAAAAAAAAAATGAATGCATCCATGGATACACAGTTTCTACAAGTGTCCTGTATATATTGTAGCACAGTTCATAATGCCTGGACTGAAATAATATATTTTGTATGAAAGCACTTTTGAATCTTACAATTCTGTAGCAAGGTAAGGAATTAGTGGTTGCCCTGAAAACATATGGAAGTCAAAGAGTTAATCTTTCTCCTGAGACCGGAAAGACAATTTAGTTGTCTTGAAAAAGGCAGGATGAAGGATTCATTGTTATAACAATTGGCGTTGAGAAGCAAAAGCCAATTATTCAAAGCTCCCTGCCTATTTATTTGGTCAGTTTAAGAGAACCCATCAGACACAGCCAGATTTGCCTTAACTGAATTGGTTCAGAGAGAGCTTTGAAGCATCAAGTTCACCGTGGGGGAAATTCCATCTCAGAACATGAGTGGAGGGAGCAGAGGAAGAGTCAGCTCTCCCGGGCAAGGCCCATCCTCTGTGCTGCTCAGGGAAGCTCTAGTCCAAGGATGGTGCAGAAAACTCACTGAGAGATGGGGCTTACAGGTAACTGCTGGCCTTCCTGTTAGTGGCAATGACTCTGGTTCAAACCCACCCTCTGTCACTAGAGCTGCACAGCCTTGAACTTCTCTGAGCCTCGGTTTCTTCATCTGCAGAATGGGGATGATAGCACTTGTTCTACCTAGCCATAACCATAGGATGTGTTGCTGGAAATAGGTGTGATTTCACTCTTCTATGGGAGAGAAAAGAGGGAGGCAAGACCTAAAAGGAGCATTCACAGGGGGAAGTGAAGCATGCAGGTGCATGGATTTTACAGTACACCTAGGACCAAAACCTCTGCTACTGCCTCCTATCTTATCATTTAGGCATTTGACAGTCATTCAACCAACATCCCATTGAGAGCCTACACTGTGCCAGACACTGGATACTGATGGAAAACAAGACAGACAAGGTCCTGGCCTTATAGATCTTACACTGAGGTCAGCTGCAGTGGGGAGTGGGGGGTGGGTGCAAAAAATCAATATATAAACAAATCTAAAAGATAATTTGATGTAATGAAATTGTCCTTGCTCAAATCTCATCTCTTAGAGAGACATATCCAGCCTCCCTATTTAATGCACAACCTTGCCCCACCTGTGCTCACAACTCTCTAACCTTACCTTCCCTATTTTCCTCTCCATAACTCATTCCTTTTAATGTATCAGATAATTTATTCTTATGTGTATCATATATTTTCTGTCTCTCCTGTGAGAATGTAAGCTCCATGAAGGCAAGAATCATTGTTTTGTTCACTGCTGTAGCCAAAGTGCCTAGAACAATTACTGTGCTGGCACATAGTAGATGCTCAGTAAATATTTGTTGAATTGACTTATTTCATGGAAAGTGCTACAGAAAAATTAAGCAGGGTAATGGAATAGAGAGTGTTATGGTCCCCCACGCCAAAAAATATTCGTATGTTGAAAACTTAATCCCTGATGTGATAATATTAGGAGGTGAGACCCTTGGGAGGTGATTAGATCATAAGGGTGAAGCCCTCATGAGTGCAATTCGTGCACATGTAAAAGAGACCATAGAGATCTCCCTCCTCGCTTCTGTGGTGTGAGGGCAGAGCAAAAAGGCACTCCCTATGAACCAGGACGTGGACCCTCACCAGACAACATATCTGTTGGTTCCTTGATCTTGGACTTCCCAGCCTCCAGAACTGTGAGAAATAAATTTCTGTTGTTTATAAACCACCTGGTCTATGGTACTTTGCTGTAACAGCCCTAATGGACTAAGCCAGAGGGTAATGGAGGAGAAGTAGGATTGAAGGCCTAGTTTAGATAGAAATCTATGTAGGCTTCTCTAAAAAGATGTCTTGTGCATGACAGCTGCATGGTGAGAAGCAGCAGCAGTTATGAAGATTTGGGAAGGCATCCCAGGCAGCAAGGATGGCATGTACAAAGGCCTTGAGGCAGGAAGGATCTTGGTGTGTTTGAAGAATAGAAAATTCGGGAACTCTCGGGTGGATCTCCTGAGGTCAGGAGTTCAATATCAGCCTGGCCAACATGGTGAAACCCCGTCTCTACTAAAATACAAAAATTAGCCAGGTGTAGTGGTGCATGCCTGTGGTCCCAGCTACTTGAGAAGCAGAAGAATCTCTTGAACCTGGGAGTTGGAGGTTGCAGTAAGCCAAGATGGTGCCACTGCACTCCAGCCTGGGCAATAGAGCAAAAAGAAAAAAGAAAAAAAAAAAAAGAAAATTCAGGAACTCTGAAGAAGAAGGGTGAGAGGGAAAGTGGTGGGAGACAGGACTGGAAAGGTGTGGAATTTTGAATCCTGATAGTTGAATACCCTGCAAATCTTTGCTTAACTGCAAAGTGTTATAAGCCATAAACATGCTTATCACCATGTCTGGATCATAAAGAGAAAGCTCTTTGATAAATCCTTGTTAGATCCAATGAACTCTCCTTTTTCGTCATGGAGAATGGCTGAAAAGTTAGAAGATTTTTGACCTTTCAAAGAAATGACACAAGTGGATTTCAACAATCGCCATCTGTATAAAACTAAAGGGTCATCAGGGAGAAAGGGAACAGAATTGTTCCATGTGAAAACTAAATCCAATGGGTAAAGACCACAAGGAAAGAGATTTCAGCCCAATTTGAGACAAACTTCCTTATAATCAAACTGCACAAAGGTGAAATTGGGAGTAGTGAGTTTCCCACAACTGGAAGTGTTCAAGCCAAGGTTGAGCTTCCATGTGGTAGGAATAGGTAGAAGGAGCCCAAGTGTTGAGTAGACTGTAGACCTCCCAGGCATGCAAGTTGATGATTTTATGATAATCTTTTAATCATGCCATCTCAACACATTAGTGTTTGTTCTCTGCCTTTGTTTACAAACCCCATCAGTAAAATTCTCACAGAACACATCTACTAATAAGGTAGCAAAGACCGGAATGCATAATAAGGGATGAGTGTACCCATCCTTTGTTCAACAATACAATATTTTTCTTGAATAATGCATGAGCTGCTTTTCATTTCGGAAATGAGAGAGTCTATAATCCCACTGTGCGTCAAGCGAATATTTTTAAACATTTATAAGCAGGAGCCAAAGACAGTGGTAAGAAGCTTAGTAACAACAGAAACATGCATGGCTTGGGATCAGAATAGGCAGGGTGCTTCCATGAGAACCACAGAGGGATGGAGGAAACTGAAGAGTCACCTTTCAGTCCCCTGCTCCTAAGGTCATGGAGGGCAAAACAAACATGGGAATCTGGGTCAAGACACTCACTCCAGGGGGCTTTCCTCAAGCCAGGCTGATTTCCAGTTTCCACAGAAAACTAGACTAGGGAAGGCATATCAGCACTGAAGTTCAGTGTTTTCTTCTCAAATTAAGTTCTCTACCCAACATTCATCACTGCCCTAGCTATTTATGTGGTGGGTGAGTTCAAGGGGACAGTGACATAAACACTAGTGCCTACTTGATGTCCTCTTATTTGCTAGTATGAGAAACATTTATCACTCAGCTAAAAGACTACATTTCCCAGACTCCCTTGCAAGGCATGACCACATGACCACATTCTGACCCATGAGATGTAAAGAGATAACGGCAGAAAGGGAGGAAGAGAGACTTACAGGAAGGCTCCTTAAAAGGAGTTGACTCCAGTGAGAAGTGTCCCCTTTTTCTCATTCCTCTCTTCCCCTTTCCTGCTGCTACAGGAATGGAAAGCTCTGACTGAGACTATCCCAGTAAGCTGGAGATCATAGCGAACTCCATCCTTACTCCAATGGGAAGGAGTGTTGTCAAAACTAGTGAGATGATTATTTAACAATGCCAATATAATAGATGTTCCTTATGTGTGAGAAGGCAAGACACAGAGAAAGTAAGGGTGTGTCTGTTTGGATTTATGAATGCAGAGGCATGGAGCAATTTTCCTGAGGGAAGCATCAACACAGAGGTGGCAAAGTGTGAAGCCATTCACCAAACTAACCCTGCACGCTTATGAGTAGGAGCAGAGGAAAAGAAGGCCAAAAGAGAGGTGAAAGCCAGATCATGGAAGGTCTCAAACACCAAGCCAAGGGGGTTGACATGTATCCTTTGCTGGTTTCTCATACTAATGATACTTACCATCCTATCTGAAAAAGTTGGCCCACTTGAATCTTCTTTATTGAATGAGGAAAATGGCAGAGTGAGCTCTTTTTGCCCTTTGTCCCAAGGCAAATGGAGAATGAGGCATTTTACTATGGATACCTTGTTAGTGAGCAATTTGTGTTTTATCTCAGAGAATTTCATCAATATAGGTGAAGTAATAGTTAAAAATAGGGTTTTTTCCCTAGAAGAAAACCTAGGCATTACCATTCAGGACATAGGCATGGGCAAGGACTTCATGTCTAAAACACCAAAAGCAATGGCAACAAAAGACGAAATTGACAAATGGGATCTAATTAAACTAAAGAGCTTCTGCACAGCAAAAGAAACTACCATCAGAGTGAACGGGCAACCTACAGAATGGGAGAAAATTTTCGCAACCTACTCGTCTGACAAAGGGCTAATATCCAGAATCTACAATGAACTCAAACACATTTACAAGAAAAAAACAAACAACCCCATCAAAAAGTGGGCAAAGGACATGAACAGACACTTCTCGAAAGAAGACATTTATGCAGCCAAAAAACACATGAAAAAATGCTCACCATCACTGGCCATCAGAGAAATGCAAATCAAAACCACAATGAGATACCATCTCACACCAGTCAGAATGGCAATCATTAAAAAGTCAGGAAACAACAGGTGCTGGAGAGGATGTGGAGAAATAGGAACACTTTTACACTGCTGGTGAGACTGTAAACTAGTTCAACCATTGTGGAAGTCAGTGTGGCGATTCCTCAGGGATCTAGAACTAGAAATACCATTTGACCCAGCCATCCCATTACTGGGTATATACCCAAAGGACTATAAATCATGCTGCTATAAAGACACATGCACACGTATGTTTATTGCGGCATTATTCACAATAGCAAAGACTTGGAATCAACCCAAATGTCCAACAATGATAGACTGGATTAAGAAAATGTGGCACATATACACCATGGAATACTATGCAGCCATAAAAAATGATGAGTTCATGTCCTTTGTAGGGACATGGATGAAACTGGAAACCATCATTCTCAGTAAACTATCGCAAGAACAAAAAACCAAACACCACATATTCTCACTCATAGGTGGGAACTGAACAATGAGATCACATGGACACAGGAAGGGGAACATCACACTCTGGGGACTGTTGTGGGGTGGGGGGAGCGGGGAGGGATAGCATTGGGAGATATACCTAATGCTAGATGACGAGTTAGTGGGTGCAGCACACCAGCATGGCACATGTATACGTATGTAACTAACCTGCACAATGTGCACATGTACCCTAAAACTTAAAGTATAATAATAAAAGATAAATAAATAAATAAATAAATAAAAGAAAAAAAATAGGGTTTTTTGTAAATATATGTATTATTATTGTAACAGCTAACATGTGGGCCCTAAACTAAATACTTGTCTGAAATTAATTTTATTTATTCTTTTTGACAATGCTGTAAGGAAGACAGGACTACTCTACCACATTTAATCATAGAGAGAATGGGCTTTGAAAAGTTACATATTAACCAAGATTACACAGGTGGGGCTGGAGAGCTAGAATGCAAACTGAGCTCTGTCTGGCTCTAAAGCCAATTCCTCTAGCCACATGCTAAATCTGTAACTTCTGTGCATGATCAGAGTAGCTGAGCAAACAGAAAAACAAAGAGACATTGTTGGGTTCGCCAGAGAGAGGACCACTCATCACCCATGAGCCAAGAGCTGAAAGAGCTCTAACCTCTGAAAACACCAGAAAGTAGAGTTTCCTGCTTTCCAGCTATAAAGTGGCCACAGGAAAAAGTGTGGTGCAAGGTGAAAGAACGTCTGCAGCATCTGCTTTATGCATATGGCATCATTTCAGGCCTGCTCACTGATAAATATGACTCCAGTTAAGGCATCGTGAGGTCTGAAATTCCACAAAATTGTTTGATGGCCCAGGAGAGAAAGAATGTATCATAATTTGAGAGACAGGAGGTAACTAATCAATAATATCCTCCAACAGAAAAGCCTCTTCTATAGCCATCAAGTTGTTCTACAGCTCAAGGTGCTCCCTGCAATGGACTAAATTTCTGTGTCACACCAAAATTCATATTTTAAAACCTAAGTCTTAGTGGGAGGTTATCTGGAGGTGGGTGGTGATTACATCATGAGGGTGGAGTCCTCATGAATGAGATTAGTGTCCTTATAAAAGAGGCTAAGTCCTTTGCCCCTTCCATCATGTAAGGGCACAGCAAGATGGCACTATAAGCCAGAAAGTGGGACCTCACCAGACACTGAATCTACCTTGATCTTGGACTTCCCAGCCTCTAGAGCTGTGAGAAACAAACTTCTGTCATTTATAAGCTACCCAGTCTATGGTGTTCTGTTATAGCAGCCTGAATAGACTGAGACATTCCCCCTCAAAAACAATAATAATAATAAATAACCAACTGTAGAGTAATGCTGGTTCTTATGTATTCATTTAATCCTTCTGAAACCCCAGCATGTTGAGAATTATTATCCAAATGAGGAAAACGAGGCTTGGTGAAGTTAAGAGCCACGGCCAAGGTTACACCATCAATAGTGAGCAAGTAATTCTAATCTGACACTGAAATGGCTTCTCCACCAAGCCACTAAGCCATGGCACTTCTCACAGAGAACACCTCAAAATAGCAGAAATGAGAATTTGAATCTAGACAAAAGGGAAAAAATGAATGGGCTCTTGAATATCTATTCTCAGCAAAATCCGTCTCCCTTTTGATGTCACAGAGCCCCACCTCAGCAGAACACCATTTCCAGGCTTATTTGATGGGTTCCACCCTTTCCACAACAAGGTCTCCTTCTTGATGTAAATTGGCATTTTAATTAACATGGTTTTTATTGTGTGTGAAGCCTGCAGTAAGCAGGCTTTGGGATCCAGGAATCCCAAACACAAAGAGGAAAAAGGAAAAGAAGAAAGGATCAATAATGTGATTGATGTTCATTTTTAAGAGCCGAATTTCAATCCTTCTTCCTTCTCAGGCTTTTGACTTAATTAACCCCAGCAAATGCTAGAGGCCTGAGCTCTGGTGTCTCATCTATCTTGCTCTAAGGATTTGTCTCTTGTGGCCATAGTTTGCACATCTGAAAAGAAGGAGGTTGAGGTAGAGGCACTGCAATTGTTCTTCCAGCCCAAACTCTAAGACAGCCATCAGCAAGAATGGAAGGTTGCAGGCATTGTGTCAGCTCAGCAAGGATATGTTTAGGTAAGGAGTGAAATCATACTAGGTCCATAAAGTGGGAGTTCCAGAAGTTCGCTCTTTCAAAACCTTTATGGCATGGAGCTTACAGTTCCTTTAGCTCTTGGCTCACAAGTAGTGGAAAGACATAACCCTGGTCATCCTTTGTCCTCTGAGCCCTAATTTCTCAGAGACATGGAGACTGGTTTCCCTAGATAGTGGTGAGCTCTTGGGAGTAGGGTGGAACTGCAGAAAAGATATGGCCTTTGAAAGCCGACCATTCCACCTCCTATAGCTTTGTGACTTGGAAAAGCTACTCAGCCTCTCCACACTTCAGTTCCTTCATCTGTAAAATGCCCAGAATAATCTCACTTTCCAGGTTGCCAGATTAACAAGATCATGCTTGTTAAGTACCTAGCACTGTGCCTAGCACATAGTAGCTGTCCATTTAATAGTAGGTATTATTATTAATTGTCCTGCATGCAGTCCCTCCCATTTTTTACCTACCTCCAAGCTGGCTTGGCTTAGAAAACATAGTTATAAGTAAGCTACATATGTAAAAGGGCTTTGTAAACTGTACAGCAGTGTACTCACATAATGTCTTGGTATTATTTTACATGAATGAGCGAGATGAGATTCCCATCAAGCCAAAGGGAATAAAACAAGCATATAATATGGACCCCAAGTTTTTCATCATTCATTGTAGTCACTCACATCTGAGGATCCCCTCGGTACATGTTCTGCTTTAGTTGAGTTGAGCTGCACTGAGTTGAGCCAAGTTGAGTTCAGTTGAATTGAGCTGAGTTCAGTTGAGGTGAGCTGAGTTGAGTTCAGTTAAACCAAGTTGAGTTGAGGTGGACTTAGTTGAGTTCAGCTGAGTTGAGCTGAGCTAAGCTGAGTTGAGGTGAGCTGAACTTAGTTGAGTTGAGCTGAGTTGAGCTGAAGTTAGTTGAGCTGAACTGAACTGAACTGAGTTGAGTTGAGCTGAGCTGACTTCCATTGAGTTCAGTTGAGTTGGGCTTACCCAGGCTGAGGTGAGCTGAACTGAATTGAGCTGAGCTGAGTTCACTTGGGTTGAGTTGAGTTGAGCTCAGCTCAGCTGAGTTGAGCTGACTTCAGTTGAGCTGAGCTGAGTTGAGCTGAGCTGAGCTGACTTCAGTTGAGTTGAGCTGAGCTGAGTTGAGCTGAACTTGGCTGAGCTGAATTGAGTTGAGCTGAGCTAGCTAAATTGAGTTGAGTTGAGCAGAAGTGAGTTGAGCTGAGCTGAATTGAGTTGAGCTGAGCTTAGCTGAGCTGAATTGAGTTGAGCTGAGCTGAACTGAGTTGAGCTGAGCTGAATTGAGTTGAGCTGAGCTTAGCTGAGCTGAATTGAGTTGAGCTTAGTCGAGTTGAACTGACCTTAACTGAGCTGAATTGAGTTGAGTTGAGCTGAGTTGAGTTGAGCTGAGCTGAGTTGAGCTGAGTTGAGTTGAATTGAGCTGAGCTGAATTGAGCTGAGCTAAATTGAGTTGAGTTGAGCAGAATTGAGTTGAGCTGAAATGAACTGAGTTGAGCTGAACTGAACTGAGTTGAGCTGAGCTGAACTGAGTTGAGCTGAGCTAAGCTGAGTTGAGCAGAACTGAGTTAAGCTGAGCTGAATTGAGTTGATCTGAGCTGAACTGAGTTGAGCTGAGCTAAGCTGAGTTGGGCTGAGCTTAGCTGAGCTGAAATGAGTTGAGCCGAGCTGAACTGAGTTGAGCTGAGCTGAACTGAGTTGAGCTGAGCTTAGCTGAGCTGAATTGAGTTGAGTTGAGCTGAGCTGAATTGAGTTGAGCTGAGCTGAACTGAGTTGAGCTGAGCTGAATTGAGCTGAGCTGACCTAAGCTGCGTTGAGTTGAGCTGAGCTGAACTGAGTTGAGCTGAGCTGAACTGAGCTGAGCTGAGCTGAGCTGAGCTGCGTTGAGTTGAGCTGAGCTGAACTGAGTTGAGCTGAGCTGAGTTGAGTTGAGCTGAGCTTAGCTGAGCTGAATTGAGTTAAGCTGAGCTGAGCTGAGCTGAATTGAGTTGAGCTGAGCTTAGCTGAGCTGAGTTGAGCTGAGCTTAACTGAGCTGAGTTGAGCTGAGCTTAGCTGAGCTGAGTTGAGTTGAGCTGAGCTTACCTGAAATGAGTTGAGTTAAGCTAAGGTGGCTTGAGCTGAGCTGAATTGAGTTGAGCTGAGCTTAATTAAGCTGAGCTGAGCTGAACTGAGTTGAGTTGAGCTGAGCTGAGTTGAGCTAAGCTTAGCTGAGTTGAATTGAGTTGGGCTGAGCTAAGCTGAGTTGAGTTGAGCTGAGCTGAACTGAGCTGAGCTGAGATAAATTGAGTTGAGTTGAGCAGAATTGAGTTGAGCTGAGCTGAACTGAGTTGAGCTGAGCTTAGCTGAGCTGAATTGAGTTGAGTTGAGCTGAGCTAAGCTGAGTTGAGTTGAGCTGAGCTGAACTGAGTTGAACTGAGCTTAGCTGAGCTGAGTTGAGTTGAGCTGAGCTGAGCTTACCTGAAATGAGTTGAGTTAAGCTGAGGTGAGTTGAGCTGAGCTGAGCCGAGTTCAGCTGAGCTGAATTGAGTTGAGCTGAGCTGAATTGAGCTGAGCTGAGCTGAGCTGAGCTGACTCAAGTTGGAGAAGGCATCTCTTAAGGCTTCAATCTGGGGGCAGCATGGACCTTGCAGCCAGTGGATAGGAGATGGGCAT
This sequence comes from Homo sapiens, assembly GCF_000001405.40. Taxonomy (NCBI): domain Eukaryota; kingdom Metazoa; phylum Chordata; class Mammalia; order Primates; family Hominidae; genus Homo; species Homo sapiens. The sequence goes on along the minus strand of NC_000016.10, from coordinate 9,312,535 downwards.
GGAAAGCAAGGTCAAGAGCCCAGCCTGCCATCCTAAGAAGCTGTCTGGTGGAGGAGTGAAAAGCAAGGACCTGGGAACCAGATTACCTGCTTTATAATCCTGGCTCCACCATCCAACAGCTCTGTAACCCTGGGCAAGTTACTTAACTTCCCTGTGACCCAGTTTCTTCATCTACAAAATGAGGATAATAACACCTTCTATATCATAAAATTAAGTGAATTAACATTTCTAACAATCCCTGGCACAGATCTCATTATTATTAGTTTTTCAGGGGACAGGAATGGATGAGCATACAGGGACTTGCCTCAACTGACCCTTAGGGCTTCCTGAGCACAGGAGCCAGGTCCTTCACATGCATTTCTCAGCTAATTCTCCCAAAAACTCTTGAAATGTCTGTTCAACTCTTGTTGATCTTTTTGCTTTTGCATCCCCAGCCCCTTCCCAGTGCCTGGAAGGAATAAATGAACAACTTCATGAATAAGAGGAAAAAATATTTATTGTTTGCCATGCAATAGGCTAAGCATTTTACACACATTATTTTAATTATTTTAATGTGCACAACAACTCTATGAGGTCTAGGTGCCATCATTAGACCCCTTTTTACAGAAAAACAACCTGAGGTTCAGAAAGGTGAAGGAATTTTCCCAGGGGTGCACAGCTTCCAAGTGGCTGAGCCAAGATACAAATTCAGACGTGCCAGGCTCTTGCCCTCTATAACACTGCCTCTGTGAATCAAAGTGTTTGGTCCCATTTTACAGGTGAGAAAGCTGAGGCCAGACAGCTTTAAGCTGCTTGGAGTCAGTCTCCAAGTTTCTGTTCTCTTTCCTGCACCCCAGCTGCTCCACATACTGGCCTAATGCACCCTCACCCAACTCCCAGAGACATGGATATTGTATATTCCTTGCCTGGGGGTTCCTGAGGGTGTTTCAGAGGCCATGTGCCTAGAGCAAAGGCATAACTGTAGTGACAAGTCTTGAGCTGGTGAGACATGTGCGCTGGGGGAAACAAGCCCTTCCCCCTGACAGCTTTGTTAGTCATGACTTGCTGCAATGCGCAGTGGCACTCCAGGAAGCCGGGCCTCCTTAACATTAGGAAGCTGTAGCTGCTGCCTCACAGACTGGCTGCAGAGCCAGCTGGCTTCTGCAGCTGCCCATCATCCTGCCTGCCCTGTCTACGGCCCTGCTGTCTTAAGGATTTTTTTCTTTCCTGCTAGAAAGATTGACAGGGCCCCTGAATCTTTCTCCTTGACAACACAGGCTACAGTCAGGACTGGAGACAACCTGGGCACAGGTCTTGCTGCTCAAATATGACACCTTCCAAATGTTGAAACCCTAACTATGCCCAAGCTATCTTAGACACATACAAGGCAGGAGAGTTTGGAGAGTCAGGGTCTAGTGGAGCACAGGCACAGGGAGTACAGACATTCACTGAGCATATTCTTCAGCTGCTAACATAATACCTTGACCAGCAGGTCCTTTACATCCATCATGTTACTAACCCTCTGACCATCGAGGGAGGGTGACATCATTCCATTTAAGGGATAGGGAAAGCAAGGCCAAGACAGGTGAGCTGACCTTCTTATGATCACACAACCATAATATTTGATTAAAATGTGCTGGAGAGATCATGTAACAATAAGCCCAGAGGACCCAGACACAAAGTCATCAAAAAGAGATGCCTTTGCGTATGTTAATACCCTCATCAAGCAGTGGTACTCTTTCCACCCTGGCCCAGCCCTGCCTGTCACTCCCATGTTAGATTCTGGAAAAAAACAAGTTGGGAGCCAGTAGCACCTAGCTGCTGGCTTTTCTAACTCCCAGGAGTTGGGCTTCTAGATTCAAATCCTGACTCTGTCCCTCACCAGCTGTGTGCCCTCAGGCATGTTACTTAACCTCTCTGAGCCTCAGCTCCCTCTATTGTAAACTGGGCAGTTTAATGAGACTAATGCTTGTGGGAGTCTCAGGCCTGGACTCAAATGCTCCATGCAAAGCTCTGAGCCCAGTGCTGCGGATGGAAGGAGGGAGCTACTCTGATTTTCATCACGATCCTCTCTGATCCTCACATGATAATGCAAGGCAGGCAAGATTAACCTCCTTCTACAGATGAGAAGACCAAGGCTCTTGGATGAGGTTTAAGACCTAGGTCTTTCTGACTCAGGAATCTCAAAGGCTACTGGCCTTGGTGCAAGCATCACTGGTCTTCATGGGAATGGAGCCTGCTGACGGCTGGCAGGAATGCTGGGGTGGATAATGAGACTTGGGATAGGCTTGGGCTGTCATCACTGCAGCCCTTTCTGCTGACTTAGGAGGAACAGCCTGCAAGGTCCCTGGAGAGTCAGATCACTCCATCCTGGACCAAGGCTGTGAGAGCTGAAGGCTGCCTCGGAGATGCCATCACTTCCTCCCCTTTGAGCCCTGACCTGAGGAACCAGTGTCACAGAGGGTGGGGACTCTCAAGCAGTGTGCACCTGTGACACGTGCTGAAGGAGGGTCCACCATGAGCCAGGCACTGGGACAGCCACTACACTTTTCATCTTGCTTAACCTCTCAACCCACCCTGGGATGGTGATGTCATACCCATGTAACAGACAGAGAAACTGAGGCCAAGACAGGAGAGCTGACTTGTTTATGATCACACATCCATAAAAGAGCAGAGCCAGGGCTCCAACTCAGGTCTTTCTGGGGCCAATGCCCTTACTGTCTATTCCCTTTACTGCCCAGAGGCATCAGTGAGTTACAATCCAGGTCACTGCCTCCAATCTTAGTGCACCACTGGGTATTTCCAAGGTACATAGTAAGCATTATCTAGCTGGGCAGCTGATGAAATTTCTATGTTAGTGTTTTCCATATAAAATGCCTTACAAGGTACAATAACTTTCCAAACTGCTTTCATGCTCCTTTCAACTACTCAAAGTACAGACTGGGTCAGAAACCAGCAGCATTGGCATCAGCCAGGCACTTGTTAGACAGAAATGCAGAGTCTCGGCCCTCACCTTAGACCAACTCACTTAGAATCTTGCATTTATCAGGACACCACCCACCCGTGTGATTTACGTGTCCACTAGCATCCCAAAGGCAAAACCATAGACCCCTCGATCAAATCAGCCAAGGAAAAAGTCCTCATTGTAACCACAGCAGTTAAATGACTTCTATAAATACACACAGAGTTAACAGTGAGTGCCACTCCGTGTTTGCACGCTCGAATCTTGCACCCCTCATTGCCTGCCCCTCACTGCCCTCCTGAGAGTCTGTTTCATGGAGGAACTGGCTCCTCAACTTGAGCCCAAGTTCCTGCCTACATCTTCCAAATAAAAAGAAGCCAAATTGTGGGGATCAATTAGTCTTGTTATCCACAAAGGAAATAACACAAAAGGCAGCACTTATCAGTACACAGTGACCAAAGCTCCCCTGCAAGACAGGCAGGAACTCGGTAATTAAAAACTTGGGTCCGTATTTCAGGATCTAATTGTGTGTGATGCTTTGCATGTATCATAGCAACACAGAGACAAGCTGTATCAGCATTTCTCTGGGAACCTGCTTTTCCAAGGATTATAATGAACCCGGCATGTGACAAAAACAAAACCGCCCTGTCCGTCATTGAAGGCCGTTCCTAGGCTTGAACTACTTATGGATATTTACCTGCAGAGTTTGGGTAGGTAGCACTTTTTTCCATTGTATTCTTGTTTCTATTTGCAAAAGGAAAAGAATAACTCAGGGAAAATTTTAAGTGGGACAAGAAGTCGTGTGAGTGATTCTGAGTTTTACTGCTGCTTGGAAATCATCACCAGGATTTTCAGGGTTTATGGCACTGAGTTGGCCACGGGTCAACAATCCACTTGCAGCTTCAAAGTGAACAGGGGAAAGGAAACCGCCACTTACAAAACACACCAGCGATAGCTCCCACGCTTCATTTTAATGGATGTAATATTCAATCTCTCCAGTAATGTCTCCTTTTTGTGGGTGAGAAAACTGAGTATCAGAGAGGATGAGCCATTTTTCCCAAGGTCGCATGACCAATGGGCTAGAATACCAGCCCAGGTCATAAAGCCCAACCTTTGTCCTTTACACCACACTGCCTTGTGCTTCGGTGGCACTTATCAACCCTTGGCACAGTTAACTGCTGCCTGTGTGTTCAGCAAGTGCCAATGTATGAAAAACAAGAAACGATCCTTGTCACTTCACCCAGTTGCAATATGTACCATTGGTTGAATGCCTACTGGGTGTCAAACCCTGAAAGGACTTTTGCATACAGTCTCATAAATCCAGGGATAATAAGTCCCTACATATATGTGCCATCTCTCCTCCATCAGCCATGGCAGACAGCCATAATGAATTTAATTACCCCCTTCCTCTGTTCCCAGACACAGCCTCAGAATCTTTCTCAGCACCACATCGGGAAGCCACTGACTAATAAGGCAGAGTTAGTGTAAGAGGTTTAACAGAATGTGCTGGAGTCAGCTCACAGCTGCACAGAAAAGTAGATGGCACATATCTCTTCCCAAATCTACTCAGTGATGTCACATTGGCTGCTTGGAATCCACCATGGAAGGACTGTGTATACCTTGGAAATTGACAAACACTACACATCAGGGCTTCTGTTTCAAAGAGCTGATTTAACAGCCCACCACCAACTCTATGCCTCTTCTGATCTAAACCTCACTTTTCACAACAACCCATAAGATAAGTAGTATTGGGCTCCATTTTATAAATTAGGAAAATGAGGCTCAAACAAGTAAAGAGGGTTGGCCAAGTCAGACAACCAGCCAGGGCAGAGCTGTAATACTATAAACTCCAGCATGCAATGGCTGCACAGAGCAAGAGAGGGCGAAAATGAGAACGAGTAAAGCCCTCTGTGAATACGAGAGATTATTATTCCTACTGCTGCCATCATTGCTGGGCAGACAGAACTAATGAACCTGGACTTCTGGAGTTCTGCCAGCTCCAGGGCCAGTAATTTCAGAGCTGCCCAGGGTGGAGTTCCCAAGCCTGATCTCCTTCCTTATCATTAGCTAACACCCCTTATTAGGCTAAATTCTTAAAAGCCCCCAAACACTATCTAGAATCTCAATCTGCCCAGGAAAACCGTAACAGAATTTCCTCAGTGGCAGCGGAATCTGTTTACATGGAGCTGAGAAGTTTATTTGGGGTTGGGTTGTTTTGTTTGTTTGTTTGCTTGCTTGCTTGCTGAGTTTAGCAACCAATCCTATAAAATGTGGCTACTACGTATCTATATCACATTCTTTCCTTCTACAAACTCTTACGAACACCTCCTAATAAATCCAGAAATACCCTGTGAGACCTAGCTCCTAGCAGGTGCAATAGGATGGTGATGGGGGAGAGGTCAAAGAAAGTCAAGTAATAATAGTAATAGTTAACACTCACTGGGCACCTATTATGTAGCAAGTACTATTTCACACACTCTCATTATCGCATTTAATCTTCAATGCTGTGAGGTAAATATTATCATCATCCCATGTTTTAAAAGGAAACCGATGCACAGAGAAGTGAAGCAACCTGCTCAAGAACACACAGCAAGTAAGAGGCAGAGGAGGATGCAAACCTAGATAGGCAGCTGGATTCAGGGTTTATGCTCTTAACTGCTTGACAGAGGAGAGTGTGCCTGAATGGGGTTTTGAGGGGTGAGTAGGAGTGATTGAGAAAGGGAACATGGAGGACTTTCAAGCTCAAAGGCAAAAACGTTCATGTCTGTTTTGAAGGCACTCCTGGTAGTTTGAATGAAGGAGAAAATGTGTGTAAAATGTTAGCTGGCCCATAGTAAACATGTTACTCGCCATTCTTGCTTGGTGTGGATGGACCAGAGAATATTTCTGATGCAAGGCAGGAGGGGAAGCAAAGGACTGAGTCTGGAAGAACCCCAGGCTATATTATGGATTTGGAGTCCAATCCTAGGGCGGAAGCTTTTACAGAACTCTGAGTCACAAAGGGTGGAAAAGCAAGTTAGCAGAGCTCAAAGCAGCCCACCCAGAGTGTAATTTTTGTAAATATCAGGTTTTCATGAAAAAGTCAGGCAAATACTGCTCTTTCCTCCATAAGATATTTGCATTTGTTGTAATATAAATATGATGTTTTAAAATTTCTACCACTGGCTGGGCACAGTGGCTCACACCTGTAATCCCATTACTTTGGGAGACCGAGGCAGGTGGATCACTTGAGGCCAGGAGTTTGAGATGAGCCTGGCCAACATGGTGAAACCCCCTTTCTACTTTAAATACAAAACAATTATCCGGGCACAGTGGCTCACGCCTGTAATCCCAGCTATTCGGGGGGCTGAGGCACAACAATCGCTTGAACCTGGGAGGCAGAGGTTGTAGTGAGCCGAGATCATGCCACTGCACTCCAGCCTAGGCGACATAGTGAGACCCTATCTCAAAAAAAAAAAAATTAAAAAGTAAATTTTCTACCATCGAGGACAACTGACAACACAAGAAGATGCATCTCCTTTTCCCCCTGTCCAGGGACTCCAAGCTCAGCATTATTGACATTGGAGTCATTCTTTTTTGTGAGGGGCTGTCCTGTCCATTGTAAAATGTTTAGCAGCATCCCAGCCAGCAGCAAGCACCACTCCCATCCTAGCTGCGACAATCAAAATTGTTTCCAAACACTGCCCAACGTCCCCTGAGGTGCAACATCACCTTAGGTTGAGAACATTTAATCTAGTCTCGGGCTGCGATATCCTGCTATATGACCCCAATTGAGAAGCACACAGTGTCCAATTGAAGGATTTTGATGCAGACAGAAGGTAAAAACTACTTATGGTGACTGTGCTATAATATTGATACTGTGGTCTTTCTCATTCTGCCAATGAGTAAACAGAAGCACAGACAAGGGAAGCGAGTCTCCCCCAAGTCACACAGCCGTAAGAGGGTTTCTACCCCATGTCTTTCGGACTCCGAAACCTAACTCCATCCACTGTACCACAAGGCTGCACACAATTCCATTGAGAGCAGCAAGAGGCCTCAATTTGCTTGGTCCAGCTGAGCAAGGAAGAAAAGACGCCTGCCTCCCATCCCTCCCCATCATCCACCTTGGTCACAGGGCAGGCCACTCTCACACCTTAACTGCTGTCTCTTCTAGATGACTGCGCTTGGTGGTTGAGGCCATGTAGTGACCTCTCCTGTACCATGATGATTTCCAGGGTACAAGGGAAAGCCTAAATTGCCGGGATAAGCTTCAGAGACCAAACAACAGCAAGGTCATAGCAAAGCAGGAGACTCACCCCATTTTAAAACAAAACACACCACTGCTAGAACTGAAAAATATGCAGCATATTTTGCCTCCTCCTTTCCATGGTAAGATTTAAATTACCCATATTGGCACCCAGGAAACTACTGCTCTGTAGGAATATCTCTTAAAGGACACCATCCCCACCCCATTTTACAGGGCATGAGACTTAAGATCCATAAGTATGCCTTCCATTTCACCAGCCTCATTTTTGGGCTCCACTTGGTGACCCTCACAGACCCTGACCATATCCTCTTCGCACTGCTGGAAAAGGAAGAAGCCATTCCCCGGAGTTCCACGTAAGTCCCAGGACACACTCTGATGGGACCAACTAGTGCCACATGCTCCCCCTGAACCAGTCACTACAGTCAGGGAATGGAACATGCTGACTGGACAGGGCTGAGTAACATGTATACTCCCAGAGATGGGAATGGCTCAATCAGAACCAAAGCATATGACATGAGAATAGAGGAAAGATGGCTCCCCAAGGAAATGTGGAATACTGTTATAGAAAGCAAAGGAAATAGATGCTGAGTGTCAGTCTGCAAAAATCCTAATTCTAGCAGATATTTATCCACTACTCAACATGCAGGAGGCACTGCTCAAAGCAATATGCTAACTCTGTGACCTCCACTGCACCCTAGGGAGATCGGTCTGTTTTATTCCCCATCTGACAGTCAACAAAGACCACCAGAGTCACACCTGCCATTGAGCAAGTTAGGATTATGGACTCATTGCAATGAGGGAGAGCACACACGGTGGGGAGTCACGAGGCATGTCAGTAAAGGGGTGTTGGAAAGGCTTATTTGGGCTCGTGTTAGGTGATTTTAGGAAGAGTTTAAGGAAGCAGGGCTTTGTTCTGGGTTGGATGTTGTCATGAAGTGGGAGTAATTCTATTTTGATAAATCTCCTTTAGAAGGTATGAAGAATGAGGCACAGCTAAAGCTGTGATTGGTAAAGAAACAGAGGTTACTCCCGTTAGCCAAGAAAAGGAACTGTTTGGTCATTTTTGTGGTTTGGACAATGCTCATGTTTGGCTTGTGCACAAACATGGTTACAAAGTGATCTTCTTTTCATCTTGACCTATCATTGTTACAGAGTGGCCTTTTCTGACGTTGGCGTTCTGCGAAATTGATTATGCTCAACACAACACCAGGGTCTACCTGAGAGTGCAAAATTGTTTATGCTCAACACAACACCAGGGTCTACCTCAGAGTGCGAAATTGTTTATGCTCAACACAACACCAGGGTCTACCTGAGAGTGCGAAATTGTTTATGCTCAACACAGCACCAGGGTCTACCTGAGAGTGCGAAATTGTTTATGCTCAACACAGCACCAGGGTCTACCTGAGAGTGCGAAATTGTTTATGCTCAACACAGCACCAGGGTCTACCTGAGAGTGCAAAATTGTTTATGCTCAACACAGCACCAGGGTCTACCTGAGAGTGCGAAATTGTTTATGCTCAACACAGCACCAGGGTCTACCTGAGAGTGCCAAGGCAGCTCCTAGCAACTCCAAGCCCTTGTCGATAGTACCAGGTCAGCTCCTGGATGTAAGGGGCTGCTTTTGTCTTTCTTAGAACTGAGACAAGAAGGGTCTAACAACTACCTAAAGTCACAAAGCAAGTGGTGGAGCTAGGATACAAGCCTCAGCAGGCCCATTCTAGAGTGTGATTTAAACCACTACATCACCTGTCTCTCTTCCTTCACCTTGCAGGACCCCAAAAGCTATGAAGGAAGTCGAAAACATACATTTCCTGGACATCTACTCTTGCCAGGCACTGAAATAGGTCCTTTGACTCCTTAAAGTCATCCACCCTTGTGTTCATTTCCTGAAGATGCCATAACAAAGTACCACAAACTGGATGTCTTAAAACAACAGCAATTTACTGTCATAGTTCTGGAGGCGAGAAGCCCTAAATCAGGTGACGGCAGAGCCATACTCCCTCTGAAGCCTCCAGGAGAGGCATCTTCTTTTTATTTGATTGATGTGATTTAAGTTCCAGGGTACATGTGCAGGATGTGCAGGTTTGTTACATAGGTAAATGTGTGTCATGTGCTCTGTTGCACCTATCAACCCGTCTCCTACGTACTAAGCTGAGCATGCATTAGCTATGTTTTTCTGATGCTCTTCCCCACCTCCTCCCCCGCCACCCGACAGGCCCCAGCATGTGTTGTTCCCCTCCCCGTGTCCATGTGTTCTCATTGTTCAGCTCCCACTTATAAGTGAGAACATGCAGTGTTTTGTTTTCAGTTCCTGCGTTAGTTTGCTGGGGATAATGGCTTCCAGCTTCATCCATGTCCCTGCAAAGGATATGATTTTGTTCCTTTTTATGGCTGCATAGTATTCCATGGTGTATATGTACCACATTTTCTTTATCCAGTCTATCACTCATGGGCATTTGGGTTGATTCCATGTCAGGAGAGGAGTCTTCTTACCTCTTCCAGCTTCTGGTAGCCCCAGGTGTTCTTTGGCTCCTGGAAGCATCACTCCAATCTCTTCCTCCATTCCATGTGGCTGCCTCCCCCCATGTGTCTGTGTCTTTTCTCCTCATATAAGGGCACCAGTTATACTGGATTAAGGGACCACCCTACTTCAGTATAATTTCGTCTTAATTACATCTGCAAAAACCCTGTTTCCAAACAAAGTCACATTCACAGGTCCCAAGGGCTACCCATTTTAACAGAATTAGGCATTGAGTCTCAGAGAGGTTTAGTAACTCATGCAAAGTCACACAGCTAGAACATAGCAGAGTCAAAATTCAAGCACCAAGGCCTTGACTCCTTGCCCAGTGCTTCAAAATCTCAGAAAACTACACCCCTGGCAGTCAGATGGGGCAGGGACAGAAGGCTCAGATGCACCACCTTCCAACAGCCAAAAAGACTGTTTTGTTTTCATTTGTTTCTTAGAGTTTTCCTGCAGAACAGTGCTGTCCCGGAAGGAAATTAACCGGCACAGACAGGCCCCAGTGCAGGAGACTCACCGGCGCAGGCACCAAGCTGTCCTGGAAGGAAGCCAGCTCGGCAACCTGACATTGACAAACCTCTTGCCCGTTTTTCCAAAGATTCCCAGGGCTCACATTTTCCACTTACATGATTCAATTAGGAATCCCAAAATGTGTGAATCTTGGCATTCTTATGGCTCCATTAAAGAAACAAAGTATTAAATACAGACACATTTCCTTAAATGTTGGTGAGTTTGCTTCCATTGGCTCTAAAGATAACTGCTGTTCTCTTCTAATGATTACTCTGAGGAGGACAGATGCTGTGGTCCCAGATGTCTCCAGAAAGGGCCACTGTGTTGGGTGTAGGGGAGTCACAGGGATTCCAGGGAGAGGACAGGGAGAACTGGCATAATTATGATGATGATTATTATAATGACTTTCTTTTCTGTTGCTCCCTTTTGTTCATATTCCTCCTTAGCTCATCACCTCCCTTCTCCCACCCTGTTCACAACTACCGAGGGCAAATCGTGCAAAACCACAGCTTCCTCTTGTGGCTCTCCTGCCCACAGGGATGGATCCCAAAGGCCTGTCCCATCAAGAGCTTATTCTTCACAACAGAGATGTTGAGTGATCAGAGACAAATCAGTTAGCCTCCTGGAGCTCCCATTTCTCCAACTCCAGGTCAGTGGCAGCACTTATCTTACGGTGCTAAATGAGATCATTCATGTAAAGAGCTCCACATGGAACTTGGTACACAACCACCCTTCACTTCAACTGACCAAATGCCAAAGCACGGGACCACTCTTGCCAAGAGGCCAACACACACCACGTAATCAATCTCCACGCTTTGCAAGGCCCTCTCAGCTGACCCACCATCCAAGTCCATTTCATCTCCTGCCTATAAACAGATGACTCCTCCAGGGTAGATGAGGTTGTGCAAGATACACTGTCCCTGCTAGACCCAGCAACATTTCTGAAGGGATGGAACGCTCAAGCTACAAGGCAGGAAGCCCAGCATGTCAACAACGGGTCATCAACTTGTGCTGCAACATCCCTGCTTCCATAAACCCTGATGCCTTAAAAGTGGCATAGTACATCAGTGAAGGAGTCAGCTCACCTGCACCCAAACTCCAACTCTGCCACTTACAATTTATAGGACTACAGGCAAGTCACATGGTTTCTCTGAGCCCTGATCTATAAAATGAGGTTAAGCATAGAACATCCCTGGCTGGATGCGGCGACTCATGCCTGTAATCCCAGCACTTTGGGAGGCCAAGGCGGGTGGATTACCTGAGGCCAGGAGTTTGAGACCAGCCTGGCCAACATGGCGAAAACCCGTCTCCACTAAAAATACAAAAATTAGCCGGGCATGGTGGCAGGCACCTGTAATCCCAGCTACTCGAGAGGCTGAGGCAGGAGAATTGCTCAAATCTGGGAAGCGGAGGCCGCAGTGAGCCGAGATCATGCCATTGCACTTCAGCCTGAGCAAGAAGAGTGAAACTCTATCTCAAAAAACAAAAGAATAGAACATCCTTAAACTGTACCATCTAATACAGTAGCCAACACCCAAATATGGCTATTTAAATTTTAATTCATTATAAATTAAAGAAAACTAGAAATTCTGTCCCTCAGTTACATGAGCCACATTTCAAGCACACAGCTATATAGGCTTGGCTAATGAAAACCACGTTGGACAGGGCGGCTATAGAATATTTTCATCACTGCAGAAAGTCTACTGGACAGCACAGGATTACTGTGAGGAATATTAAATGAACTGATGAATATAATGTGCCTAGCACCACACCTGAAGGATAGGAAGTGCTCAATACAATGAGGGTGTTATGCCATTTAATCCTCTGCAAGGTGGTGGCTTTGCTCCCATTTCACAGATGAGAAAGCCGAGGTTCAGAAAAATGAAAATAATATATTCAAACTCTGATACCAGTAACTAGCCAAGTCAGAATTTAAGCCCTGATCTGTATGACTCCAAAAATCGGTGTGTTTTTCATGAGATAAGCAATCTTCACGCAATAGGAAGAGAGATTGGCAAGAGAGGAAGTAGTGATGCAAAATGGAATAAAAATAAAAATAGGCTGGTGTGGTGGCTCATGCCTGTAATCCCAGCACTTTGGGAGGCCAAGGCAGGCACATCACAAGGTCAAGAGATTGAGACAATCCCGGTCAACATGGTGAAACCCCATCTCTAGTAAAAATACAAAAATTAACCGGGCGTGGTGCGCACACCTGTAGTTCCAGCTACTCAGGAGGCTGAGGCAGGAGAATTGCTGGAACCCAGGAGGCGGAGGTTGCAGTGAGCCAAGATCGCGCCACTACACTCCAGCCTGGCGACAGAGTGAGACTCTGCCTCAAAAATAAATAAATAAATAAATAAAAATTAAAAAGCTACAATGGTACCATCAAAAGCAAAGAGAGCTCAGTCCTTGCAGTCTCAGAGAAAACAAACTCAAACCCACTGCTCCTCCCCTGAAGACATTTGGCCTCACTTACAGGACAGTGAGAAGGTTTCAATCCCTCTTTAAACCTCAGTTTCCTCTTCTGTAAAGTGGGTTGCTTTGACGATAAAGCAAGATAACGTATTTTCAAGCACAGAGTAGGTACTCAAAAAATTATTTTTTAAAAAAATCTGAATAATGACCACCCTAAGTACAACCTTTGGGTCTGGGCCTATCCAAGAGCGCTCACCTACCTTTTTGGCTTTTGGAAAGAATCAGAAATTTGTTGAATCCACACTCTCCAGGAAGCAGAAAAGCTCACTGCCTCTTGCAGAGGACGTAATAGCTAAAGTGTGGCTTTTTAATTTGTTAATCTTTGCAAATCAGGGTTCCAGAGCTTTGCAAAGATGCGGAACCATCAGAGCTCTATACAGAAACAATCAATTCCTTGATTAAAATATGACAGCTTAATTAATTAGTACTTAATAGCTCAACCTTAATTATACCCTACATCGTTATTTGATAATATTCATAAATTTCCCATGTGGCTGTGCACACATGTCTTTTATCAACTGATTACAAATGCCAGGACTTGACCTCCATCCTCGGGAAAATGTCTCGGATGTCAAGAACATGAAAGACTTCATTAACACTAATGCCGACCTCACCAAGGTCTACTCCCAGTTAAGAATTCTCTGATTTAAAAGTTCTTTGAGATCCACCAGAGAAAAGTGATGATTTGTGCACTAAGTTTGCTGTATAGTTTATTTCCTTCAAACCTCAATATTTTAGGAAATTTTATAAAGTATTAAATAATATCCCTGGATCTTACTTTCACCTGAAAAAGACACTCACAGACTTTATTTTTTTTTAACCCGGAGAGTGGGTTAGTTTCTAAACTAGGTGAGAATAGCTGAAATTCTTTGGATGTGATGGGAGAGTTATGGGGACCCCGTATGATGATGATTAATATGGCTTTGAAGCCCAAAAGCCCTGGCTTGAGGCCAGGCACAGTGGCTCACACCTGTAATCCCAGCACTTTGGGAAGCCAAGGTAGGTGGTTCACTTGAGGTCAGGAGTTCAAGACCAGCCTGGCCAAGATGGCGAAACCCCATCTCTACTAAATATACAAAAATTAGCTGGGTGTGATGGTGTACGCCTGTAGTCACAGCTACTCGGGAGACTGAGGCAGGAGACTCACTTGAACCTGAGAGGCAGACGTTACAGTGAGGGGATATCACATCACTGCACTCCAGCCTGGGCGACAGAGCAAGACTCCATCTCAAAAAAAAAAAAAAAATACCTGGGCTTGAATCTCTGTAATTCTGAGCTTTGTGATCTTGATTGAGTTTCTTCACTTCTCTGAGCCTGTCTGTTCATTTGGTAAATTGAAATAATAATTTGTAGTTCTCAGAATGTTGATATGACATTCAAATGGATGGGAAAGTGCCTGGCACGTACTAGATGCTCAATAAATGTTACATGTTAACCCATCAGCTGTGCCAGAGCGTAGGCCATTCTGCTTTGTCCAATTGCCCATGGAGATCACTCACCTGGAGGAGGGGGATCAGACCTCTGTATGTGGGAGCTCTGGAGAATGAGGTGGGAGGAGAGCTATCAGAGAGGATAAGAAGATTATATTCTGCCAAATAAACCAGTTCTTCTGTGGATGTGTCTTTTGGGCTTGGTGGGGGCGGGGGGGGGAGTGCAAGAGAGGGCACAAAACTTCCCAGAAGTCTCCGGAACTACTTTAGGAGCTGCAGCCCTGCCTAGAGGGAAGGGACCCCACTTGAGTTGAGGTGCCCAGCCTCTAAGCATGGCTCTGTCTTGGGTGGCATTAAGCAAGTCCCTCAACTCTTGGAAAATTAGTCTTCTTCTTTGTTAAAGAAATTGGTTCCATTTTTCCAAACACCTGCTGCAACTACAGAATCACCTGGGACATTTATTTAAATAGAGATATAATATACAGCAGCAATCCCCCAGCACACACATCCCAAATAATGACAATTTCCATATAACAATTTTTTTTAGATACTCACTTCTGGGCCTCGATTGATTCAGTGGGTCTGAAGTGATTTCCAAGAATTATTATTTAAATTTCTCAAGGAATTCTGATGGGCAACCAGGTTGGGGAACTAAAAGGATTGCTGGTTTCCAGTGTCCGCATCCACCGGGAAAACTTGGCTTCGTTGCCGCCTTGGCACACCAGTGACACCTGGTGGCTTGGAGGAGTAACTCTAGCTTGTCGCGGCACGTGATTTCGAATCCTCCATTGCATCGCTCCTGGCAGTTGTGGGACGAGATGACGTTTTCCACTCTTCCCAAAAGTTAGATAACATGATTCTCTGTCTCAACATCCATAATAGACACAGCATCTCAGCTCCTGAATCCATCTTTCAAACTACCCATTTGACAGATGTCCACCTTGGACCACCACCATTACTTTTTTGGCCTCCAAATTCTGATGGCACCTGCAACTAGAAACCCCACAAGACATCGCCATTTCAGGAGACACACAGACATGGGGTGACCACTCAGATACCTGGACTGGACTGTGTCCTAAAAGAAGAGACACATGACCTTTCCTTCAGCTCATAGAATTTACAAAGTGAGATAAGACGAGATGCTGAAAAAGGCATAAACTGATGTACTCTCAATCTCCCATTCCCTAGAATCTGTGACCAGACAATGAGAACACATGGGCACAGGGAGGGGAACATCACACACCAGGGCCTGTCGGGGGGTGGGGGGCTAGGGGAGGGATAGCATTAGGAGAAATACCTAATGTAGATGACGGGTTGATGGGTGCAGCAAACCACCATGGCATGTGTATACCTATGTAACAAACCTGCACATTGTGCACATGTATCCCAGAACTTAAAGTACAATAAAATTAAAAAAAAAAAAAAAAAGAATCTGTGACCAGACAACTCTTTACATTCTTGTTGGCCATCCCAAGATTAATCAATCATACCAATAATCGAAATTACAGAAAATCTATCCAACACAGTGGCCATTTCCAGAAATTAGATTGTTCCTCATTAGCGGGGGATTTTCTTTTTCTCTATATTATTTCCCACTAATATTAAAAAAATATTTTTACTGGATTTTTTCCATCATTTTCCCAGCATGGACCTAATAGCAACCAAGAAGTACTTTAAAAATTCCATTATCTTTATCGAATGGAAATTCTCACAATATCACAATTGCCAAAGGTCTCTTTTATTCTGGTGTTAACCTTGGGAAGATTTTAGATGTCCTTTGGGGCATGCACAGAGGACCGAGGAAATCTTTCTTTTCTACATCCTTGGAGAGCTCAGCACACTTGACTAAGTATGAAACTGTTCACTCCTGATTTGTTTCTCTGGTTGAATATTGATTTGACTTCTGTTGTATATCACAAATGCACACCAATCTCCAGAATCGTGGGGCACTGAGGGTTTCTGTTTAATATTCAACTTGGAGCCACTCAAGCACTCACACAATTTTTTTTTTAGTTGCTCCACCTGTTGTCCTCCCAGATGGATGAGGTAAGAATGTCGTGTATAAAACAAAGTAATTGCTGTGGCTGTTAAACAATTCAGGACCACTTCCCCTGAGCTCTGCTGGGGATTTACAAAGTCCCACAGATGCCAAGCTTGAAGAAGCTTAAAAGGGGAGCTGCTCATTTGGAACTGAGTAAATCCAGTGATCTCTCTGGTTATGTAGCAAACCTGTCTAAGTCTGCGTGTCCGATATATTTGCGCTTTTGTACTGGCTAAGTCCATACTTGGGCACATCTGGCATTCCCCCTATTTATGAGACTGACACCTATGCTGCATGTTGGAGGGGAAATATATGGTTCTGAGCAGTATTTCTGGTGCCTGGACACTTGAAGTTACTTGATCTAAATGCAAGTCTTTAAGTGAGAGAATCATCAGGGGAATTCTATTTTTAAAATCCCAAAGTGTTTAAAAATAAAATAAGATTCTTAAGGACAAATCAGTTTGTTTTGGGGGTGGAGGGAATCATCTGGATATTTGCTTTTCCCCTCATTTTTTTTTTTATTTATTTTTTATTATTTTTTTTTAGAGACAGGATCTGGCTCTGTCACCCAGACTGCAGTGCAGTAACACAATCATAGCTCACTTGCAGCTTCAAACTTCCAGGCTCAAGTGATTCTCCTGAGTAGCTAGGACTACAGACACATGCCACCATACCTAGTTAATTTTTTTTTAATTATTTCCTGTAGACCAGGCACAGTGGCTCACACCTGTAATCCCAGCACTTTGGGAGGCTGAGGCGGGTGGATCATTAGAGGTCAGGAGTTCGACACCAGCCTGGCCAACATGGTGAGACCCCGTTTCTACTAAAACTAGAAAAGTCAGCTGGGTATGGTGGCACACGCATGTAATCCCAGCTACTCAGGAGGCTGAGGCAGGAGAATCTCTTGAACCCAAGAGACAGAGGATGCAGTGAGCCGAGAATGCACCACTGCACTCCAGCCTGGGCAACAGAGTGAGACTCTGTCTCAAAAAAAAAATTTATTTATTTATTTATTGTAGAGACAATGTCTCACCATGTTGCCCAGGCTGGTCTCAAACTCCTAGCCTCAAGCGATCCTTCCACCTCAGCCTGGCAAATTTCTTGGTTACAGGTATGCGCCATCATGCCCAACCCTCTCCTTTCTGCTAATCCTCCATCATTTGTGATGATGGTTGGTTGGTTAGGTGTTGGGAGAGATTTAAGAAAGATGTCTCAATCAGCAGAAGGCATTGCCTATCCCCCTGGTGCTACTGGGTGGCATTGAGAGGACAGTAAGTTTCCTAAGATTCTGCAAACCAGATGGAATTCTTACCTTGTTACATCACCCAAGGGCCCCAAGGAGGCTTCAGCTATTGAGGTGGATGCAAAGAATCCCAGTGCCAGTAGCAGCCTTCACTGCTGTGTGCATTTGTAAAGTGGAACAAACCAGATGTTGATGGTACACAAGACTGCACAGGCAAGAAGCGGGCAATAAGACAGGTGTCAGGTGGATAAGCTTTTTGATGTGCTGCTGAATTCGGTTTGCCAGTATTTTATTGAGGATTTTTGCATCAATGTTCATCAAGGATATTGGTCTAAAATTCTCTTTTTTGGTTGTGTCTCTGCCCGGCTTTGGTATCAGAATGATGCTGGCCTCATAAAATGAGTTAGGGAAGATTCCCTCTTTTTCTATTGATTGGAATAGTTTCAGAAGGAATGGTACCAGTTCCTCCTTGTACCTCTGGTAGAATTCGGCTGTGAATCCATCTGGTCCTGGACTCTTTTTGGTTGGTAAGCTATTGATTATTGCCACAATTTCAGCTCCTGTTATTGGTCTATTCAGAGATTCAACTTCTTCCTGGTTTAGTCTTGGGAGAGTGTATGTGTCAAGGAATTCATCCATTTCTTCTAGATTTTCTAGTTTATTTGCGTAGAGGTGTTTGTAGTATTCTCTGATGGTAGTTTGTATTTCTGTGGGATCGGTGCTGATATCCCCTTTATCATTTTTTACTGCATCTATTTGATTCTTCTCTCTTTTTTTCTTTATTAGTCTTGCTAGCGGTCTATCAATTTTGTTGATCCTTTCAAAAAACCACCTCCTGGATTCATTAATTTTTTTGAAGGGTTTTTTGTGTCTCTATTTCCTTCAGTTCTGCTTCAAGTGGGCTTCATCCCTGGGATGCAAGGCTGGTTCAATACACGCAAATCAATAAATGTAATCCAGCATATAAACAGAACCAAAGACAAAAACCACATGATTATCTCAATAGATGCAGAAAAGGCCTTTGACAAAATTCAACAACCCTTCATGCTAAAAACTCTCAATACATTAGGTATTGGTGGGACGTATCTCAAAATAATAAGACCTATCTATGACAAACCCACAGCCAATATCATACTGAATGGGCAAAAACTGGAAGCATTCCCTTTGAAAACTGGCACAAGACAGGGATGCCCTCTCTCACCACTCCTATTCAACATAGTGTTGGAAGTTCTGGCCAGGGCAATTAGGCAGGAGAAGGAAATAAAGGGTATTCAATTAGGAAAAGAGGAAGTCAAATTGTCCCTGTTTGCAGACGACATGATTGTATATCTAGAAAACCCCACTGTCTCAGCCCAAAATCTCCTTAAGCTGATAAGCAACTTCAGCAAAGTCTCAGGATACAAAATCAATGTACAAAAATCACAAGCATTCGTATACACCAACAACAGACAAACAGAGAGCCAAATCAAGAGTGAACTCCCATTCACAATTGCTTCAAAGAGAATAAAATACCTAGGAATCCAACTTACAAGGGATGTGAAGGACCTCTTCAAGGAGAACTACAAACCACTGCTCAAGGAAATAAAAGAGGATACAAACAAATGGAAGAACATTCCATCCTCATGGGTAGGAAGAATCAATAATGTGAAAATGGTCATACTGCCCAAAGTAATTTACAGATTCAATGCCATCCCCATCAAGCTACCAATGACTTTCTTCACAGAATTGGAAAAAACTACTTTAAAGTTCATATGCAACCAAAAAAGAGCCCGCATCGCCAAGTCAATCCTAAGCCAAAAGAACAAAGCTGGAGGCATCACACCACCTGACTTCAAACTATACTACAAGGCTACAGTAACCAAAACAGCATAGTACTGGCACCAAAACAGAGATATAGATCAATGGAACAGAACAGAGCCCTCAGAAATAACGCTAAATATCTACAAGTATCTGATCTTAGAAAAACAAGCAATGGGGAAAGGATTCCCTATTTAATAAATGGTGCTGGGAAAACTGCCTAGCCATATGTAGAAAGCTGAAACTGGATCCCTTCCTTACACCTTATACAAAAATCAATTCAAGATGGATTAAAGACTTAAACGTTAGACCTAAAACCATAAAAACCCTAGAAGAAAACCTAGGCATTACCATTCAGGACATAGGCATGGGCAAGGACTTCATGTCTAAAACACCAAAAGCAATGGCAACAAAAGCCAAAATTGACAAAAGGGATCTAATTAAACTAAAGAGCTTCTGCACAACAAAAGAAACTACCATCAGAGTGAATAGGCAACCTACAAAATGGGAGAAAATTTTCACAACCTACTCGTCTGACAAAGGGCTAATATCTAGAATCTACAACGAACTCAAACAAATTT
The DNA here is from genome assembly GCF_000001405.40 of Homo sapiens. NCBI lineage: Eukaryota > Metazoa > Chordata > Mammalia > Primates > Hominidae > Homo > Homo sapiens. Next base: position 9,292,750 of record NC_000016.10, on the reverse strand, counting down.
ACAAGAAAAAAACAAACAACCCCATCAAAAAGTGGGCAAAGGACATGAACAGACACTTCTCAAAAGAAGACATTTATGTGGCCAAAAAACACATGAAAAAATGCTCACCATCACTGGCCATCAGAGAAATGCAAATCAAAACCACAATGAGATACCATCTCACACCAGTTAGAATGGCAATCATTAAAAAGTCAGGAAACAACAGGTGCTGGAGAGGATGTGGAGAAATAGGAACACTTTTACACTGCTGGTGAGACTGTAAACTAGTTCAACCATTGTGGAAGTCAGTGTGGCGATTCCTCAGGGATCTAGAACTAGAAATACCATTTGACCCAGCCACCCCATTACTGGGTATATACCCAAAGGACTATAAATCATGCTGCTATAAAGACACATGCACACGTATGTTTACTGTGGCATTATTCACAAGAGCAAAGACTTGGAACCAACCCAAATGTCCAACAATGATAGACTGGATTAAGAAAATGTGGCACATATACACCATGGAATACTATGCAGCCATAAAAAATGATGAGTTCATGTCCTTTGTAGGGACATGGATGAAATTGGAAATCATCATACTCAGTAAACTATCGCAAGAACAAAAAACCAAACACCGCATATTCTCACTCATAGTTGGGAATTGAACAACGAGAACACATGGACACAGGAAGAGGAACATCACACTCCGGGGACTGTTGTGGGGTGGGAGGAGGGGGGAGGGATAGCACTGCGAGATAAACCTAATGCTAGATGATGAGTTAGTGGGTGCAGCGCACCAGCATGGCACATGTATACGTATGTAACTAACCTGCACATAGTGCACATGTACCCTAAAACTTAAAGTATAATAATAATAAATAAATAAATAAATAAAAAGAAAATATATAAATATATATTTAAAAAAAAAAAAGACAGGTGTCAGGAATTGGAGAGGATGCAGGACACACGGAGGGTCTGGGAACTCTCCTTTTCTGATCAGGGGAAGCAGGAGGAGGCTTCGGTGCTGAGCCAGACCTCCCTGATGAGACTGTTTACCCAGGCTCTTCACAAAAGAAGGCTCAAGTTGGGGCAGAGTGACCAACCACCCTACCTTGCCAGGGATAGAGTGATATCCCGAGATGTAGGGCTTTTTGTTTTAAAATCAGGAAAGCTCCCATAAAACTAGAATGAGTTAGGAGGCCAAGGCAGGCGGATCACCTGGGGTCAGGAGTTCAAGACCAGCTTGGCCAACATGGTGAAACCCCGCCTCTACTAAAAATACAAAAAAGTAGCTGGACATGGTGGTGGGTGCCTGAATTGTAATCCCAGCTACTCAGGAGGCTGAGGCAGAAAAATTGCTTGAACCCAGGAGGCGGACGTTGCAGTGAGCTGAGATCGTGCCACTGCACTCCAGCCTAGGCAACAAGAGCAAAACTCTATCTCAAAAAAAAAAAACTAGGATGAGTTGTTCACCCTAGGTTGGAGGGACAGTTTGATGTAGTTTCTAAAGCATGAACATTAAAATAAGACAGGCCTGGGCTTGAATCCCAGCTGTGCTAACTAAATGGCCTTGGACAGGCAGCATCACTTCCCCTCTTCTGTAAGATGGAAATGGTCACGTTCGCCTACCTCATAGGTATGTAAGATAGTCATGTAGGAAGGTAATATTTAATAATGCAAGCAAAGTGTGTAGCATAGTGTATGGCACACAGGAGGCAGTCGGTATGTTTTATTGTCATCGTTCTGAAGAAATGAGTTAGCAGGGTACATTTTGAATGCCTCCCAAACAAGAAAGAAAAAACAAGCCTGGATGTAGGGATCCAGGAAAATGAGACGGTGAAACCAAAGACCATGAATTAACAACTGGGGCAGTTGAGAAGGTCAGAAAGACCAACGTAGAGATGAGGCTAGGATAGATAGTGGTGGGGATGAATGGGGGAAAGAGGTAGGACTAATCTCTCACACTCTGTGCTATGTCCTTGAAGTCTCAGGGGTTTGACAGAGTGGGGGCTCCCTGTTGAGGGAAGAAGGAAGACTAGGAGTCTGGCTGAAGGAAATGGACCGCCCTGGATGCCTACACCCTTGGTAGATCGCCCAATACCCCAGCTCTTTCTCACCCTCCTCTTTGACCATTCTGAGAAATATTCTCTTGGGACCTGATGATAGATCCCCAAGAAACTGACATTGTAGCAGAGTTTTCTGCAATCAAAAGAAAAAATCAGGCTAAGAGAAGGCAAAAAGCTGGAAAAAACAGTTTGAAGCAGAGTGCAGAAGAGATCTTCTAAACATAACAATACCCCAATGTTACAGTTCAAATTTGTCTCTCAAAATTCATGTGTTGGATGCTTCATCCCCGATGCTACAGTGTTGGGAAGTGGGGCCTAATAAAAGGGGATTAAGTCTTGAAGGCTTTGCCCTCATGAAAGGATTAAGGTTGTTATTGGGATAAAAGTTTAATTATCTTGAGAGTGGATTTTTATAAAAGTGAATTTAGCTCCTTCTTATTCACTTACTCTCGCCCTCTGTTGCTCTTCCATGTTCCACCATGGGACGACACAGCACAAAGCCTCTTGCCAGATACTAGTGCCATGCTCTTGGACTTCCCAGCCTTCAAAAGCCATGAGCCAGATATAATTCTATTGTTTATAAATTACCTAGTCTGTGGTATTCTGTTATAGCAACACAAAATAGACTAATAAACCAGGTATAACAGAAATAAAACAAATGTTATTAGGCTATTAGTAGGTACAGTGCCCTCCTCTTCTCACTCCCTTTTGGCCTTTTAAAGAGAAAAAAATTCTTTCTTCCTGGGTCAGTTCTTAGGTTCCCCTTTATGTGTGCGTTAAAATGGCAAAGTAGAAAGAAATCTGACGATCCAGAAAGGCTAAGTTGATTTATATAATAAAGAACAAAGGTGGAAACATGAAGTAAAAGGGAGACAGGAAAGTTTTTTGGGCTGAGTGTCATGGTTTAGGAAAGTAAGAGAGGAGAGATGAGTTGGTCTTTTCCCAGGAGATTTAGGAAGTGATTTGAGGTGAGTGAGATGAGCTATGATTTTTTAAGATGATTGACAGACTGAGTAAAAGTTTTAATTTCTTTCAACTAAATTGTCTTCCATAATGCAATTTTTTTTTAGAGACAAGGTCTTGCTCTGTCACCCAGGCTAGAGTGCAGTGGTGTCATAGCTCACTGTAACCTCAAACTCCTGGAACTCCTGGTCTCAAGTTATCCTCTTCCTTTAGCCTCCCAAGTAGCTAGGGCTAACAGCATGTGTCACCACACCCAGCTAATTGTTTTTCTTTTCTTTTTTTTTTTTTTTTTGTAGAGACAGAGTCCTGCTATGTTGCCCAGGCTGGTCTTGAACTCCTGGGCTGAAGCAATCCTCCTGCCTCATCCTCCCAAAGCACTAGAGTTACAGGCATGAGCCATGGCACCTGGCTGGCAACTTCTTTTAAGGCAAATCTGTGCTGAGACTGGACTACGTAGATATCCTGACTTATACAGGTTACACTAACTACCATTAATTAATATTCAATAAGTGCCTCCTAGGTTCCAAGCAATTCAGCAAACATTGACGGCCTATTGCAGTATTATGATTGTACTGATTGCTCCAATTAATGGCCTCCCTGCTTCCACATCCTTTCCATTGTGAATTTGCAGCTTCTTTCCATGATGAAGTAGAGTCTATTTCCCCACCATTTGCACCTAAGATGGCCTGGTTAACTTCATTTGGCAAATAGAACATAGTGGAACTGACAGCATTCCAGCTCTAAGCTGAGCTCTTAAGAGGCTTTGCAGGCTTCTACTGTCTCTCTTGGGCCTTTGCCTCCATCATGATGACAAGCCCAGGCTGGCCTTCTGGAGGCTGAGAGACCATGCACATTAGAATCAAGAGAGCACAGCTAACAGCAAGCCAACCTCCAAAAGCAAGGTCATCAACTCAACCTTCAACTGACCATGGACACATGAGGAAGCCCCACCAGGTATAGAAGAGTTACCAAGAAGAACCCACCTGGATTGCCAACACTGAGAATCACGAACAAGAAAAACAAGTTCATAGTTTTTCAGCCACTAACTTTTGATATGGTTTGTTACGCAGCAACATCTACCTGACACACTAAGTAATCAATGTTTTGAAGACATTATTTTTATTCTTTCAACTGAGGATTTATAATTCTCTTTGTTATATGAGATTTCATGACAAAAAGAAAAAGAAGGACTTGCCTGAGGTCATTTATCTGGTAGATTCCAAAGCCAGATTTGAAAATAGCTCCATTTAATTCAAAATCCGTCCCTTTCTGTGCCTCATATCATGCCGCCTAAGATAATGCCAAATTTACCAGTAGCCAAGATAATCTGTGTATTTCAAGAGAGCTAAGAGGACAGGTCTGGACATTGCTCCTGAAGCCAGGCTTCCCAGTGTCGAGGCCAATGAAACACGACCACAGCCCAGTGGGAAACTGGCATCACAGGAAGGCTGGGGCAGAATACGAGTCCTCATAAGAGACACTACACTGTTGAGAACAATGAGAGATGTGAGAATCAGCAGAGTTAGAGTTGCCAAAGTGAGATTTATGGAAGATAAACAAAACCCAATTGATCAAATGGAAAATGAAATTGCAGAGCAGTTTCAATAAGAAGTAAATAGACACTCTCTGAAACCTGCTAAACAGCTTGGCAGGAAATCAGACTGGCTATATACAGACTTCCTCATTGTTGCAAGTGGTTCTACACACACACACACACACACACACACACACACACACACACACACACACACACCACACAGGAATATAGGTGAGTACACACACAGAGACCCACCTACTTATACTTCATAGGAAGCACGTGCATGCGGTCACACCTGTATGTGTACGCACATACACACATAAATTATCCAGTCCGTGGTATTCTGTTATAGCAACACAAGAAGCACGAAGAAACCAGGTATAACAGAAATAAAATAAATTATATTAGGTTGGGTGCGGTGGCTCATGCCTGTAATCCCAGCACTTTGGGAGGCCGAGGCAAGTGAATCACCTGAGGTCAGGAGTTCAAGACCAGCCTGACCAACATGGTAAAACCCCATCTCTACTAAAAATACAATAAATTAGCTGGGCATCGTGGTGGGCACCTGTAATCCCAGCTACTCAGGAGGCTGAGGCAGGAGAATCGCTTGAACCCAGGAGGCGGAGGTTGCAGGGAGCCGAGATCATGCCATTGCACTCCAGCCTGGGCAACAAGAGCAAAACTCCGTCTCCAAAAAAAAAAAAGATATTAAGTTATAAGTAGGTACAGCCTCCTTCCTCTTCCCTTTATCCCTTTTATCCCTACAGGCATAAATGATCACAAAACATACAACACCAAAACACACACAAAATACACACAGAGACAGGCACACCCTCTTACACAGAAGTACATGGGCTTCACATACACATGCAAACATTCCCTGTGGCATGCAGGCACACACGTAACCCTCATTGACCCAAGAAGCAGAGGGAGGGAAACCTTTCTCTTACTGGGATCAGGTTTTCTCTTCCAGGATTCGTCCTCAGAGCTGGAGCACTTCACCTGCACATCCCGCCAAGGTGGAGTCTTCCCATTGATCCTTTGACCCCCAACAAAAAAGCCCAGCCCTCCCTGGACTTTGGAGCCAGTGCTGATCTTGGCAAGAAGGAATTTTAAGAGCCTTGGGCTGACTGCTGGGACTAAGTGTGAAGTCCAGGCTTTGGGCTTTTTGCCCCATGTTTTGAGAGATTACAACTGGGACCCAGAACTGTAGCTTTGACACCAGGGAGACAAGGGTTCAAATCCTGCCTCTGCCACTTCCTAACTGTAGGAACTTGGGGCCACTGGCATAAATATGCTGAATTTCAGTGTCCTCAGCTGTAAAATGGAAATGGTAATTCCCATCAAGCAGGGATTTGTATGGGTAAAAGTTGATTCTGTGTGTAAGTGCTTGGTTCGGTACCAGGCACACAGTAGGTGTCAGTAACAGGAGAAGAGAGGACATTTTCCAAGCCACATGCTCCATCCATTTACAATCTTAAACTTGGGTTTTCCTTTTCTTTCCCCAAGCATAACATAAACCCGGGCTACTTTGCATTTATATTCTATAACTTTTTGTGCATCATTTTTTATCCAAAATGATCGTTTTTTCCTTTAGATTTATGCGTGTAAGTGGCTTTGGTATGAACAAGGGCTAATTTCTTCTTCTGTCCTTGGGCACCATATATCTGGTTATGATCATGAAAACCATTCAGTAAATCAATTTTAATGATCCCAAATTCTCTTTATAGGCAACATTCTAAGACTCAAAGCTTCCTGAGAAAGGGGGATAAAAAACTACAGTCGAAAAGTCAAAACCAGACATTGCTCTTAAGAATCCATATCTTGAACAGACACTTCTCAAAAGAAAACATTTATGTGGCCAAAAGACACATGAAAAAATGCTCATCATCTCTGGCCATCAGAGAAATGCAAATCAAAACCACAATGAGATACCATCTCACACCAGTTAGAATGGCAATCATTAAAAAGTCAGGAAACAACAGGTGCTGGAGAGGATGTGGAGATACAGGAACACTTTTACACTGTTGGTGGGACTGTAAACTAGTTCAACCATTGTGGAAGTCAGTGTGGCGATTCCTCAGGGATCTAGAACTAGAAATACTATTTGACTCAGCAATCCCATTACTGGGGATATATCCAAAGGACTATAAATCACGCTGCTATAAAGACACATGCACACGTATGTTTATTGTGGCACTATTCACAATAGCAAAGACTTGGAACCAACCCAAATGTCCAACAATGATAGGCTGGATTAAGAAAATGTGGCACATATACACCATGGAACACTATGCAGCCATAAAAAATGATGAGTTCATGTCCTTTGTGGGGACATAGATGAAGCTGGAAACCATCATTCTCAGCAAACTATCACAAGGACAAAAAACCAAACACCGCACGTTCTCACTCATAGGTGGGAATTGAACAATGAGAACACATGGACACAGGAAGGGGAACATCACACACCGGGACCTGTTGTGGGGTGGGGGGAGGGGGAGGGATGGCATTTGGAGATACACCTAATGTTAAATGACGAGTTAATGGGTGCAGCACACCAACATGGCACATATATACATATGTAACTAACCTGCACGTTGTGCACATGTACCCTAAAACTTAAAGTATAATAAAAAAAAAAAGAATCCGTATCTAAAGGTGGACCTTGAAACACCAAATTCTGAATGTTCATTTTCACACTCATCCGTTCACCACCACCACCATCTCTGAGCACCAACTGTGTGCCAGGCACAGTGATTGGTATCCAGTTCACAGAGACATATGAGTTCAGTAAAAAAGCAAAGTACATAAGGAATCAAAATTCAAAATGGTCAGAGAAATGATTTTTAAAATACTAGTTTTCTAAAAGGTACATGGCTCAGGTCTGTAATTCCAGCACTTTGGGAGGCCAAGGCAGGTGGATCACGTGAGCTTAGGAGTTCAAGACCTGCCTGAGCAACATGATAAAATCCCATCTCTACAAAAAATACAAAAATTAGCCATGCATGGTGTCACATGCGTGTAGTCCCAGCTACTCTGGAGGCTAGGGTGGGAGAATTGCTAAAGCCCAGGAGGCAGAGGTTGCAGTGAGCTGAGATCGCACCACTGCACTCCAGCCTGGGTGACAAAGCAAGACACCATTTCCAAAAAAAAGAAAGAGAAAGAAAGAAAGAAAAAAGAAGAAGAAGAAGAAGAAAGAAGGAAGAAGAAGAAGAAGAGAGCAAGAAAGAAAGAAAGAAAGAAAGAGGAAAGAAAGAAAGAGAGAGAAAGAAAAAGGAAGGAAGGAAGGAATGAAGGAAGGAAGGAAGGAAGGGAGAGAGAGAAAGAAAGGCAGGAAGGAATGAGGGAAGGAGGGAGGGAGGGAAAGAAAGAGACAGAGAGAGAGGGAGGGAAGGAAGGAAGGAAGGGAAGAAAGAAAGAAAGGAAGGAAGGAAGGAAAAAGAAAGAAAGAAAGAAAGAAAGAAAGAAAGAAAGGAGGGAGGAAGGAAGGGACGGAAGGAAGAGAGAGACAGGAAGGGAAGGGAAAAAGAAAAAGGGGAGGAGAGGAGAGGAGAGAGGAATTATCTTAGCATGGCTAGAAGATAAAAAGATAGAGCAGCTAGTGCTTTGAAGACAAGGACCACTCTCCTCTATATTCCCAGCACTTAACACAGCGCCCAGCACATAAAGGTGCTCAGGAAATGCTTCTGGAATCAATGAACAATGGATTCACAGAAGTGGAGCCAAACTCTTGTAAGCCATGCTGGCTCTGGCAATACCCAAGACCAAGGTGGAAACACTGAAGATGTTTTTAATCAGGAAAGAGTCATAATTCAGAAATGGTTTTTTAATGTTCACTTTAAACTTCAACTCTGGCTTCTGAATGAGCAACAGATTGAACATGAGCAGGACTGGAAGCAGGGATTCCAATCAGGAGACCAACGCCATAATCCAAGGGAGGAAGGCAATCAGGCCTGAAGCTGGCCCCTGGCAGTGGGGATGGATTCAACAGGTTTTGGTGATTGTTTAGATATGGGTGGAGAGGGGAAGGGAAAAATGCAAGGATGACCCAAAATCACTCTCTTGGGTGGGTGACGGCATCATTCACCAGCAAACGGAACAGGGGAGGAGAAACAGGGCAGAAAAATGAAGAGTTTTGTTTTTGGGGTTTGAGGTCCTGTCAAACAGGCAAGATGAGATGCCAAGTAGGACTGCAGCTTGAGAGAGCAGTCAGGGAGGAGAGAGTTTAGGGATTCATCAGCATTGGCTCAAGGATTCTAAACCTGTGTCAGATCCCTCAGCTTGCACACAAGATTACGTATTCATGTGCATTTTTTAGGAGCGAAGGCCCAAGTCCTACATCACTTTCTCAATGGATCTATGCCCTCAGAATGGTTAGGAAGCATGGTGAGCCCAGCACAGTGACTCACGCCTGTAATCCCAACACTCTGGGAGCCTGAAACGGGCCGATCACCTGATTCCAGGAGTTCAACACCAGCCTGGGCAACCTAGTAAGACCCTATCTCTGCAAAAAAGAAATACAAAAAATTAGCCAGGTGTGGCATATGTCTATAGTCCCAGCTATCTGGGAGGCTGATATGGGAGGATTGCTTGCACCTGGGAGGTTGAGGCTGCAGTGAGCCATGATCACACCACTGCACTCCAGCCTGGGTGACAGAGTGAGACTTTGTCTCAAAAATAAATAAATAAAACAAGCATGGTGTATGCGGCCCTGGGTATCTGTATCAGTCAATTCTTCAGAAAAAAAAAAAAAAAAACAGAACCAACAGGAGGTGGAAGAGAGAGAGAGACAAAAACACAGAGACAGAAAGAAACTTTAGGAGACTGACTCATGAGATTGTGGAAGCTGGCAAGCCCAAAACCTGCAGGACAAACTGGCAGGCTGGAAATTCGGGTGGGATTTCCATGTTATAGTCTTGAGGCAGAATTTTTTCTTCTCAGGGGAACTTCAGTTTTTGTTCTTAAGGCCCTTAACGGATTGCATGAAGCCAACCAACCACATTATCAAGGGTAGATGCTATATATATACGTGTGTGTGTGTGCTTTTAAATTACTAATCATAGAGGCTGTGTGTGTGTGGTGTGTGTGTGTGTGTGTGTGTGTGTGTGTGTGTATTTTTTTCTTTTTAAGAAATGTGGTCTTGCTCTGTTGCCCAGGCTAGGGTGCAGTGGCACAATCATAACTCACTGCACCTCAAACTCCTGGGCCCAAGCTATCCTCCCACCTCAGCCTCCCAAGTAGCTGGGACTACAGGCACACACCACTGCACCCAGCTAAATTTTTTTTTTCTTTTGTAGAGGTCGGTCTCACTTTTTTGCCCATGCTGGTCTCAAGCTCCTGGCTTCAAGCAATCCTTCTGCCTCAGCCTTCAGCACTACACTTGGCCTTTTTAAGCAGCAAAAAAGCACCCCCAAAAAACACAAAAATGCAAAAAATTAAGGTGACACTTAATAGTCCACAATGATAACACTTATTTGCAGATACAAGGAGGCAGGACATCGCCCTGTTCAGCCTCAGATGGGAAGGTGCACGTCACACGACTCAGCTTCTCAGCATTTCAGTGCCTGTCCATGAACAACTGTGAAAGTGTGCCGAGTATTGGCCAGGTGCAGTGGCTCACACCTGTAATCCCAGCACTTTGGGAGGCCTAGCCAGGCCCATTACCTGAGGTCAGGAGTTCAAGAACAGCCATGGCCAACATGGTGAAACCCCTTCTCTACTAAAAACACACACACAAAATTAGCCGGGCATGGTGGTACATGCCTGTAGTCCCAGCTACTCAGGAGGCTGAGGCAGGAGAAGTGCTTGAATCCAAGAGGCAGAGGTTGCACCGCTGCACTCCAGCCTAGGCAACAGAGTGAGACTATGTCCAAAAAAAAAAAAGAAAGTGTGGCAAGTATTGTCAGATTACAAATAAATTTTAGCAAGTGGGCAAATTTGCAAATACAGAACCTGCAAATAATGAAGTTGACTGTACTTTGGTTATGGAACAGACAGATTTGAAAAATGCACCAGAGCCTCTCCCCTGCCACACCCCGTTGATTCAGCCTAATGCAAGCAGAAGACAAAGACGATGGGAGACCGTCCTGAAGCTGCTCGCCACGGGGCTGCATCTGTTCAGAGCCCTGACCCTTCTCCGAGGCCTGTGAGGTGGTCAGCGCTGGAGAAGGGGCAGAAGCCTGAGACAGCCAGCTTCTCGCATTCCTTCTTCTTCCGCACCGTAGGGAACGCTTTCTACACCTGCAGCCAGCACAGGTCATGGAAGGCAAGCTGCAGCTCAGGGGAAATCCGCTCTTTCTCCCACAGGGAAGAGTAAAGGGTGAAGAGATAGGGAAGAACCCCTCCCCAGGATTTTCCAGAGAACGCAGGGCAAAATTCCTATTTTAAGGGCCCAGATAGAACAGAAGAGAGGAGGACAAAGTCCTCACCTCCAGGGAAGTCAGTCTCAATGACAAGAGCTGCTCATGGTGGAGACAGCTTTCAGAAAACCAGCAGAGAGGAAAACCTAGGGGCAGGCAGCTGCCTTTGATTCTCAGCACCAGCAGACCTGAGATGCACAATCTCCATCTCCAGGGACACATCTGTTACTTTTGAAATGTTTACAATAACTTTGAACATCACCTTGAAGTGGAGGCATGTGAGGGACAGGGTTCCATCAGGAAGCTCAGGCTTGAGGGAGGACCTCAGAGGCACTGCTAGGTCCTGTGAAAATCAAACATGTCACTGTCATCCTCATGTCCCTGCCATTACTGGTAGACTTAAATGATATCGAAGCAGTTAATATATGCTTATATGTCACTGACTTTGTTTTTTTTTAATGGAGTCTCACTCTGTCACTGAGACTGGAGTGCAGTGGTACAATCTCAGCTCACTGCAACCTCCGCCTCCTGGGCTCAAGTGATTCTCCTGCCTCAGCCTCCCAAGTAGGTGGGATTACAGGCGCATGCCACCACGCCTGGCTAATTTTTTGTGCGCGTGTTTTTATTAGAAATGGGGTTTCATCAGTTGGCCAAACTCAAACTCCTGACCTCAGGTCAGGATAGTCTCAAACTCCTGACCTCAGGTGATCTGCCCACCTCAGCCTCCCAAAGTGCTAAGATTACAGGCGTGAGCCATCACGCCCAGCCATATGCCATTGACTTTGAATCCCATGAAAATCCAGGTTTATATTTATTGAGGATTTGCCAGGTGCGTGAAGCTGTGCTATGTGTCACAATAGCTCTGTTTTGAAAACAACCACACAAGCCAGGAACTGTTTATCATTTCCATTCTATCAACGAAGGAACAGAGTCTTAGCCAAATTAATTAACTTCATAAGCTAGTAAGCAATAGAGCAGGGTTTCTTGACTTCAGCACTGTTGACATTATGGGCCAGATTATTCTCTGCTGTGAAGGGATGTCCTATGCATTGTAGGATGCTGAAGAGCATCCCCAGCCTCTACCCACTACATATGCCAGCAGCAAGTTATGTCAACCAAAAATGTCTCTAGATATGGCCAAATGTCCCCTGGAGGTGGGGTGCCAATTGCAGTTTGAGAACCAGTGCAATAGGACAATCATTTGAATCCAGGCTGAGTCCAAAGCTCACTCCTCTCATTGCTACATGATCCAAACTCCTTGCTGTTAGTCCCCAATCTTCAGCCTGAAACCAGGGCTCAAAGAGGAAGGCAAGTCCCCAACACTGCATAGCTTTTGTGGGGTCCAGTGGATGTGAATTCAGTCTGACCCTAAGCTAAGCCCTCTTCCCACCCACCATCCAGCATCTGTTTCAAAGGGGATTCATCCATCAATGCCTGTACTAAACCGTGAGCTTGAATTTGGGAATTAGGAAAGGTTCACTCCTATGGCTGTGACCAGACCTACTCTTCCATTGCTTATCAGGGATTTTTGCCCTAACAATGGTTGTAAGGAAAGCCCAGGGTCTAAGTTCAAGGAATACATTCTCCTACTTCCTTCCCACAAGGTGGTAATAGCATAGGTGTAAATAGCCCTCAGGGAACAGCTATGTGCTCTGACAGATGAAGAACACGTTATAGTTCACAACGGTTGACTTTCTTGAGTACCTTCCATGTGCCAGGCACCTTTGAATATCATCTCCTCTAATCCTCACAAGTGCCCTGTGAATTGCTTATGCAGGTTTTACAGATGCAGGGGCTGAGATTCCAGAGCTAAGGTCCCTTGCCCCAGGTCCATAGCTAGGAAGTGCCCAGGGTTGGATCCAAACTCAGATCTGCTAGTTCTGAAGCACAAGTCCGCTCTGCAGTCCCCAGCTCATACCAGCTTCCTCCCCTCCATCATCCCCATTTCCTTCTGCAGCCTATTACAACCAAGTTTCACATCTAGTGATTTTGCAACTATCCTCTTTTCTTGTACAATCACTGGTTTCAACTGCCAATATCTTACTTTGATGGCAAAAGAGAGGGTGACATGTGCCTTTAGAGATTCAAAACTGGACAGAGCAACAGGTTGCAAACCCCCAAGCTTTGCTGGACTTTTAGCCAAAGAACTGGACAGAAGGATATCTGTGGCTTATCAGATGGCCCTCCTGCCACCACATGATGGTGACTGATGAAGGAACATGCTTGACAGTTCAGTTAGCTCTTTAATTACATGGAAAGAAGAGCCTTCAGAAGCCAGTCAATCAGCTGAGGAAGAAAGAGGCACGTCTGGCTTCTAATCAATGGCTGTTCCAGTCTCTTTCATCAAAGGCTTGATCTGTCATTTTCTATTGTCTGCAGTTAATGAGTCAGTTTGATCAGGCGTTGCTTCCATGGCCTCCCTTGGATAAAGGAAGCTTGCTTAACTCTGGGGAATGCTCTCTCCTTGATAATGTTGCTCCATGCATTTCTCAGAGCATTTATCACTCTGAGAGTTGCTGTCTACTGAGTATCTACTATGTGCCGGGCCGTGCATTGAGGACTCGGTATGTCTTAGCTCTTTTGATCTTCATGTCAACTCTAGGAGAGAGGTTCTACTGGCTCCCTGGCCCTGCTCCTTACCAACTGGAAGCCTTTGGGCTTCTCTGTGCCTCTGTTTTCTCATCTGTTTAATGGGGATAATAATAGTTCTTACCTCAAAGAATTGCAAGGCTTTGATGAATTCATGTCTACAAAGTGCTTAGAATAGTGCCTGGCACACAGTAACTGCCAGTAAGGGTTTGCTTTTTTTTTTTTTTTTTTTTTTTTTTTGAGACGGAGTTTTGCTTTGTCACCCAGGCTAGAGTGCAGTGGCACGATCTCGGCTCACTGCAACCTGTGCCACCCGGCTTCAAGTGATTCTCCTACCTCAGTCTCCCAAGTAGCTGAGATTACAGGCAAGTGCCACCACGCCCGGCTAATTTTTGTATTTTTAGTAGAGACAGGGTTTCAGCATCTTGGCCAGGCTGGACTTGAACTCCTGACCTCGTGATCCACCCGTCTCAGCCTCCCAAATTGCTGGGATTACAGGTGTGAGCCACTGCACCCGGCCTACATTTATTATTATCCTCATTTTTCAAGCAAGGAACCTGGGGTTGATAAGGATTAAGGAGGCTGACCAAGGCTCAGAGATTGTCAGCCACAAAGCTGAGACTTAACACTGGTCTGTTTGACTCCAAAGCTAATTTCTTACCACTGGATCATTAAAGGGGGGAAGGAGGAAAGGATACACAGCTGCTTCTGGGAAACTGCCAGAGCACTGGGAACCCTGGAACTGGCTCTCACTTTACAAAGCCAAGAGCAGACCAGCAGTCTGCACTGAACCCACATAGGAAGGATCTAGCCCAGAGGAAGGAGACCCTATCTCAGGGTTAGAGTGACCAAAAGGACTGCTTGAGGAACTTCTCATCCTCAGAATAGAGGCCAAACTCTACCTTGGCATAAAAGCTCTCCTGAGCCCTCCAACCTTCCTGTCTTTATCCTCAGGTACGTCACGCACTCCAATCCCCCCGTCAACAGACACACACATACAGACACACACGCACATACATGCAGACACACTTTAGACCTGCATCTCTACTCAGACCTGCCAGTCTTTTGAACTCCATATCTGTTCATACATACTCTTCATTCTACCTAAAATGCCTTCCCCTTCTCCATTTCTACCACACACACATCCCCCTCTGAAACTCAGCTCTAGTGTCACCTACGCCAGGAAGCCTTCCATGACCACACTGCACAGGGCTAGATGCCTCTTTGGGGCTTCCACAGTACTCCCCTCCTTATTTTTTCAGCTTAAAATTCCCCTGTAATTATAAATCCACATTGTAATTATCTGTCTCTTTCATGGACCCTGGAACTCCTCTAAGGTCCAGCTCAGAGGCCAGCACACAGTAGGTGCTCAGGAAATGTTTGTGAACGAAATGAGTTATTAAAGGATGGGTAGCCCACCTAGGTACCCTTCCATGTACAAAAGGGACTTTATTAATTCTGTGGGTCCACATAGGGCTTGAAGACCACTAGTGGATAAAGACTCCCAGGGAAATATGCTGACACGTAATGGGTGCACTCAACCACACCTAAAAAAAAGAATGGGCTGCAGGAACAGGCAAGGGACTCCACAAGACTGGGGGTATGCAAGCAGAGGCTGAGGGAACGCCCATCAGGGATGCCAGAGTTAATTTATGAATTACTAAGATGATGGCTGATGTTCTAATGCTTTCAGTCTACACTCAATCAACTCAAAATATTCTCAAGCAACCTTAAGAATAATAATTGTAGGCCGAGGCAGGTGGATCACAAGGTCAGGAGTTCGACTGTTGGAGGCAGAGAGTTTAGAGAAAACCTGACTCATCACACTTCACATGCACAGGAGCCTGACCAACATGGTGAAACCCCGTCTCTGTCTACTAAAAGTACAAAAATTAGCCAGGCGTGGTGGCGCATGCCTGTAATCCCAGCTACACAGGAGGCTGAGGTGGGAGAATTGCTTGAACCCAGGAGGTGGAGGTTGCAGTGAGCCAAGATCACACCACTGCACTCCAGGCTGGGCAACAGAGTGAGACTCCATCTCAAAAAAAAAAGAAGAAGAAGAAGAAGAAGAATTGTGATCGCCATCACCTATGAGGCACCTCTATGTACCATGCGCTGTGCTGTGCCCCTAACACACAGCGCGATCACCGGCCCTCCCTACATATAAAACGCACAACTAAAAAATGTGTACAGAATTCAAATAATCAATTCCAATGTTGGGGGAGGAAAATATAACATCTGTTTACAATCTTCAATTTAACCTTATTTTTCTGAGGCAATCTTCGACCATGTAGTTTTATTTTAATACATGTCTTTTATTCTTTTCTTTCACAACTGAGAAATGGGCAATAAGCTAAACTCAAAGATCTTCCAGCTAAAAGTTAAAGATCTGCTGTGTTAGGTGGCTTTTATGATTTTATCTTCTCGTTTCTTTCTTTGGCTTGGTTGTATTTAGTTTATGAGACTCATGTTTCTTTACCAGAAAGATCAGCACTTCTTATTTTTGCTTGGTTTTCTATAGTAATCACAAAAATGCAATAAAATATTAAAGTCCTTGGCACAAACCCTGCTGCACAGGCAAAGACAGAGACCCTCCTGGAGAGGAATTTCTGCCACGGGGTCATCATCATACGAGCTTGAGATGGCCTTGCAGCCCCTGATACACAAAAACTCAAACTCCTATGTAAGAAGCAGTGTATGGGTATCCGTGTAAATGCCCCCAAAGCCCAGTTGGTCCTAAAGATGAATATGTGGCAACCAAAAGCTCTCAGTATGAGTGTTATATTTATTTGTCTGATTGGATATTGTGGCTCAGAGCAGTCAAGTAACTCACCCAGAGTCACACAATGAGGAGCAGAGCTGGGAAAATGAATCAAGGTGGAATTGAGCACCTATGTTTAATGACAACAGATGGTGTTTACTGAGCACTTACTATGTGCCAAAGATTCTTCTAAGCACATTTGTCTTTGACTTACTTAATTCTCACAGCAACCTTAGGAGGAGTGCCCCATTTTACAAATGAGGAAACTGAGATGCAGAGAGACTGAATGACTCACCAGGGCTCACCCCACTAAAGGTGGTGGAGGCAGACTTTGAACCGGGAGAGCCTGGCTTCCAAGACTCTCTCCTAAGTGCCAGGCCTCTCAGTAAGCCAAAATCTCAGAACAGACTCTGAGCAACTCCCTCCCTGGATAAGGACTGACGACATGGCAGAGAGAAGCCAAGTGCCCTGAGGCTGGGTTGATTGTAGGAGCTGATATTTTCCTGCAGGGAAGCAGCTCTGCCATCAAAGGCTCCTGTTTGAGAAGCTGATCTTGCAGCACAAGGACATCGGAGCCAGGGCCAGAGCTGCTTTTTTAAGGCATCGCTCTAAGAAACCCCTTCTGGAAATGCTTCTCCTCCATGCCCCATTCTCATGAGGGGCTGTCAGGCCTCAAAGAGCTGAATCAGGGACTTAATTGAATGCTGCGGGAAAAGGTGCTGTGTGGGTCTCCCTAGGCTCAACTCTAACAGCATTTGCGCTTTGGCCACTAAAGCACAAAATGCAAACCACTAGCCTCTCAGCGCGGGAAATGGAGCAAGGGCTTAAAAATCCGGAGATCTCAGATCAAGTTGAGGCATCCCTGACTCACTGGATGACCTGGGGCAAGTCAATTCACCTGTCTGAGCCTCAGGCTCCTGTGCACGTGGAGTGTGATGAGTCGTGGAGTGTGGTGAGTCAGGGTTTCTCTAAACTCTCTGCCTCTGACATCCAGGGCTCCTGTGCCCACATACTGGAGGAGATACACATCATGAATTGGTTTGAGCTTCCCTCTGCGCATTGAATTTCAGGCCTACATGACTGGAACCCAAATGAGGAGGGAATCTTGAGAAACCAAGAACAGTGCTTTACAGGAGAATCTACAAAAGTCCCTAACTGCAGCAGTGACTGTACTTACCTGAATGGCTCCCAATATCTGATCAATTCCCTGGAATGATCCACCCCAGCTGCACGTCCTGTCATTGTTAATAAATGGTACTTATTGGATAGCATACTATGTACTGATCATTTCACTTGCTACAACAACCCTAAGAGATAGGTAAGAATTAGGACCATCGGGGCTGGGCACGGTGGCTCACGCCTGTAATCCCAGCACTTTGGGAGGCCGAGGCGGGCAGATCACGAGGTCAGCAGATCCAGACCATCCTGGCTAACACGGTGAAACCCTGTCTCTACTAAAAATACAAAAAAATTAGCCAGGCATGGTGGCGGGCGCCTGTAGTCCCAGCTACTCGGGAAGCTGAGGCAGGAGAATGGCCTGAACCCGGGAGGCGGAGCTTGCAGTGAGCCAAGATCACGCCACTGCACTCCAGCCTGGGCGACAAAGCGAGACTCCGTCTCAAAAAAAAAAAAAAAAAAAAGAATTAGGACCATCGGAAAAAAGGGGAAACTGAGGCTCACCTGCCCAACAACACATATATAATTAGTACAGTTGGGACTAGACCTCACGTTTATATGACCGAAGGTCTGTGTTCTCTCCACTACTTCTCCAATTCTCAAATCATCTTGGTCTTGCAAACCAAAGCAGCTTTAGCACAGCTCATGTGTTTAGCATTCATTCAACAAGTATTCAGTAAGCACCTATTATGAGCCAGGTGCCATGCAAGGCACTAGAGATACAGCAATGACGAAGACTAACTCAGATTTCAGGGTGGGTTCAAAGGACCTCAATTGCTCGCCAGGTGGGACAATGAAGCTCCAGTAAGAGACAATCACGGTTCGAATGCGAATGAGACGTTGGCTGACACACGGGAAGCATTCGCCTCCATTCTCATAAAAGAAAGCCCTTGACTGGTGGTGGTAAATGCATCATGGGAAGGAGCAGGGGGGAATGTGTTCAAGCTGCATCGGTAGATTTACTGCAAAATGGAAAATGTTACTGAATGTAAAAATGCTGAAGATATGAAATTAAAATTGAATCACGAACACAAATCATTTCTGAGTTTCAGAAAATTTTGAAGGTTGCCTGCATAAAATTTGCCTGGAAGATGGGGGAGATGAGGAACAAGTGGAAAAATATGTGGGTTTGCATGCCAGCCCAGAGTATTTATCTCAAAAGAGGGAATATTTTGCACATTTATAATGTTGAATGTTTTATTCATCCATTCAGCAGACACATTATCTTGAGCAAAGGGGTATGAGATGAACAAGACCCAGTTCCTTTACTAAAGAAGCTCAGAAATGAATGGGGGAAGGGGCCTAACATATACACTATAATACTAATATTTACAACATTGTTATGTTGTTAAGGATCGTGACAGGTATGAATGAAGTCCCATGAGCTCCACAAGAAGGAAGCAATTAATTCGAATCTAGGGGAATCCTATAGCTTTTCGTGGAAGTAGAGGCCCATGTGTCCGAGCAGAGAGAGACAGAGTGATCAAGACAAAGGGAAGCAAAAATGTGAAGATGTGGAGGTGTGTTCATACATTAATGATTGAGTCAGGATGGTGAGCCGTAGACGGTGGGAAGATGGTACGAGAGCAGGTTTCTCGACCTCAGCACTACTGACATTTGGGGCTGCATAATTCTGTGTTGTGGTGCTGTCCTGTGTATTATGGTATGATTAGCTGCATCCCTGGCCACTGCTCACTGGATGCCAACAACAAAAGACACTTAGTAATTCTGGTTTATAAGGCCAGTATAATAGAGGGGAGAGATGAGAGAGGAAGAGGGGGAAGAGGAGGGGAGGTGAGGAGCATGAAAATGTCTTAGCTTTTATTACTCTTAAGCATTGACTAGGCTGAAATAAGTACATATTATAGCATTTGATCCTCTCCACAATGCCTGCAAGTATGTAGCTGTGGGCTGGGTGTGGTGGCTCATGCCTGTAATCCCAGCACTTTGGGAAGCCAAGGCAGGAGGATCACTTGAGGTCAGGAGTTCAAGACCAGCCTGGCCAACACGGCAAAACCTTGTCTCTACTAAAAATACAAAAATTAGCCAGGCGTGAGAGCGGGCACCTGTAATCCCAGCTACTCGAGAGGCTGAGGCAGGAGAATCACTTGAACCCAAGAGGCAGAGGTTGCGGTGAGCCAAGATTGTGCCACTGCACTCCAGCCTGGGTGATAGGAGTGAAACTCCTCAAAAAAATAAATAAATAAGGGATGTAGCTTTGGCCTAAGTAAGCATCATGTTTTATCCCAACTCCACATCTGTGCCTATCTTTGTTTTGCCTCTGTCTCCTCCTAAACTGTGTCCCATTATGCAACTATCCTGAGTGACCTGCCTCCCGGACCAGGCCACAGGCTGCCTGGGGGACCCTCATAGATCAGGGTGAGGAAGGAAGACCTAACCACCTATTCCAGAGCTGCACATCCATATTGTGAGTGCCACTGAGGCTCTGTGGCAAGATGCCACCTCGGAGGCCTGCTGCGATGGCACTGTTGAATCTTTTAAACAAGACAAAATAGAAGATGATGCTGCAAACCTGTCAGTGGCGTGCCATGTCCTTGTTTTATAAGATCCTTTCCTGTCTTGCCTCATTCACCTTGCCAGCCCAGTCTATTGCATTCCCCAGACCTGTCGTATCTCCTTTTGCCTTCGGACTTCTTTGCACACTGTGTACTGAGCCTAGAGGGTCCTCCCCACCGCAGCCTCCTCACCCTGCCAACTCCACTCACCTTTCAGGTCTAAGATCACACATCACCTTCTCCAGGCAGTCTTTTCCATTGTCCAAGCCCGCCTGAGGCTCAACTCTGAGCTTCCATAATAGGCTATTTTATCATTGTTAGTTACTTGCGTGTCTGCCCCCCATTAGACAAGGGGTCAGAAACTACAGCTGGGAGAGGAGTAAAATCTGTTTTGGTAAATAAAGTTTTATTAGAACCCAGCCATGTCCCTTTTTTTACTTATTAGCTACAGCTGCTTTTGCACTACAAGAGTAGAATTAAACAACCGCAACAGAGGCCATATGTCCACAAAGCCTAAAATATTTTCTATCCACTCCTTTACAGAAAAATTTTGCTGGCCCTTGCACCAGACTATGGGCTCTCTAAGAGGAAGCACCCTGTCTTGTTCCTCAGTGTGTTACCATCAGCATCTAGTGCTGGGCCTGGGAGATAGAAGCAGTTTAATGAATATTTGATGAATGGAATATTTGATGAATGTTGAGTACATAAGTGTCAAGCTCTGTGACAATGTGACAATGCTCGCACATAAGAGACACTTTTGGCAAGATAGTTCCAAATCAAAAGAAACAGACTGATTGTATAAAACAAAATCAGCTCAGAAACGTGTGCCTACACACACACACACACACACACACACACCCTCGCCTCTCAACAAAATGAATAGCTGGTGGATGGTATGTTGAGTTCTAATTTAAAGGAGATGCTACAGAGATAGGTTGGGTTAAGATAACTTCCTGCTATGAGCTTCTGTGATTTTTATTTGAATTTTCTTCCCATCCAACGTTTTGAACAAGAAAAATCAGTTGTTGAATTAAACCTGAATTTCATCAACCTAGAAATTTGAGATGAATAATCTAGACTTTTTTTTGAGTCTTGGAAGGAGGGAGAAAGGAGAGTAAAGCTAATATTATCTATTAAGGATGAGCATGACTTCAGCTCCCCGAACTGGAAATGCCTCCAAAAAACAACGCCTTGTCCCACTTGTCCAGCTGATAAAGCTAAACTCCTTCTTCAGGAGTCAGTTCATTTTTGTTGCCTTCTCAAAGCCCTCTTTGATCCACCTTCCTAAACCCTCTCCCTCTTCCAAACTCTAATAGCACTTTGCTCCTGGCTGTATTACAATCACTTCTCAGACTTGCTTGCACGTCTACTTACAGCATTGGGACTACAAGCTCCCTGAAGAGTTCATTCTCATCTACATTTCCAGATACATAGTAGGTGCTCAATAAGTGTTTATGGAATGGTTGAAAGAACAAATGATATGAGAGAGAAAGAGAGAATGGTTGAATTAAATAGTGAATGGGTAAATGGGTAGGTGAATGCATGAATGGAGAAATGCATGGATGGATGATGGATATTTTGGTGGGTGGGTAGGTGGATTGATGGATGGATGAATGAGTGGCTAAGTGGATGGATGGATGGATGGATGGATGGATGGATGGATGATGTATAATAGGTGGGTGGATGGATGCATAGTTGAGTGGGCGGGTGGATAGATGGATAGTTGAGCAAGTGGGTGGATGGATGGATAGTTGAGTGGATGGATGGATGAGTAGGTGGGTGGATAGATGGATAGATTGGATTAAATTGGGTTGGGTGGAAGTGACTGTATTGAAGTTATGAAGGAAGTGAATGATATCCTCAGACCTTTCAACAGCTGGTTGAAAGAGCTGTCCTACAGAGAGCTGTCCCATACCTCAGGCTTCTCTACTCCAGGTATAATAGTTCCAAGAGTGTTTCTTCTTCTCATTGTATCTCTCCAACCTTCCCTCATTCCTCCTCTCTAGAGGCTGCATCAGCTCTCCTTGACTCATCAAGTCAGCTTTGCCAAAGAAGCCAAGAAGGCAAAAGGAAATTCCTTCATGGGAAACAAGCAGATGGCCAGTGTCCAGCCCTCCAGGAGGACAGACAGGAGGCCACCTGCTCACCCATGATGGATCTAATTATAGTAGATGTTTTTATTTGGTGATTTACAGAGCTTGGTGCCCCCAAGTGGAGCAAAACAGTGGAGCCATGGTGGAAGGTGAGCTCTCTCACAGACACGGTTGCAGGTGTCTACCTTAGGAGCTCCTGTCTTGTCTTCTACTCATCTTCCTATTCCAGACTCAAATCATCAAAAGAGGCAGCCCATCTCTCAGGAGTAATGCCTAGAACTCCGAGACTCTGGGGAACACAAATCAAAAAACTTTGCTCTGGTTAGACAGCATCTCTTTGAAGATGGGGAGACTGAGGACCTGAAAGGGAGAAGGAAAAAGACTTCCCCAGTAAATCAGTAAAGGGCCAGGAGCTGGAGCCCAGATCTCTTCCTTCATAATCTATTACACTTTGCCACTGCACTGCCTTAACACATCAAACAATGTGTGACTCCCTTGGAGACCCCTGGATAAAATGCAACACCATGTCTAAGAAAGGTACCCTGTTCCAAGCTCATTTAGCATTCAGCCGGGGCTGATTAGAGTTCTGATTATGATGCTGGAATTATTTTTATTTCTAAGCATTAGTATTTAGGATCAAGGGGGCATTAGTCAATAGGGATTTAAAAGCAACAACAGAAAGTAAAGTTCTTCCCTACACATACACACACACGTGCATGCACACACACGTGCACACACACACACGCACACACACACACGCACACACACACACCTTTCTTTTCTTAGCTTTAATTAGCTTTGCTCAGATTGATATGAAAAAATTTCCAGACCCAGAATTAATTTATCTTTTATGATTGTGAAAATCATTAGTTTTTTTTTTTTCAGAGAATTGGATGCCAGAGATAAATTGAGTGAAACAATAGTTTCAGGGCTCTTCCAACAGCAATAGGTAGACAAAGATCTCGACTAAAATCAGAGACATCAACCGAAGCCAAGGCTGTTGAGTCAAACAATTGTGCATTTTGGATTCCATTTCCGTCCCTATCTAGATGTGTTACCTTGGGAGACTTAATAACCTCCTCTGAGCCTCCACTTCCAACTGTGTACACACACCTCACCTCACAGTTCTTTCTTTGCTAAGTACAAGAGATTTTTTAAAAGCATAAATCAATCCAGGAACCTATTGGATTAAAAGTATTCAACATCTTCCCATTTAACTTAGAATAAAGCACACACTCCGAACATGCTCAACAAGGACTTCCTTGATCTAACTTTTGCGTATAACAAAAACCTAAGTATATTTGTGCAACCAAACAAGGGGGTACTTTTTTCACATGACAAGAAGTTTAGAGATGGTCCAGAGAAGCTCCAAAATGCCATGAATGACGCATGTTCCTTCTATCCTCCTGCTCTGCCATCATCAGAAAATAGAGACCCTCATGGTCACAAGACGGCTGCACCAGCTCAGGGCTTTACTTCCAAGTTCCAGGGAAAAAGTAGGGAAGAGCAAAGGAAAAAAGGCATTGCCATTTGGGTCTGTCCCTTTTTATCACTAAAGTGATAACTTTTCTTTAGACTGCAACTTACAGGTTTTTGGCCAGAACTTTGTTACATTACCAATGACAGTTTCAAGGGAGCCAGTCTTCTTAGCTGAGTACTTTGCCTCCTAAACAAAACCAAGGTTTTGTTGATAAGAAGAAAGGGCGGTTAAAATGTTAGACTTGCCTGTAGGTTGTAGCAACAGTGAACAGATTTTTGCAGCTCTAATTCAGGTCCCAAGTCAGCTGATTTTGAATTAATTTAAAAGGAGATCATCCTGACTTATTCGGGTAAAAACTCTTAAAAGAGGGACTGGGTTCCCATAGCTGAGAGAGCCTCCTTGCTGGCTTGATGAAATAAAAAGTCACGTTGAGGAACCCCATATGGCAAAGGGATGAAGGAGGACTCCAGAAACTTCAGACTCTAGGACCAGAGAGCTGCCTCAAACCAACAGCCAGCAAAAAGCCATGATGCTCAATCATGCATCCGTAAGGAAATGGATTCTGCCAACACTCTAAATGAGGTTGGAAGCAGATCCTTCCCCAGTACAGCCTTGAGATGAAAATACCATCTGACCAACACCTTGATTGTAGCCATGTGATACCCAGAGCAGAGGACCCAGCTAAGCTATGCTCAGACTCCTGACCCACAGAAACTGTGATATAATAAGTACGGGGTTTTTTTATGCAGCCAAGATTGTGGCAACTGTTGAAACGGAATTGTTGAAAAAACAAATGATAAGGGAGAGAGGGAAAGAGAGAATGGCTGAATTAAATGAGTGAATGTGTAAATGGGTAGGTGAATGCATGAATGGAGAAATGGATGCATGGATGGGTGGATAGACGGATGGAGTGAATGTGGCAATAGACAGCTAATACTGTGCCAAACACACAGGTCTCCTTTCTGCCACTTTGATTGTGCTGTACCCCTTCATCCATCAAGGAATTCACTCAGGCTGTTATTTCTGCCAGATACAGCCTTTTCCCAGCTCTGTACAGAGCCAACTCATTCTCTTCCTTCCAACTTCAGCTCAAATACCCTTCTCAGAGATGCCCTTCCTCACCATTCAACCTAATCACCTCTTCAGCACTCTCTATGCCTCATCTGCGTCACAGAATCTAAACCAATCAGAAATTACCTTTATTTATCTGTTTCCTTGAAATTGTCTTTCTCCACTAAAATGTCACCTCCAAAAGGGAAGGGACTGTGTCTGCCTCCACTACATGTAGAACAGTTCCAGGCACTCAGTAAAGCTCAGGAAAAGACAGCCCCATCCACACACCCCAAATCTTGATGAAGTTTGCAAGCAGCTTAAAAGCAGAATTTCCAGACGCACTCCAGCACAGCACACCTGTGAATGATCCATGAACATAACAGAAGGTACTCCTGGTCCTTAGCTCTTCCTACAGCCTCCCTCTCCCTTCCCACGCACCCATTTGTATGCTCATACAGAGACTTGCCATATTATTTCCCTCCCTCACACATTCACCCTTGTGATTTAACTGTATTTGTGTGGAGTTTTGTGTTTTGTTTTGTTTTGAGATGGAGTCTCACTCTGTCACACAGGCTGGAATGCAGGGCACGATCTCAACTCACTACAACCTCCGCTTCCCAGGTTCAAGCGATTCTCCAGCCTCGGCCTCCCAAGTAGCTGGGATTGCAGGCATGCACCACCACACCTGGCTAATTTTTTGTGTTTTTAGTAGAGACAGGTTTTCACCATGTTGGCCAGGCTAGCCTTGAACACCTGACCTCAGGTGATCCACCCACCTCGGCCACCCAAAGTGCTGGGATTACAGGCATGAGCCACTGCGCCCAGCCTGTATTTGTGTATTTAACTGTAAGTTACTGCCTCATAAAAGCCAGCAGCAATTTGGAGAGGGGGAGAAGATACCCTAGAAATATGAACATAGTGTTCACCTCCTACAGTTCATCTCCACGTTGTTCTCATGTGTTAAAATGAGACAATCTACCAAGGAGAAGGGGGCATCTTGTCTGTATGTTCCTGACCATCAAATAATACAATCAAGGAGTTGCACATTAATATGAAATAAGAGCCTCAAAAATTTCCAGAAGGGTCATTAGAAATTGTTTCGCCCGCCCCTTTTAATCTAAACAGGTGTATTGTTGAGCACCAGCCCTGAGGGGCCCTCTGTACACTGCTCTGCGGACCAAAAAGTGTGGCAAATATGAGTTCCACATTCTTCTCTTGGGGGCTCATGGTGAATGTTAGTGTGGTGGTCTGGAGGCAGCAACTGGCCTCACCCCTCTGCCCCTCTGGGTTCTGAACCACCCATAAGCCAGAGGAGGAATGAAATGCTTTATTATCCCCAAATGGAGAGTTTCTGGCTTATTTGGGATGACCTATGGTAAAGGAAGGCTTTGTGTTACTTTACTAGGGAGTCTGGAATCTAGACATTGACTTCTGCTCTGACAATATATGGACTAGATATTCTAAAGGACTTCTTCACACAAGACGACTAAATCCTAAAGAAAATAAAATGTTATTAGTGGGATCACAAGAAGCAAGGGAAATCTCCAAGGGGCCAAAAAATTAAGTTGAAGCTTAAGCAGATCAGACAAACACGCATAAGGCAACATCAGTGTGGCAGTCAAGTACAAGTCTCAGGATAAGAGCAAGATGTGGGGATTGGACCCGACCCTACACTATTAATCCAGGTAGCTAAAAACAGACAGTGCCTTTGGCTCTCGCAAGGCAAAAATGCAAAATCCTCTCTAAAGGAAAGCATTTTTAATCTATGTCCTCAGTATTCTCACAGATTAAGATTGGCCCAATATAAACTCACAAATGAGCAAGCAACAAAAAATGATCAGATACACTTGAAACCAAAGAAAATCTATAAAATAGAACTATGATTATTGAAATTAGAACTCAGTAAGTATGGTTTTTCTTTTTAAAAAAAAGCAGATTATACACAGCTAAAAAGGGAAATTCATAAACTGGAAGATAGAGGGCAACACAAAGGCAAGAATAAGCAAATAAGACATTCAGAGCTGTGAAGGGCAGAATATGATATTGTAACATATATTCTAATTTGAATCCCAGAAAATAAAAGAGAGAGAATAAAAATGAGTTTATTTGAAAAGGCAAAAACTGAGAGTTTTCCAGAACTAGTAAAGACATGAATCTACAGATACAAGGGTACCATTTACACCAAACTGACTAAGTTAAAAAGAAGCCTATTCCTAGATACAATGTAGTAAAGCTATAGAACATCAAAGACAAATAGGAAGTCTTAAACCAGCAGCAGATGGAAGAAACCAGCAACAACCCTCAGCACAGATGTAACAATTAGACCATCAACAACTGGACTTTTCTTAACGGTAGCGACAAGAGTCATCAAAATTCTCTCTTCATCGGGTTGAGAAAAAGAGAACTGTCAAGCTAGAATAGCAGATCTAACAAAACTGTATCTCAAGAATAAGAGCAAAATAAGGACATTTTCAGACTTATAAAAATAAAGCTTTAACCAATAGGCCAACTAAAATAATTTCTAAAGGATGTAGTTGAGAGAGAATGAAAATGAACCCAAATAAGAAGGCCTGAGATTCAAGAAGATTAGCAAAGGGGAAAAAGGATAAAACACGTAGGTTAATCTAAAGAACCACTGTATTCATAAAATATAGCTGTCTAACAAGTAGGCTTAATAAAAAGAACTGAAGTCCTCAGCAATGAGAATGTGTCAGTTAGGAAAGAAATGGCTAGGGTTAAAGTAGTCTGAGATCTTCATATCATCAGGCATGGTGGGAAGGTGATGGCAGTCAAGATACCAACATTACAGCCTGGGCAACACAGTGAGGCCCTGTCTCCAGAAAATAAAAATAAAAAATAAATTATCCGGTTGTGGAGGTGCATGCCTGTAATCCAAAATACTCATGAGGCCGAGGTAGGAGGCTGCCTAGAGCCCTGAAGTTTGAGGCTGCAGTGAACTATGATCATGCCATGGCACTCCAGCCTGAGGGACAGCCTCTAAAATTAAAAAAAAAAAAAAAGGATACTGCATTAAAAGTTAAACTGACATTAAAAGTAAAAGATACTAACATTAAAAGTCTCATGTGCCTAGTAAAATTTCAAAGATAATAATTTAAAGAGTAAAAGCAGAGATTATAACTTCCATCTCAGGAAAGAAAAAAAAAAGTAATAAGAAAAAAACTTAATTTTTATAGACCAAAAAAGATAAATTATATATATATATATATATATATATATATATATATATATATATATAAAAATGCTGTACCAATGAAACCTCAAAAAAGTTACAACAGGAGAAACAATCCAAATAGATCAATAATCACAATAAATGTAATGGAAATAACCATCTCAGTTAAAAGAGATTATCAAATTAGATGGGACGGGGCAGGGAATCCAGCTATCTACTGTTAAAAAAAAAAAAAAGCTAAAACGTAAAAATATAGGAAGGTTTTAATATAGCAAGTAAAGGAACAGACAAAGATATTAGGTTGGTGCAAACATAATTGCATTTTCACCAACCTAATACATCAGCCAAATACTAACAAAATAAAGGTGAGTGGCCATATTAATACCAAATAAAATGGCTTTTTAGTAAAAAATATATATTAGGGAGAGAGAGTCATTGCAACATAATAAAGCATTTGCTTCTCCATGAAGACATGATTCTAAGAACATTTGCATATAGTCAAATAACTTTACAATACATACTGCAGATGCTTCCTCAGACTTCTCTACAGAGGATCTCAGCTGGCCTCACACCCTAACAAGTGTGGAGAGAAATGACTGTGGGTGGCCAGGTCAGCTGTTGGATGAAGTGTCCCCAGCCCTGGTAAAAACGGCCAAGATATGATAACTTCTCCCCATCTTTCTAGAGATATGAGTCATTCTTCTTTGCATGAGGAATAAAGAGGTCAGAGCTGAAGCGTCTTTTCCATAATCCCTTGAGAAGGCAGAAGTGTTAGATTAAGCTCCTACTTTACAGGCTGGGGACAGGAACACTGAAAAGAATAAAGAAACAATTTGTAGCTGGGTGTGGTGGCACGCCTGTCGTCCCAGCTACTTGGAAGGCTGAGACTGGAGGATTGCTTGAGCCCAGGAGATCGAGGCTGCAGTGAGCTATGATCACACCACTACACTCCAGCCTGAGTGACACACCAAGACCCTGTCCCTAAAAAGAAAAAATAAAAGAGAGAAACAATTTGAATTGAAAAGGCAGAAACCTTGACTTTGTTGAATCTAATATTCCTCTGATTTTTTTTTCTTAACACAGATCTACAAAATTTTGGCAAACAGAGACCTGATCCAGCCCTCTCCTTTCAAAGATGAGAAAACAGAAAACACACAGAGAGGTGATGTGGCTTGCCCGAAGTCACACAAATAATGTATTTGCATGTACATATAATCATTAATATTCACACGAGGACCCAAAAAAGATTGTGAAAACAAGTGAATTTAAATGTTAAAATGGCAAATTCTCCCTCAATAAAGTAAAAAGCTTCTATCGAACAGCCCCACTAAATTAAAAAATGCACTTCAATAGGTCTGCTTTCCCTCCGCAAAGGGCTAGCAAACAAGAAAGGCATAGCATGCTGTGCACGGCATCGCAATGTCAGATAGCTGCTGACTCCAGTAATTCATCATTGAATTGAAAGCATTACATACGGGAAGAGCAAAAATCTAATTCCAGCTCATTTCAATAAGAATTGATCTAAGGGTTCATTACATAAAGTAATTTTTACTAACACAACTTTGAACGCGTCCTCCAACAAGGGTTAGAATCTCTCCCATGATAGCGGGAGCCGATCAGGGGAAATCTGCATGCAGATAAATGCTGCCTGCTAAGTTGCAGATTCCTTGCGTTCAATTTAACTAAGTTGTTTTTCTTTTTTAATGTTTGCTTAATATTGGAGAGGGCTGGGAAACTGGAGTTAGGGATTATTTTTAAAAGAGATCTAGGGGCCAGACGCAGTGACTCATGCCTGTAATCCCTGAACCTTTGGAGGCAGACGCAGGAGGGTTGCTTAAGCCCAGGAATTCAAGACCAGCCTGGGCAACATAGTGAGACACTATCTCTACCAAAAAAAAAAAAAAAATTTAAAATTAGTCGGACATGGTGGCATGCTCCTATAGTCCCAGGAAGGCCGAGGTGGGAGGATTGCTTGAGCCCTGAGGTCAAGACTCCAGGGAGCTGTGATCACGCCACTGCACCCCAGCCTGGATGACAGAGTGAGATCCTGTCTCAAAAAGAGGGTGGGGGAGGGGATCTAGGATCTCAAATGCAGATTCATTTGTCTCCATGAGCTGTGCAGCCTTAACTGCACTTCTCTAACTCTAGTACTTCGTCTATAAAAATACTTATATTTCATGTGATAATTGAATAAGAAAATGGACGTAAAGTACTTCACAGAGGTTAAAGTTCCTGATGAAAGGTAGCTTTTAAAAAGCTCATAAACCGTTCACTAGTTCATGATCTCAAGACATTAATACCTACCTGGCCTGACAGCCTTTAAAAGAGTGAACGAATGTGTGTGGTATGCAATGACTGTTAGTTCCAATCTCCTCCCCTTTGAGTGGGCTTGAGTGAAATCCTCCAACATCCAAATATACCCAGGCTTGTGTCTGATTGGCCCAGCAGTGAGACTCAAATAGCTGAGTCTTCCATCAAGAACCTTAACCTCTGCTAGCTGGACCAAGATACCTGATTCCTTAAGCAAAAGAAACAATTTGTCTATCTCTTTTTTTTTCCTTTTTGAGACGGAGTCTCACTCTGTCACCCAAGCTGGAGTCCATCGGCTCAATCTTGGCTCACTGCAACCTCTGCCTCCTGGATTCAAGCGATTCTCTTGCCTCAGCCTCTCAAGTAGCTGGGATTACAGGCGCTTGCCACCACACCCGGCTAATTTTTGTATTTTTAGTAGAGATGGGGTTTCGCTATGTTGGCCAGTCTGGTCTCGAACTCCTGACCTCAGGCGATCCACTCGCCTCGGCCTCCCAAAGTGCTGGGATTAAAGGCATGAGCCACCCCACTCGGCCTCCTCTATCTCTTATTAAATAGGTTTTTCTAGGCTCAAAGAACAGACCTCTGGCTAAATTCAGAAGTTCTTAACTTTGAATACTCATTGGGGTCATCAGATGAGGGATGGGGGGCTTTGAAAAACCCTGTGCCCAAGCTGTACCCAAAACCAGTTAGATTCTCTGGGCATGGGACCCAGATGTCAGTATTTTTTAAAGCTCCCAGATGCAACAACAAAAAATAAAATAAAATAACCCAATTAAAAAATGGGCAAAGGACTTGAATAGGCATTTCTCCAAAGATGGTATATAAATGGTTCTATGTTCCTGGAACAGGGGAGCCAAGACAGGATGTGGTGGGAGGTGGGCTAGGAAGATTTAGTCCTCAGACTTCTGCCACGCACGGGTTTGAGGGCAATGGGGAGGGAGCCTTGGAACGTGTTAAGCAGATGAGTAATCTAGTCAGATTGACGTTTCTGGAAAATTACTCTCACTACAAAATAAAGAGTAGATTGGATGGTGTGTGACCAGAGGCAGAAAGACCAGTTTGGAGTCGCTGGGTGGACCCAAGGTCAAACATTTCTAGGACAGTGGTTCTTACACATGCCTGGAAATCTTCTGTAGGGCTTGCTAGAGCACAGATTGATTCAGTAGCTCTGGGCTGCAACCAAGAATTCACATTTCTAACAAGTCCCCAGGCAATGCAGGTGCTGCTGGTCTGGGAACCTGACTTTGAGAACCACTGCTCTAGGTGGTAGTGATGTTAGAAGGGGGGTTCATTTGGAAAGCAGCTTCACAGTTCTAGGCTGGTGGTTCTAGGTCAAGATTTAATGCTGGCTGCACATTAAAATCACCTGGAGAGACTGGGCCCCACCACATCCCCCTTCACTGATTCATCTGATCTTGGGTAAGGTCTAGGTGTGAGCACTGAGAAGCCTGCAAATGACTCTAGTGTGAAATCCGGGGCGAAAACCAATCCTTGCTGCTCAAAGTGTGGTCCACGGCCCAGCATCTTCAGCACTATCTGGTAATGAATGAGAGCTGCATCCCAGACCCACAGAACCAGCCTCTGCATTGTAACACAGTTTCCCAGTGGTTCCTTTGCACGTGAAAGTTTGAGAAGCATGGATGTAAATAGCATCTGGCCTGAAATGGGATTCCAGAAACAGCTGGAAGCACAGGGGAGGTGGAATCCAGCCCCCAGCATGATAACCCGGACAAGGACTCTGGGGAGAAGAGAGATTCATTCATTTATTCCAATGGACTATAATGACCTTCCCTGTGTGCTGGGCATTGTGCCAAGTGCTACAGAAATAGGAGGCAGGCACCTGGCCTCAAGGCCAATAAGACATGACAATAATAAAATGAAAGGCCAAGAGCTCTCACGATGAAGTTCTAGAGGTGCTTCTGAACGGGGGCCAGGTCAGCAACTCCAGCACCAGCTCCCTGAGAGCAAGGACCTCTCCCCAGCACACAACATGCCAGGCACCTGCCAGATTTCCATAAATGTTTGCTGAAAGAATGCCAAATTCGGTGGCACTGGAGGTGGACCTTCCAGGTGGGGAAAAATTACTATGGGCAGAAATGAGCCAGGACTTTGCAAATCGACAGACCCCCCAGGGCCAAACCAGGTTATGGTAAAGGCCAGGATGTGTGTGAGGGACCAAGTGCATGGTGCCATTTGGCTGGATCTAGATCTGGTCAGCACTCTTTCTCTGCACAGAGCCAGAGAGTAAACATTTCAGGCCTTGTGGGCCATGCAGTCTCTGTTGAAACAATTCGACTCTGCCCTGATACTGTGAAAGCAGACATAGACAATCAGTAAACACATGGGTGGCTGGATTCCAATCAAACTATCTACAAAAGCAGGCTGCAAACCAGATTTGGCCCGAAGGCCCCTGATCTAGAATAAGAGAGGAAAAAGCTGGAGATGAAGCCGCAAAGGTAACTTGGAGGTCGTTAGGAGATCACAGAAGGCCTTGGCTACCACGCAAGGGAGGGCAGACCTTGAATCAGCAGTGGGAAGCTCTATGTTGGACATTAAAGTGCAAGGGTCAGCTTGGAGGACTCCATCAGACAGAAATGTGTGAGATAAGATCAGGAGCTGGGGGAGGAGAAGTGGGGTCAGGGGGACCTTTAGGAGATTTGGGGTGGCTCCCAAAGTTCTAGACAACCAAGAGCCAGAGCAGCGGCACCCAAAGAGAAAAACTGGGGTGCAAGAGATGCTTTGGTGGCCAAGGTAGTGAGGGAAAAGGAGGGGTTGGTTGGAAACAGTGCATTTTCTGGTCACTGGGGTGATGAAGAGGATGCTGTAGGCAAAGACAGGGAAGCTGGCAGGATCTTGGGGAGTGAGGATCTGGATCTGGAAGCTCAGGGAAAGCATGTTGAGCCCAGCAAAATCCGAATCTGCGGCAGCATGAGGCCCCCCATCGACTCCCCATCGCCCCACCCTCCCACCCCAACACACCCAAGCGCAGAGGCATCTGGAGACAACATTTGGGAAAAGCAAGAGTAAAAGGTTAAAATGCAGGGCTGGACTGGCTGCTGTTGTTCCCAAAGATATGAATCTGAGAGACAGAGCTCACCCCAGGCTGGGGTGAATCCCTGCATTCGGGAGCCAGAAGGAGCTTCAGAGCAGCACTCCTCAAACCTCAATGTGTCGCAAACCCCCTAGAGAGGCTGTTAAGTAAGATTCTGCTGCAGCAGGCTGAACTAGAGGCCCAGACCTTGCAATTCCAACAAGAGCCCAGTGGTGCCGATGCTGCCAGCCCAGGACCACACTTTGAAAATCGAGACCATGAACTCATTCCTCTAACGTCTGTTGTCACCTAAACGAGGACAGTGAGGATCACTGTGCTACCATTTGGTTGAGTGACTAAAACACACTAGTCACTGGAGATACTGAGAAAATAGCAAAAGGAGCTAACATTTGAGCCCTTGCTATGAGCCAGACACCACCTAAGAAACCTCCATCTGTCACTCATCCATTCCTCGCAGGGGAAGGACCAGCCATGAGGCAGGCTTCACGAGTGCCCCCGTTCTCCAGACGATTTAATGGCCTCAGCACAAGGCAGCCACACTGCAGAGCTAGAACTCCATCGCTGCACTCAAAGAGGACAGCAACGGACCACCTAGGCAAGCTATGCGTCCTCCTAATCGAGGCAAGCTCTTCAACTACATTGGACTCAAGGCATCATGAACCTCCTAAGTGAAGTGGGCTGCAGGGATCACATATCTGCTAGCAGTAGGGACACCCACGGGGCCATGTGGCTAGGATGTTACCCATGGACAATTCTTTCGCTTTGCTTCTGAGACACTAAAGCACTAAGCCCTTAGACGAGACACTTCCACAGAGCCCATGTAATGCAAATAAATGCCCCCAAATAAAAGGGAAATAATCTGGTGCAGAATTTTGTAGCTGGTGCGTATTTGATGGGCATGATTTTCAGAAGTGGCTCCCAGCCCCTTTGTCAAGGTCCTGGGGTGCAGTTCCTGCCAGGTGTTGCGATACTACCACCTAGTGGCAATGTGGAGGTCTGCTGCGGAAGTCGAAGCGTCTAAACCCCCAAAACAACAGGGTAGGCTGCATTCTGTTAACACCAGTCTGGGCGGTGGCTGTTTTTAGCTGGGTCTCTCCTTCTGTGCCACTTTCATCATGGAAACTGGCTCTCTAGACCCAAAAAAAGCTGCGACGTGCTCTGCAAAAGCTGTTTGAGGGCCAATTTTAGCTGCATTTCTTGGAATTTGGGCTCCCAGGAGGAAGGAGGGATGTGCGGTTTCAGGAAGCTGTGCATCTTCTTCCTGGAGGCTGTTCTGGCCATGAGATCATGGATCCCTTTGGGTTCTGCACTGCACCCTGCAAAGGAGTATTTGGGTTTTATACATGGCAGCAACTGTGTCCTGGGAGAGTTTTCTTCATGTGGATCAAGAGCTTTCTTCATATGGATCATTTCATTGATGCTTACAAATAACCCTACAAAGACATTTAGAATGATGCCCATTTTACAGATGAGGAAATCAAGAGTTGGGAAAGTTAAGTGACTTGGCCAAGGTCATAGAGCTGGTACCTACCAGAGCCATGATTGCAACTCCAGAGTTTGTCCTCTACACCCAGAACCCAAACAAAGCATTAATCAAGAGTTCAAAGTCCCAGGTTCACCCACACTCTGCTGCCAATTCACTGTCTGACTTTGAGCAGGTCATTTAACCTCTCTGGGTCTCAGTCTCCTCGATGATAAAATGGGTGTGTTCCTCATAGATCCTGCTTCACAAGGTTATATGAGGATCCAAGAAGAAATCTGATATCCTTTGACTCAGTGGTTCTGTTTCCTGGCCTGGGGGACATCAGACTCCCAGAGTGTTCTACAGATTCCAGGAGATGGATGAGGATAGGCTCAGGATCGTGACACATGAAACTCTGCTCCATGAGCTGGGGACTGCCATTTGTTTGATTACCATTGTGCAAAGAGCTTAGTTAGCCCCTGGTAGGAAACTGAAGAGATGACCACCTACTATGTGTCAGGCCCTTATGCTGCGCATTGGATGTGCAAACGTAAGTGAGACATAGAGTTCATGGCCATGTGGCAGAGACTGACAGGTAGCCACGTGGACCCCTATACATTAAGGACTGTGACGGAATAAATATGGGGTGGAGGAGAGGGATATGGGATCACAGAAGGTCCCCGATCTAGCTTGACAGGATAGGCACCAGAGAAGCCTTCCTAGAAGATCTGACTCTAGTGGAGCCCACAAAGCTGTTAATCAGGTAAGAAAGGAAAGAAAAGAAGACTCTTGAGAGATCTGCAGGCCACGTGACATGCCAGTGCCCTGGAGGTCAACCTGACCCAAAGACAGAAGCTTTACCAGACTGCACCATCTCCAGAATCCTAGAAATCTCTCAAGTTCCTTCCCTTCCCGCTGCTTTCCAAAGCAACCAAGTCACTATTCACCTAATAACAAACAAACAACAACAACAACAAATTAGCCATTGTCCATGTCAGCCAAGGTCCAATTTCATGCCTTAAGATTTTGGACAGGTCATTGGAAGGCTATCCATCCCTGCTGCCACCATGCCAAGCCTCAAAATGCTAAATTAAATATAGGTAAAATGACAGGCTCACTTTTCCTATCTTTTACCTTGCTTGCAGATGGCTGTCACCTAGTCGGGGACCTGCAGGTACAACTGTTTAATATCTCACTGTTTCTTCACTGATACAATGTTGTCCTCCAGGAAATAGCCAGCAATGTCTGGAGACATGTTTGGTTGTCATAACCAGGGGGTGAGAGAGATGTTGCTACAGGCATCTGGTGGGTAGAGGCCAAGGACACTGCTCAACATCCCACAGTGCGCAGAACAGCCCCTACCACAAAGAACGATGTGGCCCAAGACACCACTAGTCCAGAGGTGGTAAAACCCTGTTGCATCCTGTTGAGCTGACCATGGAGGGCACTAAAGGAAGCCATTAGGCCACTGATGAGCATTCAGAGCCCTCCTGGATAGAGATGGAGGGAAAGGGGATGTGAAGTTTTCTATCTGACTTTATTTTTACCATATTGCATTATTCATCCATGTGGTTTTCAGTATTTTACCCCATCACTGACCATCAACACTGCCCCAATTCCTGGGAAAAATCAGATGGTACCTCAGCCCTTTCCTATTCTCCATTCATTCCACCCACGTGGACTGAGCACCTAATGCATGCCAGGCACACGATGGTGCTTAAGGCATAGCCTCTGCTCTCAGAAGCATTCAGTCTCCTGCAGAAGGCAAGTTTGGCCCCTTATGTGACTGGAGAAATAGGACACCAGGTGCCACGACTCCAGGGGCGCCACCTCTCACCTTGTAGTCTATGGGAATGGCGCCCCTGGAGGACGGCTTCAGAAAAGCAGGTGAAGTTGCCTCTGGGGTTGACCAATGTGGCAGCCTCTGAAATGCTAGAAAACAGGAAAAGGCAGATCAGTGGGGAGGGGGAGCTTTAGCTGTGCCTTAAAGGCAATGGAGGAGGACAAGGAACAGACAGGGAATAATATGGACAGATAGTGGAATGAACGGACATATGTCTAATACATACCAACAAGAGTGTCAGATACAAAACCACTACAATAGACGTTGCAATACCACTTTACAATATAAAGCTCACTCAAGACTTAATAATGTGCTAGGGGCCTTCACGAATTATCTTCCTTTGCCCACACATTAACCCTGGAAACAGATATTATTATCATCTGCAAATTGCAGATAAGGAAGGTGAGGCTTCATAATTACATATTTTACTCAAAGCTGCCCAATTCCAAGGTGGCAGAGCTGAAACTGGATTGTGAATGTTGATCATATGAACTTCATCATTCTTGTCACACCCAACTAAAAAAGAGTTGAAAAGTCAGGGGGGAAAATGCACTCAGGACACATAATATTGCTGCAAGAATGTTATTCTCTGCAAGTCCAGCTGCTGAGACTGCCTGTTGTAACCTGAGACTAGTTTTATCGATAACTGCTGAGATAAAGTGCTGCAACTCTAGGACTAATTTCATCTACTGCCATCGCCCACCAATCAAGCTTGCCAGCTCCCCAGAAACGTCTAGAGCCAATGAACATTCTCAACAAGCAATACACAACATTTCTCTTTGCCATAAAACCTCCAACTTTCTCTTTGTTCTTCAAATGTACCAAAGTCCGCCCAGTCTGTGTGCAAGCCCCAAACTGCAATTCTTTCTTCCCAAATAAAACATTAAATTAAGAAATTCATCACCACATTTTTATTTTGATTTTGCCAGAACCCATGGAGTTTAATTCCAAAAACTATATGCTTAACAGCT
Source organism: Homo sapiens (assembly GCF_000001405.40). NCBI lineage: Eukaryota > Metazoa > Chordata > Mammalia > Primates > Hominidae > Homo > Homo sapiens. Next base: position 9,255,344 of record NC_000016.10, on the reverse strand, counting down.
CCCCTATTAGCTGAGAAGAAAACTGTTCAAAAGCCCAGTAAGCAATGAGCATATGAGAGTTCAGGGAGCTAGCTGAAGCAGAAAATTTACTGGAAGAAGTAAAGAGACAGGCTCTGAAAAGCATCAAATGCTGGACTAAGCAGCCTGACCCTTGACACTGTAGAACTGGGAAGGCACATAGGTTTCCTCCTGTGATCCACCCTAGTTGATAGCTAGCTATGGGGAGAAGCAGTAAGGAGAGGAGTTTGAGGCTTGCTGTAATTGATTAGTGATGTCTGCCTTGAGTGTAGGAATGGGGGATAACAGCACACTTAGTCTACACTTGCCATTCCTGATGTGGGCAATAAGGAGCCATTACAAGTTTCTGAGCAAGGAGTGCTTTAGTAGGACTACTCAGGCTATGATATGAAGAGTAGAGACCAGAGCAGAGATAGCTGGGATTCTACGGAAAGCAGCATTTTCTTCAAAATATGGAACCTGCAAAAGGCAACCTGCTCCAACAAACTTGATCAAATATTTTTACAATTATCTCCACTCCCTGAATAGTTGTTTTAACTCTACTAACCTCATTCAAGAGTTCCACTGATGGCAAGTCCAAGGAACTCCAACAGTGCTTCCCCCCCACCAAGGAATATTCCTCATTATAATTTTGTTCTCATATAACTTTGACTAATTAGAACACTTGGGAAGGAAGGGGTGGCAGACAGGCTCAGGGAATCACGACAATAAGCAAGAAGGATTTAATCACCATCTGGTAATTCTAAATTACTATCCACAGTGTCCCAACATGGAAATGTCTTCTCCAAAAGGTGCCTTATTTGAGAGGTGTGGAGTGAGGTGGCCAGTAGCCAGAGGGCACCTCAAGGTGTCCCTCCCACAGCACACAAGCAAAAGAGCTCCTGTGCTGGTCAGAAAAAAAACCTACCATGGCAAAGTCAACTGCAAGGTATTAACAAGACAGACTAAAATCATAAAACAGAGACACAGGAATGAATCTTTATACATTCCTTCAACAAGTGCTTTTAACATCCTTACTGTGTGTCAAAGTACCTTAGAAGTGATACAGACATCTTCCCACTTTATGTTGAATCCACCCCACACCATCCATAGTGGACCATAGTGACTAATGTCTTCAGAAGCCCAGCACATCTTCCTCCATTACCCTTCTTCTAGTAACTTCTAGTAATTTCTACTCCCAATCATTGGGATGGACACATGACCCAGCCAGACCTGGCCAATCATGCTCAGTGATTGCTCCAGGAGTGGGCATACGATCCAAGCAGAGCCACACAGAGTCCTCTCCTGTGACGTTCTCTTGTAGTCAGGGTTGTGAAGGACGATGTGGAATCAGGAGCAATGGTGGCCATCTTCCCCACCACATGGACAAAGCAGAAGATGGAGCCAGGCAGAGGGAAGCAGACAGTCTCCACCTCCTTCAATTCTACAAAAGCTATCTGAGAATTCTTCCTGACTACATGAACCAATACATTTCCTCCCTTGCTGATACGGTTTGGCAATGTCCCTACCCGAATCTCATCTTGAATTGTAGCTCCCATAATTCCCATGTCATGGGAGGGACCTGGTGGAGGATAATTGAATCATGGGTGCAGTTTTCCCCATACTGTTCCCATGGTAGTGAGTAAGTCTCACGAGATCTGATGGTTTTATCAGGGGTTTCCTCTTTCGCTTGGCTCCCATTCTGTCCTGTCTGCCACCATGTAAGATGTAAGTGCCTTTCGCCCTTCACCGTGATTGTGAGGCCTCCCCAGCCACACGGAACTGTGAGTTCATAAATCTCTTTTTCTTTATAAATTACCCAGTCTCAGGTATGTCTTTATCAAGCAGCCGTGAAAACAGACTAATACGCTTGCCATGAGTTATCATCTCACCCCAGTTAAAATGGCTTATATCCAAAAGACAGGTGATAACAAATGCTGGTGAGGATGTGGAGAAAAGGGAACCCTTGTAAACTGTTGGTGGGAATGTAAACTAGTACAACCACTATGGAGAACAGTTTGGAGGTTACTCAAAATACTAGAAGTTTCCAGAAGAGTTTTGACTGATACATCATCCATGACTCACATCTCCACTTGGTATCCTCCAGGGATTGGGGAACTGATGGGGGACTCACTCTCTTGAGGTAACCCTTCTACTTTGAGGCACTTTGCCAGAAATCTCTTTCTTAGAAAAAGCCAAAATTTCCCTCATGGGTCCTCCAACCCTTGAATTCTGGTTCTGCCCTCTGGAGTTCCCCAGTCTGAATCTATGACACTGCTGTATAATATCTGCTAAACATGCATTTGCAAGATGCATGCCTTCCCCCAGGCACATCACACACACACACACACACACACACACACACACACACACTAACCCCAAGCCACCTCTTTGCTTGGATGAGCACCTGAGTTCAACCTACTGTTCTGCATTTGACATGGTATAATGGTGCATCTGCATTCAGGCAAGGCTGGATCTAGGGGAACATATGAAATAAATCATCAGGACACTATCTCACCTTTTCTTTGTTCTAATTTCTTCAGTCTTGGCTGTGTTCACAGATAAACTCTTTCCACCTAGAAAATGGACCTGACAGCTCATACATCATCTTCACAGCTGATTATACCAATTAACAGCAACTCGCCCATGATAGGAAGAGTTCCGATTTGCCTGGGGGAGGAGGGGTGGGTAACATGCTTTTGTTGAGCCAATCATTGTGGCCAGAGGAATTCAGAATTCCTGTGGCCAGTCATGGGTGATGTGCCTATCTCTTTGTAGGGGGAAAGCAGGGAAAGGCTCCCAGCATATTGGAAGTTACCAGAAAGCTGAGAGGAGAGGAATGGGAGAAAGGGAGAGGAAGTTGGCTTGAGAAGGGAACGCTCTAGTAAATAGCATTTGATCTACATGATTTGCAGAACTTCCACCTTCTAGGTTCTCTCCTGGACATGGTTCGAGCATCACCCTGCAAGGGTGGTACCTGGGTCTGAACCAGGTCAGGAAACATCATTTCATCATCACCTTCTTTTCTTGTGTATTGAGCCAGCCCAGACTCACATTATCCCCTTGGAAGTCACATTTCATCCTCACTCCCACTGAAGTTACCAGCAACATGCATGCACACACACACACAGGACACATAGCACATGTGCACACACACACACAGACACATACATAGATTCACAAATATAAACACATATTTACACATGCATATGTATTCATACAGAGACACATAAACACATACAGCCATGCATACACAGATATGAACATAGAACATAAATATGCATGCATATGCATGTACACATACATAAACACACAGCGATCCACATACACACACGTGCAGGCATACACACAAGGATACACATACACATATGCATACACACAGATGTGCACACATACACACATTAACATATCTATACACACTTACCTTAACACATGCACACACCTACACAGACATACACACGAACTCAGAGGCACACAGAAACATGTATACACACATGCACATACATACACAGACAGACATAAACATACACTCACACAGAGACACATGCAAACACATCTACACACATACACATACATAAAGGCTCCTCACATGAGCTGCTGAGGACAAAAGAACACCTCACATCACCTGGAATGAAGACCCCACACACCCACATGCCTTCAGGTCCATTCTCACTGCAAATAAGACTCCCAAGTTAAAAAAGCCAAACCATGGCCGGGCGCGGTGGCTCACACCTGTAATCCCAGCACTTTGGGAGGCCGAGGAGGGCAGATCATGAGGGCAGTAGATCGAGATCATCCTGGCTCACACGGTAAAACCCCGCCTCTACTAAAAATACAAAAAATTAGCCAGGCTTGGTGGCATGCACCTCTAGTCCCAGCTACTCGGGAGGCTAATGCAGGAAAATCACTTGAACCCAGGAGGCGAAGGTTGCAGTGAGCCGAGATGGCGCCACTGCACTGCTGCCTGGGCAATAGAGTAAGACTCCGTCTCAAAGAAAAAAAAAAAAACACCATGTGTTCCCTGCCCACCTCCCAGAGCCTTCAGCCTAACATTGGCTTCTCCCATCACCATGGAAACCACACCACCCCCCAGCACTTGCCATTCAGGAACTTTTGTGGCATTCCTGAATGTCAAAATGACATCGATATTTTCCAGAGAGGTGACCCTAATTTTGAGCACAACTCAAAGGACTCCTTGAAGATAGAATGCAGGCTGACTTCTCTGGCCCCGGGTGAGTCACCAGAGAAGGAAGGCAATGTTGTTGGTCTGCTTTCTTTTGTGTTCCTGCTTTTTATGTTATAAAATGGGCCTCAGGAATAAAATCATGATTGATAACATTGTGTGTTTTGGAAAGATGGGTGCTCTGAGGCTCAGAGAAATGAAATAATCAGCCTAAGGTCACACAGCAGAACACTTCTAAAAAAAATTTTTTATTTTTAATTTTTGTGGGTATATAGTAGGTGTATATATTTATGGGCATATGAGAGACAGATGGATAGATAGATAGATAGATAGATAGATAGATAGATAGATAGATAGATAAATAGTTTGCTGTTTGTTTGTTTTGAAAACGAAGTCTCACTCTGTCACCTGGGCTGGAGTGCAATGGCCCAATCTTGGTTCACTGCAACCTCCGCCTCCCAGGTTCAAGCGATTCTCCTGCCTCAGCCTCCCAAGTACCTAAGATTACAGGCACCTGCCACTACTCCCAGCTAATTTTTGTATTTTTAGTAGACACAAGGTTTCACCATGTTGGCCAGGCTGATCTCGAATTCCTGACCTTCCTGGCTAACATGGTGAAACCCCGTCTCTACTAAAAATAAAAAATTAGCCAGGCGTGGTGGCAGGCGCCTGTAACCCCAGCTACTCAGGAGGCTGAGGCAGGAGAATCACTTGAACCCCAAGGCAGAGGTTACAGTGAGCCAAGATCACACCACTGCACTCCAGCCTGGGTGACAAGAGTGAGACTCTGTCTCAAAAAAAAAAAAAAAAAAAAAAGAAATGGGCAACATAGTGAGATCCTGTCTCTACTAAAAATATAAAAAAATTTGCCAGGTGTGGTGGTGCACACCTGTCATTGTAGGTACTTGGGAGGCTGAGGTGGGAGGATCACCTGAGCCCAGAAGGTTGAGGCTGCAGTGAGCTGTGATTGTGTCTCTGCACTCCAGCCTGGGCGACAGAGCAAGACCCTGTCTCAAAAACAAAACAAAACAAAACAAAAAGATAATACAATACACATAAAGTACTTAGCGCTGTGCTGGGACCAAGTGGGTGCTGAACACAGGCCGTCCATCATCACTACTCTTATTAACATCACTGTTATTTCAGTTATTTCAGATGTGCCAGTAGGGTCTCTTTTATTCCAAGTGATATATGCCAGTGTGCCAGGATTTAGTATTTCTGTACATGACACTGTTATTCTGCTATAGACAGAGACATGGGATATTTTCACTTTGTTATTTATACCGATAGGGAAGGTGTCACTGTTGGTTACGTACATAGCGATCAGGCACTTTACTCTGTTATTTTTAAGCCAGAGTTTCTGGATGTTATGTATGTAGTTAAGATATGTGTATATTTACTTCTCACAATCCCTACAGATCTGGCATGTTTGGGTTGGTTAAATATGCTTGGCTCCTGTCACCAGCATGCACGGTGCTACAATCTCAGAAGAGACTGAGGAAGACACAGCTAGAGTGACCCATTCTCCAAGTGTGCCTGGGACTGAGGGGTTTCCCTGGGGTCAGGACTTTCAGGTGTAAAACCAAGAAAGTCCTAGGCAAAGCAGGACTAGTTGGTCAACCTAGACACCACCAAGGTCAGCAGTCCCCAAATACCACTTGTTCATACCCCACACGCCTAACCACTTAGGAGCACGGATTCTGGAGTCAGGGGTCTCGGTTCAAATCTCGCTCCACCAGTCAGTCACGCAGGCTGGGAAAGATACTGAAGTTTCTCCACCTCCTTTTGCTCAAGTGTAAAATGGGGCTAATAATGGAACTAACTGCAATGACTATGAGAATTTAATGAGTTAATAAATAGAAAATGCTTAAAATCATGCCTATCCCAGGGAAAGGACTCAATAAACCTTTGCTCTTATTATATCTGCCACTACCTCTAGTATCTATTTAAATATTTTCTAGATCTACACAATCTTAAAAGGCTTAAATGCATCTATTGTAAAATTAAATGGTACATCACTACCCTAATTGGAAAGCCAGTCCTGTTAATCATAAATAGAAGGTAACTGTAAACATAAGTGTGTAACTATTTACCAAGTAGAAGCAGCTAACACCCCACTAATGGGATGCCAACACCCTTTGGAAACCCTGATTTCTAGCCCACTTGCTCCATACAAGTGGAAATAGGCTGAGAAACAGAGAGGAACAAGGCAAGATGGAGTCAGGGCTCAGAAGCCTGCTGTATGGACTCCACATCTAAGCCCATCACACTGTGCCCTAGGGCCATTAAGAAAGGGCAGGTAGGCTCACATCTGTAATCCCAGCACTTTGGGAGGCCAAGGCGGGCGGATGACTTGAGGTCAGGAGCTCAAGACCAGCCTGGCCAACACCATGAAACTGCATCTCTACTAAAAATACAAAAAAAATTAGCCAGGCATGGTGGCACATGCCTATAGTCCCAGCTACCTGGGAGGCTGAGGCAGGAGAATGGCTTGAAACCGGAAGGTGGACGTTGCAGGGAGCCAAGATCGCGCCACCGCACTCCAGCCTGGGCGACAGAGCAAGACTCCGTCTCAAAAAAAAAAAAAAAAAAGAAAAAGAAAAGAAAGAAAAAAAAACAAAGGGCAGGTAGGAGACAGTCATTTTCCACAGGTTGGCCCTTTTCAAAGCAGATATCTAAAATGCCTCTAGTCAGTCCTCACCTAGCCTGGTCCTCAGCAGGCAGGTTAGAGTCAGGGTTAAGGCAACTCCCTGCACTTGCTCTGCCCCCTTAGGACAAGTCACTTCACCTCTCTGGGTCTCAGTGAACTCCATCTGCAAAATGAGCATAATAATGTCTGCCTCACAGGGTCACTGAGAGGATCAGACAGGATAAAGGTAAACACATCTTGTGGCTTTGAATGCATTCAAGAAACGTTCCTGCTCACCATCTGGCCTTGTCAAATACTAAGAATTAATTTGTGGAAGCTTTTCATTACTTGGGTGGGAACGGTCTCATTCCCCTAACCCCAATTGCCTCAATGAAAACTAGGAAAGATGTATCATCAGAAAGCTCTTTAGAGAGCCAAGAAGGAAGGGATGTTAATTTTACCACTTTTAGGCAATTGTTCTTTTTTTTTAATTGTACTTGAAAATCTGGGCTCCCACTTAAGAATACTTCAAACAGTGAGCTTGAATCACAGTATGAACTTCAAGTGACAGGCTCATAATACAATTAGAGCAACTGCTTATTATCTTCTATTATTGAATAATATGTTCATTAATAGCTCTCCCCTTCCTTTATTATAACAGTCTCCTGCTAAAAATAAACATAAACACCGAGACCCAGGATGTTGGAGAGCTGAACTTCACCACAGAGTGACCAGCAGCTGTACTGGGTGGGACCAGGGATCCAGCATTCAGTGGCTGTATTAGTCCATTTTCACACTGCTGATAAAGACATACCTGAGACTGGGTAATTTATAAAGAAAAAGAGATTTAATGGACTCATTTCCACAGGACTGGGGAGACCTCACAATCATGGCAGAAGGTAAAAGGCACAACTCACATGGCAGCAGACAAGAGAGAATGAGAGCCAAATGAAAGGGGTTTCCCCTTATAAAACCATCAGATCTCATGAGACTTACTCACTACCATGAGAACAGTATGGGAGAAACAACTCCCATCACTCAATTATCCCCGACCAGGTTCCCCCAACCAACATGTGGGAATTATGGGAGCTACAATTCAAAATGAGATTTGGGTGGGGACACAGCCAAACCATATCAGTGGCCGTGACCAAGTCCAACCTGGAGCCACCCCTTTGATCTGCTGATCCAGGAGCCCTTGCCTGCCAGGTTATATGGAGACAGAAGGAAATGAAAGGCCCTGCATACATTTTATCTGGTGTCATCCTCACCACATCCCTATAAAGCAAGTTTTATTACCATGTCTTCTCTTTCACAGATGAAGAGACTGAGGGTCAGAGAGGCTCCTTGACGTGCCCAAGTCACACAGCAAGGAAACGTCAGAACCAGGATGTAAACCCTGCTCTGTCTGACTCCATTACACTAAGCCCAGATCTTTCAAAGGAAGATTTCTTTTTCATTTCCCTTTGATATGTGTTCCTGATAGTCCCAACAATCATTTCTCTACTTTGCAAAGATGTGTGCCTGTGTATGTGTCCTTTTTCACAAAATAGGCAATCATCTATCTCCTCCTCCTCCTTTACCTCCTTCTCCTCTTCCTCTAATTTGGGCACCCAAGACTAGAAATGGGGTGTCTCCATAGGATTATGAGAGACTGACTGTTTATGTGCTCAGAGTAACAACAGAGGAGGGCTGTGCTTTCTCCCTTCTGGGGCTAAAACTGACTTTGTGGAAGAGCTAGAAAAAGTCCTATAAATAGCTCTGGTACAGGCCAACCACCACCTTCAAGCCCTGGTGTTATATTCTCCTCCCTGTGATGACCCAGGAATTCAGGGAACAGAAGACCACAATTTTCAGGAATAATAGTGAGAACGCCCTGTCTAGAAATTATGTTCATCCTACACTTGGGCTCTTCCTCACTCACCCCCCAGCTCCCTCCTGGTTTATTATCCCCATTTCATACAGGAGAAGCTTAAAGATCAAGGCCAGTCCTGTCCACTTGGCAGATGGAGAAACTGAGGTCCATGGAGACTCTGGTTAATTTTATATGTCAGCTCAGCCAGGCTGTGGTGCCCAGTTGTTTTGGTCAAACACGAGTCTGCATGTAGCTGTGAAGCTTTTTGGGGGATGTGAGTAAGATCCACAACCAGCCAATTTTACCCTTCATAACTGAATGGAACTCATCGAATTGTCTGAAGGCCTTAAGAGCAAAAATTGGGCTGGGCACGGTGGCTCATGCCTGTAATCCAACCACTTTGGATGGCCTAAACAAGAGAATGGCTTGAGGCCAGGAGTTCAAGACCAGCCTGGGCAACATAGTGAGACCCAGTCTCTACAAAAAAAAAAAAAAAAAAAGCAAAACTGAAGTTTCCCCAAGAAAAATAAACACTGCAACACAGGGCCGGGCACGCTGGCTCATGCCTCTAATCCCAGCACTTTGGGAGGCCAAAGCGGGTGCATCACTTGAGGCCAGGAGTTCAAGACCAGCCTGGGCAACATGACAAAACCCCGTCTCTACAAAAAATACAAAAATTAGCTGGGCGTGGTGGGGGGCACCTCTAATCCAAGCTACTCAGAAGGGTGAGGCAGGAGAATCACTCTAATCCAGGAGGCAGAGGTTGCAGTGAACTGAGATCATGCCACTGAACTCCAGCCTGGGTGACAGGGCAAAACTCCATCTCAAAAGAAAAGAAAAGAGGAAAGGAAAAGAGAAGGAGAAGGAGAGGAGGAAGGAGCAACATAGATAAACTGCCTGCATTTCCAGCCCGCCTGACTTGTGCCATGAATTTCAGATTCAAGACTGCAACATCAACTCTTACCTGAACTTCTAGCCTGTCAGCCTGCCTTACAGACTTCAGACTTTCCAACCCCTACAATCATATGAGCCAATGCCTTAAAATACACACGTGTGCACGCACACACACACACACACATACACCCCACTACTGGTTCTGTTTCTCTGTAGAACTTCAGTTAATACAGCAAATAAAGCAGACAGAGCCCCTGGGGATGGAGACCATGGAGGAATTCAAGAATGACGCCCCTACTATGCTCAAGGAGCTTTTGTATGTGTTATCAAATCCTCACCCACCATCCATAAAGACAGTTTTGCCATTTCTCCAGGATTCAGAGAGCTTAAGTGACTCGCCCAGGGTCACCTAACTGAAAATCAAACCCATAACTGTCTGCCTCCAACATCCACACTCTTTCATGCACCAACTACAGTGCCCTCAGAAACATGGTATCAGAGAGTCCAGGAGCATCACTTTTTTCCAGAATGCCAAAAGGAGCTCTTTCTCAAGTCCTTCCGTGAAAAGTCATCAAGGTCAAAAACCAACATGCATTTCTTCTAGATGCAAAGAATGGAAAACCCAACTCAAGCTCCCTTGGGTAACAAAGGGCACTTTTCCACTCCCATGTGTGGGAGGCCCAGCGGCAGATCTTAACACCTGAGCTGAGAACAGAGGTGCCAAGAGCATCATGAGAGTTTGATTTCTGTTGCCATCCCTCCTCTGGATGATAACCATCCCAAGCTCCTCATTGTGGCCTTGGAAGCCTGCAGCTTTCATCACTGGAACTGCCAGCAGTTTCTCTGGAAAGAGAAATCCTCCCTGAGAGTTTAAAGACTTGGAATTAAGAATTGTGGGCCTGGTTTAGCTCTCTTCTCTCTTGCCAGAACTAACTGAGATGCAACCCAACAAAGGCCATACTGTTCCTGGACCAAACCGAGGGTCAGGCTGCTTACTCTCACCGCCCAATAACCAGATACAGATGAACTGGGGAGGAAGACAGTTTTTATTTCTGTAACCAGGTACAGGGAGAAGGCCTGGAAAATAACACCAGACCAACTCAAAATTACAAAGTTTTCCAGAGCTCATATACCTTCTAAGCTATATGTCTACGTGTAAGCGTGCATTCATCTGAAGACATAAGTGATTAACTTCTCATCTGTAACTAAGAGCTAAGTCCTGAAGAACTTCCTCTGGAGTCTCATTAAATTTACTTAATCTAAATGGGTCCAGGTGCTGGGGAGATTACCCTTATCTTGTCTTCTGCTAAATCATGAAGGTTTGGGGAGTCCCTTCAGAACCCCAATAAACTTGTTTGTCGAAGCCTGGGGAGTTTCTTCAGACCTCCCAATAAACTTGTTTAATCCCAAATGGGTCCTGTTAAGAATTCCTTCGTTATCTTGTCATGTTTCAAGGCCCAGGAAAGGCCTAGGCAAAACTCTTGGGGGGCTTTTGTTACATTCCAGCCTTTGTATAAGGGCACTGGCCCTCTCAGCTCTTAATATTTAACTTCACCACTCAGTCAGTGCTGAAACAGTTGTTATGGAGGCCTACCAGTTCAGCTGTTAGGGAGACCTGGCTTGCCACAATACTATGTGACTTCAAATCCCTGCTCCATCACTCACCTGCTGGTGACTCTGGACAGTAACCTTAACCCTTCCTCCATTGTTCCATCTATAAAATAGATGTAAGAATTAGATTTCCCTCAAAGGATTGGGATGAGGATTAAACGGATTAATATGCATTTATGGGCCGGGCGCGGTGGCTCACTCCTGTAACCCCAGCACTTTGGGAGGCCGACGCAGGCGGATCACCTGAGGTCAGGAGTTCGAGACCAGCCTGACCAACATCATGAAACCCCATCTCTACTAAAAATACAAAAATTAGCTGGGCGTGGTGATGTGTGCCTGTAGTCCCAGCTACTCAGGAGGCTGAGGCCAGAGAATCGCTTGAACCCAGGAGGCAGAGGTTGCAATGAACCAAGATCATGTCATTACACTCCAGCCTGGACAACAAGAGCAAAACTCCACCTCAAAAAGGAAAAAAATGCATCTATAAAGTGATTGCAATAGTGACTAGCACACAGTAGTAGTGGTACATGAAGGTGACTGTTAATTGAATTACCAGAAGTAGGAATTGACAGGTGCATGCCCTCGCCTGAAGCCTGGTTCTGCCCCACGTGAGTCACAAGAATTAAAAGAGGCAGAGGATGATTCCCCTACAGGAAATGGATGTACAGTTAGCAAAGAAAGGAGAATTCGGAGCAGAAAGGCCAGCACAGCTGCTGTCTGATAAAGTGACCTCCATGAAATGCCACAATACCGGATTATTTTCTTTCCTATTAGAGACAAACCTAAGGTTGAAGCTGCCTTAAATTGAGATGATAAAAAATATCCTAATTATGTGCGAGAATAAAACAGAGCAGGTCATCCCGGCCTGCTGCTAGAGTTTCCTTTGTGTTTCTACCTACCAAAAATGAATCCAGGACAATCAGACATTTAAAGTCTACCTTTGGCCAGGCGAGGTGGCTCATGCCTGTAATCTCAGCACTCTGGGAGGCCAAGGCGGGTAGATCACTTGAGGTCAGGAGTTCGAGACCAGCCTGGCCAACATGGTGAAACCCCATCTCTACTAAAAATACAAAAATTAGCAAGGCTTGGTGGCACATGCCTGTAATCCCAGCTACTTGGGAGGCTGAGACAGGAGAATCACTTGAACCCTGGAGGTTGAGGTTGCAGTGAGCCGAGATCGTGCCACTGCACTCCAGGCTGGGTGACAGCAAGACTCAGCCTCAAAAATAAAAAATAAAGTCTACCTTTAACTCGTTCATTTGTTCTATAGACATTTAATGAGCCCTAGAGATGGATGTTCCCCCACGCTAATGAAGCTTCAGCTCCAGGGACCCTCATGGAAATAGGTTTCTTCCAAGGCCTTCTACCTAATTTGATATTTGTAACTCTGAATTATTTTCCTTAAGGAAGACCCCCCTAAATTGTATAAGCCTCAGGCTCCACAAAAACCTGGACTTGCCTCCATGAGTCCTTTTATGCGCAGAGTGATGAGAGGCTGAATGTACAGAGATGAAAGGCAGTCCTGTCCTGCAGGGCTTGAGTTATACAAGATAAATAAGCCCTAGAGTTCAGCCTAGTGCCTGCAGCTAACAATACTGTGTTGTGTATTTGAAGAGGATTTAATAATACTGTATTGTGTATTTAATAAGAGGACAGATCTGAGGGTATGTGTTCTTGCCATAAATAAGAAAGGAGAAAACCTTTGGAGGTGATGAAAATGTTTATTACATGGATGGCTGTCATGACTCCATGGGTGAGTACTGATCTCTAAATTCATCAAGTTGCATACATTAAATATGCTTTTCATATGTCAAAGAAGGAGGTGATTTAAAAATACAAAAGAAAAAGAAAGTAGTCATGTCTTGAAGGAGCTTCCCTCCATTGCAGAAAATTGAGAATGAGTATGAGGATCATTTCACAGGGAAAATATTTGCTATTCATTCATTCAATCATTAAATAAATATGTATTCATCCCCTACTATATGTCAGGCACTGCAAAGTCAAGGATGAAAAGGCAGGGAAGGGCTGTGCTTTCAAGGCGCTTACAATCGATCAATATCAAAAAAAAAAATTTCAGTCCAGGGCTGAGCACAGTGGCTCATGCCTGTAATCCCAGCAGTTTGGAAGGCCAAGGCAGGTAGAACGCCTGAGGTCAGGAGTTCAAGACCAGCCTGGCCAACATGGGAAAACCCTGTCTCCACTGAAAATACAAAAATTAGCCGGGTATGGTGATGTGCACTTGTAATCCCAGCTATTCAGGGGACTGAGGTAGAAGAATCACTCGAACCCGGGAGGTGGAGGTTGTAGTGAACCGAGATCATGCCAGTGCACTCCAGCCTGGGAGACAAAGAGAGACTTCGTGTGAAAAACAAAAAAAATCAGTCCAGAAAAATAGGATGAAGTGGTAAAGAATGACCGAGATGCTTGGTTGGGAAAGGGTTCTCAGTCGGGAAAGAAAAGCTGGTATATAAGTATGAAAAGTCCCAGCCGTGTAAAGATAGGGAATCGTTCTAAGCAGAAAGAAAAGCAAATGGCAAGGCCTAAAGAGGGGATGACTCCAGTGATGAAAGCAGCAGATGGAAAGCCAGCATGGCCAGCACAGAGTGGACCAAGGGGAGAGAAACAAGATGAGGTCAAAGAAGTAGGAAGGAGCTAGGTGTTGTAGGGTCTTAATGCCAGAGTGAGAGGGCTGGATTTTCACATTGGAAGCAATCAGGTTTTTAGACAAGAGAATGCTATGATCTTGTTGATATTACCAAAGAGTTCTCTGCCTGCCATGGACAGAACAGAGTGTCAGGCAGGAGCAAAGGCTAGTTAAGGGAACTCTGCCCCTATTCAGTTGGCAAACACCCCAAAGTTTCACAACCTATTGTTGTAGGTCAGGAGGAAACAGGCCTTCTCAGCTATTATTGGTGGGAATGTAAAATTGTACCATTCCCATAAGGGGGAATTTGGCAATATATAGGAAATTTACATATGCATTTGGCCACTGACTCATCAATCCCTGTCTTAGTCCTTTTGTGTTGCTACAAAGGAATGCCTGGGGCTGATTAATTTATAAAGAAAAGAGGTTTATTTGGCTCACAGTTCCGCAGGTTGTACAAGAAGCATGGCGCCAGCATCTGCTCCTGGTGAGAGCCTCAGGCTGCTTCCACATATGGCAGAACGTGAAGGGAGTTGGTGTGTGCAGAGATTACATGGCAAGAGAAGAGGCAAGACAGAGATGGGAGTGCCAGGGTCTTCTAACCAACCAGCTCTCACAGGAACTAATAAAAACGCACTCACCACTCTTCACCAAGAGTGGGCATTAATCTATTTGTGAGGAATCCACTCCCATGACACAAACACCTCCCATTAGACTCCATCTCCAACTTTGAGGATCAAATCTCGACATAAGGTTGTGTGGACAAACCTGCAAAATATAGCAATCCTACTCCCAAAAATCTATTCAAAAAATACACTACCAAAAAGACCAAAAAAAAAAAAAAAAGACTGTAGGGGGATGACTCTATTCTTTGCAGCATCATTTGTGATGGCAAAGACTGGGAATCACCTATACAGTTGCCTGGTTAAATTAATCCTGTACATTGACACAATACCATCCACTTCCTAGTGTTAAAGGAATGTGGAATGTCTCTACTTAGTGCTATGGAGTGATCTCCAGGATATATTATTAAATAAAAATGCAAAGTAGAGAAAAAATATGTATATTATGCTGACATTTACCTAAGAAAGAGGTGGGATATGAACACATGTTTTCATGGAAAGAATAAATCAAAAATTTTAAAAATGGTTACCTACAGAGGGATAGAGAAAATTGTTGAAGGGCGGAGACACAGAAACTAAATTTCACTAAATAGATTGTGTAAATTTGATTTTTAAACATTATAATTTTTTATATCAATTCCTAAAAATTAACTATTCCAGTGACTTTAAACATAATATTTGACTGTAAATCCCTAGTAAGATTAAGATATGCGTTCAAAACCAAAAAAAGACTGCAAAATATCTTACATTGTTTTCATTAATCACATCATCGATATGACATGATATGTTGCTATTGTTTTCCTGCAAACATTCTGTATGCATTATGAGATGAAGAAAATGAGTGAATATGTTGGTTTTGGAAGGAATCAGGAATTTTAGTATAGAAGAAAGAAGATGCTGATATAAAATTGAAGACACTAAGTAAAAACCTACTAGTGCTGAATTTGAATTGGAAATCTCAGTATCAAATCAAGTTGTATTTTAGCTACAAAAAAAAAAAAAAACAAAAAGAAAATGTTTTGAGTTACTGGTTCTAGCCAATAAAAAGATGAGAAACAATGTCCATCCAAGAAACAACAAGCACCCCCAGCACTCAGACTGTGGTCACTAAGTGCCACTCCCCACCTAGAGAAACCAGGGATCAATGAAGAAAAGACTGATAATATGTCGGGGGCAGAGCACAGCAAAGAAATGCAGGAGGAGAAGGGAGCAAAGTAAATTACAAAGGAGCTGCCAGTGAACAGGAGGAAAGCCAAGAGAGTGAGTGGACACCAACAACAAGAGAAGAAAGTGGGTTTTTTAATTCATATATAGTATTTGTACATATTTATGGGGTGCATGTGACATTTTATTACATGCATAGCACGTAATGATCAAGTCAGGGTATTTGGTTTGTCCACCACCTTGAGTATTTATCATTTCTATGTGTTAGGAACATTGCGAGTCCTCTCTTCTAGTTATTTTGAAACCTACAAGACATTGTTAACTATCGTCACCCTACTCTGCAATCAAATATTAGAACTTATTCCTTATATCTAACTGTATGTTTATTCCCATTAACCAACCTCTGAGAAGAAAGTGTTTTAAGAAGGCAGGAATGATCAATTGTGATGACTACTGCTGAGATGAAAGTAAAATAATAGCAATGCTGACCCTTGAAGTTGGCAACATAGAGGCCATGTGGCATTGACAAGTGAGGTCTCAGTGGAGTCACAGAAGCCTGATTGGAGCGGTGAGGAGAAAACCCAAGGTATAATAACCAAGAATGCCAGAAAAATGTAAAAGTTGCTGCAGAAACTTCTATAGATAAAATTTAAAAAAGAAAGAAAGAAACACAGCCAAACGAAACAGATCCAAATCTTGCCATCTGCACACTCACCTCTAATAGGAACTTGGCATTTAAAAAAGGTAAGTGGAAAAGACACACACTTTTCTGTATGCTCTTCATCAAAATGCAGGCGTCATTTCTGCACATGGTGATATTTAAGCAGGAGAGCATTGTCTTGGCTCCCCTGACCCAGGTGAGGCAGTGAGTACCCCATCTCTGAGGGCAATCAAGTTAAGGAAGAATGACTAGCCATCAGAGGTGCTATAGAGGTGATCCAGCCTTGGATATTGAAATAGGGCTTTGTGAGCTATGGAAAGCAAAATGGCCTAGGAAACAAAGGGGGCTTAACAGATGTTCCAGGCCTATCTGTGCAGCTTTTCCAATGTCCCTCATTTCTCCAGCAGCTCCAAGACCTTGTAATTCCATGGTGTTTGCTTTGGGTAAAGAGACCTGGATTTCCTTATATGGAGCTTTTCTCCAGGTATTTCTCTCCATTGGCATCTACCGCACTCCATCTGCCAGTGTCTCCTGCCTTTTGTGCTTCCAGAATTAGCCACAGAAAAACAAGCACAAAAGAAGCTTTCACTGCCACCACCAGCTGCACATTGCAGCCCCAGGCCTTTCTGCAGATTCCAGCCATGTGATGGTGGAAAAGCAAACCCAGAGCACACCTGTGCTTCCCCTCTATTTACTCACAGAGATGGGAAAAGAAAATGGCCAGTTCTCCACCACTGCCTCTAAGAGTGGCCCAACTTAAAGCTGGAGACACAGATGCTAGATACAGAAGTAACTCACTGGTTGCAGGATCTGAGGCCCCTATATCTCCTGCAATAGATACGTAAAAAAAAAAAATATCTAAACAGTACCTTCTGGCCAGCCGTGGTGGCTCACACGTGTAATCCCAGCACTTCGGGAGGCTGAGGCGGGTGTATCACCTGAGGTCAGGAGTTCAAGACCAGCCTGCCAAACATGGTGAAACTCCATGCCCAAAGTCAGATAACTGGTAAAGTTTGGAAATAAAGTATTCTATGAACATCCTTGTTATGAACCACATGTTTATGTCACCGCAAAATTCATATATTGAAAACTTAATTCTAATGTGATGATATTTGGAGATGGGGCCTATATTAGGCAGTTTTTGAATTGCTATCAAGAAATACCTAAGACTGGGTAATTTAGAAAGAAAAGAGGTTTACTTGGCTCACAGTTCTACAAGCTGTACAGGAAGCATGATGCTGGCATCTGCTCAGCTTCTGGGGAGGCCTCAGGAAGCTTACAGTCATGGTGGAAGGCAAAGAGGAAGCAGCCATGTCATTTGGCCAGAGCAGGAGCAAGAGAGAGAGAAGGAGGTGCTACATGCTTTTAAACAGCCAGATCTCATGAGAGCTCACTCATTATCATGAGGACAACACCAAGGGGATAGTGCCAAACCATTCATGAGAAATCTACCCCCATGATCCCATCACCTCCCACTAGGCCCCACATCCAATACTGGAGATTACAACTCAACACGAGATTGGGGCTGGGACAAATATACAAACTATATCAGAGCCTTAGGAAGTAATTGGGTCATAAGGGCCCTCATGATGGGATTAGTGCCCTTATAAGAAGAGATACCAAAGAGCTCACTCGCTCTCTCTCTATCTCCCTCTCCCCCACTCCTCCATGTAAGGATACAGCAAGAATGTGGTTATCTGCAAGCCAGGAAGAGCACCCTCACAAAGAACTCAACCATGCTGGCCACTTGATCTCTGATTCCAGATTCCAGAACTGTGAGAAATAAATGTCTATTGTTCAAGCCACCCAGTCTATGGTGCTCTGTTACAGCAGCTCACACTGTCTGAGGCAGCCCTCCAGCCAAAAGCCCCCAGAAAAACACCTGCAGATGAGTATGCTGGGCTTGTTACTTGTTGCAGCAAGGAAGAATGCATGCCCTTGGGAACTAGGGGGTGTCTCGGTAAGAAGGAGTTAGAAAAGACGTACTGGACTGGGTCTTGTGTTAGGTGATTTGGTGGAGGGTTTGAGGAGGCAGGGCTTTGCTATGGGTTCGATGCTGCCAAAAAGCAGGAATGGTTGAGCATCTCCACCCATCTTTTTTTTTTTTTTTTTTTTTTTTGAGACAGGGTCTCCCTCTGTCACGCAAGCTGGAATGCAGTGGTGCAATCACAGCTCACTGCAGCCTCGACCTTCCAGGCTCAAGCGGTCCTCCCACCTCAGCCTCTCTAGTAGCTGGGACTACAGGTTTGTGCCACCACACTTGGCTAATTTTTGTATTTTTGGTAGAGACGGGGTTTCATTCACCATGTTGCCCAGGCTGGGTTCAAGTAAGCCTCCCACCTTGGCCATCGTGCCAGGCCTCAGTAAATCTTATCTAGACAAAAAGAAGACTAAAGCAAGACTAAAGCTGACACTGGTAAAGAAACAGCAGTCACTCGTATCAGTTGGAACAGAGACAGAGGTTTGACATTTTGTGGCTTGGACAATGTTCATGTTTTGTCTGGTTTCAAACATGCTTGCGGTCGAGGGTAGGGGGTGTCCTGTTCTGTCCAGATACATCACAGTCACAGAGTGCCCTGCCTGATGCAGGTGTTCTGGGAAATCATTCATGTTGAACAGGACAACACCAAAGTCTATCTGTGTATTGGTAGGCCAGCTCCTACCAATACGAAGCCTTAGCTGATAGTACCAGGAGGCGCTGTTTTTCTATTTCTCAACTTAAATTGAGGCTATCTACCCACAGAAGCTGTGCATATAACCATTGTGCCCCTCGGCCTATAACCGAGTATCCCAGCCCTGAAATGCATTTTAAAACTTTTTTCCTTTCCTTCCTAATCTCAGAATGTGGCCTTGTACTGTAAGACTCTATTTCCTTCCCTTTCCCACCAGGCACATCTGTGCAAAGTGTTTGCTTATTGAATTATGTGCTTGCTTAGGAATTCCAGGGGCCTGTCTTGAAACAAACCAAGCAGAGAGACGTAGCTACAGAATCTTCTCTCTTGAGGGGAGCTATAAACAGTTGGCACAGCACCACTGGGCCAGAGTCAGGATGATGCAAACTAGACTCCAGATGGGCGATTACTCAAGATAACTATCAGAATGAGATACACACACCTGCACCCTCTTTTTCACTACTCCTGCATAGTTCCCACACTTTTTCCTTTCTTAAACCCTTGCAATCAGCCCAAAAGGCTGAGATGGTTTCTTTGAAGCTTGAGCTTTGCCATTCTCCCATCTGCTAGCATTTGACCAATAAAAGCTGCTTTCCTATCACCACCCCTCACTGCTCATGCTTTGACTTCTGAGCAGTCAGCAGTTGGACTTGAGATGGTTCCATGTCTTCCAGAACAGGACACAGCCGAGGACAAGCTGAGCATTGTGTGCAACCTGGAGAACTAATGTTCTTATGTGAAAGGAAAATAAATCTTGGAAACCTTGGGGCCCCCAAAATCACTAAGCTAAAGGGAAAAAGTCAGGCTGGGAACTGCTTAGAGCCAACCTGCCTCCCATTCGATTCCAAGTCACCCCTTTGCTCACTGAGATAAATGCATATCTGATTGCCTCCTTTGGAGAGGCTAATCACAAAATCAAAATAATGTGACCATTGTCTCTTCTCCAACTATGACCTGGAAGCCCCCTCCCTGCAATGAGTCTTCCCACCTTTGCTTCGAGTTGTCCCACCTTCCAGACTAAACCAGTGTTCATCTTCCATATGCTGATTGATGTCTCATGTCTCCCTAGAATGTATAAAACCCAACTGTGCTCTGACCACCTTGGACACATGTCATCAGGACCTCCTGAGGCTGTGTCATGGGCACGCATCCTCAACCTTGGCAAAATAAACTTTCTAAATTAACTGAGACCTGTCTCAGATTTTCAGGGTTTACATTTATTAAGAGTTCGGCTGGGCAAGGTGGTTCACACCTGTAATCCTACCACTTTGGGTGGCTGAGGCTGGTGGATTGCTTGAACTCAGGAGTTCAACACCAGCCTGGGCAGCAAAAAGTACAAAAGTTAGCTGGGCATGGTGGCACACCCCTGTAGTCCCAGATACTTGGGAGATGAGGCAAGAGGATCACCCTCCTTGGGAGGGTCCCAAGGACTTGAGCCCAGGAGGTTGAAGCTGCAATGAGCTGAGACCGCAAAAACTGCAATTACTTTTGCACTAACGTAATACTTGAAACAAACATAACATAATAACATTTCATCCCTAAATACATCAGCGTACATGTTCTAAGAACAAATACATTCTGCAGGTTAATCCTTTGTATAATAACACCATTATCACATCTAAGAAATTAAAGTCATATAATAATACTACCCAATATGCAGTCCATATTAAAAGCTTCCCAATCCAGTAGTCCCCAAAACATTCCTTCCAGCTATTTGTCTTTTTTTTTTTTTTGAATGAAATCTCACTGTGTCGTCAGGCTGGAGTGCAATGGTGCTATCTCAGCTCACTGCAGCCTCTGCGTCCCGGGTTCAAGCTATTCTCCTGCCTCAGCCTCCCAAGTAGCTGGGACTACAGGCATGTGCCACCACATCCAGCTAATTTTTGTATTTTTAGTAGAGACGGGGTTTCACCACGTTGGCCAGAACGGTCTTGATCTCCTGACCTCATGATCCACCAGCCACAGCCTCCCAAAGTGCTAGGATTACAGGCGTGAGCCACTGTGCCTGGCCTACTTGTCTTTTTATCCAGAAACCAATCAAGGGTTAGTTGTCTTGTCTCTTTGGTCTCCTTTAATCTAGAATAATCCTACTGCTTTGTTCTAACTTTCATGTCATTGACATTTCTTCAGAGTCCAGGCTAGTGGTCTTGCAGAAGGATCCTACCTTTTGAAAGGAGCACAGCTCTTCAAAAAGACTTTAACATTTAGATATCTCAGTAATATAAAGGCTCTTCCCCACAAATCTGCCTGTGATGATGAGATTTCAGTAAGCATCTTATGCATGGTGGATTTAATTCTGATTCTTCCATTAAGAATGAATTCAAAGCACCTAGTTCTTCTCTCCAGTTTCCCTCATTAAATGTGGTTGCCAACTATAAAGTGGGCCCAATGAGTTTGATTCAAAGTCAAGTCCAGGTCATCTAGCTGGCCACTGCCTACACAAAGAAGAGAGAAAATCCACTTAGGTCCGGGGCTGTTGATATATCCTGACGCCTTTCTTGCTGCTTTATTAATTCCAGTGAATATTTCATAACAGGTGACAACTTTGCCCTTTAATTGCTGAGGGATTTTAATTTTGCACTGCTGTTTGCTGTTCAAAGTGATTTACCTTGGTTCATAAACACCTGTATTGCAAGGACTTTCTCTACAGCAAGAAAAGTAAACTTATAAGCTGTGTGATTTGAGCTTACACACAAAATCACACTTTTAATTAGGCCACTACCTCCCAACATCAGGCAGTTCATATCACTTTCACCATTTTGGCCATATCTGTATTTTATATTTTTTATTTACATAAATTGCTTTTCTTGCCTAGATAAAAATGTTTTCCAATAAAACCTTGTATCCTTACTGATGAAAAACTGGCATTGTTTTCCATAATCAGCTGAAAAATAAATACAGTGAAAACCTTGATCCTGAGGCCTGATGAAGGCTCTGAGCCTGAGGGCTGCTCTGTCTTGTTTAAACAGAAGATCAGCAAGAATTAAACACAGAAGAAGCCAAACTGACACTTTCGGCTTTGAGTAATGAGAGAAATTAGAGGACACTGAAAGGGGATTCATTTTCCACTCCAGTTATTTAATGTTGGCTTTGGAGTTCACTTCAAATGAACAATCTTCTGTGCCCACCAACAGGCACACACACTGCATTTTGGGAGACACTGAATTCTGTCTTTCTGTTTTGGGCTTCTTTTTTTTCTTTTGAATAACATGTTCAAAGATCAGTCCCTAAGTTACATGACATGTATTTAGTATTTGGTTGGAAAACTTGGTTATCGTGTCATGCCAGATGCGCTGTCCTCTGGTAAAACCCTCACCAAGAACTGAGGTTGAATTACGTTGAAATTGCCATTTTTGTAGGCTGAAAATGGTCTAATGTCAGCAATTTCATGCCATGTAGTTTAAGAGCAACCATCATCAATATCAATGGTATTTCTCATTTCCAAAGGACTCCCACAAACATCACCTTGCTTGGTCCCAACAATAAACTTTGGTGCAGGGTTTTGTTTGTTTGTTTTTTTAATCTTTCTTTTTTCCTTTCTTGTTATATTCATTTTACAGATGAGAAAATTCCTCTGGGGTATAAGGGCATTCCGCAAGTTCGGGTAGGGTGCCAGTGGGGGCCCTGGAGCTGAAATCGGTGAGGCTGATCCACAGTTCTTGCTTTCTCCTGCAGCTTTATTTGCCTCCCAAGTTATCGCTGTAAATATAATGTTAAATAAGGAATGAGATTCCAAAGTTAGCTGTGGCTATTTTCCTGTGACTCTGAGCCCTTCCGTCTGTCTTGGTCCAGCACAGTCGGGGTTTGGTAAATGTTTGCTGAGCTGGGTCATTTATTCTCACAGTGAGGAGGGCTTACAAGTCACCATTTCCAAGCCCGTTCCCAAGGGAGTAAAGCACACAGAGTTATTCAGCCCAGAAGGATGGCTTGAAGACTGCTGTGTTTCTCACAGTCAGAAGTTGTGCCTATTTTGTATCTTCACTACCCTGCACGAATAAATGCCTGAGAAAAGAAAGGTGGAGAAAAAGGAAGGGAGGGAGGGAAGGTAAAGAGAAGAAAGAGAGTGGGGAGTGAGGAACAAAAAAAAGAGAAAGTAGGAAAGAAAAAAGGGAGGGAGAGGGAGGAGGGATGGGGGAAGGAGGAGAAAGAATAAAGAGGGAAGAAAGGAGGAGTGAAGAGCAAAAGAAGAGAAGAAGAAAAGAAAGGAGGTGTGGGAAGAGGGCAACCTGGATTGCAGAATTAAATTTCTATTGTGGCTTATCTGGATTTCAATGGAAAGAAAATGAGGGTTTAGGATTCAGACAGGTGAGTATTCAATTCCCTGCCCCTCCCTTGCCTAGGTATAACCCTGAGCAAATTACATCACCTCTCTTGGCCACAATGTTGTCATCTTTATAAAGAAGAAAATAACACCAATTGCAAAGGCATTGGGAGAATGTGAAGAGAAAGTGAATGCGCAATGAATGCTTTGTCATTGCTGTTATTGTTCCTGTTGCCATTTGCCATTTACCGTTGTTGGAAAGACTTACTCCTTCTTTTTTTTTTTTTTTTTTTGTGAGACAGTCTCACTCTGTCACCAGGCTGGAGAGCAGGGGCGTAATCTCGACTCACTGCAACCTCCGACACCTGGGTTCAAGCGATCCTCTCACGTCAGCCTCCTGAGTAGCTAGGATTGCAGGCATACACCACCATGCTCAGCTAATTTTTTGTATTTTTAGTAGAGACTGGGTTTCACCGTGTTGGCCAGGCTAGTCTTCAACTCCTGACCTCAAGCGATCTGCCCGTCTCAGCCTCCCAAAGTGCTGGGATTACAGGTATGAGCCACTGCACCCAGCCCCTCCTTCTTTTTTGACCTTGAAACTAACATTATACAATAACTTTACCCTTTGAGCAACCTTCTCCACTTAAGGAAATTTTGACCCAAGATTTGTACACAAGGAGGAGGAAAATTCACAAGAGCCACAGAGATGGTCGCCCTGGGAACTGCAGAGAGGCCACTGAGCCACGTGTTTCTTAGACTCCAGTCTGACAATGTTCCCCAGAAAAAATTAAACAGTGGGGATGTTCCTTTGAGCTTTAAAGGAAAAAGATGCCTCCGCAGGTCTATCTGTCTTGATATAAGCTTCCCCAGGGCAGTGAGCCCAGTGTGGTGGGGGCTTGGTAAATGTTTGCTGAGCTGGACCATTGGCCAGGAAGAGAGCTTATCCATCACCATCTCCAAGCCCCTGAAGGGCTGTCAGGAAGGAAAGGACACAGACTTACTTAGCCCAAAAGGATGACTGAAGAGCACCAGCTGAGGCTTCAAGAGAAGCAATTTCAGCTCTATAGAAAGGACTGATTTCTAATAACAAGGGTTTCCAAAAATCAAGTCTACTGCCTTATGGCAGAATGTATCACGATTAGATTGGGGCAGGCCCTAAAGCATTAGTCCTGCTCTGTCCATCGCCGTAGCCATGAGCCACGCATGGTTTTCAAGCACTCGAAATGAGGCCAGTCCAAATTGCCATGTGTTCTAAGTGTAAAACATACAACAGAATTCAAAGACTTAATGTAAAAGCAGTATGCAAATATCTCATAAATATTTTTATATTGATTACATATCAAAATGACAATCTTAGCTGTATTATGTTAAAATGTACAATAAAAATTCATCTCACCCAGCAAATCCTAACAAATATAAAGAAAAAGAATAAGATTTAACTTGAACTTTTCAACATAAAAGTGGATGCAGGATTCCAAACAATACATTCAAAGTTTAAAAGACAGAGTTGGCAGTACTTGATTTTTGTTCTTCTGTATGTGTTTTGTTTTCCAAATAAAGATGAGTTTGATGAAAATCTTGGGATGACTATTCAAATAAGAAGAGAAATGAAGTCCATAAGATTTTGAAATAAATAAAGATGACACAAACAAATGAAAAAACATTTCATACTCATGGATAGGAAGAATCAATATTATTTAAATGGCCATACTAAGCAAAGCAACTAACAGATTCAATGCTATTCCTATCAAACTACCAATGCCATTTTTCACAGATTTAGAAAAAACTATTCTAAAATTCATATGGAATCAAAAATAGAGCCGGAATAACCCAAACAATCCTAAGCAAAGAAAAAAAAAAAACCAAAAACAAAGCTGGAGGTATCACACTACAAAATTTCAAACTATACTGAAAGCCTATTAAAACCAAAACAGCACTGTACCCGTACAAAAACAGACACAGACCAACAAAACAGAATAGAGAACCCGGAAATAATGCGGCACACCTCTAATGTGTGTCAACCGTCTAATCTTCAACAGAGTTGACAAAAATAAGCAATGGGAGAAAGACTCCCTATTCAGAAGTGGTGCTGGGATACTGGCTTATCCATATGCAGAGAAATGAAACTGAATCCCTACCTATAACTATATACAAAAATTTACTCAAGATGGATTAAAGACTTAAATGTTAGACCTCAAATTGTAAAAATCCTGGGAAATACCCTTCTTGACATCAGCCTTGGCAAATAATTTATAGCTAAGTCCTCAAAAGTAACTGCAACAAAAAACAAAAATTGACAAGTGACACCTAATTTTTGTTTTTTTTAAGATAGAGTTTCGCTCTGTCACCCATGCTAGAGTGCAATGGCGCGATCTCGGCTCACTGCAGCCTCCTCATCCCAGGTTCAAGGTATTCTCCTGCCTCAGCCTCCAGAGTAGCTGGGATTACAGGCGTGCACCACCACACCTGTAACAATACAAAATTATCCAGGTGTGGTGGCACTACATGCCTGTAGTCCCAGCTACTTGGGAGGCTGAGACAGAAGAATCGCTTGAACCCGGGATAGGTAGGCTGTAGTGAGCAGAGGTCGTGCCACTGCACTCCAGCCTGGGCAACACAGAGCAAGACTCCATCTCAAAATAAAAGAAAAAAGAAAATGTCTTTAAGGCCGGGCTCAGTGGCTCATGCCTGTAATCCTAGCACTCTGGGAGGCCAGGGCAGATGGACTACCTGAGGTCAGGAGTTCGAGATCAGCCTGGCCAACATGGTGAAACCCCGTCTCTACTAAAAATACAAAAATTAGCTGGGCGTAGTAGCAGGTGCCTGTAATCCCAGCTACTCCAAAGGCTGAGGCAGTAGAATTGCTTGAACCTGGGAGGCAGAGGTGGCAGTGAGATGGACTCACCCCACCGCACTCCAGGCTAGGCAACAAAGCCAGACTCTGTCAAAAAAAAAAAAAAAAAAATACCTCCTGAGCTCAAGCAATCTGCCCACCTTGGCCTTCCAAAGTGCTAAGATTACAGGCGTGAGCCACCACACACGGCCACCAATTTTCTTTAGTAGAACCAGTCACTCCCCATTGCCTCCCTCCCCAGTCTATTTTAAATGGAATCATACAATATGTGACCCTTTCTGTATTTGGCCTCTTTCACTTAGCATGATGTGTCTGAGGTCTATCGCATCACAGTATGTGTCAGTACTTCATTCTTTTTTATAGTGCAATAATATTCTATCATATGGGTCGATCACATTTTGTTTATCTATTTGTTGTTGATGGACATGTTTCCACTGCTGCTTATTCTTGTATATACAGTGTTATCAGAACACAGCCTTGTCCACTCATTCACACGCTCTCTGCGGCTTCTTCCACACTACAACCGCAGTCAAGTCGTTGCTACAGAGTCTAAAAAAGGTATTATCTAGTCCTTTACACAAAAAGTTTTCCAGACTAGAAACTAGAACCCTGGTCTAGTTCATCCAAGTCCCCAAACAGCTAGTTTTAGATGAAGGAATCAAGCCAAACTACCACCTGTCCCTCCCTCCCCAAACCAAGTTCTTCTCCTTGTTTCCTTGTCTTATAAATAGAACCAACGTCCTCCCATTAACCTATGCAAGAGTTCAGAAGTAGTCCTTGATATCTCCCATCACCTTTCACATCCAATCAAGCCAATTCCTGTCCACTCTACATCCTATATTTTCCTTGACTTCATCTTTTTCTTCACCTCTCCATTCCCTACCACCACCCTAGGTTAGCGACCACCATTTTTCACCTAGATCCAGAGAACAATGTCTTATAATGTCCTTACACTCCTACTCTTAACTCCCCCCTTCCAGCCCTCAAATTCTTCCCACAGTGCAGCCAGAATTTTTTAAAAAACAAACATCACCATTTCACTTGAAACTGCCCAATGACTCCCCATTGCCCTCAGGATAAAGTCAAAATTCCACAACATGGTTTTTAAAATCTTGTATGGGCCAAGCATAGTGGCTTATACTTGTCATCCCAGCACTTTGGGAGACCAAGGCAAGAGGATCACTTGAGGCCAGCAGTTTGAGACCAGCCTGGATAACATACCAAGATTCCCATCTCTACAAAATATTTAAAAATCAGACAGGCATGTTGGACACCATGCCTACAGTCCCAGCTACTAGGGAGGCCAAAGCAAAAGGATCACTGGAGTCCAGGAGTTCAAGACTGCAGTGAGCTATGACTGCACCAATGCACTCCAGCATGGGCAACAGAGCAAGACACTGTCTCTATAATAAATAAATTTTTAAAAATAAAATAAAAATAAATAAATGAAACCCCTGCACCATGTGGCCACTGCTGGGGTTCAGATGGGGGCTCTGTCTCCTTCTTTTTTTTTATTTTGTTTTTTGTTTTTTTTTGGAGACAGAGTCTTGCTCTGTCGCCCAGGCTGGAGTGCAGTGGCGCAATCTCGGCGGCTCACTTCAACCTCCGCCTCCCCAGTTAAAGCAATTCTCCTGCCTCAGCCTCCTGAGTAACTGGGACTACAGTCGTGTCCCACCATGCCCAGCTAATTATTTGTATTTTTAGTAGAGATGGGGTTTCACCGTTTTAGCCAGGAAGGTCTCAATCTCCTGACCTCGTGATCCGCCTGCCTCTGCCTCCCAAAGTGCTGGGATTACAGGCATGAGCCACCACGCTTGGCCCTGACTCCTTTCTAGAAAGAGACCCAATTGAGAAAAAGATGAAGGATGCAGACAAACGGAGGTGCGCTGCTGACGGAGTGAACTGGGTAACTCAGCCTACATGTGAGGCTGTAGTCAGACTTCTTTCAACTTTTCCACGTGAGATGAACTTCCCTATACTGGGAAAAAGGAAATCAGAAAATGGAGCACAGACCATTTTACCCCCACCCCCGCAGCGAGGGATGGGAGTCAGTGTGGAGGGCTGGGCTTGGGTGTAGGGAGGACGAGACCTTTGATCCTCCACAGATAAAGCACGAGCAAAGAGAAATGAGAAGTTCGTGCAGCTTTGTAAAATCTTCCACCATGGAGAGCTCCATGGGGTACGAGGTAGCATCTTTTTTAAATTTTTTTATTACTTTTCAAAATTTTTGTGGGTACATAGATATATCTATTTATGGGGTACATGAGATGTTTTTATGCAAACATGCCACGTAGCATCTTGAAGTGTCTATGAGCATGAACTTTGAAGCCAGTCTACCTGGGTTCAAATCCTGGCACTGCCACTGACCAGCTTTGTGACCTCAGACATCCTGCTCAACCCCTCCATGCCTCAGCTTCACCATCTGTCAAGAGAGGGTGATTAATGCACATGCCTCTTGGTTTCTTGTAAAGCTAAACATATATCTACCCTGTGATCAACACTGGGAGAAAAACACCCAGGTGGAGGAGGAAGCAGGTTTATTTGAAAGGAAAATTATGACATCTAAGTGGGATGTGATATTCATTTTCTGTAGCTCCTGTCACAAATTTCCAGAAACTGGTGGCTTACAACAAACCAACAGAAATTTATTCTCTCGGCCAGGCTCAGCGGCTTATACCTGTAATCCCAGCACTTTGGGATGCCAAGGTGGGCCAACCACTTGAGACCCAATCACTGAAGCCCAGGATATTGAGATCAGCCCAGATGACATGGAGAGACCCTGTCTCTACCAAAAAAAAAAAAAATTACCCAGGTGTGGTGGTGTGCGCCTATAGTCCCAGCTCCTGGGAAGGATGAGGTGGGAGGATTGCTTGAGCCTGGGAGGGAGAGGCTGCAGTAAGCTGTGAAGACACCACTGTACTCCAGCCTGGACAACAGAGCCAGACCCTGTCAGGAAGAAAGGAAGGGAAGGGAGGGGAGGGGAGGGAAGGAAGGAAAAGGGAAGGGAGGGAAGGAAGGAAGGGAAGGGAGGGAAGGAAGGAAGGGAAGGGAGGGAAGGAGGGAAGGAAGGAAGGAAGGAAGGAAGGAAGGAAAGAAGGAAGGAGAAGGGAAGGGAAGGAAGGAAGGAGAAGGGAAGGGAAGGAAGGAAGGAGAAGGGAAGGGAAGGAAGGAAGGAAGGAAAACGGAAAGGAAGGGAGAGGGAAGGAAGGGAAGGGAGGGAGGGAAGGAAGGAAGGAAGGAGGGAAGGAAGGAAAAGAAAGAAAGAAAAAAGAAAGAAAGAGAAAAGAAAAGAAAGAAAGAAAAGAAAGAAAGGGAAATAAAGAAGAAAGAAAAAGAAAAGAAAGAAAGCAGGCAAGGAAGGGGGCAAGGAGAGAGAAAAGAAAGAAAGAGAAAAAGAAATGAAAAGGAAAGGAAAGGAAAGAGAGAAGGAAGGAAGGAAAGAAAGAGAAAGGAAGGAAGGAAAGAAGAAGGAAGGAAGGACGGAAGGAAGGAAGGAAGGGAGGAAAAAAAGTATTCTCTCACAGTTCTGGACGCCAGAAGCCAGAAATCAATGTGTTCCCAGGGTTGGTTCCTTCTGCAAGCTCTAGGGGGAGCATGTGTCTCTCGCCTCTCTGCAGCTTCTGGGGATTGCCACAGTCCTGGGTGCTCCTTGACATGTAGGCCCCGCACTCTGATCCCTGCATCTATCATCACCCCATCATCACCTGGTGTTCTCCTCTGCATCTTCTAAACTTTTTATAAGGACACTAGTCATTGGATTTAGGGCCTACCCAGATAATCCAGGATGATCTCATCTTGAGATTCCTAATCTAACTACATCTGTAAAGCCCCTTTCTCCAAATAAAGTCCCATCCACTGGTTCTGGGTGGACATATCTTTTCGGAAGACTAACATTTAGCACACGACAGATATTCGACACAGTTACCCCAGGCAGGGACTGCTCTATTCTGCATGCTGTGTAATAGCTAACGTTTACTAGGCGTTTGCTTTGTGCCAGACAGTATGCAAACTGATTTCCACCCATTAGTTCATTTGTCCTACTCACAATTTCCTCCATCTCAGCATGTGAAAGTGTGGCTGTCCCTTCCCCAGGCCCTCAGTGCCTGCAGAACAATGATACGTGAATGAAACCTTCCTCCATTGCCATCCATTCTCCTTTGATCATTTATAATTTCATCACTTTAAAGGATAGAAGTAATAGCCCTGCTTCAAAAGAGGCAATCCTTTTATCTTCTCTGAAGCTTTCATTTGGCATCAGCGAGGGACAAGATTGCAGAACCTAACTATGATTTGTTTCTTTAAAGTTATTTTAACAATGCTAGGTGTGGCATTTGCCTGTTTGGGGGCGGGCGGAATACAAACAAGTAAAAAAAACCAAACAGACAAACTTTTCCAAGCTTGGGGATTTTCAACAATACTTGATGCCAAGTAGAAGTAATAGTAATTAAAGAATAATGACAGCAGCAATCACAACTAGCATTCATTTATTGAGCATTTACTATGTGCCAGGTACTCTTATAAGTACTTTACATGCACACTCATTTCAAGCCCTCAACAACCCCATATGGTAGGTACTAAAATTATTCCCATTTTACAGATGAGGAAGCTGAGGCTTACTGAGGATAAGGCACTTGCCTTGAGTTACAGAGCTAGTAACCGGTAGAACTGAGATTTAAACCCAGGAAGTCTGACAAGAACATTGCATTCTAGTTGGCATGTATTCTAGCATGTGATGGAAATAATGTTCAAAATCCTAAGGAAATTGAACACTCAAAGGATTTTCAGTAAAGTAATTTTACTTTTGTTTAGATGGGTGCTTCACCTTGGCCAGTCACCATGAGAGCACAACTGAACAAAGGGGAACGAGAGCCATTATTCCTGACGCAAGTCCTGCCTGTGTGCCCTTTCCCCATTGGCTGGAGTCGGGCCGCACAATCTAAACTAGTTCTGGTTGGCTAAACATTTGAACTTTCTTTAGATAAGATGGGCACGTAAGAGAGAGGGGAAAGGGGAAGGGGTGTCTGTAATGAGCTAGAGAGCTAGTCTTTTTTTCAAATAAGGAAAGGAATGTGAGTTGGTATTGATAACACCTGGTACTGTAGCATGTCTGGGCACATAACAAAGGCAGAAACGAAGAAAGAGGAGAAAAGGGAAAGGGCGGGGGGCGGTACTAGAATTAAAGAATAAAGGATTGACCAGACTCTTTGAAGAGAAACCTCATTATATCCCACAGTTTTCCCCTTCTTTTTTTTATAATTCAGTTCCTTTGGTTGTAGGACTGAGGTTCCCATATCCTTGCAGTCTGTATCTCCTAGGGTACTTTCTCAAGTCCTTGCCTATGAGCCTCTCCATCTCAGGGCCAACACATCAAATCCTTCTCATGCTTAGAATCATTCTGATTTCACCTTCTGCTGCATGGAGCTAAATAAGACACAGCCAGTGCCCTGTAGGAGCCTATAGCCCAGAGGGCAAGACAGGCAGGTTAAGGAGCACTTACAATTAGCAGGGATTATGGCCTATCATAGAGTGGATGGGGGAGGTGCACAGAGAGTCTATAGGATAGAGAAGCCAGACAGGCTCCCTGCAGATGCTGACACCAGAGGTGAGACTGGATAACCAAGAAGAGTTAGGCAGACACCAGTGCTGGCTTTCAGGCTGGACAATCTACGCAGGGGTACCAGCCCTTGCACAGACCTAGAGCCAAGAGAGAAGCTAGCGAATGAATCCAATTCTGCAGTGAATTAAGAATATTCCTTGGTAACACCTCTTGAGAACACAAAATAGCAAATGCTTATGTAGACCTCACTAAGTGTCGAACACAGTTCTGGGCACTTTGTATATATTCCCTCCTTTAATCCTTGCAGCACCCCCAAGAGGTCAGTGCTGTTATTATCCACATTTTCCAGCCTGTCTCAACAGCTTCTTGTGGATGGGCCTTTTTAGGCAGCTGTCAAAGATCCCATTATGTAGTCACCACAAAGAAAATGTTGAAAGTTCTGGCCTTAGTGATTTTCCCTCCCAATGCGCATTTCTGACACCACAGAAAATGTGTTGACATCTGTACGAATTATTTCTCTCATTGCTATAAAGAACTACCTGAGACTGGGTAATTTACAAAGAAAAGAGGTTTAATTGACTCACAGTCCCATAGGCTGTACGGGAAGCCTGGCTGGGAGGCCTCAGAAAACTTACAATCATGGTGGAAGGCGAACAGGAAGGAGGAGCATCTTACATGACCAGGGCAGGCAGAAGAGAGAGAGCCAAAGTGTGTTCCACAGGTCATGCTCTAACTATTCTAGCCCCCTGCCCTTCCAGCCCCACCATCAATGTCTGCTCCTTATGTTTAATTTTTACATTCTGTATAGCATGAGGAAGAAACAAGGTACCTTTAGAACTGGTCTACAAGCAGATGTTGATATGGTTTGGATTTGTGTCTGCACCCAAATCTCATGTCGAATTGTGGGGAGGTGCCACACACTTGTAAACAACCAGATCTCATGAGAGCTCACTCACTATCACGAAAACAGTAAGCAGGAAATCCGCCCCCATGATCACATTACCTCCCACCAGGTCCCTCCTCCAACACGGGGCATTACAATTCGCCATGAGATTTGGGTGCAGATACAAAGCCAAACCATATCAACATCTGCTTGTAGGCCAGTTCTTTTTTTTTTTTTTTGAGACAGAGGCTCATTCTATTGCCTAGACAGGAGTGCAGTGGCGCTGTCTCAGCTCAGTGCAACCTCTGCCTCCCGGGTTCAAGCGATTCTCCTGCCTCAGCCTCCTGAGTAGCTGGGATTACATTCGCACACCACCATGCCTGCTAATTTTTTTGTATTTTTAGTAGAGACGGGGTTTCACCATGTTAGGCAGGCTGGTCTCAACCTCCTGACCTCATGATCCGCCTGCCTCATCCTCTCAAAGTGCTGGGATTACAGGCATGAGCCACCGCGCAGCCAACCAGTTCTAAAGGTAGCTTTTTTCCTCCTCATGCTACACAGAATGTAAAAATTAAACATAAGGAGCAGACATTGATGGTGGGGCTGGAAGGGCAAGGGGCCAGAATGGTTACAGCATGACCTCTGGGCCACATTTTGACTAGAGTTACTAATCCCAGCCCTGCTGCATGACCTCAGAGAAGCAACTTTGCCTCTCTGTGCCTTGGTTTCCCATCTGGTATAATGGGGGCAATCATCAGGTTGTTGTGAGATTGAATGACTTGATGTAGTACGGCAGTGTTCAGCAAACTCTCTGTAAAAGGCAAGATATCAGGTTGCTGCAGAAGTAATTGTGGGGTCAGGCACAGTGGCTCATACCTGTAATCCCAGCACTTTGGGAGTCCGAGACAGGTGAATCACCTGAAGTCAGGGGTTTGAGACCAGCGTGGCCAACATGGCAAAGCCCTGTATTTACTAAAAATACAAAAATTAGCCGGGCGTGGTGGTGCGTGCCTGGAATCTCAGCTACTTGGGAGGCTGAGGCAAGAGAATCACTTGACCCAGGAGGCGGAGGCTGCAGCGAGCCAAAATCACGCCACTGCACTCAAGCCTGGGCAACAAAGTGAGACTCCACCTCAAAAAAATAAAAATAAATAAATAAAGGCTGCTCTCTTTCCACAGCTCCAAAGCTACCTAGCTGTTTTGATATTGACAAGATCCCCTAGAGGAAGGCTTTGCAGGGTCTGTCCCGGCAGCAGTAGAGATGCCGCCATAAAAGCATAGATGGCCAGCTGTCTCAGGCCAGGTCCACAGCAGCAGACCCTGAAACAAGGATTTCAGTGCAAGTGGGTTATTAAGGAGGGGATCCCAGGAAACATCAATAAAAGGAGTGGGAAAATGAGACAGGGAAGGTGGGACAGGCCATTGAGGATGTATATTAAGCAAAACACCCTGCGTGCAAACTGGAGCCCCATATGACTGGGGAACTTTAGACAGAAAGTGCACAGCACACATCAGCTTTCCGTCTAAGGGTGACGGTCTGCAGTGTCATCTACCAACTCCCAGCCCCGGTTGGCTGAGGGCTGCTTCTACAGGTGTCAATGTCCTGACACTTCCAGCCTTCCCCATATGCAGATAGATCATGCTATTAGCCTGAAAGTCCCTGCAGATAGAAGGCCAAGAAGATGAAGGCACATCAAGGTAGATACTGAAGAATGAGCAGAGGAACTGATAACCTTTGCCACACCAGCAACGGGAAGACATCTAGTGGTCAACTGGTCCACCTCTTAATAGGTACAGAAGAGGATATGTGGTCTATTTTGGAGTAAGCACTGATTCAGGCAACTGTGAGCTGTGATTTTCTTTTTTTGTTTGGTTTTTTTGTTTTTGTTTTTGTTTTTTTTGAGACAAAGTGTCTCTTTGTTGCCCAGCCTGGAGTCACAATCTCAGCTCACTGCAACCTCCACCTCCCAGGATTCTTGTACCTCAGCCTTCCAAGTAGCTGGGACTACAGGCACCCGCCACCACACCTGGCTCATTTTTGTCTTTTTTTAGTAGAGATGGGGTTTCACCGTGTTGGCCAGGCTGGTCTTAAACTCCTGACCTCAAGTGATTGGCCTGCCTCAACCTCCCAAAGTGCTGGGATTACAGGCATGAGTCACCGCGCCTGGCCGCTGTGATTTCCAAACCCTATTTGCTTGATTTTAAGACACCATTGCCTGTAATACTCACCTTGGATATAATAACAGCTTTTCCAGACTTTAAAAAAAACCCACTACATTAAGTGAATACAAAAAGCATTCTAATTTCAGATATGTTAAAAAGTTTAAAAGAAAGCATCTCCAACTCTATACAATATGGCTTTGTCCCGCTGTCCCCATAAGAGCACTTGTACCCTTCTGACCCTCCGTCCCAATTTGGGCTTAGAAAATAGAGTTATTTTGTTTGAAAATCTGTTCTGGTTCTGAAGTTCTGTGATTTTCTCTTTCCTTGCAGCATCTTCGTCATGGCAACACAATGCCCATTTGCATTTCAAAAACTACCCCTGCCTACTTCACACCTTAAAACAAGAATCGAGATCCCACCTTAATATTTAAAAATAGGCAACTTCAGCCCTTTAGTGTCCAGGTACCCTTTTTTTAGGTGACAAAAGGAGCCAGTTTCTTGTTCACCATGTCAGCATCTTTAAAATGCACATTTATTCGTTAGATGCATTAGGCACTGGCTAATTCTGTTACAAGGAGAAAGAAGAACTAACATTTATTAACGGACTGCTACTCCCAGACTCCACACGAATGGCTGTAGACGTAGCACTTCATGCAATCCCCACAGCTGATCCCTGAACAAAAGAAACTACATCACAGCTGGGTTAAGTCACTTGACTAAAGCCACATAGCTGGCACGTTGCAAAGCTGAGATAATGGTGGCAAAACTATCTACCATCATACCCTGTATCTTCTCAGGGCTTAATAAATACGAAGGACAAACACAGCCAGAAAACAGAGAGGGAGGAGGTAAAGGGTGTGAGAAGGAATAAAAAACAGAATTCCATCCTCAAAAGATTATCCACCCCCTAGTGTTGGACCACCTGGTGTTGCTAAGAAACGAGAACATGAACATTCTGCTCTCCAATTCCTAAAGATAGAGACTGGATTGCCCCAAGAAAAGAGGAAGCAACTTTTCCTTTGCTTTATCCATCTTTTGTCCTCTTAAATATTCTCTAGCCAACATCAGCCAGCCAAATCCCTTCATTGTGAGGTTGTTTTTTTTTTAATCTGCTCTCTGTCCATTTAATTTAGCAAGTCAGTTTTTATTAGTATTTTCCTTTCTCCTTCACTCTGGAAAAGTTTTAGCGAAGAGTAAATCTGGCTTCTTTATAATCCTACATGAATCTTTCAGACTTTGTTTTCCCTCTGTGTGATAATAAAACCAGCAGCTATACATTAAAGTGCCTGAACACAGCTGTCAGAGAAGCATGGTCTGTACAGGGCCAAATGAGGAGGCTCCAGGCTGCCCAAGACCCTAGCATCTGTGCAATCCCCTGTCATAATTCCACCCTTAAAGATTCATTCCTTTGGCTATTCAAATGCCACCTGTAAAATCACATGATCCTAGGAGAAGTGACACATACCTAATATCTAGGGATTCTTAACCTTTTCATGTTTAAGAATGAAGGAGGCGGGTGGATCACCTGAGATCAGGGGTTTGAGACCAGCCTTGCCAACATGGTGAAACCACCATCTCTACTAAAAATACAGAAATTAGACAGATGTGGTCGTGGGCGTCTATAATATAATCCCAGCTACTCAGGAGGCTGAGGCAGGAGAATCGCTTGAATCTGTGGGGCAGATGTTGCTGCAGTGAGCCGAGATCATGCCACTTCACTCCAGCCTGAACCAAAGAGAGAAACTCCATCTCAAAAAAAAGAATGAAGGAGCGTGGATGGACCTTCTTCCTAGAAAAATATTAACAGACACAAAATTCTACACATCTTTTGGACCCCAGACACAGAACCACTGTTTGAATCTCCTATCAGCTGATACCTTGGGAAGTAAGCCAAGGGAAAAGGATTATCTCAAATTTGACTGAAAGTCAACTGATTGTAGACCTTACATAGCCACATCTACAAAATCCCTTCAAAGTAACACCTACATTTGTGTTTGACTGGATAACTGGGAACTGTAGCCTAGCCAGGTTAACACATTAAACTATCACATGTTGTTGCTTTTTATTTTATTTTTTTCTTTTTTGGGACAATGTCTCACTCTGTTGTCCAGGCTGAAGTGCACTGGCACAATCACAGCTCACTGCAGTATCAACCTCCCAGACTCAAGTGATCCTTCTGCCTCAGCATCCTGAGTAGCTGGGACTACAGACGCACATCACCATGTCCTGACAATTTTATTTAAATTTTTTTGTAGAGATTGGGGTTGGGGGGTGCAGGTGCAGGTCTTGCCATGTTTTCCAGGCTGGCCTCCAACTCCTGCACTTGAGTGATCCTCCCACCCCAGCCTCCCAAAGTGCTGGGATTACAAGTGTGAGCCACCGGGGCTGGCCCATTTATTTTTTTATAAGGCAGGGAACTAAACAAAAAGCGGGAGTGGTCAGATGTCAAGCCCAAGATCACACCAAGAACTGGATGTTAAGAGTCATATATCAGGCCGGGCTCGATGGCTCATGCCTGTAATCCCAGCACTTTGGGAGGCCGAGGCGGGTGGATCACCTGAGGTTAGGAGTTCGAGACCAGCCTGGCCAACATGGTGAAACTCTGTCTCTACTAAAATATACAAAAATTAGCTGGGCTTGGTGGTGGGTGCCTGTAATCCCAGCTCCTTGCAAGGCTGAAGCAGGAGAATCGCTTGAATCCAGGAGAGAGAGGTTGCAGTGAGCCAAGATCGTGCCACTGCACTCCAGCCTGGGTGACAGAGTGAGACTATCTCAAAAAAAAAAAAGAAAGAAAGAAAAAAAAGAAGAGCCATATGTCGAAAGCTTTAGCTAAGTTAAGGCTAAGTGTGCTTTAGCCTCTACACCTCACTAATCAGATCTCTCCAGGGCTGAGTGGAGGTGGTTGGAGGTTGGCTGTCAGATACAAAAATCCTGCCACTGCTGCTAAGACTGTGAGCTCTTTTTTTTTTTTTTAAATACTTTAAGTTTTAGGGTACATGTGCACAAGGTGCAGGTTTGTTACATATGTATACATGTGCCATGTTGGTGTGCTGCACCCATTAACTCGTCATTTAGCATTAGGTGTATCTCCTAATGCTATCCATCCCCCACTACACCCCACAACAGTCCCCAGTATGTGATGTTCCCCTTCCTGTGTCCATGTGTTCTCATTGTTCAATTCCCACCTATGAGTGAGAACATGCGGTGTTTGGTTTTTTGTCCTTGTGATAGTTTGCTGAGAATGATGGTTTCCAGCTTCATCCATGCCCCTACAAAGGACATGAACTCATCATTTTTTATGGCTGCATAGTATTCCATGGTGTATATGTGCCACATTTTCTTAACCCAGTCTATCATTGTTGGACATTTAGGTTGGTTCCAAGTCTTTGCTATTCTGAATAGTGCCGCTATAAACATAGGTGTGCATGTGTCTTTATAGCAGCATGATTTATAATCCTTTGGGTATATACCCAGTAATGGGATGGCTGGGTCAAACGGTATTTCTAGTTCTAGATCCCTGAGAAATTGCCACACTGACTTCCACAATGGTTGAACTAGTTTACAGTCCCACCAACAGTGTAAAAGTGTTCCTATTTCTCCACATCTTCTCAAAAGAAGACATTTATGCAGCAAAAAACACATGAAAAAATGCTCATTATCACTGGCCATTAGAGAAATGCAAACCAAAACCATAATGAGATACCATCTCACATCAGTTACATTGACTGTGAGCTCTTATCCCATCTCACCACCTGGGAATAACCTGGTCTGCTCCTTGACCTTCCTATAGGGACAAGGCCTAGTAGGACACAGCCTAAGAGCCTAAGAGAACTCAGGTCTCCAGTAAGGTCCCCAGGGGAGTGCCAGTCAAAAGTCAGTTTAATCACTATTTAGGAAAGGCCCCTAACCCTGATTTGGGGAAGGTCATGCCTCAATTGAACTGTCACACTGGGCCAACTCCTTGGTCCAGCCAGACAGAACACTGGTGGACACATCATGGAAAAATCTTGTGTCAACTTCAGTAGACTCATTGGACCATCCACAGTAAGGATTAGGGTTGGATCGGTCAGGGTCCCAGCAGGAAATTAGCTCGCCACTCCAATGGGGTGAGACCAACTTGAGCTGAGATGAATAAAGAATTATTTAAAAGGAAAAAATGTGCAGGGTGTTGGAAATTCTCAAAGGACAGTGCAGTAACCTGAGGCTTGTGGCAGTGGAGCAGTTACCCCCTTAGGCCTGGAGGGGTGAGGAGGAGGGAGCAATTATCAAAATCTGGACACAGAGAAACCTGTGAGTGCAGGGTCATAAAGCAGGAGCAAAGACCCTCAGTCAAGGAATGCGACTGACCCCAGTCGGCCCTGCGAAGAGGGAGCAAAGAGAAGAAATATCTTGACCTCGCTCCTTCACTCCTACCTCTTGACAATGCTCCCCAGCCCAACCCAACCCAAGCCCTAAGATCAAGGGAGCCCTTTGATGTGGTTCATACAGGTCAGCCTCTGAGGGCACAGAGCAGGAGGACAGGGAGCAGTGGACCTACAGGGACGCACAGAGTCACAGCGTCTGACGTTGGCTGAATCCTCCCTTAAGCACTTTCATTCACTTAATGTAGTGTAGTTTAGTTGACCTTAACAATTAACATATGAGGCAGGTAATGTTATTGTTCCCATTTTACGGATGAGAAAGATGAGTCTCAGAGGGATGAAGTTGCCTGACCAGGGCCACACAACTGGGAAATGGCTGAGCCAGGATGTGAACCCAGTTCTCCTCTCCTCTTGACTATTTCCCAGGCTGGCCTAAAAGAGGCTGAAATGAATGTGTCCCCAGAAACCTGAATACCTCTCTGGTTTGTCAGGATCCAGCCAGGACTGATGGTGCTTTAAAACACTGAAGTGTAGTACTACCAAAGGGGCTTCAAGAAAACCTGCACACCAGGCTGGGTACGGTGGCTCATGCCTGTAATCCCAGCACTTTGGGAGGCTGAGGCGGGCGGATCACTTGAGGTCAGGAGTTCGAGAACAGCCTGGCCAACATGATGAAACCCTGTCTCTACTAAAAATACAAAAATTAGCTGGGTGTGGTGGCTATGCCTGTAATCCCAGCTACTCGGGAGGCTGAGGCAGGAGGATCGCTTGAAACGGGGAGATGGAGGTTGCAGTGAGCTGAGATCACGACACTGCACTCCAGCCTGGGTGACAGAGCGAAACTCTGTCTCAAAAATAAATAAATAAATAAATAAATAAATAAATCGTGCATAACATCTTCCAACGGGTAATACACATTTGGTTCTAACTAATGTCATTATCGCCAATTATTAAGCAGAGATGGTCCCTAGAAAGTGTGTCTCAGGAGTACTGTGGAGTCAACTGAGCCTTCACCAATTGGCCCAAGTATCCCCCCAGGGACAGGGTGAGTGAACAAAGCCCGCCCAGCCATCTCTCACCGTTTGAGACTCAGTCCTAGCAAGGGACAAGAGGCTGACATGAAAACGCCCCCCTTCCCTCTGTCCTCTCCCTAAGCCAACATCCCTGCCTTCAGCCTCCAAGTGGGGCCAAGATTATGCCCACCCAGGATGAGGGAGCAGGATGCCTTCCTGCCCTCGACCGACAGCAGCCACAAGTCATTACCTGGGACCTATCTGGGGCACCTCTTCCCCGGCTAGGATGCCACAAATGCCCAGATGATGAACACTGATTGCGGTCGAGAGCAGCCCCAGCAAACCGGATACCCCTCACATATGAGTAGATTCCTTTTCCTAAGGGGTCACCCCAGCGGGGGAGGTGACATGTTCAGGGACAGCAGATACACGTCATGATCATTCTTCCTCTGGGGCTCAGAAACAGCTCAGTAGTTCATCAGGTTCACAGCAATCAGGCCCATGGTGGCTGAATTTTTTATTTATTTTTTTTTTTGAGATGGAGTCTCGCTCTGTCACCCAGACTGGAATGCACTGGTACGATCTTGGCTCACTGCAACCTCCACCTCCTGCGTTCAAGCAATTCTTGTGCCTCAGCCTCACAAGTAGCTGGGACTACAGGCGCCCGCCACCACACCCAGCTAATTTTTGTATTTTTAGTAGAGATGGGGTTGCACTATATTGGCCAGACTGGTTTCAAACTCCTGGCATCAAGTGATCCACCCACTTCAGCCTCCCAAAGTGCTGGGATTACAGGCGTGAGCCACCATGCCTGGCCAAGGCTGATCATTTATTTGAGGGCAAAGGAGAGAGGCTATGGTGGGTTGGGGCTAAGCTAGGCACTGGGGATACAATGGGGACACAGGCCCTGCCCTCCTGAAGCTTCTAATCCGGAAGGGGAGATGGGTATTAATTGGATATCATGCCAAAGGGTGAGATGTTGCAAAGGGAGATGAGCATTGTGCAGAGAAAACATGAATGGAAAACCTACCTAGATTAGAGGGTAGGGAGGGCTTTCATGAAGAGGTGATGTTTAGATGGAGATTGAAAGGACAAGCTTGAGTTGACTCAGTAGGGACAGGAGAGCTGCAGCAGAGGGGGTAGGCCAGGGAGTAGGACAGATGCTACCCACATACCAAGAGCCACTATTCATGGGCATCGGCTCCATGAGAAGGAATGCAGACAGCTTCTAGGAGCAAAGACCAGCCCCCAGCTGGAAACAGGCACCTCAGTCCTACAATCACAAGGAACTGAAATCAGCCAACAACCTGAACAAGTCTGGAAGTGAATTCATTCCTGGAGCCAACAAATGGAACGTGGCCCTGCTGACCCCCTGATTTTGGCCTCATGAGGCTGTAAGCAGAGGACACAGCTGAGCCAGGCTGTACCTGGTCTTCTGACCTTCAGAACTCTGACATAACAAATGCACATTTTTTAAGTTGCTCCATTCGTGAAAACTGGTTACAGCAGCAAAGGAACATGCATACGCTTCCCATACTGTGAGAAGCCCAAGTCACACGGAGAGGCCTGAAGGATGAGGCCCCATGCTGACAGAGAAGCCGGGGAGCCCTGTGGCCCTGAACCTAGGGATGAAGACGACCCCTGGGATGTACAGCTCTGCCGAGTATTCGGATGAGTCCACCCCCGCTGCAACTGACCCACAGCTGCAAGAGGGACTCCAAGCCAGAACCACCCCCCTGAACCCACTCAACCCACAGAAGCGTGGGAGAGAATGACCCACTGGGGTTTTAAGCCACTAAGTTTCACAGCCACAGATAACCAGAAGTGGCTGTTGTGAGGATTAAATTAGAGTTAATACCCTAAAGCGCACAGAACAGCAAATACTCCATAAATGTCAGCAAATACACTTTTACTATGATCATTCCCACTTGGCAAGTGAAGAAATCGGGACTCAGAGAGGGATGTGCAGAGCTGGAGGGCAGCACAGCTGGGATCCCAGCCTCACATCTGCCTGACTCTAGATCCCTGTTCCTCCCATGGCACTCAGCTGGCTTCTAACCCTTCGCGCCTGCTAGAAGGGAAGGTTGTACTTCTCCCGTGGCAGTGGGCTTCCATGCTGCCAGGACAATTAAAGAATCTATCTGCCCTTATCTGACACAGGATTCCTGCAACCAGTGACCAAGCTGCAGGAGGCTGACAAACCCCCCAACAGAACTCTTATGTCATTAGATTCTCATTTCCTCTTCCAGGCAGCTTCACGGAAAGGTAGACCAGGCATGAAGGGTGCAGCTAGCAAGGACAGTCCCTTGCTACTCAGCCCTGCCTCCCACTGCCCCATCTCTGCACCCCAAGAGCCGCGTATAGGAAGCTGCTGTCCCTCAGCCAGCACAGCACCAGGACTGGAGGTTGCCCAGCTGGTGGCTTTGAGCCCTGAGGGCAATTCATCACGTCTACAGGATTCATTTCCATGAGAGTCTGCTGCATCCAGCCTCCTGAACAGAATAGCAATAACCAGGTGCCATCACCGGAAACTGAAGCCCATGCAGTTGACACAGTCCAGAGTCTGCTGCTCCCCAGCTGTGGGACATAGGGCAGGTCCCTTCTCTCCCATAAGACAGAGCCAAAAAACATAGCAAGGAAAGAAATATTCTTTCTCAGTTTCTCCTTTTCTCTCCACCCCCCTCTTCGTATCATCCCCTCTCCTCTCATTCCTTTCTCTCTTTATTTGTTCCTTTATTCTCTGAGAGCACCGGAGGAAAGGCATGGACAGCTAGGCTTCCTTACCTGTCCCCAGTGCTTGTTTCTGCTCCCCCTGCCCTCCAGCCATGTTCAGGACCTGGCTGATCACAAGAACTTGCTGGCCACACTCAGGCCATGGCTGGGATTCCATGACAGCAAATGTCCCCACCGCAGAGACCTCAGAAGTGCGGTTAGAGAAGGAACCATGGACCACGATGTGAAATCTCCTCCCGGCTCTGTCTGGTGACTCTTAAGGTCCCCTTTCTATCCCTGCCTCTGTGTCTAGATCCAGAGAATGAGGACAGGACTTGGAATTTTCCACAGGATGGTGGATGAAGAACTGATACGTGGAGATATTAAGTAAAATCCCTGTGCTCTTGCAGTTAATCGGTGGTGGGCAGGAATTATCAAACCATTCTCTTCTCCCACCTACCACCCTCCTCCTCCCTCCACCCAGCATTAGATCTGGGCCTTCTCTCCATTCTGTGTTCTGTCAGGGGCCTGAAGATGACAAATAAATTGTTGGATCCATAGAGACCATCTCAGATGTGTCCTTGCAGGTCTGGCTTCTCTTCTGGGATGATCACAATGACAATGACATTAAAAAAAAAAAAAAGCCATGCACATGAGGAGACACAGTGGTCTAGGGAGAGTGGCAGAGAAAGTCTATAGG
This sequence comes from Homo sapiens, assembly GCF_000001405.40. Lineage (NCBI taxonomy): Eukaryota > Metazoa > Chordata > Mammalia > Primates > Hominidae > Homo > Homo sapiens. The sequence goes on along the minus strand of NC_000016.10, from coordinate 9,211,910 downwards.
CAGCTGGGTGTGGTGGCTCACACCTGTAATCCCAGCATTTTGGGAGGCTGAGGCTGGCGGATCACCTGAGATCAGGAGTTCGAGACCAGCCTGGACAACACGGTGAAACCTGTCTCTACTAAAAATACAAAAATTAGCCAGGTGTGGTGGTATACACTTATAGTCCTAGCTACTTGGGAGGCTGAGGCAAGAGAATTGCCTGAATCCAGGAAGCAGAGGTTGCAGTGAGCCAAGATCGTGCCACTGCACTCCAGCCTGGGTGACAGAGCAAGACTCCACCTCAGGGAAAAAAAAAAAAAAAAAAAAACTCAGGTCTACCCAACTCCAAAGCCACTGCCCCAGCCTCCGCCCTACTGAGGGATGCACACCAACCTCCTTTCAAAGCCTGCATTCCCTGATGCTGCTGGAGGCCTAGAAATTTACTCCAAAGCTGGGAGATTTATGCAGCTAATTTCCATTAGGACTAACGGAAGAAAGAAAAGGCCATATTTCTTGTAATTAGAAGAGAATTCAATCTTCACAGCCAATGCGTCTAATATCTCAGCTTATGTAACAAAAGAAAGAGAATGCAAATGGAGATAATTAGGGGACAGAAAAAACCATTTGGATTACTGGCTGCAGGAGTGATGGGGTGAAGGTATAATACAATTTTGGATGGAAATAGTTCTCCGCAGCCAGTCAGGGTGGACTTTAAATGCCCATTATCATCAATGCCAGCGCTTGTAGACAGGCAACAGTGTGGTAGTTCTGCACATCACTTACACTATCTCCTAACACAAAGGGAATTGTGGAGGAGGGACTATGATTACGCCCATTTCAGAGATAAAGAACTAAGGTTCTGAAAAGCAATATGCCTCACCAATTATCACAAAATGCATCCCATCACTCAGCCTCTATCTAACAGGCGCCTACTTCATGCCAGGCACACAGACGATAGCTCCTCAGCAGCCCAGGATGATCCAGGATCCAAACCTATGTCTGTTTCACACTAAATCCACTTCCCGTCAGAGCAGAAACTCATTCAATATTTGCCAAATGAATGAATTCCTTCAAAGTTTTTATTCTGCCGCTATTTCTTTGCTGCTGGCAAGAGTTCCTAGCAGAGGGGCATTGGGATGAAACATCAAAAGAAGCCGGGGCCTTGCCAGCTGCCATCAGCTCCCTGTGCCTCTGAGATGGGCTGCTTCTGCCGGAGCCAGGCTTCAGGTCTTGTCCTGCAGCCCCGGTGAGCCCCCAATGGTGGCCTGTGTTCAGCAACTACAAAAGGTATGAGCTAATGGAGTATTGATTTTGTTTTTAAAGCAGCAAAAATTGCAGGCATTGCAGGAAAGCACAGCCAAGGAGAGGGGGAGTGAAGAGTGAAAACCCAGCCCCTCAAGATCCCCCAGCTCCGCCAGTCCTCTGCTTTGCTCCAGGGGACAAGAAGAAGGAGCCAGAGGCTGGAAGGGAATGGGCACATCGTACAGGCAGGTGACACACTGTGCCATCGGCATGCCTTGCCTCCTGGGGCCTTTGCAACAGTCCTGGGGCAGAGTTACTGATGCTATTGTACAGATGAGAAAACCAGTGTTCAGAAAGGATAGGTCCCTTGCCCAATGTCACAGAGGCACTGAGTGACACAACTGGGAATTAAGTTTTTATAACTCTAGAACTTGGGTTGTTGGCTTTGCACTAAAAGAAACCCTAAAACACAGACTCTTAGAAGAACTTAAACACACCATGCTAAGGAGGCTGTTTTTCTAGTTGTTGTTGTTTGTTTGTTTTTTGATTGAGTTTTGCTCTTGTTGCCCAGGCTGGAGTGCAATGGCACAATTTTGGCTCACTGCAACCTCTGCCTCCCAGGTTCAAGCGATTCTCCTACCTCAGCCTCCCAAGTAGCTGGGATTACAGGCGCCTGCCACCACACCTGGCTAAATTTTGTATTTTTAGTAGAGACGGGGTTTCACCATGTTGGCCAGGCTGGTCTCGAACTCCTGACCTCAGAGGATCCACCCGCCTCGGCCTCCAAAGTGCTGGGATTACAGGCGTGAGACACTGCGCCAGGCCAAGGAAACTTTTCTATCCTGCTTTCTTTGTTTATAAGAGTAGGTGGACTGCTAGGTGCAGTGGCTCAAGCCTGTAATCCTAACACTTTGGGAGGCCAAGGCAGGCGAATCACCTGAGCCTGGGAGTTCAAGTCCAGCCTGGGAAACATGGCAAAACCCTGTCTCTACCAAAAACACAAAACAAACTAGCCAGGCATGGTGGTGCGTGTCTGTGGCCCCAGCTACTGGGGAGTCTGAGGTGGGGGACCGCTTGAGCCTGGGAGGCGGAGGTTGCAGTGAGCTGAGACTGCACCATTTTCTCCAGCCTGGGTGACATAGTGAAACTCTGTCTCAAAAAAAAAAAAAAAAAAAAAAAAGAGCGGGCTATAACTGCAAAACATTCTCCTTCTGTACACGGTATGAACTAGACATCACACCTCAATTTTTGCACAGAAACAATTCCATTCCACTTCTGAGACAGTGGAAGTCCATTAAGGAAGCCATTAAGGAGTCTTTGACAGAGTCACCTGAAAGCACCAATTTCCCCAGGGGTCACTCTCCTGGAGCGACCCAAGGGCCTGGAGGGAAATCTTAGTCCCACATGGCATGTTTAACCTCAATCAAATAATCTGGCACAGCCATTCCTCCAGGCGTCTCCTTCCACAGGGCAGGCTGTTTCTCAGGAGTATGAGTTTGCATTTTCTACATGAAAGGTGTTATTGTTCATCCCTTCTCAACTCTGAAATGTCTCAAAAATCTGAAAAGACATTTTCTTTCTTTTTGAGATGGAATTGTTGCGCAGGCTGGAGTGCAGTGGCGCGATCTCGGCTCACTGCAACCTCCGCCTCCCGGGTTCAAGTGATTCTCCTGCCTCAGCCTCCCAAGTAGCTGGGATTACAGGCATGGGCCCCCATGCCTGGCTAATTTTGTATTTTTAGTACAGCTGGGGTTTCTCCTTGTTGGTCAGGCTGGTCTCGAACTCCTGACCTCAGGTAATCCACCCACCTTGGCCTCCCAAAGCGCTGGGATTACAGGCGTGAGACACCACACCTGACCTGAAAAGACATTTTCTTGGGAGGATCAGAAAATAATTTTGTTTCTAATTTCACAGAGTTTTCTGGGGTTTTTTATTTTTTATTTTGTTTGTTTATTTATTTTTAAGACAGTATCTCACTCTGTCACCCAGGCTGGAGTGCAGTGATGCAATGTCAGTGTACTGCAACCTCCACTTCCTGGGTTCAAGCGATCCTCCCGCTTCAGCCTCCCAAGTAGCTGTGACTACAGGCACACCACCATGCCTGGCTAATTTCTGGATTTTGTTGTTATTGTTGTTGATGTTTTGTAGGGAAGGGGTTTTGCCATGTTGCCCAGCCCGCTCTTGAACTCCTGAGCTCAAGCAATCCTCTACCATGGGCCTCCCAAAGCCCTGAAATCACAGGCAATGAGCCACCATGCCCAACCTCACAGTTTTCTATAAGCCTAATTGTATTCACTTGTGTTCACCCGACCTTCCTTCTACACACACTTCCAGATGTTGAAATAGCTACCTGTAACGAACATCGACAATGTGCTAAAGGTTTTACGTTAACGGTTTCGTTGAACCTGCAAAACAGCCCCATGAGGTCCATGCTATTATCATCACCCCACTGTGGAAACAGGAAGACTGAGACCTAGAGAAGTCCTGTATCACCAGGTCAACCTAGCAGGAAGCTTGCATCTGAGCCCAGAGCTCAAGGTCATAATCATTATACTGTATGACCTCCTTGCTTTTCTCACTCAAAACCTTCAGGGCCTTAAAGGAAACTACCATCAAGGGCAGTTTATGCTGGAACCAAAAATGGTGGCCAGGGTTCTATGCTGAGGATCAGGGAGTCCAGAATAAGGAACCAGCCGCACTTGAGTTTACCATGTAATTGGAGACAAGTCACCAGCTCCCATTCTGCATCCCCATCAGGTTCTCAGATGTAGCCCCCATTACTTGTCCACCCTCATGCCCTGCTTCTCTATACCTTCTTCTTACATGCCAGAAACAGCTAACTGCTCCTAGCTCCCTGTGCCCACTAAATTCCTTGTGCTATACTGCCTTGGCCCGAGTAGTTCCTGTCACCTCCCATGCCTTTCCTACATTCTCCACCTGAACTCATTTTTCAAGTCTCTGCTACAAGGTCACTGTTGAGAGCTACTCAGAATCTTGAGGAGGTCTAATTTTAAAACAGAATTAGAAATGCATCAGTGCAGGTAGAAGACAGAAAATTGGGGATGGGACACGTGCAGTGGCTCATGCCTGTAAACTCAACACTTTGAGAGGCTGAGGTGAGAAGAATGCTTGAGGCCAGGAGTTCAAGACCAGCCTGGGCAACACAGTTAAACCTTGTCTCTAAATAAAAAAATTAAAAATTAAAAAATTAAATATTCAATAAAAAATAAAAATTAGGCCAGGCACAGTGGCTCATGCCTGTAATCCCAGCACTCGCCAAGGTGGGTGAATCATCTGAGGTCAGGAGTTCGAGACCAGCCTGGCCAACATGGTGAAACCCCATCTCTACTGAAAATACAAAAAAATTAGCCCAGTGTGGTGGCTCACACCTATAATCCCAGCTACTCAGGAAGCTGAGGCAGGAGAATCGTTTGAACCCAGGAAGGGGAGGTTGCAGTGAGCCGAGATCGCACCACTGCATTCCCGCCTTGGTGACAGTGCGAGACTCTGTCTCAAAAATAAATAAATAAATACATACATACATACATACATACATACAAAATAAAAATGAGTGCATATTCTCCCTCCACAAAGCAAAACATCTTGTTAGGACATAGATTTGTTTGGGTTGTCTATTGCCAAGTGGCCAACTATTCCAAAACTTAATGGCTTAATACAACAGTGCTTTATTTTACTCACAAATTTATAGGTTGAGTAGGGCTCAGTGAAAACAGCTCATCTCCATTCGAGGTGGCACGCACTGGGGTAGCTAGATGGAGAACTAAATCATAACTCGTATGGCTGACAAGTTGGTGCTGTCTATCAGCTGGGACCTCAGCCAGGGCTATGGGCTGGGGACCTCAGTCTTCCTCACATGGGCCTCTCCACAGGACATTTGGGCTTCCTCACAGCATGATGGCTGGCTTCCAAGATGGAGCACAAGGCAGATGTGCATGGCATTTTTATAAGCTAGGCTCAGAAGTCACATACCATCACTTCTACGTTCAGTTGGTCAAGACAGTCCCCAAGACCCATCCAGATTCACAGGGAGGGCACAAAAATTACAACTCAATGGGGATGCCAAGGCCATAGCACCGCATGTGCGACAGGAGACCTTACTGTAATCATCTATGGAAAATACAATCTGCCACAATTTGCACATGGCTTTTCATAACCTCCAACTAATTGTTTTAGAATTTCTCATTATTTCCCACACCCTCTGAGAGGAGCCAATGCCAGAAAGAAGCAACATCCAGGTGACCCAGAATATTGGATGCACAATGGTGAACTTCCGGATGTCTCAGGGAATATCAAAGGCTATGGCAAAGCCCCAGGCAAGATAAGATCAAAAGCCTTTCCTTCTGCCTTTTTTGTTTTGTGGGTTGCCATAGTGATGGCAAGGGTAAAATTTGAGAGGCAATTGTAGACATTATGATGATAGTGGCTCTTACAAAATCTGCACCTAAGTTCACCAACACACACACACACACACACAAACGCACACACACATGGGATCAGGGCATGTAGAACCGAGTATTGCAAGGACTGGTATCCAAAAAAAATGAATTAAGTTTTCTAAAATTCTGCTGGTTGTAATGCGTCTGTCTTTTTAGCTGATCTTGACACCCCAAAGACACAAAGCTACTAGGATGGTAGGCTCCCTGGGAATTCTTCTCTGCTCCTTCAAATAAAGCTGTGTTCTGCCTCTCAGCTTCCATAACCAGCTTGTTCTTATCCTTGTCACAGCCTATATTGGTCTGCACTCTAATCAGCTATGCACCTGTCTGTCTCCTTCATGGGATGGAGATGACTTGAGAAAAGGGACCCCCATCACGTAGCACAATGCCTAGTCACACAGCAGGTGCTCAACAGATGTTGGGAAACTGACTTAACCATCTCTATCTCTTTCTTCCCGCAGTGCATTTGTCAACTTAGCATCTTCATTGTTTTGGATCCTTGAGGGACATTGAACTGCTGTGAAGGGAGTGAGTGCTGTGGTACACATGCTAATTCAACTTTGCCCTATTGTTGGACAGTGGAATGATTTCCTTTTTTTCCCATTGTAAATAATGCTATGATGAGACACGGATGAATAAAACCTTTTCTGCATTTCAGATTATTCCCTAAGGCTCACTTCCAAGTTTGGAAACTACTGGATGAAAGGATAGAGACATACTGAAGGCTCTTGATTCAAGCCAGAAAACTGTTCTTCATAAAGACAGCAATTTGCATTCTGTAGCTGCATTTTAACATGACAATGATACTAATAGTAATAATATCAGTAATAATAACAGCAATGTAATATAGTACTCACCAAGTACCATATATCCTTCTAAGTTCTTGATATTAATTATCTCAGTTAATCCTCTTAACAGTCCTATAAATAAAGCATGATTATTATCTCCATTTATAGACAGGGAAACTGAGGGACAAAAATTGTCCTTGCCCAGAGACACACAACCAAGATGTCAGACCAAGCTACAAACCCAAAAAGCCCTAAGACAGAAGCATGAGAGCCTCATCGTCTTCCTTCCTCACGATGGTTAAAGAGAAAGCAGGTCAGACATCCCTTCCATAACTCATATAACGCCATTAAGCAATCTTCCATCTTCCATTTCTGCAAGGCCAGTTGGGTATCCCCAGTGAATGTTGACCCTGAGCCTTAGGTTACATTCCCTAGAGGCAGAGTCTGAGATGGGAATTGGAGAGTGTGATCTGTTGAGGAAGGGTTCTCAAGAGAAGTGCGAGGGAAGCAGGAAGGGATCGTGGAAGAAGTGAGCAAGAATATGGCTTCAGGTCAAGTTCACCCGGCCTGATCCTGGTAGGGGTTCTGCAGCACTAATCAAATGACACCGGCTGAGCACCATGTCTCATGTCTGTAATCCCAGCAATTTGGGAAACCATGGTAGAAGGATTGCTTAAGGCTAGGAGTTTGAGATCAGCCTAGGCAACATAGTGAAACCCTCCCTATCTCTACAAAAAAAAGAAAAAATAGAGAAAAAAAGAAATTGCTCACCTATAGTCCTAGCTACTCAGGAGTCTGAGGCAGGAGAATCACTTGAGCCCAGGAGCTGGAGGCTGCAGTGAGCTATGATGCACACCATTGCACTGCAGCCTGGGCAATAGAGCAAGATCCTGTCTCTAAAAAAAAACAAACAAAAACAATGACAGGGACCTCCCCAGTTTGACTCAGAGGTCCAACCTTTATAACTAGGGTGTTAGTCATTGGCTGAGTGCTCTCCCTGCATATGAAGGAGTATGACTTCCCAAGGTGAGGTGGCTCCTGTCAGGAAAGGGCAGTTCCCTGGAGACAATTCCCTGGACAGCGGTGAGCTCTTAGCAGCCAACATGCACAGCACCTTGAAGATGGATTTGCCAGCTGATGAAGGGGAGCCAGGCAGGGCACCAGCAGAATCTACGGTGCCTTCCATGCTTCCTACATAAACCAACAGCCTAAACGCAATCATCCCAAATGGTTTTTCTTCCCCTCTCTGAGTTGCACCATAGACATATTGCTAAATGAGACTTCCCTATAAGTGAAATGGGAAAGTTCCCTGACTTCCGTCATAGGACGTGCAACAGGGGTGTGGCTTGTCTGTTCGGCCGCCATGCATGCTCAAACCCCTTACGGGAAGGGGAGCAGACAGATGGGCAGGTGCAGGAGCCAGGGCAAACACCCCTGGGCTACTGCCCCATGGCAGCGTCCAGGGGTCAGTGTCTGCGACTCCCGAAGCCCAAGAGGGCATGTGTTACAGTGCACTCTTTTAGCTTGCTGCCCACAGATGACTTAATTGTTAACCAGCTCAGTGGACCCTCTGCCTTTTTCCAAGGGTAGAAGGCCAATGTAACAGCTTTCTGTATCCCGAGCTCTTGTCTGGCATCCAGGAAAAATGAGGTCTTGAAGGATGAATACGGGGGTTTTATTGAGTGGTGGAGGTGACTCTCAGTGGGATGAATGAGGAGCTGGAAAGGGGATGGAGAGGGAAGATGATTGCCCCCTGGAGTTTGGCCGTCCAGTAGCTGATCTCCTCTCTGACCATCCCCAGCTGAACTGTCAGTGTTCAGACTCCTTCTCTTCTCTCTGCTGTGCCATTCTACAATTCTGCTCTTCTGTTTGTCTCCTCGTGGAGCCTGGGTTATATATGGGTATAGGATGGGGGGCATGGTGGGCCAAAAGGCAACTTTTGGGCACAAAAACAGGAATACCTATTCTCATTTATGACCACGGGTTTACAGGCTTGAGGGTGGGGCCTTTCCCAGGGAACCACCCTCTTCTAACCAGTATTTCCCTGTCTCCTGTCTTTATCATAAGTGTCCCTCACTGGGCTCAGAGAAAATGCTGATGGCACAAGAGTGGAACTGTGAGACAGTTCCAGGGAAACAGAGACAAAGTGAATGCATGTTGTAATGCTTCATCTTTGGTGAACTTCACTGTGGGTCAGAAAAGAAGGAATTCTTCAGGAGGATGTTTGGAAGGTAGCCCTCCAGAAGCAAGTCCAAGGAGGAGACAGGAGAAGGAATAATGGCTCCCCACGGTCCTGTCCCAAGCCACATTCCCCATCTACTAGTTCCTCGCTGGAATTTAAGGAAACAAGGATGAATTAGAGACAGGCCCAGCTCTGACAGAGCTCAGTGCATAATGAAGAACACAGAGGCACAAGCAACCTCAATGCAGATTCACAGGGTGCCAGGAGCACAGAGGAGGGGCAGCCACTGCAGTGGGACAGGGAAGGTCAACAAGGGCTGCAGAAGACCTTGACATCATACCTGAGTCCTGATATTTGGTGGGCCAATGGAAATTACCTGGGAATAGCAAGGGGCAGAAAGGACATTCCAGACAGAGGAAGCCACACACGCAAAACGCAGGAGGCCTGATCCAGCATGGGGGCTTCCACAAAAGCCCATTTTACAGGAGAGAAAACTGAGGTTCACAGGAGTGAAGCAGCTCCCCACAAAGGCACATTAATAATGATAAAAGTAAAACTTCAGCCAAATTAAATGTAAAGGAGTTTAATTCAGCAATGAATGATCTGCGAACCGGGCAGCCCCCAGAACTGGAACAGATTCTCAGAGACTCCAGCGCGGCCACGTGGTGGAAGATTTATAGACAAAAAAAAAATGAAAAAGGGAAATGACGTACAGAAATCAACAGTGAGGTACAGAAACAGCTGGATTGGTTACAGGTTGGCATTTGCCTTATTTAAACACAGTTTGAGCATTTAACAGTCTATGAGTGGTTGAAGTTCGGCCACTGGGATTGGCCAAGACTCAGCTATTGTTACAGGCACATACTCCTAAATGAGCTTTTCAATCTTGTCTATTAAGCTAGGTTACAGGTGGTGCACAAGGACTCAAACGTAGAAGTATGAAGTCCTTCTCAGGCCATATGTAGTTTGCTTTAACAATAATAAGTGGCTGAGCACAGTGGCTCACACCTGTAATCCCAGCACTTTGGGAGGCTGAAGTGAGTGGATCATCAGGTCAGGAGTTCGAGACCAGCCTAACACAGTAAAACCCCTTTCTACTAAAAATACAAAAATTAGCCAGGCGTGGTGGCAGGCGCCTATAATCCCAGCTACTCAGGAGGCTGAGGCAGGAGAATTGCTTGAACTCAGGAGGCAGACGGTGCAGTGAGCTGAGATGGTGCCACTGCACTACAGCCTGGGCAACAGAGCAAGACTCTGTCTCAAAAATAAATAAATAAATAAATAAATGGCAGAATTGGAGTCTGCTCTCTATACTTCAGCAGAAATCGCCCATGAGTGGAAGAAACATTTTCAAAGGAGTGATAAACCATCCCACACCTACCATCTAGCAAACAAGATGGATGCTGAAGGGAGTCACAGAACATAGAAATGTAATGTCATCCTCCACCCCAATCTCTCTGTCTCTCTCAGCTCCACCCCATCTTTCTCTCTCTCTCTCTCTCTCTCCCCTTCTCTCATTATTGGATTAATCCTTAGGTCTCCTTGATGCCATTCATGGCAGACAGCAGCTGTACACCTTTTCCTTCATTTCAGGAAACTCAGACATGACACTTCTGAAGATCCCAGGTTGTCTCACTTTTATGCCCTAGAGACAGATTCAGGCCCTACCATGGCCACGAAAGTCAGAAGTGTATAAAATTCCAGTTAGACAGGAGGAATGAGCTTTTGACATCTGTTGCACAAAAGTTTAAGTATGTGAAGAGACGGCTATGTCTATTAGCTTGACTTAATCATTCCACAATGTATACATATATCAAAACATCACACTGTTCCTCCAAAATATCTACAATTATTATTTCTCCATTTTTTATTTATTATGTTTTGAGATGAAGTCTCACTCTGTCACCCAGGTTGGAGTGCACTGGCGCGATCTCAGCTTACTACAACCCCCACCTCCCAGGTTCAGGCGATTCTCCTGCCTTGGCCCACCGAGTAGCTAGGATTACAGGCACCTGCCACCACATGTGACTAATTTTTGTATTTTTAATAGAGACGAGGTTTTACCATGTTGGCCAGGCTGGTCTCAAAGTCCTGACCTCAGGTGATCCACCCTCCTCAGCCTCCCGAAGTGCTGAGATTACAGGTGGGAGCCACGGCACCCAGGCTATTTGTACATTTTTTTAAAATTGTGTTTAAAGGAAAGGAAAGAAAGTCATAGTATTCCTAGGGAGAACTTCCTAAATAGGCAGAGGAATTCAAATAAGAGGGGAAGGTCTACCTGCAGATAGTGGATCATTCAAACTGATACAGCTTTAAGATAATTGTCAAATCCCTGGAGGAAACAGGGATTTTACTCCAGGGATTTGTTTTACTCCAGTAAAACAGGGAGGGGGTGTTGGGAAGGGAGAAGATTCCTAAGAGTTTGTCTTCCCAGATCACACCAGTATTTTCCAAAGTGTAGAAAATGTGCTCGTGGCATATAAAATTATTCGAGTTGAACACAGCATTGCAAAACATCTCATCACACAGTCAAACGGTCACTCTCTGTCTATTGGTTTTCAACCCTCCCAATTAATGCAAAGAGAAAGTCTCCCTGGATGAGTTTGTCTTTAAGAACTGGAACCCTTCCTAATCCTTTTTAACTTACAGAGCCCTTGCCTCTGGCTAAGAGTCTTCCCCAGCAAATGTACCCAAGTGGAATGGAATACCATTGTCTCCTTTGTCACTGTCTTCACTTTGCTGTTTTTACATGTAAGCTTTTATTTTTCAATTGGCAATTCATTTTTTAACTTTTTAATATTTATATAATGGTTGAAAGGTTTGCAAATCTGTCTTTAATTCCATTCTAGTTGTTTGCCTTTTTTTTTTGAGACGGAGTCTCACACTCTCTCCCAGGCTGGAATGCAGTGGTGCGATCTCAGCTCACTGCAACCTCCGCTTCCCAGGTTCAAACTATTCTCCTGCCTCAGCCTCCCTAGTAGCTGGGATTACAGGTGCCCGCCACCACAACCAGCTAATTTTTTGTATTTTTTTAGTAGAGACAGGGTTTCACTATGTTGGCCAGGCTGGTCCCAAATACCTGACCTCATGATCCACCCGCCTCGGCCTCCAAAGTGCTGGGATTAAAAGTATGAGCCATCATGCCCAGAATGTTTGCCCATTTTTACATATATTTTACAATTGGAAGAAAGGAAAGAAAGAGGAAAAGAAGGAAGAAGGAGGAAGGAAGGAAGGAGAAGGGGAAGGGGAAGGGAAGGGAAAGGGAGGGAGGGAAGGAAGGAGAGAAGGAAGGAAAATGAAGGAAGGAGGGAGGGAGGGAAGGAAGGAAGGAAGGAAGGAAGGAAGGAAGGAAGGAAGGAAGGAAGGACTTATGTAGAAAAAAACCTAAGGGATGTAAACCATCCAACGCTTTTTTAAAAACACTGTATTGATTTTTATGCTTAGCGTTAGCATTTATTTCCTCTTTATGACATTGGGTTTCCATTTATAGTAGTGACAAAGTTTCCTGTTTAAAATAGTCTATTAATTTAATTTTAAAATGAGTTGGCTTTATATCAAGTAAAAAAACAGAACATGGATATAGATACAGCAGAAATCACACAGGTGGTAAGCGAATGACTCAAGTTTGGGTAACACTGGGAAGCTTGATTCTTTTTTTAATATTTGGCTTCCTGAAGTTTAACTCTTGGAAATGTGAGGCACATCCGCTCCTGGGGCAGAGGCAGGAAGGCTCAAAGGCGGCGCCGGTGGGAGGGAGCAGAGGGTGTCAGGATGTGCTCTCCCAGACATCCCAGGAAGTTCCCAGCATCTTGGATCCAGCTGCTGGCTTGTCAAGGTCCTTGCTCTGGGTTAATAAGCTGGGAACAGACGGAGAGCTAGTGTATAGATCGAGATGGCGGATTTTCAAGGAGGCAATTTAATGAGCAGTGGTTTGAATTGAGACCAATTTTAATGTCTTTTCTGTTTTCCACCAACTGTCACAGAAATTGCCACAAATGATGTCTTAATTCTGTTCCCTAGCGGGTCTCTGATATGGCAAAGGATGAATTTTAAATTGTTTGATCAGAATTAGCAACATTAGTCACTGCCAATAGCCTTTTAATTTCCACAGAGCTGCCAAGGGGAGCAAAAATAGAATTGTGAGGAGAGTTCCAGCAGGCAGATGTGCTCCTGGCAGAAGAGGCCTCGTGGTCTGCTGGAGGTGTCTTCAGGTGCTCTGGGGTTGGTGGAGCAAGGCCAGGGAGGTGGTCGGGGGGCAAGCGGTTTTAGCCCCAGCTTTCCACTTCCTCTGGGTGGCAAGGGTTTGCTGTCCCAAGAAACTGTGGATCCCGGCCGGGCACGGTAGCTCACACCTGTAATCCCAGCACTTTGGGAGGCCGAGGCAGGTGGATCACCTGAGGTCAGGAGTTCGAGACCAGCCTGGCCAACACAGTGAAACCCAGTCTCTACTAAAAATACAAAAATTAGCTGGGCGTGGTAGTAGGCACCTGTAATCCCAGCTACTTGGGAGGCTGAGGCAGGAGAATCACTTGAACCGGGGAGGTGGAGGTTGTAGTAAGCCAAGATTGTGCCACTGCACTCCAGCCTGGGTGACAGAGCAAGACCCCATCTCAAAAAAAAAAAAGGAAGGAAGGAAGGAAGGAAGGAAGGAAGGAAGGAAGGAAGGAAGGAGGGAAGGAAGGAAGGAAGAAAGGAACGAACTGTGGATTACGAGGGTGGTACATCGTGGACCTGCCACTCCTGCGTGAAGATCAAATTCCCCTCCTCCTGTCTCTGGCTACAACTTCCCAGGTCCCCAGGGCATGTGCCGTTTGCTCCTAATGGCAGTGCTGCATTCCCACCCAGCAGCCAGACTGACCTTTTCATTCCTAAAACAGTCCAGGCACTGTGGCTCATGCCTGTCATCCCAGCACTTTGGGAGACCAAGGAGGGAGGATGGCTTGAGCCATGGAGTTCAAGACTAGCCTGGATAAGATAGCAAGACCCTCATCCCTACAAAAAAAAAAAAAATTTAAACTTACCCAGGCATGGTGGCTCATGTCTGAAATTTTAGCACTTTGGGAGGCTGAGGCAGGAGAGTCACTTGAGGCCAGGAATTAGAGGCCAGCCTGGACAACATAGTGAGACCCTATCTCTATAAATTTTTTGTTAATTAACTGAGCATAGTGGCGGGCACCTATTGTCCCAGCTAGTTGAGAGGCTGAGGCAGGAAGATTACTTGAGCCCAGGAGTTCGAGGCTGCAGTGAGCTATAGTCACGCCACTGTACTCCAGCATGGGTGACAGAGAGAGACCCTGTGTCATTAAAAAAAAAAAAAAAAAAATCCTAAAACAGGCAACAATACTCCTCTGCTTAAAACTCTCCAAGTGAGACTATTATTCTAAGTGAAGTAACTCAGGAAAGGAAAACCAAACATCATATGTTCTCACTCATAAGTGGGAGCTAAGCCATGAGGATGTAAAGATATAAGAATGACATAATCAACTTTGGGGACTCAGGGGAAAGGATGGGAAGCAGGTGAGGGATAAAAGACTATAAAATGGGTGCAGTATATACTGCTTGGGTGATGAGTGCACCAAAGTCTCACAGATCACCACTAAAGAACTTACTCATGTAACCAAACACCACCTGTTCCCCTAAAATCTATGGAAATTTAAAACATAATAATAATAAATTAAATTAAACTCTCTAAGGGGCTTTTTCTTGCACTTAGACAAAAACTAAATTTTTTGCCATGGCCCACAAGCCCTGACCTGCTCACTGTACTCTGGCCTTCTTGCTCCTGGGGGAATGTCCCACTGTACTTGGGATAAAAACCTAAAATCTTGGCCGGGCGCAGTGGCTCACGCCTATAATCCCAGCACTTCGGGAGGCCAAGGTGGGTGGATGACTTGAGGTCAGGAGTTTGAGACCAGCCTGGCCAACAGGGTGAAACCCTGTCTCTAATAAAAATACAAAAATTAGCCAGGCGTGGTGTCGGGCGCCTATAATCCCAGCTACTTAGGAGGCTGAGGCAGGAGAATCACTTGCACCAGGGAGGCAGAGGCTGCAGTGAGCCGAGACTGTGCCATTGTAGAGCCAGACTCCATCTCAAAAAAAAAAAAAAAAATCTGAAATTTTTACAGTGAGCAACAAGGCACTGCATGAGTGTTCACTGCCTTCTTCTCCCGCCTTGTCTTACATCCTGTTCTCCCTCACTCACTGCTTTTATCCATCCCTAGAACAAGCTCATCTCTTTCCAGCCCTGGGGCCTTTGCTCATGCTGTCTCCCCATCCCTGCCCTTCCCTACAATAATCCCGTGACTGACTACTTCTCAACCTGCGTGTTTCCCCTTAAATCTTCTCTCATGAGAGAGATCTCCCTGACCACATTCGCAAAGGTAGGTTCCCACCCCTGTAGATCCTAACACAACGCATGGTATGTCCTAAAAGCACTTATGGTCAGATATAGTGGCTCATGCCTATAATCTCAGCACTTTGGAAAGCCAAGGTGGGAGGATCACTTGGGATCAGGAGTTCAAGACCAGCCTGGACAACATAGCAAGACGCCATCTCTACAAAAAATAATTTAGGCCAGGTGTGGTGGCACGCATCTGTAATCTCAACACTTCAGGAGGCCAAGGAGGGAGGATCACTTGAGCCCAGGAGTTTGAGGCCAGCCTGGCCAACATTGGGAGACTCCATTTCTACAAAAAAAAAAAAAAATTAGCTGGATGTGGTGGTGCATGCTGTGGTCTCAGGTACTCAGGAGGCTGAGGCTTGCGGAGCTCTTGAAGCCAAGAGTTTGAGGCCACAATGAGATGATCACGCCACTGCACTCTAGCCTGGGCAACAGAGCAAGACCCTGTCTCAAAAAAAAAAAACATCATTTATCACAGCTTATTCTTCTGTATTTGTTTGTTTGGGTTTTGTTTTGTTTTGTTTTGTGTTTTTGCTTGTTTTTCAAGACAGGGTCTCCCTCTGTCGCCTAGGCTGGAATGCAGTGGCACAATCTCGGCTCACTGCAACATTCACCTGCCAGGTTCAAGTGCTTCTCCCACCTCAGCCTCCCAAGTAGCTGGGATTACAGGCATGCACCATCACCCCTCATTAATTTTTGTAATTTTTTTTACTAGAGACAGCGTTTCACCAAGTTGTCTAGGCTGGTCTCAAACTCCTGAGCTCAAGTGATCTGCCCACCTCAGCCTCCCAAACTGCTGGGATTACAGGCATGGGCCACTGCGCCTGGCCTGTTTGCTTGTTTTTGCCTGTCTCCCATGTTAGGGCATAAGCTATTTGATGCAGGGCTTTGTCTCACCACTGTATTCCCTGGCACCTGGCCCATCACAGGCCATTTCACACATGGGGTCTTACTAAGTCCTCCCCACACCCTAAGAGCTGGGTGGTCTCATTCCCACACTACAGACGAGAAGCCTGAGGCTCACAGAGGTTAAGGAAGTGACCCAGCACCCATGGTGGAACCAGCATTCAAACTCACATCTCTTTTTCTCCCATAGCCCAAACCTTTACCTAAGGTCGTCTTACAAAAGGCAAGACATTCCTGTATTAGGTCAGACTCAACGCATCTTCAACCAAGAAAGTATGTCCACTTCTTACCTCTCTCCCTCCTGTCATTTGCAAAGTCAAAAGTAATTAAGTACCGGCTCTTGGAGGTAGCTTCTGGGTACACAGCATTTGCCTCTGTGAAAGGGGAGGCAGCTATTAGAAATGTCATCATTCTCCCTTTCCCAGAAAGAGCAACCTCAGCAAAGCGTGGCTTTCTTCAGTGGCAGCTGCTGACAGTTATAAGCCATGGCAGTTTCCAACGCTCACAAAAATAAATGGAAGCATTAGTCTTGGGCCCCATCAGAGGGGAGCCTGCTGCCTCTAGAGCCATCAGGCGCAGGAAAGCTGAGATGGGGCAATGGCCCTGGGTCCCTGCCGGGCAGCAGGCAGACATCCAAAGATACGGTCCCCTCCTCAGCCCCTAACAGAGCCCATCAATCAGGAGGGCTCAACCCATTCCCCAGGCCCTCACCCCAAGACCCATCGCTTTTTTTTAACAGGGTCTCACTGTGTCATCGAGCCTGGAGTGAGGTGGTGCAACCTCAGCCCACTGCAGCCTCTGCCTCCCAGGTTCAAGAGATTCTCCTATCTCAGCCTCCCCAGTAGCTGAGATTATAGGTATGCACCAACATGCCCAGCTAATTTTTGTATTTTCAGTAGAGACGGGGTTTCACCATGTTGTCCGGGCTGGTCTCAAACTCCTGGCCTCAAGTGATTCACCTGCCACGGCCTCCCAAAGTGCTGGGATTACGGGCGTGAGCCACTACACCTGGTCAGATCTACCACTTCCCACCTTCCCAGATAATCTGCTGATTTATTTGGCTTATGATCTGGTGCGCCCGTTCTAGAATGTGAGCTCCACAGGGGGAGAGGTTTTTGTCTATTTGCTCACCAGTATTTCTATCTGTGAGGCATAGTAAGCACCTCAGTAAATATTTTCTGAATGAAGGGAATGAATGGTCCTGGAGTCACACCGGTACACCCAAGTTGGAGAGTATCCATTCAGAAATATCCTTCTTATTTCCACCCAGTGGGCAGGTTAAAAGAGGGTGTCACTCTCTGAGCATAGCTTTTCCAGCACCAGTGGCAAGATGCCAGGTGCTGGTAAGGTGACATAGTTAGTAGGTATGAGACTGCTTAGCTCAAATCCCCACTGCCTATAGGCTGTACTACTCTGAGCAAGTCACTCACCCTCTCTGAGCCTGGATTTCCTCACCTGTAAAATGGTTGTGGCAGGCAGAATCATTCCTCCCCACAAAGGTGTTGTATTAGTCCAGTCTCACACTACTATAAAAGAACTAACTGAGACTGGGTAATTTATGAAGAAAAGAGCTTTAATTGACTCATAGTTCCACAGGCTTAACAGAAGGCATGACTGGGAGGCCTCAGGAAACTTACAATCATGGTGGAAGGTGAAGGGGAAGCAAGCACCTTTTTCACATCCCAGCAGGAGAGAGAGACAGTGAGCAAATTGGGAAATGCCACACACTTTTAACCCATTGGATCTCGTGAGAACTCACTCACTATCATGAGAACAGCAAGGGGGAAGTCCACTCGTATGATCCAATCACCTCCCACCAGGCCCCTCCTCCAACACATGTGGATTACAATTCGAGATGAGATTTGGGTGGGGACACAGAGCCAAACTATATCAGGGGTCCATATCCTAATCCCCAGAACCTGTGTATATGTCAGTTTACACACCAAATGAGAGTTTGCAGATGTGATTAAGTTATGGATCTTAAGATAGAGACATTATCCTGGATTAGCCAGGTGACCCAATCAAATCACAAGAGGCCTTATAAGAGAAAGAGAGAGGTGAGAGGGTAAGAAAAGGAAACATGCAGATGGAGGAAGGGAGGTCAGACTTAGAGAAAGATCTGAAAATGCAATACTGCTGGCTTTGGAGAGGGAGGAAGGGGCCATAAACCAAGGAACGCAGGTGACCTCTAGAAGCTGGAAAAGGCAAGGAAACAGATTCTCCTCTAGAGCCTCCAGAGGGAACGCAGCCCTGCTGAAATCTTGATTTTAGCCCATTAAGACCACTTCAGACTCTTGACCTCCAGAACGATAAGAAAATAAATTAGCCCAGCACAGTGGCTGATATCTGTAATCCCAGCACTTTGGGAGGCTGAGGTAGGAGGATGGTTTGAGCCCAGGAGTTCAAGACCAGCCTGGGCAACATGATGAGATCCTATCTCTACAAAAAAAAAAATGTTTAAAATTAGCTGGGTGTGGTGGTGTGCCCTGTAGTCCTGCCTACTCAGGAGGCTAGGATGGGAGGATCGCTTGAGGCTGGGAGTTAGTTCAAGGCTGCAGTGAGCAGTGATGATGCCACTGCACTCCAGCCTGTGTCACAGAGCGAGACCCTCTCTCAAAACAAAGAAAGAAAGAAAGAAAGAAAGAAAGAAAGAAAGAAAGAAAGAAAGAAAGAAAGAAAGAAAGAGACAGAAAGAAAGAAAGAAAGAAAGAAAGAAAGAAAGAAAGAAAGAGAGAGAAAAGGAAAGAAGAAAGGAAGAAAGGAAAAAAATATGTTTTGTTTTAGGCCACTAAGTTTGTAATGATTTGTCATCACAGCCCACAGGAAACTAAGACAATGCCATAAATAACAGTACCTGCCTCATGAGGTTGTTGGAGAAATTAAATGAAATATCACCACACAGCACCTGACATACAGTAGGTGCTCAGACTGACTTAGTTGTGTCACGTCAACGCCCTGCCTTCTCAGCCTTTCTTCTGCGACCCACTAAGGATGATGCCATCCTCCAAGAATGCTGGGACTAACCTTACCTCCATCTGCTACCCACATGAGTGCCTTTGTCCTGCAGTTAATAAACACCAGGGTTTTCAAGTCAAACCAGTTGGAGTTAAGGTCCTGCTCTGCCTTTCCTCCTTGGGCAATTGTGGGTAAGTTTCTTGACATTTCTAGGCTTCGTCTTCATCCTTTGTATAATGAGACCAACCACACCTCCCACGAAGTATCACTGTGAGGCCAGGAGGCGATAACACATAGGAAACACTCAGCATCCCACAAGTGGTACTGCTACTATTACTGTCATCAATAACGGCAAAGCTCACAGCTGCGCAACAGTGGAAATGGCTGTCCTAGAAGGTAGTGAGCTCCCTGCCACTAGAGGAAACCAAGCTACATTCTGAAGACTGTTCACCCTTAGGGACCCATGCATTGGATGGTGGGGATCCAGGCTGATATAAAATGTCAGAGCAGAACAGGTACAGGAAGGGGGAGTATCTTCTGAATCACTGATTCCAACCCTTCATTTTATAGAGAGGGAAACTGAGGCCCAGAGCGAAGAAGTCGAGTTCCCTCCAAGATCCCTGCCCCCCACCACCCTTCTGAACTGCAGGCAGCCTTTGTTCCTGTGCATCTTCTCCACATCTGCACCCAGAGCCAACTGTTTCCTATTAATATTAATGCAGCGGAAAATTAAACCAGACTCGCAATGCCGCTTTCCAGTCGATAACCTCTGGGCTGTGCAAGGGGCAGGCACCTTTACCATCAAGTGCCACTGGATTAGAAGTTATTATTAATGTCACAAGGGATGACTGACTGGTCTGAAGACGAGCAAGGAAAAACACAGCAGGGAAGGCACAGATTACATATGGGGAAGCTCATGAGCCGCAGCTGAGAGGGCTATGCTTTCTCTTGATAGAGCCCTCTGCATCCCAGCTCCTCACTCCAAGAACTCCCCTCGCTAAAATCCAGGAAGAATCACCATATCATTGCTATCATCATCATCTTCATTATCATCACCATAATTATCAACACTATATCATTATCATCATCACCATTATCACTGTCATCATCATCACTACCATCAGCAGCAGCAGCTTTATCATCATCCCCATCATTACCACCATAAACATCTCCATCACCATTATACCTACCATCTTCATATCATTATTACCATCACCATCATCATCATCATCACAACCATGACCATATAGTCACCATCACTGCCATATCATGATCACCCTCATTATCACCATCATCACCATATCACCAACACCATAATTGTCACTATCATCACCATCATCAGATATCATCACCATCACCATCATTATTGCCACCATCACCATGTCATCATCAACATCATCAACAATATCACTATCATCACCATACCATTATCATTCTCATCATCACTATCATCATATCACCACCATCATCACCACCATTATCATATCATCAGCAGCATTATCACCATTACCATAATCATCACCATCATCATAATTATTGTCACCATCATCACCATATCATCACCATCATCATTACCACCATTGTCATCATCATCATCACTATCATCACCATATCATCACCATCATCATCATTACCATCATCACCATATCATCACCACCATCATCATCATCATCCTGATCTCTCTCTTCAAGAATTCACTGTTCAGTGGGGAAGGCCCTGGGATAAACAGAGAACAAAGGCAGGGTCATGAGCATTGCAACCACCCCCAAGAAGTTAGGAGCACAGGGAATGGAGAGATAATTTACCTAGGAGAGGCACAGGGATCATCTTTGGATGGAGAGCCAGTGAATGACCTGTGTTGGCACAAACTGAGGGTAAAAACAGATCACCTTCACTTGGAGAAATGTTACTTCACTTGAAGTTACTCTGAGCACTGTGCAAGGAGTCTAAAGTCTAAAGTCCAGAACTCAAGTTCTGACTTGGCTCTAAGTATGTGACTTTAAGGTAGGATTTTTCAACCTTGGCATTATTGACATTTTGGGCTGGATCACTGTCCTGTACGTTGTGGAATGTTTAGCAACATCCTTTCAGGCCTCTACCCACTAGATGCCAGTAGCACTCCACCCTCCCCATTAGGACAACCAAAACTCCTGAGGAGTAAAATCACACCTGGTTAAGAACCACAACCTTGCCGGGTGTGGTGGTGCATGCCTGTAATCTCAGCACTTTGGGAGGCCGAGGCAGAAGGATCACCAGAGATCAGAAATTTGAGACCAGCCTGGCCAAGCTGTGGAGAAATAGGAATGCTTTTACACTGTTGGTGGGAATGTAAATTAGTTCAACCACTGTGGAAGACAGTATGGCAAATCCTTAAGGATCTAAAACCAGAAACACCATTTGACCCAGCAATCCCATTACTGGGTACATACCCAAAGGAATATAATTAATTCTATTATAAAGATACATGCACAAGTATGTTTATTGCAGCACTATCCACAATAGCAAAGACATGGAACCAACCCAAACGCCCATCAATGATAGACTGAATAAAGAAAATGTAGGCCAGGAACAGTGGCTCATGCCTGTAATCCTAGCACTTTGGAAGGCCAAGATGGGTGAATCACGAGGTCAGGAGTTTGAGACCAGCCTGGCCAACATGGCAAAACCCCATCCCTACTACAAATACAAAAATTAGCCGGGAGTGGTGGCAGGAGCCTGTAATCCCAGCTACTCAGGAGGCTGAGGCAGGAGAATTGCTTGAAACCGGAAGGCGCAGGTTGCAGTGAGCCGAGATTGCACCACTGCACTCCAGCCTGGGCAACAAGAGTGAAACTCCAACTCAAACAAACAAACAAACAAAAAACAGATTTGGCCGGGCACAGTGGCTCATGCCTGTAATCCCAGCACTTTGGGAGGCCAAGGCAGGCAGATCTTCTGACGTCAGGAGTTCGAGACCAGCCTGACCACCATGGAGAAACCCTGTCTCTACTAAAAGTAGAAAATTAGCTAGACGTGGTGGCACATGCCTGTAATCCCAGCTACTCAGGAGGCTGAGGCAGGAGAATCACTTGAACCCAGGAGGCGGAGGTTGCAGTGAGCCGAGATCGGACCATTGCACTCCAGCCTGGGCAACAAGAGCGAAACTCCATCTCAAAAAAAAAAAAAAAAAAAGGAAAATGTGGTACATATACACCATGGAATACTATGCAACCATAAAAAGGAATGAGATCAAGTCCTTCACAGAGACATGGATGAAGATGGAAGCCATCAATCTCAGCAAACTAACACAGGAACAGAAAACCACACACTGCATGTTCTCACAAGTGTGAGCTGAACAATGAGAACACATGGACACAGGGAGAGAAACAACACACACTGGGGCCTGTGCAGGGGAGGGGAGGCAGACCATCAGGACCAACAGCTAATGCATGCTGGGCCCTCATACCTAGGTAACAGGTTGATAGGTGCAGCAAATCACCATGGCACACGTTTACCTATGCAACAAACCTGCACGTTCTGCACATGTATCCCGGAACTTAAAGTAAAATTAATTAATTAATTAAAATAAAATAAAGTGCTCAGCACAGAGCCTGGCACACAGTAAGAGATCCATAAATGTAAACCATTCTTCTCATTACTACCCAACTCACAGGCATAGAGCAAAAATCGATGTAAGTGTGCTGATGGTCCTAACACAGCTCTCACTCCACATACTGGTCTCACCGCCCTTTCCCTGCTGCTCAGCCAAACCTTGGTGGAATGAAAAAGTTCTCAAGGAACCATAGCAGGACAGACAAATTCTCTGAAGCTTGCCCCTAAGCACCCAGCCAAGAAAGCCCCCATTCGGATTTTCAGCACTCTGCTGACTGCCAGACTGACAGAGTTAATACTGCAGTATTTTCAGCCTTCGCTCTAGCCCTGGAAAAAAAAGTGAGATGCAGCAAAGAATTCCAGGGCTTTAATATTCTTTCTGATCATTACTATTGTTGTGGTGCATTTGGCGAGCATATTATGCTTTTAAATCAGAGACCTGGCAGTTACCCAGGCTGTACCCAGCAAAGAGAGTTGTTTTGTTGGATGTCATAGAAAAAGCGATTGCAAGAAGAAAAAGAGGTGGTTCATGAGTGTGTGCATATGTCCAAATGCATCAAATTATATACATTAAATACAGCTGCTTTTTTAAAAGAAGATGCAGAAAGAGTACACACACTCTCAAAAGAAGAATTAATTGTTCATAAGCCAAAAAAGATGGTGCTTCTTGCTTCTAGGTCTCAGGGGAATATCTTTTGGTCTCTGGCAAAAGTAAAAGTATAAAAGGAAGAAAGTGGCTTTGGACTTAGAAAGAATCGGGTTCTCATTAAGTGACTTTGCATAAGCATCTTCTTGTATACAAGCCTCCGTCTCTTCACTTGCAAAATAGAAGTAACAGCCCCTTGCTCTTTGGGAAGGCATGAAATAGATACAAAGTGTTTTCCCCAGGCCCTACTCCTAATGAAAGGTGGCAATAGTAGGTGTAGGGAAGTATGGAAGAAAAAAATGGAGATGGACAGGGGGCCCTGACCAGTAGAAAAGAGGTGTTTTGTTTCCTTGTTTGTTTGGTTTTGGTTTTTTGTTGTTGTTGTTTTCAGATGGAGTTCCACTCGTTGCCCAGGCTGGAGTGCAGTGGCGCAATCTCGGCTCACTGCAACCTCCACCTCCCGGGTTCAAGCGATTCTCCTGCCTCAGCCTCCCGAGTAGCTGGGACTACAGATGTGTGCCACTATGCCCGGCTAATTTTTGTATTTTCAGTACAGACTGGGTTTCACTATGTTGGCCAGGCTGGTCTCGAACTCCTGAGGTTTTTAAGATGTGATGCTACTGCAGAGAAATGATCCTCCCACCTCAGCCTGCTGTGGGAGCCCTGGGATACTCTGAATCTGTGACAAAGGAGAGATTCCCCCCAATGAGCCCAGCCTGAAAAATCACTGCCAACACCTCCTACCAGGATGAAGGAAGGAGGAGCCACAGGCCCATAATTAAGGCATGTAAGGGAACTATGGCCACAGAAGCAGAACCCTGGACTCCACTCCTGGCTCTGGTAGAAATGCCCCAAAAAACCACTTCCCTTTTCTTTATTTTTAAAATCATTATTGATATATAATAATTGTACGTATTTGGGAGGAACATGTATTTGGTTTTGTTTTGTTTTGAGATACAGTCTCATCTGGGCTCACTGCAGCCTCTGCCTCCCGGGTTCAAGTGATTCTCCTGCCTCAGCCTCCCAAGTAGCTGGAATTACAGATGTGTGCCACCACACCTGGCTAATTTTTGTATTTTCAGTAGAGACGGGGTTTCACCATGTTGGCCAGACTGGTTTCCAACTCCTGGGCTCAAGCGATGTGCCTGCCTCAGCCTCCCAAAGTGCTGGGATTACAGGCGTGAGCCACCTCGCCCGGCCACATGTGATATTTTGATGCATGTATGCAATATGTTTGAGGCTCTGGATGGCTCAATTGCCCCGATTTGAACATTACACTTCAATTTTCTCGACTTTTCCCTCTTCATAAAAGAAGTTCTAACAGTCAACTACAATGCCTCTCCAGGCCTTTGTTTTCTCATCCCTTGAGTGGAACATAAAACATGTAACTGCTTATATCACAGAGATGCTTCAGGGCTCCAGGGAGAAATGTGCAAAATCAATGTCTCTGTCAATTGCAAAGCACTATACAAATGAGGGGACACAGCAGTGCCTTGTCATCAGCTGCTTGGCGTTTCCCAGATGATTCGCAGGTTTTAGCAGTTCCAGAAGCTTGATTCAAACTCCCAAAATTCAACTGTTTTATGTGCACTGTCTCAGACCCATAAATGCTCCAGAAACCATCTGCCTACCCTTGACACTTATTTCTTTTCAGGCCATATCCTGAGCCCATTTTTATGAATTAAGTCCTTCTGACACCTGGACTATTCATCAACCAGCCACCTAAAAATGGCACAAAGGCATCAGCCACAGCTTAATCATGTGGCACCCAGCAGATGCCCAGGAAATATGGGATTAACTGGACTGACTCACAAACACATCCAATAATCCATTAGCTTCCTTGGCTCAGGTTGGCTTGGCAAGATTCACAGAGGGAATTTCTTAAAAAAAAAAAATCAATGCAAAACCAAAACAAAAGTGTATGCTCTTAAAACTTAGGAGGACAGCCAGGTGTGGTGGCTCGCACCTGTAATCCCCATACTTTGGGAGGCCATGGTGGGCGGATCACTTGAGCTCAGGAGTTCAAGGCCGGCCTGGGCAACATGGCAAAACCCCATCTCTACAAAAAATTGCAAAAATTATCCAGGTGTGGTGGTGTGTGCCTATAGTCCCAACTACGTGGGAGGCTGATGTGGGAGGATGTCTTGAGCCCAGGAGGCAGAGGTTGAAGTGAGCTGTGATTGTGGCAATTCACTCCAGCCTGGGCAGCAGAGCCAGACCCTGCCTCAAAAATAACAATAACAAAAAAACTTATGAGGACAACAAACGTCTCCCCGTGCCTATCACTAGAACGGTGAAATTTAGAACACAGCAGAAGCAAAACTCATATAATATGCATATACCTCCATACATACATACATACATGTATACATGCAAATGTACATACATACCCAAAGCATGCAGAGCGATATCCTGGGAAAAGTCCTTGAGCTCCATGAGGCACTGTTTGAGTGGGTTAAAATCCCAGAACCACCGTCTAACAGCTGAGTAACTTATTAACTAACTTACCTTTCTTACTGTCCATGTAGCAGTAATGCTACATGGAAATGACACCACCACGCCTTCCCAAAGAGGAGGAAAAGCACTCTAATTGTTGACAATGTGATCAAGCCATCAAATGTGTGTCAAGACAGCTATATACATTATGAAACAACTCACACTTGTATTACTCAATAATATAGGCAAGAAAAAATTAAAAAGAAGACTATGAGCATTTTTATCCTAACCAGCCCATGGTGAGCCTCCTGCAGTAGTCTGCTTACTCACCCCCCTGAATCAGTGCACAGTTTTGGTGCTTATGCCAAACCTTGGTGCCATTTTCATTTGTTAAAATGCATATTTTTCACTCACTGTCAGTTTTATTTGCCATTTTGGCTGTGATTAATGGTTTCCTTCCTGAAAGTGTGATTCTTTTAAAACCCTGGCATCTATGCATCTCCTTTGGTTCCTGCCTCTGGCCTTTGCCCATTTCTCTGTCTTGCACTGGCCCACTTGACACCCTGCAGTGCCTCCAACCACCACCTCTTCCTTCACCTGGTTCTGAGCTCCTGGGACACTGGGATGGGAGTTCTCAGGAGCCATAAGTCAAAAGGAACAATTATACCCTCCAGGTTCAGAAACATGTTTCAGGTCCAAGGCCAGAGACCATGCCCTGCTAGGCCCCATCCATCATAGTTGATTAAAGCTAGACAAAGGAAATGCTTACACACTGTTGGTGGGAATGTAAATTAGTTCAGCTTCTATAGAGAACAGGGTGGAGATATCTCCAAGAACTAAAAATAGAACACCATTTGACGCAGCAATCACACTACTGGGTGTGATCTACCCAAAGGAAAAGAAACGCTTACATCAAAAAGACACCTGCACATATATGTTTTATCACAGCACAATTCACAATAGCAAAGTCATGGAATCAACCAAAGTAGTTATGAAGACAGGATTAAATAAAGAAAATGTGGGCTGTGTGTGTGCGCATGTGTGTATGTGGTGTATATACACGTAAAAATACACATTTATGTGTATATATGTGGTATTTATACATACATATGTTCAAATATCATGGAATACTATGCAGCCATAAAAATGAGTGAAATCAAGTCCTTTGCATGAACATGAATGGAGCTGGAGGCCATTATCCTAAGTGAAATAACTCAGAAACAGAAAATCAAATACTACACGCTGTCACTTATACGTGGGAGCTAAACAAATGGGTACACATGGACATAAAAGATGGTAATAACAGACACTGGGGATTCCAAAAGGGGAAAAGTTGGGAAGGGGTGAGGGTCGAAAAATCACCTCTGGGGTACAACGTTCACTATGGTGATGGGTCCATTAGATGCCCAAACCTCACCATGACGCAATATATCCATGTAACAAACCTGCACATGTACCTTCTGAATCTATAATTTAAAAAATAAAATAAAATGTTAACATCACCTCAAAGGTACTGTGCTGTTAATTCCATAATTAAAATATCTTTCTCTAAAAGAAAAATGCTACAGCTATGACAACATTCCCTTAACACTTACCTCATAGTGAAAGGTGACAGCCTGCTGGCAACCCTCACAGCCCTCGCTCGCTCTCGGCGCCTCCTCGGCCTTGGCTCCCACTCTGGCCGCGCTTGAGGAGGTCTTCAGCCCGCCGCTGCACTGTGGGAGCCCCTTTCTGGGCCGGCCAAGGCCGCAGCCGGCTCCCTCAGCTTGCGGGGAGGTGTTGAGGGAGAGGCGCGGGCGGGAACCAGGGCTGCGCGCGACGCTTGCGGGCCAGCGCAAGTTCCAGGTGGGCGTGGGCTCGGTGCGCCCCGCACTCTGAGCGGACGGCCGGCCCACAAGCTCCGAGCAGTGAGGGGCTTAGCACCTGGGCCAGCAGCTGCTGTGCTTGATTTCTCGCCGGGCCGCAGCTGCCTCCCCGCAGAGCAGGGCTTGGGACCTGCAGCCCGCCATGCCTGAGCCTCCTCCCGGCCTGCCGCCGTGGGTTCCTGCGTGGCCCCACCTTCCCTGACGAGCGGCGCTCCCTACTCCACGGTGCCCAGTCCCATCCACCGCCCAAGGGCTGAGGAGTGCGGGCGCGCTGTGCGGGACTGGTAGGCAGCTCCACCTGTGGCCCACGTGCGGTATCCACCCAGTGAAGCCAGCCAGGCTCCTGAGTCTAGTGAGGAACTTGGAGAACCTTTATGTCTCGCTAAGGGATTGTAAATACACCAATCAGCACTCTGTATCTAGCTAAAGGTTTGTAAACATACCAATCAGCACCCTGTGTCTAGCTCAGGGTTTGTGAATGCACCAATGGACACTCTGTATGTAACTACTCTGGTGGAGAGGTTTAGAACTTTCGTGTCTAGCTCACGGACTGTAAACGCACCAATCAGCTCCCTGTCAAAACGGACCAATCAGCTCTCTGTAAAAAAGACCAATCGGCTCTCTGTAAAATGGACCAATCAGCAGGATTGGGGGGGGGGGGGCGGTGCCAGAGAAGAGAATAAAAGCGGGCTGCCGGAATCAACAGCGGTAAGCGGTCTGGGTCCGTTTCCCTGGTATAGAAGCTTTATTTTTTTGCTCTGTGGGTCCACACTGTGTTTGTGACCTGTAACACTCACCATGAAGGTCTGCAGTTTCACTTCTGAAGCAAGCATAGACCACGAACCCACCGGGAAGAACAAACAACTCCAGACCTGCCACCTTAAGAGCTGTAACACTCACGCAAAGGTGTGCAGCTTCACTCCAGAGCCAGTAAGACCATGAAGCCACCAAAAGGAAGAAGCTCCGAACACATCCAAACATCAGAAAGAACCAACTCCAGATACGCCGCTTTTAAGAACTGTAACACTCACTGTGAGGGTCCGCGGCTTCGTTCTTGGAAGTCAATGAGATCAAGAACCCACCACTTCCGGACACAATAGAGTCCTTGTAAAGGTTAAGGGCCGTGAGTGAATGTGAAGTTCTTTCCTTGCTCCTCTCTTCTCTGATGGAAAATTGTACTTACCCCATTTCACCATCTACCGCATAAAGCAAATGCCTCCACCCCAGCATTCCTGCCCGACTCCCTCTGGCTTCCTGGTGCTGATGGCGCTTGGGAGAGAAGGCAGTTCTGGCCCTCTGGACTCAGCCAAAACCAGAATCACCTTTCCATGGTGGTCGCATCTCCCTCTCCTTCTCTTCTTGCTGGGGGCGCAAAGAATCCTCCCTGTAAGGAGATTCACAGCCAGCTTCATCCAGAGGGAGCCACATCACCTCTTCCTCTGATGTTGATGCAGCCCTCTGGGGTATCCTCTTTTTCTGGTATTTCTGTCACAGTCTCCATCATCTCCCCTTCCCATCCTATTGCAGGATGAACCCAATGTTGGGGCTCACTGAGGAGGTTAATAAAAACTAGCTGGGCCTCCCTGAAACTGTTCCAAAGCTCAACCTCTTTCTAGAGCTTGCTTCCAAGAAAGGAACCCCGAAATGAAGAGGCCAGGTCTTCCATGAAGTATGTGGGGCAGGAGTGATCTCTGTCTAGCTACATGCAAAGCGTCTGTTACGGGTTTAATTGTGTCACCCAAAAGAGATACATTGAAGTCCTATCTGCAGCACCTCAGAATGTGACCTTATCTGGAAATAGGGTCTTTGCAGCTATAATTAGTTACATTAAGATGGGCTCATACCAAAGTAGTGTGGGTCCTTAATCCATTATGACTGATGTCCTTACAAGAAGAGGGTAAGACCAGGCGTGGTGGCTCATGCTTGTAATTCCAGTACTTTGGGAGGCCAGGGCAGGTGGATCACCTGAGGTGAGGAGTTCAAGACCAGCCTGACCAACATGGCAAAAGCCTGTCTCTACTAAAAATACAAAAAATTATCCAGGCATGGTGGCATGCACCTGTAGTGCCAGCTTCTTGGGAGGCAGAGGTTGCATTGAGCCAAGATCATGCCACTGCACTCCAGCCTGGGCACCAGAGGAAGACTCTGTCTCAAATAACTAAATAGGAGAAGAGACAGAGACACCGAGGGAAGAGGCCAGTGATGACAGATGCAAAGGTTGCAGTGACGCATCTACGAGCAAAGAAACTCCAGGACTGCTGGCAGCCACCAAGAGCCAGGAAAAAGCAAAGCACGATGCTCTCCTAAGTCTTCAGAAAGAGGATGGTCCTGCCCACACCTTGCTTTCAGACTTCCAGCCTCCAGAACTGTGAGAGAATAAATTCCTGTTATTTTAAGCTACTTGGTGTGTGATAATTTGTTACGGCAGTCATAGGAAACAGATACATCTCACAGTTCAAAAAGACAGAAGTTGCACCACCCAGACCAGTCACAGTGGCTCACGCCTATAATCCCAGCACTTTGGGAGACCAAGGAGGGCGGATCACTTGAGGCCAGGAGTTTGAGACCAGCCTCAGCAAAATGCCAAAACCCATCTCTACAAAAAAAAAAATACAAAAATTAGTTGGCCATGGTGGTGCGTGTCTATGGTCCCAGTTACTGGGGAGGCTGAGGTGGGAAGATTGTTTGAACCCAGGAGGTCTAGGCTGCAGTGAGCTGAGATCGTGCCACAGTACTCCAACCTGGACAACAGAACAAGACCCTGTCTCAAAGGAAGAAAAAAAGCTGCACTACCCTGTGTATCATAATCCCAGTTCACACACCTTTTCCAGCTTCCCCGCCTTTACATATGATGCCCCTTCCCCCAGAAAGCCCACCTCTCCCTTTGTCTGCCCAACAAAATTCCATTCACTTTTTATTTTCTTTTCCTTTTTTTTTTTTTTTTTTTTTTTAAATACAGGGCCTCACTGTTGCCCTGGCTGGAGTGCAATCCTCCCACCTTAGCCTCCCAAGTATCTGAGGCTACAGGCATGTGCCACCACACCTGGCTAATTTTTGTATTTTTATTATAGACTTGGTTTCGCTATGTTTCCCAGGCTGGTCTCAAACTCCTGGGCTCAAGCAATCTACCTGCCTCGGGCTCCCAAAGTACTGCGATTACAGGCAAAAGCCACCACACCCACCATCTACTCACTTTTTCAAGGTACATCTTAGATGTCACCTCCTCCAGGAAGCCCTCTCTGACCTCTCACACTCCCCACCACCACCATTGCTCTTGTATATTTCACCAGTGCAGCACTTGTCCCATTGTAGGACAATCGTCCGTTCATGAGTCTGCCTTCCCGGCTGGAGGATGAGCTCACAGAAGCCAGAGAACTCACTCACATCCCTAGTACCCACAAAGGCCTGGCCCAGAATTCCTCATCGGAACCAGAGTTCAGCTACATTCTTAATTAACAGTTTCGCCTCAGTGTATCTGTAACACTTTCTTCCTTCTGTAAAAGAGAGATCTGAAGCAAGCGTGACAAAATGCTAACATCTATTAACTCTCTAGGGTACATACACGGGTGTCATATTATTTCTTGTACTTTTCTGAAGGTTTGAAATATTTCCTAATGAAAATGTTCTCAGCCTTAAAAATGCAATGTAATGGGCTATCATGGACCACCACCAGTTCACCAGAGTGATTTCTTCTGGAAAAAGGCATCTCTAGTTCAAAGCATGCACCCTCGAGCACATTTGGAGGACTCAGCGCACCCTTGTGTCTGGGAAGGAGGAATATTTCTCAAGCGCCCCCAATGTGCTCTTGATTATGTTATTCCTGTTTTCATTATGACTGCAATCCTATGAGATCATTTGACTGTTTCCTTTTTTCAGAAAACAGACTTGTCATGGGGTGCAGTGGCTCACACCTGTAATCCCCACATTTTGGGAGGCTGAGGCTGGCAGATCACCTGAGGTCAGGAGTTTGAGACCAGCCTGGCCAACATGCTGAAACCTCGTCTGTACTAAAAATACAAAAATTAGCCTGGCGTGGTGGCAGGCACCTGTAATCCCAGCTACTTGGGAAGCTGAGGCAGGAGAATTGCTTGAACCTGAGAGCCAGAGGTTGCAGTGAGCCGAGATCGTGCCACTGCACTCCAGCCTGGGCGACAGAGCGAGACTCCGTCTCCAAAATAAAAAGAAGAGAAACTTGCCCTAGGTCATTGATAGGGTTTGGATCTGTGTCCCCAACCAAATCTCGTGTTCAGTTGTAGTCCCCAGTGTTGGAGGTGGGGCCTGGTGGGAGGTGATTGGATCATGGGGGTGGTTTCTTAGGAACGATTTAGCACCATCGCTTTGATGCTGTCCTCTGGATAGTGAGTGAGTTTTCATGTGATCGGGCTGCTTAAAAGTGTGCAGCTGGCCGGGCACAGTGGCTCACGCCTGTAATCCTAGCACTTTGGGAGGCCAAGGCAGGTGGATCACCTGGACCAAGAGTTCAAGACCAGCCTGGCCAACAGGCAAAACCCTATCTCTACTAAAAATACAAAAATTAGCCAGGCATGGTGACGTGTGCCTGTAATCCCAGCTACTCAGGAGGCTGAGGCAGGAGAATGGCTTGAACCTGGGAGGCAGAGGTTACAGTGAGCCAAGATCATGCCACCGCACTACAGCCTGGGCAACAGAGCGAGACCCCGTCTCAAAAAAAAAAAAAAAAGTGCGCAGCTTCTTCCCACTCACTCCCTTCTGCTCTCACTCCCACCATGCGAGACGCCCCCGGTCCCACCATGGGAGACGCCCCTGCTCCCACCGTGCGAGACGCCTCCGCTCCCACCGTGCAAGACGCCTGCTCCCCTCTTTGCCTTCCACTATGATTGGAAGCTTCCTGAGGCCTCCCCAGGAACAAAAGCCCCTATGCTTGCTGTAGAGCCTGCAGAACCGAGAGCCAATTAAACCTCCTTTATTTATAAATTATCCAGCCCCAGGCATTCTTTATAGCAATGTGAGAACAGACTGATACAATTAGCGAAGTGTGGCAGCACACACCTGTAATCCCAGCTACTCCGGAGGCTGAGGCAGGAGAATCGCTTGAACCCAGGAGACAGAGGTTACAGTGAGCTAAGATCGTGCCACTGCACTCCAGCCTGGGCGACACAGCAAGACTCTGTCTGAAAAAAAAAAAAAAAGAGAGAGAGGGACAGAGGGAGAGAGAACAGACTGATACAGCCATTCAGCTAATAAATTTTGGATCTGGGATTGAAGCTGAGTATCTTTTTCCAAAGCTTAGTAACAGAAGCAGAGGTTTACATGGGGTTTGCTGTATGCCAGGCACATATTAGCTTCCTTCAGCTTCACAACAGCCTTGTGAGACAGGTCCTGTGATTATCATCATCCCATCTTACCGATAAAGAATGAAAGGTGCAGAGAGGTTGAGTAGCTTTGCAAAGGCACAGCTAGTTCGTGGTGATGCTGGGATTTGAACATATGCAGTCTGGTTCAGAGCCTGTACTCCTGGCCACACAGCCACACGCCTTCTCCCTGGAGTCTTGCCCACCACAGAGAACAGGCTCACACTCCTCCAGGAAGGGCACCTGGAGGTCAGAGAGGGCATCCCAGTCCCTGAGAGTCTCTCGAGGTCACCGTACCCACGGCTCTGCTTCCAAGCTCAAGAGGAACTGAACTGGGCTCGATCAATCTACATTGAGGAGAGTGTGGGTAAGCAGTGGCTCTATGCAGAGGGCTGTGGTCTGAATATGTCCTCCCAGAATTCATATGTTGAAATTGTTTTAGCCGGGCACGGTGGCTCACGCCTGTAATCGCAGCACTTTGGGAGGCCGAGGCGGGCGGATCACGAGGTCAGGAGATCGAGACCATCCTGGCTAACACGGTGAAACCCCATCTCTACTAAAAATACAAAAAATTAGCCAGGCATGGCAGCATGCACCTGCAGTCCCAGCTACTTGACAGGCTGAGGCAGGAGGATGGCATGAACCCGGGAGGCAGAGCTTGCAGTGAGCCGAGATGGCGCCACTGCACTCCAGCCTGGGCGACAGAGCAAGGCTCTGTCTCAAAAAAAAAAAAAAGACATTGTTTTTTGTGTTTTGGTTTTTTGGGGGTTTTTTTGGAGACAGAGTCTCGCTCTGTCACCCAGGCTGGAGTGCACTGTCACAATCTCGGCTTACTGCAACCTCCACCTCTCAGGTTCAAGCGATTCTCCTACGTCAGCCCCCCGAGTAGCTAGCACTACCAGAGTGCACCACCACGCCCAGTTAAATTTTTTGTATTTTTAGTAGAAACAAGGTTTCACCATGTTGGCCAGGCTGATCTCAAACTCCTGACCTCAAGTAATCCGCCCTCCTCCGCCTCCCCACCTGCTGGGATTGCAGGCGTGAGCCACCATGTCCAGCCCATATGTTGAAATTCTAACCGCCAAGGTGATAATGTTAGGAAGTGGGGCCCTTTGACAGGTGATTAGGTCATGGGGGCAGAGCCTCCTGAATGGGATCAGAGTCCTTATAAAAGAGCCCTGGGAGAGCTCATTGGCCCTTCCACCTCAAGAGGACACAGCAGGAAGGTGGTATCTACAACAAGGAAGCAACCTGATGTTTTGATATAGGTATATGAAGTGATCACCATGATTAAGCTAGTTCACATACCCAACACCTCACGTAGTTAGCTTTGTGTGTGTGTGTGTGTGTGTGTGTGTGTGTGTGTGTGGTGACAACGCTTAAAATCTACCCTCTTAGCAAATTTCAAGTATAAATACAGTATTGTTAGTTATACTACCACGCTGTGCGTTTGGCTTGAATTTCTGATGGTGCCTGAGGTGAATGGGGATATGAAGCGGGATGAGGCCAGCCACAGAAATCAGAGGCTTTAGGGCATGATGATGCATACCTGTAGTCCCAGCTCCTCAGGAGGCTGAGGCAGGAGGATCGCTTGAGCCAGCAGTTTGAGGCTGCAGTAAGCAATGAACACACCAAAGGGAAAGAAAGGAGAGGGGAGGGGAGAGGAGGGGAGGAGGGGATGGGAGGGGAGGGGAAGAGAGGAGGGGAGGAGGGGAGGGGAGGGGAAGAGGGGAAGGGAGGGGAGAAGGGGAGGAGAGGGGAGGAGAAGAGGGGAGGGAAAGGAAGGGGAGGGAAAGGGAAGGAAAAGGAAACAGGAAAGGAAAGGGGTAAGGAAGGAAAAGGAAATGGGAAAGGGGAAGGGGAGAGGAGGGGAGAGGAGGGAAGAGGGAAGGAAAGGAAGAAATCAGAGGCTTTAGCCAACACTTCTAGGGTGGCTTGTTTTACCCAAGCACTGGAAATGAGGCAGCTGAGAGCAAACAGCAACAGCTGAAGACCTCAGGGAGGCAGGTCCTGCCCTCCCTGCTGGGAGAGGAGTCTGGCACAAAAGAAGCTTTAGCTTTAGGACGCTGGTGGAGCGAGCGACTGCTCCAACGGGCCTCGCCCTCACTGGACAGGATGGCAGTTGGACAAGACTCCAAACAATAAACAAAGCACAGTCCCTGCCATTGAGGACTTCCAAGTCTAGTGGGAACAATGGTGAAGTTGACAGGCAATTACATTTCAGCAGGATCAGAGCTAGCAAGGAGACCAATCAGGCTAAGTGGTCAAGGAAGATGTATGGGCTGAAGGTTTGTGTCCTCTCAAAGTTCATGTGTTGAAACCCTAATCCCCAACGTGATGCTATTGGAAGGTGGGGCCTTTGGGAGGTGATGAGGTTTAGCTGAGGTCATGGGGGTGTGGCCCTAATGATGAGATTAGTGTATTTATAAGAAGAGGAAGAAGCCAGGCGCGTTGGCTCATGCCTGTAGTCCCAGGACTTTAGGAGGCTGCGGCAGGCAGATCATCTAATGTCAGGAGTTCAAGACCAACCTGACCAACATGGTGAAACCTCCATCTCTACTAAAAGTAAAAAAAAAAAATGAGCCAGGTGTGGTGGTGCACGCCTGTAATCTCAGGTACTTGGGAGGCTGAGGCAGGAGAATCGCTTGAACCTGGGAGGCAGAGGTTGCAATGAGCCAAGATTGTGCCACTGCACTCCAGCCTGGGCAACAGAGTGAGACACCTACTCAAAAAGAAAAAAAAAAAAGAAGAAACACCAGGGCTTATCTCTCTCTTTCTCTCTCTCCCTCTCCGACCCCGTGCATGTGAGGACACAGAGAGTAAACGTCCAATTGCAAGCTGGAAAGGAGCTCCCACCAGAACCCTGAACTCAGACTTCCAGCCTCCAGAACTGTGAGAAAATCAATGTCTGCTGTTGAAGCCACCCCGTCTGTGGCAGCACAAACTGACTAAGACAGATGAGTTCTGGAGGAGACAATACCTGAGCCGACACCTGAAAGATGAATATGCATGAGCCAGTTAAACGAGAGAGAAGACTACTATACTCCCACCAGAACTGCTAGAATTAAAAAGACTAACAATGCCAAGTGTTGGCAAAGATGTGGAGCGACTAGAACTCCCACACACAGTTGGTGGGAGTCTAAATTGGTACCAGCACTTTGAAAACCTGCTTATACATTTCCTACAAGGTGAAACATACACCTATCCCACCACCTGGCAACTCCACTCCTGGCTATAAAGGCACCCACATACTAAGATGTGCACACTTTATACTGACTACATACATGTATGATATACCTTGATCAAAAGTTTTTTTAAAAAAAGAGAGGTGTCGACCAGGCACGGTGGCTCACACCTGTAATCCCGGCACTGTGGGAGGCCAGGGTAGGTGGACCAGCTGAGTTCAGGAGTTCCAGACCAGCCTGGCCAACATGGTGAAAACTTGTCTCTACTAAAAATACAAAACAAAAAAAAAAGTATCTGGGCATGGTGGCACACGCCTGTAATCCCAGCTACTTGGGAAGCTGAGGCAAGAGAATCGCTTGAACCCAGGAGGCAGAGGTTGCAGTGAGCCGAGATCACACCACTGCACTACAGCCTGCTTGACAGAGCTAGACTCCGCCTCAATTTGAAAAAAAAAAAAAAAGGAAAGAGAGACGTGGTACATATTATTTACATCTCTCTCTCTCTTTTTTTTTTTTTTTTTTTTTTGAGACAGAGCCTCACTCTTTTGCCCAGGCTGGAGTGCAATGGTGTGATCTCAGCTCACTGCAGCCTCTGCCTCCTGGGTTCAAGTAATTCTCATGCCTCAGCCTCCTGAGTAGCTGTGATTACAGGGGTGCGCCACCATACCCGGCTAATTTTTGTATTTTTAGTAGAGATGGGGATTCACCATGTTGCCCAGGCTGGTCTTGAACCCCTGACCTCAGGTGATCTGCCCACTTCAGCCTCCCAAAGTGCTGGGATTACAGGCGTGAGCCACTGCACAGGACTTTCTGTAAGTTTTTAACCAAGAAATTCCAATCAGTGAGCTTCCAACCTGAGAGCTGCCAACCAGAAAGGGTCCGATGAGACAATCGCTTAGAGACTTCATCCATCAACGTGCACAAGGAAATAATGAGATTTAGGGTCAGTGGCTTGGAGAGAAAAATGCTGAAAACAGCAACAGCAGATGGATGGGATAGTCAGAGAGGGGGCCCAGGTGACTCTTACTGTATAAGTAACTCTATAAGTGACTCTTACCATCCAAGAAAAGTGCTAGTTCCAAGGTGGAGAGAGGGGGAGGGCAGGAGAGAAGACGACCCTGTGTGGGAAGGTGTGGGATGCTCAGTGGGAAAGCTAATGAATGTCTGTCTCATCCCATTATACCAGGGCCCTTTACACGGCACGTAAAAATCCAACCAGCGTCTCCCCGACAGACTCTTTCTGCTCAGCCTGGCTTGTTTCTTCGTAACTGTAAAGTGGCAGAGCAGCGTTTTTAATTAATAAGCCATGTCTCTATCCCACCGTACATTTATTTAACTGCTCAACGCGACAACCAGGTACCTTTTGAGAAGGAGAAGAATTTTAAGAGGGTGGGAAGCGGGGCACAGGGGAGCGGCTTAAGGGTGTCAGATGAGCAGGTGCAGGCTTGTTAGTCGCTGTGAATGCATAAACCTCTGAAATTAATTTCACTGATGGTTCATTTTTTATTAATGTTTTCCTGGCCATAAAAAAGTAACACTCTATTCTCCTGAATTCCAGGGGAAAAGACACATTCTTGGGAAGAGGATAGATTCAAATATTATACGACGACCAACCCTCCTCTCTGCCTTCCTCCATCCATCCTCATTGTGTCATTTTTCTCTCCAAGCCACTGACCTGAAATCTCATTATCATTTCCTTGTGCATGTGGATGGATGAAGTCTGCAAGAGATTGTCTTGATAGACCCTTTCTGGTTGGCAGCTCTCAGAGGTTCTCAAAGAAAGATCTCAGATCATTCCAGTGGAGGGCAGGACCTGTTGGGAAGGGAGGCAGCTGGTGGGTCATAGAAGCCCTGAACCATGGGCTAGGGAAGCAGATACAAGTACCCCTCAGACCACATGCTCGTTGAGGAGCCCAGAGCAAGACATTGGCCTATCTGGTCATTGGTCCTTCCCGTCAAGGGAAGGAAATGATACATGGGCCAGGCACAGTGGCTTACCCCTGTAATCCCACCTTGGGAGACCAAGGCAGGCAGATCACTTCAAGTTAGGAGTTCGAAAACAGCCTGGCCAACATGATGAAACCCTGTCTCTACTGAAAATACAAAAATTAGCCAGGCATGGTGGCACAAGCCTGTAATCCCAGCTACTCAGGAGGCTGAGGCAAGAGAATCGCTTGAACCGGGGAGGCAGAGGTTGCAGTGAGACAAGATCACACCACTGCACTGCAGCCTGGGCAACAGAGCAAGACTCCATCTCAAAAAAATGAAATAAAATAAAATAAAAATAAATCTCTTTCTCTCTGCATGTATATCCTGTTTCTGTTTCTCTAGAGAATGCTAACACAAAGGTGTCTCACACCATTAATCAATAAATGATTGTAGGCTTGGTGTGGCAGCTTATGCCTGTAATCCCAATATTTTGGGAGCCTGAGGCAGGAAGACCTTTTGAGGCCAGGAGTTCAAGACCAACCTGGGTAGCATAGAGAGATCCCGTCTCTACAAAAAAAAATTAATCAAATAAATAATAAGAATAAAAGTAAGTTAATAAATAATCCTTACATAGATTTGCCAGCACCAAAACAACTGCCATTTGACCATTTTCTTTTTTAATAATACACTCGCCCAATAGTCTTCCATCTTTTTTCTTTTTCTTTCTGATTTTTTTCTCACTCAATAATCTTTAATTCATTTTCATAACTTTCAGAGATTTCACAAAAATTACAACGCTTAACTTAGGAAATAAAAATAACTTTAAGAAAAAGTAAAAGAAATAAACAAAAAACAAAAACAAAGAAAAAACAAAAATAAAGAAAATTTTAAAAATTACTTTAGTCTTTTTTATTTTTTTTTTTTTGAGACAGAGTCTCACTCTGTCACCCAGGCTGTGCAGTGCTGCAATCTCGTCTCACTGCAACCTCCGCCTCCCATGTTCAAGCGATTCTCCTGCCTCAGCCTCCCGAGTAGCTGGGATTACAGGCACCCGCCACCACGCCTGACTGATTTTTGTATTTTCAGTAGAGACGGGGTTTCACCATGTTGACCAGGCTGGTCTCGAACTCCTGACCTCAGGTGATCCACCCACCTCAGCCTCCCAAAGTGCTAGGATTACAAGCATGAGCCACCGCACCCAGCCTGCAGAAACAGTTCTATTAACCAAAAGTAATATGTTATAGCATAGAAACCCAGATATAGCGAAAGAGTCCACCCCCTCTCATGTCGAGGTGACCCTGGTTACTGGCACCATTTCTCTTCAATTAGGAAAAATTAGAAAGAATTGAGAGAGAACCACTCCGGTGTTGTTCAACCTTAGAGTCTGTGATTCTGTTGCATTTTCACAACTCCAGGCATAAGTTTAAACAGTAGGTCATGGGGGGAGTGGGGAGGGCTCCTGCAGATTGAATGGAATCAAAAGCCCAATTTCTTGTCTCTGAATTATAATTACATAAGCGCGTGGACAATCTTCCATTATAATCAGCTATAATTGGTAAAGGAAGGCCTCACTAATTCCAAAACTGCCATGGAAGAAGGAAAAATCTTGTATCTACCAGAAACATTTTGAATTCTGAAACATATTAAAGAAAAGCAGTTTGTTTCCCCTTCAAGTGTGTGCATTGAAAATAAACAACCAAGCACGGCCAAGCAGGAGCCGGTTCAGACCTGCTTGCTCCATAATAACCTATTTACATGTAACTGATCTGTCCCACTTCACCAGCTTACAGTACAAAATGAGGTCACCATCCTTTTTAATATTCAAATTAAATTACTCTGGGAGCACATATTGGTTCAACCTTTTTGGAGGGCAATTTTTGATAGCACCTCCCAAAATGTGAAATACGCTTACCTTTTAACTCAGAAATTCTACTTCTAGGAATCCGTCCTGCAGAAATACTTTCACCAATACATGATGACCTAAACTATGTTTCCTGCAGCATTGTATGGAAAAGACATGGGAACAACTTGGCTGGGCGCAGTGGTTCATGCCTGTAATCCCAGCACTTTGGGAGGCCGAGACAGGTTGATCACCTGAGGTCAGAAGTTCAAGACCAGCCTGGCCAACATGGTAAAACCCCATCTCTACTAAAAAATACAAAAATTAGCCAGGTGTGGTGGCAGGCGCTTGTAATCCCAGCTACTCAGGGGGCTGAGACAGGAGAATCACTTGAACCTGGGAGGCGGAGTGTACAGTGAGCCAACATCGCACCACTGCACTCCAGCCTGACCGACAGAGCAAGACTCTGTCCAAAAAAAAAAAGAAAAAGAAAAGAAAGAAATGGGAACGACGTGATTGCCAATTAACAGGGGATTGATTAGAAGGAACGAGGGGGGTATGTGCCTGTTTCAGAAGACCTTCAAGACAACTGTGCAGTAATAACACAAAGTAACCAAGCCACACAGAAAGCACAGTGACATTTATGTTTAAAACTATGCCATCCTACCTATTTATATGTATAGACATAGATATGTCTGTATCCCTATCTACATACATATATCTATGTCTATCTTGGTCTATGTCTTGAATTCTGTATCTACACACGTGTCTGTATCTATATCTACTCTACATCCATAGCAGAGCTATCTATCTATATGTATATCCATCTACATCTATTATCTGTCTATAGCTACATCCATATTTACATAAAAGTCTGAGAAACGAAATGTCACCAACAGACAAAATGAAGGTTATCAAAAGAAAACTTTTGGTCAGGCGCAGTGGCTCACGCCTGTAATCCCAACACTTTCAGAGGCCGAGGCAGGTGGATCACCTGAGATCAGGAGTTTGAGACCAGCTTAACCAATATGGTGAAACCCCATCTCTACTAAAAATATAAAAATTAGGCGGGCATGGTGGTGTGCGCCTGTAATCCCAGCTACTCAGGAGGCTGAGGTAGGAGAATCACTTGTACCTGGAGGCAGAGGTTACAATGAGCAGAGATCACGCCATTGACTCCAGCCTGGGCAACAAGAAGGAAACTCTGTCTCAAAGAAAAAAAAAAAAGAAAAAGACAACTTTCACTTTTTTTTGGAGGGGGTACAAGATCTTACTATGTTGCCCAGGCTGGTCTCAAGTACCTGGGCTCAAGTGATCCTCCTGCCTCGGCCCCCCGAAGTGCTGGGATTAAAAGTGGGAGCCACTGTGCCCCACCAACTTTCATTTTTGACTCCAAATGTTTCCATGCTGAGTTATTCCGTACGTGTGTATATTACTGACGGAGTTTTCAAAAATCACATGGCCCTGAGTCCCATCCTGCCAAGTCTCTCTTCCTGCTCCGGGGGACCCCTGCCATGATCGCGCCCAGGAATGTGTGCTGGGTGGCGGTGGTGAATCCTGTCGGTATCACAGCAGAAACAGAAACAAGAACATGTGAGCGGCCTGCAGGGGAGTCTGTGCAGCACACACTGTCCCTGAGGTCTGGCTGCCACATCCCAGGACCAGCTCTGTCCCCTGAAGAAAACATCCAGCCTGGTGCACAGTGCGTCTCAGGCCTGCTCGTGCTGCTGAAAGGGGCTTGGAAGTGGGGAACGGCTTCTGGGAGGGAGCTTTGGTGTGTTTCTTGGGGCCCTGAGTGTGGGGGCAGGACAGCTGAGGAGGACCCGGCAGCAGCTGAGTCCAGGCTGGGCCAAAAAGACACCACCACCGCATTGACTTAGATGAGCTGAAACTCACAATCCAGAAAGAAATAAGGACATCTCGGCCAGGCGCGGTGGCTCACGCCTCTAATCCCAGCACTTTGGGAGGCTAAGGCGGGCGGATCAACTGAGGTCAGGAGTTCAAGACCAGCCTGACCAACATGGTGAAACCCCTTCTCTACTAAAAATACAAAAATTAGCTGGGCATGGTGGCGCATGCCTGTAATCCAAGCTACTTGGGAGGCTGAGGCAAGAGAATCGCTTGAACCTGGGAGGAGGAGGTTGCAGTGAGCTGAGATCTCGCCATTGCCCAACAGCCTGGGCAACAAGAGCAAAATTCTGTCTCAAAAAACAAAGAAAGAAAGGACATTTCATCCTAGGAAGGTGGTGGCTTACATCCATGATCCCAAAAGGCCTTGGACCCCAGAAGCCTCTCTGCCGGGACTTAGACACAATCCTGGGAGAGGAGCAACCCAGGGACCCTGTAGACAAGAACAACTGCACCAGCCCAGGGGCTGAGGGTTCCGCTCAGGCAAAAAGTGATCAGACCTGAAGGTTCCTTTCCTAGACACACACAAACACTGTATTAGTCCGTTCTCACACTGCTATAAAGAATACTACCTGACAGTGGGTAATTATAAAGGAAGAGGTTTAATGGACTCACATTTCCACAGGCTTTATAGGAAGCATGGCTAGGAGGCCTCAGGAAACTTACAATCATGGTGGAAGACGACAGGGAAGCAGGCATCTTCTTCACAAGACTGTGGGAGGGAGTGTGTTTGTCAGCGCAGGAGAAACTACCATTTATAAAACCATCAGATCTCGAGAGAGTTCACTCACTATCATGAGAACAGAACGGAGGAAACCGCTCCCATGATCCAATCACTTCCTTCCCTCAACGTGTGGGGATTACAATTCAATATGAGATTTGAGTGAGGACACAGAGCCAAACCGTATCAAGCACATACGGAGGCACACACATGCACGCACACAGATATGCACACATGCTCACACACAGGCATGCACACACATGCTTACACGCAGGCATGCACACACATGCTCACACACAGGCATGCACACACATGCACACACACATACACCTATGCATACCAGTGGTCAAGATTAGCCAGAGCCTCTGTCCCAGAAGCAGACTGGGAGAGGGAAATTCAAGTGCAAATTGCTTATGATCCCAAAAACACAGGTAGAAGAAGAGAAATGAGATGGGAAGGGTGGTCAACACAGGATGTCCCTGTATTGTGAACAGGCCACTCTCTGAGAGACAGAGCGCCCCACCCGGAAGGCTGGTGAGCTGGAGTAGTTACCCAGCAACTCCCATCAGCCACTGATGGAGGATGCTCCCTGAGGGCAGGACCAGTGCAAACCCTTCTGTTATAATAGTTTGCTAGGGCTGGCGTAACAAAATACTGCAAATTGAGTGGCAGGTGTAGACAACAGTCATACACAATTCATTGTGTCACAGTCCTGCAGAATGCAAGTCCAAGGTCAAGGCTGAGAATCTGCCCTGCGCCTCTCTCCCAGCCTCTGGTCACTTGCTAGCCCCCACTGCTCATCGGCTTGTAGATGCATCACCCCCATCTCTGCCTTCATCTTAAGGTGGTGTTCTCGCTGCATATGTGTGTCTCTCTCTGTGTCCAAATTTCCCTTTTATTTTTATTTATTTATTTATTTATTTATTTATTTATTTATTTTGACATGGAGTATTGCTGTTGTCGCCCAGACTAGAGTGCAATGGCGCAATCTTGGCTCACTGCAACCTCTGCCTCCTGGATTCAAGCGATTCTCCTGCCTCATCCCTCCTGAGTAGCTGGGATTACAGGCACCCACCACCACACCCAGCTAATTTTTGTATTTTTAGTAGAGATTGCACCTGGCCCAAATTTCCCTTTTTTTTGTTTTTTTTTTTTGACACGGAGTCTCGCTCTGTTGCCCAGGCTGGAGTGCAGTGGTGCGATCTCGGCTCACTGCAACCTCCCCCACCCGAGTTCAAGCAATTCTCCTGCCTCAGCCTCCCAAGTAGCTGGGGTTACAGGCATGCACCACCATGCCAGACTAATTTTTTGTATATTTAGTAGAGACGGGGTTTCACCATGTTGGCCAGGCTGGTCTCGAACTCCTGACCTCAGGTGATCCACCCACCTCAGCCTCCCAAAGTGCTGGGATTACAAGCATGAGCCACCACGCCCAGCCAGAACTTCCATTTTTATAAGGACACTGGGGTGGGGGGCCAGGCACAGTGGCTCATGCCTGTAATCCTAGAACTTTGGAAGGCCGAGGCAGGAGGATCGCTTGAGGCCAGGTGTTCAAGACTCCCTACTCTACAAAAAAACAAGCAAATAAAAAAGCCAGGCATGGTGACACATCCCTGTAGTTCCAGCTACTTAGCACACTCAGGTGAGAATACTGCTTGAGCCCAGGAGTTCAAGGCTGTAGTGAGCTGAGATTGTACCATGGCACTCCAGCCTGGGCAATGGAATGAGACTCTGCCTCTAAAAAATAAAAAA
The DNA here is from genome assembly GCF_000001405.40 of Homo sapiens. NCBI lineage: Eukaryota > Metazoa > Chordata > Mammalia > Primates > Hominidae > Homo > Homo sapiens. The sequence continues at coordinate 9,167,798 of NC_000016.10, read as the reverse complement.
TCAATCAATAAGACATTAGTCAAATTGGATGGGGTGAGGTCGCACCACTGCACTCCAGCCTGGGCAACAGAGCGAGACTCCATGTCAAAAAAAAACAAAAAAAAAGGGAAATTTGGACCAGGTGCAATCGCTACTAAAAATACAAAAATTAGCTGGGTGTGGTGGTGCATGCCTGTAGTCCCAGCTACTCTGGAGCCTGAGGCAGGAGAATCTTGAACCTGGGAGGTGGAGGTCGCAGTGAGCCAAGATTGTGCCACTGCACTCCAGCCTGGGCGACAGAGTGAGACTCTGTCTCAAAAATAAATAAATAAATAAATAACATAAAGGCCAGGCACAGTGGCTCATGCCTGTAATCCCATCACTTTGGGAGGCTGAGAAGGGAGGGTCACTTGAGGCCAGGAGTTCAAGACCAGCCTTGGCAGCAAAGTGAGACCCTGCCTCTACAAATAGGGTCTACAAAGACCCTATTTCCTAATAAAGTCAAATTCACAAGTGCAAAGATTAGGACTGCCACAGTTTTTTGTTTTTTTTTTTTTTTTTTGGGACAGCGGCTCGCTATGTCACCCAGGCTGGAGTGCAGTGGTGCGATTTCGTCTCACTACAATCTCCGCCTTCCTAGTTCAAGTGATTCTCCTGCCTCAGCCTCCCATGTAGCTGGGATTACAGGCATGTGCCACAATGCCCAGCTAATTTTTTTTTTTTTTTTTTTTTTTTTTTTTAGTATTTATTGATCATTCTTGGGTGTTTCTCGGAGAGGGGGATTTGGCAGGGTCATAGGATAATAGTGGAGAGAAGGTCAGCAGATAAACACGTGAACAAAGGTCTCTGGTTTTCCTAGGCAGAGGTCCCTGCGGCCTTCCGCAGTGTTTGTGTCCCTGGGTACTTGAGATTAGGGAGTGGTGATGACTCTTAACGAGCAAGCTGCCTTCAAGCATCTGTTTAACAAAGCACATCTTGCACCGCCCTTAATCCATTTAACCCTGAGTTGACGCAGCATATGTTTCAGAGAGCACGGGGTTGGGGGTAAGGTTACAGGTTAACAGCATCCCAAGGCAGAAGAATTTTTCTTAGTACAGAACAAAATGGAGTCTCCTATGTCTACTTCTTTCTACACAGACACAGTAACAATCTGATCTCTCTTTCTTTTCCCCACATTTCCCCCTTTTCTTTTCGACAAAACCGCCATCGTCATCATGGCCCGTTCTCGACGGTCGCTGTCTCTTCGGAGCTGTTGGGTACACCTGCAGAAAGGCTCCCAGACGGGGCGGCCGGGCAGAGGTGCTCCTCACTTCCCAGACGGGGCAGCCGACGCCCAGCTAATTTTTGTATTTTCTGTAGAGACGGGGTTTCACCATTTTGCCCAGGCTGACCTTGAACTCTTAACCTCAAGTGATCCACCCACCTTGGCTTCCCAAAGTGCTGGGATTACAGGCGTAAGCTGCCGTGCCCAGCCAGGACTTCCACATTTTGTGGGGTCACAATTCAACCCAAAATGCCTCCCTCCCTAGCAGTTCCAGCAAAGACAGCCCAGTGCGGAGCAGCACGGGCTCCCAGGTACTCGCCGATGGAAGGTCCTGGGATGGGACCAGCGGGACTCAGGCAGTAGACCAATGACATCTGCTGTGGCCTCTAAGCCCACGAGTATATGAGTGTATTCTCCTGGCTACACTTCCAAGGCAGTGCAAATTGGGTTAAAGCTGAAAAGGCCATCCACCCTCAAGCATGACTAAAAGATTAAGAGTTGTATCTCAAAACCAAAAGCCAAGTGTGCGTTTGGGCCACAGCTCCGACCAGCTCAGCTGCCAAGAAGTTATCAGTGCAGATGAACTGCCTAATAACGGGAAGTGCCTCTTAATGGCCCTTCAAATCATTTCATTAAAAGTTGCCGTGATGTCTCCAGCTGAATCCGAGTCGTGCTGGGAAGGCCATTAGGTTAATCAAAATACAAGGACAGCTCACCATCTATTCTTAATTAACAAATTAGGTCCTACTGCCAACTCAGCAAAACAGAGAGCTGGCCAGCGACCCTTGGGGCAGTCGGAATGCTCAGAACACCCTTCCATCACTGACTGCCAATCAATCAGAGCCTAATGGAGAACCTCGGCCCGGGGCAACAGGGTTATCCTCACTGGAAGCGGATTAGAAGGGCTCCAAGATGGCGCTTTTACCAGCAAAATATCTGCCCCGCTCCCCTATGTGTGTCTCTCGTGGTAAAATGCAAGCTCCATAGGACGACAGGTTGCTCCTGTTGGCCCGGGACTGAGAAGCTGCCTGGGACACTGGACCCGCACTGCTGAAGCCAGAATGGTCCCAGGCAAACCAGGACAGTCACCAACACTCTTGCTTCATGATGGCAGGGACTTGGTCTATGTCGATTGTGTTTTTTCCCCAGGGCTAAAACAGTGCCTGGCGCACAGTGGACAGCAAAGAATATTACTGAGATCAAAATATAAATGAGTAAATGAATTTCTTTCTTTCTTTTTTTTTTTTTTTTTGAGACAGAATCTCGCTCTGTCACCCAGGCTGGAGTGCAGTGGCACGATCTCCACTCCCTGCAACCTCCACCCTTAGGTTCAAGCAATTCTTGAGCCTCAGCCTCCCAAGTAGCTGGGATTACAGGCACCTGCAACCAAGCCCGACTAAATTTTGTATTTTCAGTGGAGATGGAGTTTCACCATGTCGGCCAGGCTGGTTTCTAACTCCTGACCTCAAGTGATCCTCGGCCTCAGCCTCCCAAAGTGCTGGGATTACAGGCGTGAGCCACCACGCCCCATCTTTTTTTTTTTTTTTTTTTTTTTTTGAAACAAAGTCTTGTTCTTGTAACCCAAGCTGAAGTGCAGTGCAGTGGTGCCATGGCTGACTGCAGCCTCGACCTCCCAGGCTCAAGTGATCCTCCCACCCCAACCTCCCGAGTAGCTGAAACCACAGGCATGTACCACCACATCCAGCTAATTCTTTGTAATTTTTGTAGTGTCACTACGTTGCCCAGGCTGGTCTCAAACTCCTGGGCTCAAGTGATGCTCCCACATCAGCCTCCCAAAGTGCTGGGATAAAAGGCATGGACCACCACACTCCCCCATGAATAAATGAGTCAATCTCCCCTCTGTCTAATCCCACAAGGTAACCAATTCAAACAGCCTGGAGTATATTCTTCCATGTTTTTCCTTATGCCCACAAAAACACACACAAATAAGCATACAGTACACATAATATGGAACCTCTTGCCACCTCTGACAAAAAAGGAATCATGATACAGACATGATTTAGCAATTTACTTTTTCACTTAACACTGGGCAGTCCATCTCTTTCCAGATCTCTACACATAGAACTACCCAGTTCTTTTTCATAGTTCATGGTTTCCATAACACTGCATGTGCTATAGTTTATTCTATTATTTACCTATTGATAATTTGTCTTTCCAACTTTTTCCAAGGCAAACAACACAGTAATATCTTTGCACACATATCTTCACATGCTGGTGATTGTGCTTGTATCAGGATAGATTCCTAAAAGTCAAGCGGACTTTGGGCTTTTTTTTTTTTTTTTTTTTTTTGAGACGGAGTTTCGCTCTGTCGCCCAGGCTGCAGTGCAGTGGCGCGATCTCGACTCACTGCAAGCTCCGCCTCCCGGGTTCACGCCATTCTCCTGCCTCAGCCTCCCGTGTAGCTGGGACCGCAGGCGCGCACCACCATGCCCGGCTAATTTTTGTATTTTTAGTAGAGACGGGGTTTCACCGCGCTAGCCAGGATGGTCTCGATCTCCCGACCTCGTGATCCGCCCGTCTCGGCCTCCCAAAGTGCTGGGATTACAGGCGGGCTTTTTTTTTTGAGATGGAGTTTCGCTCTGTCACCCAGGCTGGAGTTCAGTGGCCTGATCTTGGCTCACTGCATCCTCTGCCTCCCAGGCTCAAGCGATTCTCCTGCCTCAGCCTCCCAAGTAATCAGGACTATAGGTGCCTGCCACCACACCTGGCTAATTTTTGTATTTTTAGGAGAGACGGGGTTTCACCATGTTGGCCAGGCTGGTCTCAAACTCCTGACCTCAGGGATCTCCCCACCTCAGCCTCCCAAATTGTTGGGATTAGAGACGTGAGCTACAGCGCCCAGCCAGGCATGTTTAATTTAAACAGACATCAGGACTCACCTGAGTTAGGACAAGGCAAAGAAAGATCACCCCAGTCCAGCAAGACCGTAAGGTAAGAAATCCGGAGCCGGGTGCGGTGGCTCATGCCTGTAATCCCAGCACTTTGGGAGGCCAAGGCGGGTGGATCACCTGAGGTCAGGAGTTTGAAACCAGCTTGACCAGCATGGTGAAACCCTGTCTCCATTAAATACAAAAAATTAGCCAGGTGTGGTGGCACATGCCTGTAATCCCAGCTACTTGGGAGGCTGAGGCAGGAGAATTGCTTGAACCCAGGTGGTAGAGGTTGCAGTGAGCCAAGATCACACCACTGCACTCCAGCCTGGGCAACAAGAGTGAAACTCCATATAAAAAAAAAAAGAAAAGAAAAGAAATCCAGCAGTTAAGGCCAGGCATGTTGGCTCATGCTTGTAATCCCAGCACTTTGGGAGGCCGAGGCAGGTGGGTCACCTGAGGTCAGGAGTTCAAGACCAGCCTGACCAACATGGTGAAACACCAACTCTACTAAAAATACAGAAATTAGCCAGGTGTGGTGGTGGGTGCCTGTAGTCCCAACTATTCAGGAGGCTGAGGCAGGAGAATCGCTTGAACCTGGGAAACGGAGGTTGCAGTGAGTAGAGACCATGCCACTGCACTCCAGCCTGGGTGACAGAGTGAGACTGTCTCAAAAAGAAAAAAAAAGAAATCCAGCTGTTATTCATGTCAGACACTCACTTCCCAGCTCTCCCCCAGGGCTGTGGTATAAACAAGGAATTGATTGCTTCTTGAGGATGCAGAGAAAAATATGATGTGGTCCCTGTTCTAGAAAACCCCACAGTTCAACAGCAGAGAGCAGGGAAGGGGAACTTTCATGGGCTAAACACTCACTAGGTCCCAGGCATTGTTCCAGATGCTTCCATGCATGGGACACTCAAATACTTTCCTAGTTCCATCGTTAAACAATTTATTAATAAATAAATCCGCAAGGGAGGAAAGATTATCCTGGTTTTACAGAAGAGAAATTGTGGGTCAGAGAAGTACTGTGCCTTGCCCAGGGTCAAACAACCAGTAAGTGTCAAAGCTGGGATTTGAACTAAGGGTCTGGCTGAGCCCAAAATCATTTTCCATGATATCATTGGGCCTTGACCTTGGCTATATTGGAATCATCATGACTATATTGAACTTTAAAAATAACAAGCTGGGCATGGTGGCTCATGCCTGTAATACCAGCACTTTGGGAGGCTGAGGCGGGTGGATCACCTGAGGTCAGGAGTTCGAAATCAGCCTGGCCAACATGGTGAAACCCTGTCTCTAATAAAAATATAAAAATTTCCCAGGCGTGGTGGGGCATGCCTGTAGTCCCAGCTACTCTGGAGCCTGAGGCAGGAGAATCTTGAACCCGGGAGGTGGAGGTTGCAGTGAGCCAAGATTGTGCCACTGCACTCCAGCCTGGGCGACAGAGTGAGACTCTGTCTCAAAAACAAATAAATAACATACGGGCCAGGCACAGTGGCTCATGCCTGTAATCCCATCACTTTGGGAGGCTGAGAAGGGAGGGTCACTTGAGGCCAGAAGTTCAAGACCAGCCTTGGCAGCAAAGTGAGACCCTGTCTCTACAAAAAATTTAAAAATTAGCAGGGTGCAGTGGCACACGCCAGCTACTGGGGAGGTTGAGGCAGAAGGATCACTGGAGCCCAGGAGTTCGAGGCTACAGTGAGCTATGATGCCACCACTGCACTGCAGCCTGGGCAACAAAGTGAGGCCTTGTCTCAAAAAACAAAAACAAAAACAAAACACACACACACACACAAATTATGGTCCCAACCCTAAAGCATGTAATTAGTCTGATGGAATTGGTCTAGGGTGGCCCCTCAGCCACACACACATTAGGGATTTTAAAAAGCCAGTTGACTCCAATGTGCAACCAATGCTGAAAACAGCTACAGGATACCAGTGGTTCCTGCCCTTAAGAATGCATCAGCCTCGCCAGGCACGGATGCTCACGCCTGTAATCCCAGCACTTTGGGAGGCTGAGCTGGGAGGATCACTTGAGCCCAGGAGTTCAAGACCAGCCTGTGCAACATAGGAAGACCCCATCTGTAAAAAAAAAAAAAAAAAATTAAAAATTAGGCAGGCGTGGTGGTGCACACCTGCAGTCCCAGCTACTCAGGAGGCTGAGGCGGGAGGATGGCTTGAGCCCAGGAGGTCGAGGTTGCATGAGCTGTCATTGTGCCACTGGACTTCAGCCTAGGCAACAAAGCAAGATCCTGTCTCAAAAAATATTAATAATAATCCATGAGACCCAACTGGAGGGCTTGTTAGGGGCCAGTTGCTTGCCCCCCAACCCCACAGTGTGCCTTTCTAAGACGCTGATGTTGGTGGTCTGGGGACCGTGCTTTAGAAACACCACCCTCACGTGGACCTGTCCGTTATCTTTTCTTTCATCCCCGTTTTGCAGAGAGGGACACTAAGCATCATGGAGCTGACCACGTTTATCACCACCCAAGACCACGTAGGCAGCCGTAGAGGCAGTCAGGCAGCCTCGCCTCTCGGCTTCCTTTGAGGTTTTAAAGGCTAAGAGGGTGTCATTTGTGGGTTCTCAGTGTCCTAGCCTAGATCCATGTGACAATTTTCTTTTTTTTTTTTTTTTTTTTTTGAGACGGAGTCTCACTCTGTTGCCCAGGCTGGAGTGCAGTGGCATGATCTCGGCTCACTGCAACCTCCACTTCCTGGGTTCAAGCGATTCTTCTGCCTCAGCCTCCCAAGTAGCAGGGATCACAGGCGTGCACCACCACGCTCGGCTAATTTCTGTCATTTTAGTAGAAATGGGGTTTCGCCATGTTGGCCAGGCTGGTCTCGAACTCCTGATCTCAGGTGATCCACCTGCCTCGGCCTCCCTAAGTGCTAGGATTACAGGTGTGAGCCACCGCTCCCGGCCCACGTGACCATTTTCTTTCTGCCTGGTATTTGCCAATGTGCTTAATGAGTCTGCGTTGAATTAAAGAATGCCCTGGCTTGCCCCCGCCCCCATGAATCCCTCTATAAACACATACGTACTAACCAAAAAGAAGGATAAATAGAACACACTGAAACGCCAGGGTGACAGCTACCTGCAGCACTGGCTGAGTTTTCATTTTCTTCCATCTCCTGAGAGAAAGGAAGCCACTCCCTTTCTGGGAATATGAGCCCCCGGCTGACTCCAGGCGGCTCATCCCCCTACCTTCCTCTGCAAAAACGAACAGGGATTTAAGCAGCAGCAAAGACACTCGGAGGTCATCTGGGCCATCTCCCAGCATCTCCTGTCTCCTGTCTGGGCGGCAGCAGGCGAGGCTACCTGGGTCCTGAGACTCCCCGAGGACGGCGATCCCCTGCTGCCCCCTGCTGGCTGAATTGGTAATGGCTGAGAAGTGAACGCAGCTGGGAATGCAGGAACTTCAAAGTCTCCGGTCTCTCTGACTCGTAGTCTCCCCGCCTCCTCTTGAAAGATTCAAGTTCCCCTGGAAGATGAGCCAGCCTTTCCAAAACTACCTTCAGTATCTGCACTATGCCTGCCCATTCACATTCATATTCTCCACTAATTCCCACAATTGTATTTCTGAGAGAGAGACCTTCAGTATCCCGGTCGTTCACCAAATGTTCCCTGGGTGCTGCAAGGAGTCTGGCTGTGTATGAGTCCAGGAGTTCAAGACCAGCCTGGGCAACATAGCAAGACCCCACCTCCACAAAAAATGAAAAAATTAGCCAGGAGTGATGGCACTCAACTGTAGACACAACTACTAGGGAGGCCAAGGAGGGAAGTTTGCTTGAGCATGGGAGGTGGAGGCTGCTATGATGGTGCCACTGGTACTCCAGCCTGGGCCACAGAGTGAGATCTTGTCTCCCCCCCCAAAAAAGAATAATATTCTGTAACACGTGAAAAGTATACAAAATTCAACTCTCGATGTCCATATATAAAGTGCGTTTTTGTTTTTACTTTTTTGTAGAGACAGGATCTCATTCTGTTGCCCAGGCTGGTCTCAAACTCCTAGCCTCAAAGGATCCTCCCACCTTGGCCTCCCAAAGTGCTGGAATTACAGGCGTGAGCCACAGTGCCCGGCCTCCAGTTGTCTCTGAAGTCTCCTTTTTCTTCTGGTAGACCAGGGATCAGCATACTTCTGTAAAAGGAGAGTGAATATTTTTCATTTCGTGCGCCATGCAGTCTCTGTCCAAATGACTCAACTCTGCTCTTGTATCTAGAAAGCAGCTGTAGATGATATGTCAATGATGAATGTGGCTGTATTCCAATAAAACTTTATGTATGGGTCAGGTATGGTGGCTCACACCAGTAATCCCAACACTTTGGGAGGCCGAGGTCGGGAGTTCAAGACCAGCCTGACCAACATGGAGAAACCCCATCTCTACTAAAAATACCAAATTAGCCAGGCATGGTGGAGCCGGCCTGTAATCCCAGCTACTCAGTAGGCTGAGGCAGGAGAATCGCTTGAACCAGGAAGACGGAGGTTGCTGTAAGACGAGATCGCACCATTGCACTCCAGCCTGGGCAACAAGAGCGAAACTCTATCTGAAATAAAAAATAAAAAATAAAAAAATAGACAACTGGGCTGTGGGTGGTGGTGCATGCCTGTGGTCCCAGCTACTCGGGAGGCTGAGGCAGGAGAATTGCTTGAGCCCAGCAGTTTGAGATCAGCCTGGACAACAAAGTGAGACCCTGCCTCTACAAAAAAAGAATTGTTTCTTTTAATTAGCCAGGCATGGTGGCATAAACCTGTAGTCTCAGCTACTTGAGAGACTGAGGCAGGAGGATTGATTGAGCCCAGGAGTTCGAGGCTGCAGTAAGCTATGATTGCACCACTCCAGCCTGGGCAACAGAGCGAGACCCTGTCTCTTACAAAAAAAAAAAAAAAAAAAAAAAAGAGGCTGGGCACCATGCCTGGAATCCTTGTACTTTGGGAGGCTGAGGCTGGAAGATCACTTGAGCTCAGGAGTTCGAGACCAGCTGGGGCAACATGGTGAAATCTGAAATCCTGTCTCTAGCAACAATACAAAAATTAGCCAGGCACGGTGGCACATAACTGTGGTCCCAGCTACTCCAGAAGCTGCGGTAGGAGGACCACTTAAGCCTGAGAGGTCAAGGCTGCACTGAGCTGTGATAGCACCACTGTACTCCAGCCTGGGTGAGAGAGCAAGACAAGAAAGAAAGGGAAGGGAGGGGAGGGGCGGGGCAGGACAGGGAAGGGAAGGGAAGGGAAGGGAAGGGAAGGGGAGGGGAGGGAAGTGAAGGGAAGGGGAGGGGAGGGAAGGGGAGGGGAGGGGAGGGGAAAAGAAGAGAAACTAAGAGACCAGGAGTGGTGGCTCAAGCTTGTAATCCTAGCACTTTGGGAGGCGGAGCGGGGTGGATCACCTGAGGTCAGGAGTCCGAGGCCAGCCTGGCCAACATGACAAAATCCCATCTCTACTAAAAATACAAAAAAATAAGCCGGGTGTGGTGGCAGGCACCTATAATCCCAGCTACTTGGGAGGCTGAGGCAGGAGAATCGCTTGAACCCAGGGGGCAGAGGTTGCAGTGAGCCGAGCTTGCGCCACTTCACTCCAGCCTGGGTGAAAGAGCGAAAGTCCATCTCAAACAAAGAAAAAAGGAAAGAAAGAAAAAATACTAAAGAACTGGCTTTAGTTGAGCAACTATAAGACAATTTCTATGCAAGGTGCTTTGCACACATGACCTTGCTAATCCCCAAGGCAACCTTCCAGGTGCCCTTATTACCCACAAGTTACAGGTGAGAAGATGGAAGGTCAAGGCCACAGAGCCAAGAGGCAGCAGGGTTGAGGTCAAACTCAAGTCTGTCTGACTCCAAAACTCATGTTTATTCGATTACCCGAAGCTGCCTCCCTGCTCAAAATCTTAGTATGTTTCCATTTTACAGATGATTCACCTGTGGCTAATGGAGGTCAGGTGACTTGCCCAGGGCGCTCAGCTAGTGAATGAGGGAGGACAGACTTGAGCTCCGGTGTCTGACTGCAAATCCCGTATTGTATCCTAGACTGTTTCTCCTAACATTGATTGGGAATCAATCCCTCAGACTGATTATCTCTGTAACAATAAAAGCCTGAAACATAATCATGATACCACGAGGGAAGGAAGGGTGTGCTCAATGAAGTGAGGTAACAGGCTTCACATTTTCCTGCGGGGATTACTCCAGCCAGCCCCAGACTGACAGTTCTGCAAAATTGGTATAAAACTCTGCTACAGTGGGTTTTAAACTGTCCCCTGTGGAAAGCACAGGGGCCGAAGGAGGTGAGGGGAGAATAGAATAAGGATGTCAACTTGTGAAGCCACACAGCCCCTCCCACCACTTCAATCCATCAGAACAAGCCTGCTTTTATCTGTTCCATTCATTGACCTGTCAGATAAGGTTTCATTGGAAAAGAAGCCTGCATGGGGCCGGGCGTGGTGGCTCATGCCTGTAATCCCAGCACTTTGGGAGGCTGGGGTGGGAGGATCACCTGAGGTCAGGAGTTCAAGAGCAGCCTGGCCAACATGGTGAAACCCCACCTCTACAAAAATACAAAAATTAGCCAGGCATGATGGCAGGTGCCTGTAATCCCAACTACTCAGGAGGCTGAGGCAGGAGATTGTCTTGCACCCGGGAAGAGAAGGTTGCAGTAAGCTGAGATCGCACCACTGCACTCCAGCCTGGGCAGCAGAGCAAGTCTAAAAAAAAAAAAAGAGGGCTCCGTGGCTTAAGAAATAAAGTTTGCAGCCTTTCGGCCGGAACTGCCATCTTCCAGTAATTCGCCAAAATGACAAACACAAAGGGAAAAAGGAGAGGCACCCGATATATGTTCTCTAGGCCTTTTAGAAAACATGGAGTTGTTCCTTTGGCCACATATATGCGAATCTATAAGAAAGGTGATATTGTAGACATCAAGGGAATGGGTACTGTTCAAAAAGGAATGCCCCACAAGTGTTACCATGGCAAAACTGGAAGAGTCTACAATGTTACCCAGCATGCTGTTGGCATTGTTGTAAACAAACAAGTTAAGGGCAAGATTCTTGCCAAGAGAATTAATGTGCGTATTGAGCACATTAAGCACTCTAAGAGCCGAGATAGCTTCCTGAAACGTGTGAAGGAAAATGATCAGAAAAAGAAAGAAGCCAAAGAGAAAGGTACCTGGGTTCAACTAAAGCGCCAGCCTGCTCCACCCAGAGTAGCACACTTTGTGAGAACCAATGGGAAGGAGCCTGAGCTGCTGGAACCTATTCCCTATGAATTCATGGAATAATAGGTGTTAAAAAAAAAAAATAAAGGACCTCTGGGCTACAAAAAAAAAAAAAAAAAAAGAAAGAAAGTTTGCAAATGATCACTTGGATGGGTGCTAAATCAAAAATCCCCAGGGGCAGAGTGGGACTGTCTATTGGTTTGTTATTTTGTGTGTTTTTGTTGTTGTTTTGTTTTCTTTTGTTTGAGACAGGGTCTCGCTGTTGTCACCCAGGCTGGAGTGCAGTGGCATGATCATAGCTCACTGCTGCCTCAAACTCCTGGGCTCAAGCCATCCTCCCAAATTGACTTCCTAAAGCACTGGGATTACAGGCATGAGCCACCGCACCCGGCATGTCTATTGCTTTGCTTACATTGTCATAACAAAAGACCACAGTCTGGGTGGTTTAAACAACAGACATTTATTTTCTGACAATCCTGAAGCCTAGGAGACCAGGATCAAGGTGTCAGCAGAATTGGTTTCTTCTGAGACCTCTCTCCTTGGCTTGTAGATGGCCGCCTTTTCCCTATGTCTTCACCTCTTCGTCTTCTTCCTCTTGTTATTCCTTTTTTTTTTTTTTTTTTTTTTTTGAGACGGAGTCTCCCTCTGTTGCCCAGGCTGGAGTACAGTGGTGCAATCTGGGCTCACTGCAACCTCCACCTCCCGGGTTCAAGCGATTCTCCTGCCTCAGACTCCCAAGTAGCTGGGATTACAGGCACCCGCCACCATACCCGGCTAATTTTTGTATTTTTAGTAGAGACCGGGTTTCACCATGTTGGTCAGGCTGGTCTCGAACTCCTGACTCAGGTAATCCACTCGCCTTGGCCTCCCAAAGTGCTGGGATTACAGGCATGAACCACCGCACCCGGCCAATCACCTCTTCTTCTAAGGACACTAATCCTATTGGATTAGGGCCCACCCAATTAGGTTGGTTAATGGAATCATCTCTCTAAAAACCCTGTCTCAAATACAGTCCCACACTGAGGTACAGCGGGTCAGGACTTCGACATGAGAATTTTCGGGGAGTATGCAATGCATTTCATAATACAGTGTGTTAGGGCAAGCAATGTCACCTCTCCCACGGGGTTCATCTGAAGGAAGGGGGGACATGCCAGAGGGAGAAACAGGTGTGGAGCCCACTGAGAGAGGAGGCTGCTAACGGCTGGGGCAGGACAGCGTAGCTGTGACGGATCCCTCCAGTCTGTCAGGCACCCAGATCCTGTGAACAGGATTTATCGCTGCAGTCACTGGGGTAATCGGAGAGAAACAGGGCTGTCAGGGACAGGTCCCGAGGACAGTATTTCAGCAGCGACCCCCCTCCACCCATGCCCCCCATGTACTCTATGAGTTACTGCCCCTGCAACCCCAAGCCCCTGCCCTGAGCTGTGTGGAGGTGAATATTCGTCTTGAGAAAGGGCTATTCAAGGTTGCTTGTCTGCAGAGCCTACCCTGGTCACCCTCTCCAGGGAAACGTGCCTGTCCTGCGGGGAAGCGGGCTCAGAAATCCTCAGTCTTCCACTGCACAACACAACCACCTGCAGAGATTTTGAAGTCCCGGGGCCTGAGCCCCACCCTCGGCGATTCTGATGTAAGGCGTCTGGGTGTGCGGTTGAAAACCACCGCAGTAGCTAGCGCGGCACTTCTCCCACGACCCCAAATGCAGATCTGAGCAGAGAGCTACCCACTCTTGGAGAATGTTCCCGGCATCGCATCCTGCCCAGCTGTCTCTGAGCTCATCGCACCCCCTCCTCCTGCATCACAAGCAGAAGCCACAGGAAAAATTGTCTCCAGCTCCCTCGCTGGGTTTGCATCCTAGCCCTGGGCGCTTCACCCGCACCCATCCGGCCGCTCCCTTTTCATCCCCTCTCCCGGTGGATGGCCACGTCCCCCCGCCCTCTGGTTCTGTGCGCCATTCGATTTAGACGGCCCCCTGGCTACACTGCCCTGGCGCTCTGGAGGGTGTCTCATTGGGCCCTTTGCCTGCAGAGGGTTACCAAGAGGTTTTGGGATGAGAATCGGGATGGGTGGGCGCATGTACCAAAATTCATGTCCACCTAGAACCTCAGAATAGGCCCTTATTCGGAAAGAGTCTTTGCAGATGTCTTTAGTTAACGTTTAAAAAGGTCATACAGGATTAGGGTGAGCCGTTCACTCCAATGACCTCTAAGAAGAGAGAAATGTGGACAGGGACACACAAGAACGCCACGTGACAATGGAGGCAGAGACTGGAGTGATGCAGCCACAAGTCGGGGAGCACCCAGGGTTGCTGGGGGCCCTGGAGTCTAGGACAGAGTCAGGGCCACCAGAAGGAACCAACCCTGTGGTCCTACTGATGCAGGCACCCAGGCTGTGGTCATTTCTTATGGCAGACTCAGGAAGCTCAAACAGGGCCCAGGAGTGGGGTGCAGTGAGAGGAGGACCCCAAAGAGACCAAACAAAGCCAACAACCGACAATCAAGGAGTAGAAAACAAACCTGGGAAACTGGCCATGGCGGGGGGTCGTGTGAGAGGTACTAGGAACTCTCACTCTCACACACACAAGCACACACGCACACATACATATACACACACAAATACACATACACACACACAAATACACACACATTACACACAAGTACATATACATACATATGCACACACACTTATACATACAAATACACACAAACACACATACACACATATACATACACACAAATACACACATACACACGCACATATACACACGTACACACATACACACACACCCAAATACACACATACCCCGAATACACATACACCCAAATACACATACACACAAACACACACAAATATACACACACGTAGACACACACCCAAATACACATACATATACACACAAATACACATACACACATACACACACCCAAATACACATACACATACATGTACACACAAATACACACACACCCAAATACACATACACATACATATACACACAAATACACATACACACATACACACACCCAAATACACATATGTGCACACAAATACACACACATACACACATACATACACACAAATACACATACACACACATACACACACCCAAATACACGTACAAATACATACATACACACACGTACACACACATATACACACATATACACACACAAATACACACATACATATACACACAAATACACATACACACGCATATACGTACAAATACACACAAATACACATACAAATACACACACACAAACACATACACATACATACACACAAATATGCACATATACACACGTACACAAATACACATACACAAAAACACACACATACACACACACATAAACACATACACACAAATACACATACATACACAAATACACATATACACACGTGCACACGCACAATTCAAGCATGGGGTGCCCTAGAAGGACTTAGGAGTGGGAAGATTTGCACTAGAGACGCAGATACTTGCTCACTTAACCTTTGTGAGCTCCTCACCCCGAAATGGGGTGCAAGCGTCCAGCCCGCAGGGTGTGCTACGGATAGAAGGAAACCTAGCACAGATCTGATTCTAGCTCACAGCAAGCGGGCTGTAGGGCTCCCTGGGAGGGGTGAGCAGAGGGAGGTGGGGCCAGGCAGGAAGGACTCTGCTGGGATTTCATCCAGTATTATCCGGGGCAGAGCTAAAACTCCAAACTTCTACTTCCGGCGCCACCTCCAGCCCATCTTTAAATGCCTGGCTGTTCCGATACTCTCTGTAATGTGTGGACACTTCGTCGGTGGAATTTACTTTGAGGATTTTAATAAAAAGGGGATCTGACTGGCGCTTCTGCTGATATCCCCCGAGCAGAAGACTCAGAGCCATGTGGGCTACTCTTTCTTCCCCAGCAAATTACATCGAAAAATAGCAGCAGGCTCAACTGTCGAAAATTCCATATTCTTGTCCTGTTGGAGAAGGGTCTTTTTAGAGGGGACACGCTAATTTATGCTTGAATGAGGACCACACACAAGACTAGAAATGCAGAAATTCCTAAATAGGCAGCATGGGCCCATGTTAATCATAATACAGGCATGAATTCTGTAGCAACTGTCCATTCTGCATGGTGCACATCAATGCTAGTCCTCCTCCAGCCTAGTGGGGTGGTGGGAGTAGACCGCCTGGTGCAGACAATAAGGGGCCACATTATCTATAAAAAGGGTAAAGACCAGAAATGGTAGCTCATGCCTGTAATCACAGCACTCTGGCAGGTTGAGATAAGAGGACTGATTGAGCCCAGGAGTTTGAGATCAGCCTGGGCAACAAGGCGAGACCCCAACTGTACCAAAAAAAAAAAAAAAAGTAGCTAGGCATGGTGGCGTGTGCCTGTGGTCCCAGCTACTTGGGAGGCTGAGGTGGGAGGATCACTTGACCCCAGCAGTTGGAGGCTGCCGTGAGCTATGATCACGCCACTGCACTCCAGCCTAGGTGGCACAGCAGTCTCTAAAAAGAAAAAAGAACTTAAAAACAAGAATAAAACCAAGCACAAGCTGGTCTGTTTTTTATTGTCAACATGAGCCATGCAATACTCCACCCCCAAACAATCTTTCCTTGGTCTAAGTTCTAAACAGCTGCTGCGCTTCCTGTTGGGCTCTAATAATATATACATGCCCTTCAGATTAGCACGTGGCTGTTTCTTCTTTAGTAAACACTGTGGCCCAGGTCAGTGACTCACCTCTGTAATCCCAGCATATTGGGAGATGGAGGCTGCAGGATTGCTGGAACCCAGGATGTAGAGACCAGCCTGGCCAACATGGTGACAGCCCATCTCTACAAAAAATAAATTAGCCAGGCGCGGAGGCACGTTCCTGTAATCCTAGCTACTTGGGAGGCCAAGGCAGGAGAATCGCTTGAACCCGGGAAGCAGAGGTTGCACTGGACTGAGATGGCACCACTGCACTCCAGTCTGGGCCACAGAGGGAGATCCTGTCTCAAAAAAAAAAAAAAAAAAAAAAAAAAAAAAAAACTGAAACAAGCAAACAAAAAAAAAATTGTCTTCTACACGGAAGTTTATTATGAGAAGCCCCAGGCACACAGCTACGCACCTTTGTTTTGTAAGTAGGTTCCCAGCCGGTGTGGATTATTGCTGCTCTGTCTCCTCGGGGCTCCAACTACCTGCAGCAGTTTGTATCCCTGAGCTGCAACAGTAGATGCAATGTAAACAAGGAGAGCCCAATGGCAAAGAACTGGAACTTCAGTGGCTTTCATTCTGATATCCTGTCTGCAAGTAAAAACCTGGAATTTGTATACGTGTGTACAGGTTAGAACAGCATGGCAGCAGAACCTGGGAGGTGTGCCATTTTTGTCTGGTGAGTGCAGATTTTAGTTCACACATGAAATATTTTATTGAATTCAAATAACATTTAAAAAAATTTTTTTTTCTAATTTTTGCCCAGGCACGGTGGCTCATGCCTGTAATCCCAGCACTTTGGGAAGCTGAGGCGGGTGGATCACTTGAGGTCAGGAGTTTGAGACCAGCCTGGCCAACATGGTGAAACCCCCGTCTCTACTAAAAATACAAAAATTAGCCAGGCATGGTGGTGGGCAACTGTAATCCCAGCTACTCAGGAGGCTGAGGCAGGAGAGTCGCTTGAACCCAGGAGGCAGAAGTTGCAGTGAGCTGAGATCACAGCACTGCACTCCAGCCTGGGCGACAGGGCAAGACTCCGTCTAAAAAATAAAAATAAAAATAAATTCTAATTGTTTTCTGCTATCTAATTACAGATTATCCAACAACATCTCAAACTGGGTGTGGTGGTGCATGTCTGTAGTCCCAGTTACTCAGGAGGCTGAGGTGGGAGGATGGCTTGAGCCCGGGAGGTCAAGGCTGCAGTGAGCTGAGATTGTGACGCTGAACTCCAGCCTGGGCAACAGAGTAAAAACCTGTCTCAAGAAAAATTTAAAAAATTGAAATATCTTCTCTTTCCGTTGTTAATCATTTGTTTTAAAGCTAAAGAACAATAAAATAGTTATTTTTACTATTATAAGACTACTACGGAAGATAATTTTGTCATATAGAAGAGGAGAGGTTAATGTAATTAATGCCACTGATGTGTACACTTGAAAATGGCCAAAATGGTGAATTTAATGTTATATGTATTTTGCCACAAATGTTTTAATAATGAAATATGCCAAAAAATTGTACACTTTAAATGAGTGAAGTGAATTGTACATTATGGAAATTATATATGTTTTAAAAAGAAGAGGAAGTGTTAAAAAATGATCCCAGGCCAGGTGTGGTGGCTCATGCCTGTAATCCCAGCACTTTCGGAGGCGGCGGGGGGAGGGGGGCAGATCACGAAGTCAAGAGATCCAGACCATCCTGGGCAACCTGTTGAAACCCCATCTCCACTAAAAACACAAAAATTAGCTGGGCATG
This sequence comes from Homo sapiens, assembly GCF_000001405.40. NCBI lineage: Eukaryota > Metazoa > Chordata > Mammalia > Primates > Hominidae > Homo > Homo sapiens. Next base: position 9,150,039 of record NC_000016.10, on the reverse strand, counting down.
GTGGCGTGCAGCTACTTGGGAGGCTGAGGCAGGAGAATCACTTGAACCCAGGAGGCAGAGGTTGCAGTGAGCTGAGATCACACCAATGCACTCCAGCCTGAGTGACAGAGCAAGACTCCATCTCGAAAAAAAAAAAAAAAAAAAAAAAAGATCCCGTGTGGGTGTCATATAAGCTATAAAGGCCACCGGGTGGTATATCCCTATTTTGCAGAAAATGGAGGCTCTAAGAGGGGAAGTAACATGTTCAAGGTCACACTGCTCGTAAGTGGCAGAATCTGGATTCAAATCAGGTCTGCCTGTCCACACTAATGTGAGATCCTGTTGTGGTTTGAATATTTGTCCCCTCCAAAATTCATGTTGAAATTTAATCCTCAATGGGGCAGTATTGAGAGATTACAGGCGTGAGCCACTGCGCCCGGCCAGGCCTGGTGGCTTTATAGGAAGAGGAAGAGAGACCTGAGCTAGCCGACTCAAACCCTCCCCATGTGATGCCCTGGGCCACCTCAGGCCTCTGCAGAGAGACCCCACCAGCAAGAAGGCCCTCACCGTATGTGGCTCCCTGATCTTGGACTTCCCAGCCTCCAGAACTGCAAGAAATAAAATGCATTTCTTATAAATAACCCAGTTTCAGGGATTCTGTTATAAGCAACTTAAAATGGACTAAGATCCATTTCCATTCTGCCATTCTGCCGCCTTCAACACACACTGTGGGCGCCCCCCCACCACCATCCCGAAAGAAGGGCTTGACATCTGAGACCTTCAGGGCTGAGGGACATCAGAGCAGCCACTTCACAGCTCACTTGGGGAAGGCAGGCAGGGCCACACGTGGCAATTCAGGGAGAGGGAGGTGAGCACGCTGCGGAGAGGCGTCTGCAGGGAGGGAGTGTTGTGTGCGGTGTCCGGGATAGCGAGTCTGCCCACACGTGGGACAGAGGGACGAGGGTTTCTAGGGCAGCACTGCTCGCCTTGAAGGGTAGCAGCATACACCACCCCAAAATATGCCACGTAGGCATAAGGATTATTTTAAGCTCATTATTATTTAAGGCAATTGCCTTATTATTTTAGGCAATCGAGAAGAAGCAGATACCAGAAAAGCTCCCTGCTGTCCCTCTATTTACCTAAAAGCAGGACATACATTTGTCAAGGTGTCCCTTCCCCCTCTCTACCAGGAAGGACAGGAGCTAATCCCTGGAACAAGTCTAGCCCCTCATCAGCCTGGAGGTATCTACACAGCAAACCTGAGTAATAAGCCCCTCCCACCATTACTTTCCCCAATATAGCTGTGTTTCCACAATTCGCCGCCCCAGAAACTCCAAAGTCACTTTCCTTTCTCTTGTCACTTCTCTACAAAGTATTGTTCTTTTGTGAAAAGGCTACAGAACAGGGGTCCCCATACCAGTTCCTGGCCCTTTAGGAACCAGGCCACACAGCAGGAGGTGTCAGCAGGCAGACAAGTGAAGCTGCATCTGTTATTTACAGCTGCTCCCCATCATTTGCATTATTGCCTGAGCTCCGCCTCCTGTCAGATCAGCGGCCAGATCAGTGGCCCCATTAGATCGTCATAGCTCGAACCCTATTGTGAACTACACATGCGAGGGATCTAGGTGGTGCAGTCTTCATGAGAATCTTTTTTTTTTTTTTTTTTTTGACGGAGTCTTGATCTGTCGCCCAGAATGGTCTCGATCTCCTGACCTCATGATCCGCCCACCTCGGCCTCCGAAAGTGCTGGGATTACAGGAGGCGTGAGCCACCGCGCCTGGTCGAGAATCTTTTTTTTTTTTTTTCTTTGACACAGAGTCTTGCTCTGTCGCCCAGGCTGGAGTGCAGTGGTGCCATCTCAGCTCTGCAACCTCCACCTCCCGGGTTCAAGTCATTCTCCTGCCTCAGCCATCCAAGTAGCTGGGAATACAGGCATGCGCCACCACAACCGGCTACTTTTTGTATTTTTAGTAGAGACAGGGTGGTCACCATGTTAGCCAGGCTGGTCTCGAACTCCTGACCTCAAATGATCCGCCCGCCTTGGCTTCCCAAAGTGCTGAGTTACAGGCGTGAGCCACCTCACCTGGCCACTCCTTATGAGAACCGAATCCCTGATGATCTGTCAACCGTCTCCCATCATCCCCAGATGGGACCATCTAGTTGCAGGAAAACAAGCTCAGGGCTCCCACTGATTCTACATCATGGTGAGTTGTATAATTATTGCATTATATATTACAATGTAATAATAATAGAAATAATATGCACAATAAATGTTACATGCTTGCATCATCCCATAACCATCCCCCACTCTGCCCCGTCCGTGGAAAAATTGTCTTCCACAAAACCAGTTCCTGGTGCCAAAAAGGTTGGGAAACACTGCTCTAGAAGCCCAAGTTCTAACCACTCCCATGGCTGAGTGCTCTCGAGTGGAAATTTGATGCCCGTGTCCATGAATTTGTTTTTCTCTTACTCACCAGTCTTTTGTTCATCTAATTCACAGGGCTCTAGCCCGAGAATTCAGGATTGAGAACAATGATGTTCTCCTTCTTTTTTTTTTTTTTTTTTTTTTGAGACAGAGTCTCGCTCTGTTGCCCAGGCTGGAGTGCAGTGGTGTGATCTCGGCTCACTGCAAGCTCTGCCTCCTGGGTTCACGCCATTCTCCTGCCTCAGCCTCCCAAGTAGCTGGGACTCCAGGCACCCGCCACCACGCTCAGCTAATTTTTTGTATTTTTAGTAGACACGGGGTTTCACCATATTAGCCAGGATGGTCTCCATCTCCTGACCTTGTGATCTGCCTGCCTCGGCCTCCCAAAGTGCTGGGATTACAGGCGTGAGCCACCACGCCCGGCCAATGATGTTCTCCTGCTACAGCCTAATAGCTTAGAATTTATATGTGATTGGTCCCAAATAACTGAGTAGGGTACAGGCCAGAGCCCAAGCCATAAAAACTCAGGAGACCCTCGGCCCTTATGGAATGGACATTCGCAAAGGCAGGGTCCTGAGAGCGACAGGCAGGCAGCCCATGCAGAGTGGACAGTCACCTACTGAGGCACATTTTGGAATCCTGGACATGGGACACACAACACTATCACTTGAATGTTTTCAAAGCCCAAAACAATGGCCTCAAATGGATCACCAGAGGCTGGAGGTGAGCCCAGGAAGCTCCAGATGGTTTTTGTTGGTTTTCTCAGACAGAGGCTCGCTCTGTCGCTCAGGCTGGAGTGCAGTGGCGCAATCACAGCTCACTGCAGCCTCGATGCCCCCACCTCAGCCTCCCAAGTGCTGGGACCACAGGCAGGCGCCATCATGCCCCGCCAGTTTTTACATTTTTCATAGAGATGGGGTTTCTCCTCGTTGCCCAGGCTGGTCTCAAACTCTGGGCTCAAGCAATGTGCCTTCGTCTGCTTCCAAGGGTGCTGGGATTACAGATGTGAACCATCATGCCTGGTCTTGTAGCTCCAGTTTTAACCAGGCCCGGATCACTGTGCATGCTCCAGGGCCCACAACGGGAGCACTTAGCAGAAAGCTCTTTCTGGTCCCTCTCTTCATTCCCACTCTTTGCCAGATCAGAGTTCCATCCCCCAGATTGGCCTGGAGGAGCTGAGGAGGCTGCCCCGAATCAGAGAAAGGTGGGGTGATGCAGTGTGGCCTTGAGTTCCCAGCCTCGAGGACAGTTCAGTCCCCAGTTACTGGCTTATGATCACCAGGGACAAAGCTAACGGGAGATGCAGAAGAGAACAGACTCCTTCTCAGCTGGGAGCGACTGTGCCTCCCAGGGCTCCCTCAGCAATGTCTAGAGACACTTGGGAGAGGGGCTCACAACTTGGAGGTGGAAGGGGTGCTCCTGGCATCTAGTGAGTGGAGGCCAGGGAAGCCGCTGAACATCTACAGTGCACAGGATAGCTCCCCACACACAACAAAGCCCCCAAATGTCAACACTGCTGAAGTTGACACTGAAATAGACAGAGATCAGAAACAGAAAATCTCTCTCTCTCTCTCTCTCCCTGTCTCTCTCTCTCTCTCTCTCTCTCTCTCACACACACACACACACACACACACACACAGAGAGAGAGAGAGAGAGAGAGAGAGAGAGGAACTGGCATCTGGTGAGGCTAATAGAAGGGAAAACTCGACTTGGGGAACAGGAAGGGAGAGAGGGGAGGAGAAAAGAAAAGAACTGGTCCCGGGGCCCCATCTGATCCAAGTTCCAAATTCAATAGACTAACATTTTAAAGATTTGAATAACAATAAAAATGCCTGTGCTTCAAAAGAATATATTATCTGTATCCATCCCAAAGGCTGGCAGCTCTTCCTGGAGCGCTGCAGGAAAAGGAAAATGAACCCAGTTCTGCTGCCAGCGGGGACAGGAGGAGAAGAGACCCAGACTCAAAGGACATCAATTACTCCTAGGGGGAAAAAAAAAACCCTAAAAGTCATTTCTAATAAATAAGCCACGAGATGTTGAAAGGGTGTATTTGTTCTGCTTCAGAGCATCAGTTTCTCATCACGAAGTACACCCTGGTTTTGAGACAGGATAGTTCCCTTGACCCCCTTCATAGGAAGGAACTGAAGTGACTCGTTTCACTCAGCCTGAAGTGATGGCCTAAGTGTTAACAGCTCAGCAAAGGGTCAGGGTGACAGCCTCCTGCACCTGCCCTTTTTGACACCCGAGTTCTTGTTCGGCATCCAGGAAGAATCAGGTCACATGAACTGTTTGAAGGGTAGTGTATGTGGAAGACTTTATTGGACAATAAAAGTGGCTCTGAGCGGGATGGGGAATTGGAAAGGGGATGGTATGGGAAGAAGGTGATCCTTCCCAGAAGCTGCACCGCCTGAAGTTAGCCACATCTATCCACAGTCTCCGACGCTCAGCCGCATGGATCCCCGAGCCTCAGCAGCTTGTATCCCCAACGCTCAGCCGCATGGATCCCTGAGGCTCAGCAGCCCACATCCCCAACCACTTGCATCAGCCGCTCCTGTTGCTCTACCAGCTGAAGTCTTTTTATGGGCACAGGATAGGGGTGTGGCAGGCCAAAAAGGCAATCATTTGGGTGAAAAATAGGGTCAGCTGTTTTCACTTAGGGCTGAGGTTCCAGGCTTGAGAGTGGGGCTTAGCTGGGGCCCCAGCCATTCTGTATCAATATGACCCATGGACTCCCCAGAAAGCCCATCTGCAAGCTCCCAACTGCCCCCAAATGCAAGGCTGAGTTCTTGGAGCCCTGAACTGTCCCTAACACCCAGCACAGTGCCTGGGACAAAACTGGCACCCAACAAACATGAGTGGATGGTTTTAACATTTTTTTTTTTTGGAACGAAGTTTCACTCTTGTTGCCCAGGCTGGAGCGCAATGGTGCAATCTCGGCTCACTGCAACCTCTGCCTCCCAGGTTCAAGCAATTCTCCTGCCTCAGCCTCCTGAATAGCTGAGATTACAGGCGCCCACCACCACACCCGGTTAATTTTTGTATATTTAGTAGAGACAGGGTTTCACCATGTTCACCAGGCTGGTCTTGAACTTCTGACCTCAGGTGATCCACCCGCCTCAGCCTCCCAAAGTGCTGGGATTACAGGCCTGAGCCACCACGCCCAGCGAGTGGATGGTTTTCAACAGCTAAACTTGACCTCGCCCAGCCAAGGTCCTTCCGGCAAACTCTATCCCTCACTCCGGCAAACTCTATCCCTCACTCCGCTCTTGCCATACCGCCTTCCATCCTCACCCTCAAACCATCAGCACATTCCTGCCCTGGGGCATTTGCACTTTCTGTGCCCACACCTCACAACTTCCTCACTCCCTCGCCCCCTTCAGGGCTTTGCAGAAGTGTCCTTTTATAAAATTACCACTTGCTGTTTCCCATTCTGCCTCTGAGGGACTGAATTTCCAACCCCCCATGGGATGGTATAAGGAGATGGGGACTTTGGGGGGTAACTAGGTTTAGAAGAGGCCATAAGGGGCTTGGCCTAGTGGCTCACACCTGTAATCCCAGCACTTTGGGAGGCCAAAACAGGAGGATCACTTGGGCCCAGTAGTTCAAGACCAGCCTGGGTAACACAGGGAGATCCTGTCTCAAATCAAAATAATTAAATTTTTAAAAAATAAAAATAAGATAGAACAGGGCATGAAGGTGGGGCCCCCGTGATGGCCTTAGTGCTCTTCTAAGAAGAGACACCAGAGTGGCCAGGTGCAGTGGCTCGTCAGGAGTTCAAGACCAGCCTGACCAACATGGTGAAACCCCGTCTCTACTAAAAATACAAAAATTAGCCAGGCATGGTGGCGCACACCTGTAATCCAAGCTACTTAGGAGGCTGAGGCAGGAGAATCGCTTGAACTAGGGAGGTGGAGGTTGCAGTGAGCCAAGATCACACCACTGCACTCCAGCTTGGGCAACAGAGCGAGACTCTCTCAAAAAAAAAAAAAAAAGAAGAGACACCAGAGAACTTGCTCCCTCTCCTAGCCATGTGAGGACACAGCATGAGGGCAGCCATCTGCAAGCCAGGAAGAGGGTCTTCACTAGAACCTGACCATGCTGGCACCCTGATCTCAGACTTCTGGCCTCCAGAACTGTGAGAAAATTAATGTCCATTGTTTAAGCCACCCAACTTATGCTGTGTGTGTGTGTGTGTGTGTGTGTGTGTGTGTATGGAGAGAGAGAGGGAGAGAGAGAGAGAGAGGCAAGGTCTCACTTTATTACCCAGGCTGGAGTGTGGTGGCACAATCATATCCCACTGCAGCCTCAACCTCCTGGGCTCAAGCAATCCTCCCACATCAAACTCCCAAGTAACTGGAACTACAGGCACGTGCCACCCACCATGCCTGGCTAATTTTTTTTTTTTTTTTTGGTAGAAAGTGTCTCACTATGTTGCCTAGGCTGTAAACTGAGTATCTTCAACTGCTATCTAAGATTCACCTCTTCCCCATTCTCTGCTTTTTCCCTATAGCACCTACATTCTTCCAATTTGCTAAATGATTCCCTAATTTTTTAATGTTTATCTCTAGACAGGCTCCTGATTCATGAAAGACAGAAACAAATATTTGCTGGATAAATGAATGAATGAATAAGTGGTCTCTTTTTCTGAGAGAGATATGGGGAATCTCACTAAGTTGCCCATGCTGAACTTGAATTTCTGGGCTCAAGCAATCCTCCCACCTCAGCCTCCTGAGTAGCTTGGACTACAAGTGTGCACCACTGTGCCTTGCTCGAATGAATGATCTTTATGTCTCATGGTGACTCTATGATTAGTAATATCATTCACTCTATTTAAAGAGGGGTAAACTGGACTGGGTATGGTAGCCCATGCCTTAATCCCAGCACTTTGGGAGGCCACAGTGGGCGGATCACCTATGGTCAGGAGTTCGAGACCAGCCTGGTCAACATAGTAAAACCCCATCTCTACTAAAAATACAAAAATTAGATGGGCGTGGTGGCATGCGCCTGTAGTCCCAGCTTCTTGGGAGGCTGAGGCAGGATAATCGCTTGAACCTGGGAGGCAGAAGTTGCAGTGAGCCAAGATCACACCACTGCACTCCAGCCTGGGTGACAGAGCAAGACTTCCTTTCAAAAAGTAAAAAGATGGAGAAACTGAGGCTCAGACACCTGAAGCAAATTGCCCAGGATCACACATCCAAGAAGTGGGGAAGCCCGGATTCTTACTTGGGGGTGCCTGGCTGCAAACTCCAAGCTCCCCCATGCCCACATCTAGGCGGGACTGCAGGACAAGCATCACCAGGGTGCAGTTTAGAGGAATGGCCTTGAAATGAGTGGCAAATCCTGCTCAGCCCCCAGACCCAAGAAGACCTTGGGCATGTTCCTTGTCCTCAGCCCGCTCACCTGGAAAGGGCACCTCCTGGATTTATCCAAAGATGCTTTCCTGCACTGAACATCTCGGAAGATTTGTGTACGATTGAACCATCACCAAGTGCCAAGCACAGCACTAAACACCCTAAATACATTCCCTCTCCTAATCCTCATGAGGCGGGTACCATTCATAGCAGTTTCACAGATGAGGAAACCGAGGCACCGAGCAGTCACATGACTTGCTCTAGGTCACACGTCTAGTGGGTTCCAAAGCCACATTCCAGCAGGTGGCCCGGAGGCCCTCCCTCTCAACCTCATAGCTGTGCAGCCTCCAGGCAAAGCCTTTTCCCAAAGTCCTGCTCAGCCACCAGGTCCAGAGGACCTTGGACGGGTTCCTTGTTCTCAGCCTGCTCTCCCAGAAAGGGTACTGTTTGGATTCACTCAAAGAGCCTTTCCCGCACTCAACATTGCGTAAAATTCATGAGCAATTAACTGGTGGCTCCCCTTCCATGTTAAGAAATACTAAACTCAAGCTGTTAAGGAGACACAGAGCGGAATACGAGAAAGTCAGAGTCAGGTTCGGCCCAACGCAGTGGCTCACGCCTGTAGTCCCAGCATTTTGGGAGGCCTAGGTGGCCAGATAACTTGAGGACAGGAGTTCGAGACCAGCCTGGCCAACATAGTGAAGTTCTGTCTCTACTAAAAATACAAAAATTAGCTGGGTGTACTGGCGCACACCTGTAGTCCCAGCTACTTGGGAGGCTGAGGCAGGAGAATCACTTGCACTTGGGAGGTGGAGGTTGCAGTGAGCCGAGGTCATACCAATGCACTCCAGCCTAGGCGACAGAGTGAATGAGACTGTCTCAAAAGATAATAATAAAATAAAAAATAAAATAACTGCTTTATCCCAGTATTAAAATATTAGTACTTACTGGTTTTTTAATCAATGTAGGGTAGTAACAGGCATTATATCTTCTTCCCAAATGTTATATTTAATATTGTTAAATGTTTGTGGTTATTAAATGTTAAAAGTAACGATACTGTCCGGGCACAGTGGCTCATGCCTATAATCCCAGCACTTTGGGAGGCTGAGGCGGGCAGATCACGAGGTCAGTAGATCGAGACCAGCCTGGCCAAGATGGTGAAACCCCATCTCTACTAAAAATACAAAAATGAAATGAACCCATCCATAGGTTACAAAGCACAAAGTTAAACTAGGACCATTAGCTCCTGAAAAAAAAAAAATGCCCAGATACGTTTTTGGAAATGGAGAAAGACCTGGAAAAGAATGTGACTAAATTGTTTTGATCAGTCCTATCCTATAAGACCTAGCAAAAAAAAAAAAAATTGTTTTGAAAGCTGGGTTTCAAATGTGGGACAATTAAGCTATGTATTTGTAAACATGGCTATTGAAAAGAATGTATGACTTTCCTCCCAATTAAAATACCATGCAAATGTGATGCAAATGTGTAAGGCTGAGCTTTGTCAGCTAAAACTAATTAACAGAACAACTCAAATGATATCATTTCTAGGTGAATTTGTTTGTGATCAGACCATTTTCTTTTTTTTTTTTTCAGACAGAGTCTAGCTCTGTCGCCAGGCTGGAGTGCAGTGGCGCAGTCTCAGCTCACTGCAACCTCTGCCTCCCGGGTTCAAGTGATTCAGGAGTTCGAGACCAGCCTGGCCCACATGGTGAAACCCCGTCTCTACTAAAAATACAAAAAACCAGCCAGGCGTGGTGGGATGCATCTGTAGTTCCTGCTACTCGAGAGGCTGAGGCAGGAGAATCGCTTGAACCCGGGAGGTGGAGGTTGCAGTGAGCCAAGATCGTACCATTGGACTCCACCCTGGGTGACAAGAGTGAAACTCTGTCTCAAAAAAAAAAAAAAAAAGATTCTATGACATAAAAATCTGGTATGAGGTAGTGCAGGGCTGGTGTGATGGGTCCACAGTATCAGGAAAACGACTTTCTTCTGTCTTGTTGCATGTTCTTCATTCTCCATTCCGAAAACGACGTCTTGTTCCAGATGGCTGCTCCGTCTCCAGCCATTGCACCTGCAATCCAGATCAGTGGAAGGCGGAAAGAGGAGAAATAGGGCAACACTCTCAAGGACTTTCCCACAGTTTTACCCACATCCCATTGGCCAGAACGTACCACATGGCCACACATAGTTGCAAGGGAGGCTGGGAGATGTAGTCATTATTCAGTGTAGCCATTTGCCCCAGCTGAAAACCAAGTGAGAATGGGTCTTGAGGGATCATGAGTATGAAGTCTTTGCCACAGGTAGATCCTATCTTTAATCCCCTTTTACAAACGAGGAAACTGAGAAGTTAGTGACCTGATCAAAGTCACAGTGTGAATAGGTGATGAACTGCAAAATATTTTGTGACACTTTTCTTCATGCACCTTACATTAGTAAAGTCTTAGTTATTAACCCTTCAACATTGCCCAGGAGACAAAAACACCACTTTGGCTGGGCGCAGGGCTCACGCCTGTAATCCCAGAACTTTGGGAGGCTGAGGCACGTAGATCACTTGAGGTCAGGAGTTCGAGACCACCCCGTCTCTACTAAAGATACAAAAATTAGCCAGGCATGGTGGTACTCGCCTGTAATCCCAGTTATATGGGAGGCTGAGGCAGGAGAACACTTGAACCCTGGAGGCAGAGGTTGCAGTGAGCTGAGCTCACGCCACTGCACTCCAGCCTGGGTGACAGAGCGAGACTCCATCTCAAAAAAAAAAAAAAAAAAAAGAAAAACGCACATTTAAAATTTTGTTCTTTATACTGAAGTCATTGCTTATTTTATCAAATAGAAATTTTTCAGGGCAGCTATGCCTGAGGCAGAGAACGTGTGCAGACTTAACAGAAAGATGGGGTTTCTCTATCTCCGGGGAAAGGAGGGCAAAGGGGTCCACCACGCTCATGCCCACGGAGGGCTTAGGGGTCTGCCTTGCTCATGCCCACGGAGGGCTTGTGAGCTGCTCCGATGCCGCTTTCCCCCATCCAGGCAGCGCTCCCTGTGGCCATAGCTGCAGCATTACTGCCCTCTACAGGCCGCCTGGAGCCCCGACATGGGAGTTCAACCACAGCTGCGTCTACGCCAGGGACAGGGGACAGAGAAATGGAGCCCCTCCTTCCCACCTTGCTCGTGGCAAGCATGGGGAAACTTCAGTGGGAAGAGCGAAAAAGGAGAGAAAAGTGGGGAGATCGATGAGGAAAGATCATGATTGTGAGAAGCGTGGGAGCAAATTGGGGAGCGGGTCAGGGAGGAACATGGGAATCAGGACTACGTGGCTTTGAGGAGTCACACGGGGGGCTACCTTCCCCCACATGCCAGAAAATCCAGACTGCAGAAGCCCATTTAGGCACTGTCTCTCCTGCCCAGCCGGGCCCCACCAGCTCACTCATTGCCAGCTCCACGTCAGCCCCTCTCTTGTATCAAGCACTGTGCCAGGGATGAAGGATGCAATGGTTCAAGAGAGAGAGGGTCCCCACCCAACCCCTAAAAAGGGAGCAGGACAATGACACCTAGAATTCAATGAATAATAAGCTGGGACAAGCATGATGAAGGCAAAGAATGGGGGGAAGGTGGGAAAATTCGCAGGGGCCTGGGTGGGACCTGGTTTGAAACAAAAGCTGAAGATGGATGAGGACCCGACCAGGGGAAGATGGAGTGGGAGAGGGGCAAGGGGAGCCCCCAAGACCGAGGGACCAGCAGGTGCAAAGACTCCAGGTGAGCTAGGACTGAGCCTGCCCATGGAGAGGAAGCGGGGCCAGGGTGGCAGGGGCAAAGTGGACACTCCAGAGAGCCATGGGCAGGGACGGTGTCCCAATCAGGTCTATACTTAGGAAGGTTTAGATTTAGATTTCCATGGCTTCTGGGTGGAACACGGGTTGGGAGCAGGCAGGACAAGAACTTGTGAGGAGGTCACTGCAGATGTTGGGTGAGGGGGGACGTTGGCCTGAACTAGGTCAATTGTGGAGGGGTGAAGAGAGGCGGGTGGACTCGAGGGCTATTGGGACAATGAAAGCCAGAGGACTGTGTCTACACAACAGGAGGCCCCACATGGAGGGATTAAGAGTGTGGGCTCAGTCCGCTGTGGTGTCTGACGCCTGTAATCCCAGCACTTTGGGAGGCGGACTCAGGAGGATGGTTTGAGACCAGGATTTTTTTTTTTTTTTCGAGACAGAGTCTCACTCTGTTGTCCAGGCTGGAGTGCAATGGCACGATCTCAGCCCACTGCAACCTCAGTCTCCCAAGTAGCTGGGACTACAGGCACGTGCCACCACATCAGGCTAATTTTTGTATTTTTAGTAGAGACTGGGTTTCACCATGTTGACCAGGCTAGTCTTGAACTCCCAACCTCAAGTGATCCACCCACCTCAGCCTCCCAAAGTGCTGGGATTACAGGCGTGAGCCACCACGCCGGGCAGAGACCAAGAGTTCGAGACCAGCCTGGGCAATAGGGTGAGCTCTCTTCCCTATAAAAATAACGTTTTTGGTTTTTTGTTTGTTTTTTGAGACACAGTTCCACCTTTGTTGCCTAGGCTGGAGTGCAATGGCGCAATCTCGCCTCACTGCAACCTCTGCCTCCCGGGTTCAAGTGATTTTCCTGCCTCAGCCTCCCAAGTGGCTGGGATTACAGGTGCCTGCCACCATGCCCAGATAATTTTTTTGTATTTTTGGTAGAGACGGGGCTTCACTATGTTTGCCAAGCTGGTCTCAAATTCCAGACCTCAAGTGATCCACCCACCTCCACCTCCCAAAGTGCTGGGATTACAGGCGTGAGCCACCGAGCCAAACCCAATTTATTATTTTTTTAATTTAGCCGAGTGTGGTGGTACACACCTGTAGTCCCAGCTACTCGGAGGCTGAGGTGGGAGAATCACTTGCGTGAATCACGGGAGGCAGAAGTTGCAGAGAGCCGAGACTGCACCACTGCACTCCAGCCTAGGCAACGACAGAGTGAGACACTGTCTCAAAAAACAGTAGCAACAGCAAAGACCAACTTAAAGAGGCTCCTACTAGCCAAAGATGGGACCATTTGGGCATCAATAAAAAAATAACTGCATACTAAATATGTTTCTATCCATGGGTTTATAACAATGTTAAAAATATTTTTTAAATGCTCACTGGTCCCCGCTGGAAAATTCTAGTGAGCCAATTCATTTTTTTTTTTTATGGGGGAAAGAATCAAGTATTTATCCTTCCTTTTCTTTGCAAATTGCACCGCTGAGTAATCAAATGGGAGATGAGGGAAAGTTTGTGTGCATAGAACTCCTCCATGTAATAAATGAAAAGGAATAACAGAATGAGAATACCATCACTTTGCAACCCCAAATGAATCCGTGGATCCAGGCACTGCACACCCACAGCTGCTGCCATCAGCATTATGCGCATCCTGTGACATAATGTCTGTGACAATCAGACATTATGCGCATCCTGACGGGAGGACGCTACACCTCCTATGAGGCAGTCTTGCCACATCAGTCAAATTGGAACCTCAGCAAACCTCTGTACTCAAGGCCGGGCGCAGTGGCTCACGTCTGTAATCCCAGCACTTTGGGGGGCCAAGGCGGGCGGATTACTTGAGGTCAGGGGTTTGAGACCCGCCTGGCCAACATGGGAAACCTCGTCTCTGCTAAAAATACAAAAACTAGCCAGGCGTGGTGGTGGGCGCCTGTAATCCCAGCTACTTGGGAGGCTGAAGCAGGAGAATTGCTTGAACCTAAAAGGCAGAAGCTGCAGTGAGCCACGATAGCTGCTACTGCCCTCCAGCCTGGGCGACAGAGCGAGGCTCCATCTCAAAAACAAAAAACCACCACATAACCTCTTCAAGCCTCCTCTATGTTGTAGCACGTGTCAGTACTTCATTCCTTTTTATAACTAAATAATATTCCATTATATGGATAGGCCACTTTTGTTATCCACTCATTCACTGGTGAATACATGGATTATTCCACTTTGGGGCTAATATGAAAAATACTTCTATGAACATTTTTCCATTCATTTTTCTATGAACATATGTTTTCAATTCTCTTGGGTATATACTTAGCCCCAAAGTTGTCTGATAGCTTTTCATCGTTCTTAAAATGAAATCTGAGCTCTTTATCCTGACCTGTCCTGTCTTGCATGGTCTGAGCCCTGCCTGCTCCTCCCTCCGCTTCATCATCCACTCCCCTCCGGCTTCCCCAGGGGCTCCAGGCACTTCCTTCTGGTCACTGACCCAGGACCTTTGGCAGGGCTGTTCCTAACACCTGTATTTAGCTGTCTGCCATCATTAGCCTGTAAACTGCACAGAGCAGAAGCCACATCCTGTCTGTTGCGGCAGGGCACAGAGCCTGGCCGGTGATAAGAGGTCAATGAATACTTGATCCGCAGTGTCCTCATCTAAACTTTGGGTTAAATCAGAGAAGAGATTCGTAACCTCAGTCCATCGATACAGGAGTGAGCTTCACAGTCAAGAAACCTACTGAAATGTCTGTGTATTCTTCCAGGGAGAGGGTCTGCAGTTGTCAGCAGATTCTCAAAGGGTCTATGCCAAGCCCATCACCACCAAATCATAAGTATCCCGGGTCCAGGTCAATCATTTTCAAACTTCAGTGTGCATCGGAATAACCTGGGAAAAGGTCGGGGGCGGTGGCTCACACCTATAATCCCAGAACTTTGGGAGGCTGAGGCAGGTGGGTCACTTGAGGTCAGGAGTTCAAGACCAGCCTGGCCAACATGACGTAACCCCATCTCTACTAAAAATACAAAAACTAGCCAGGCGTGGTGGCAGGTGCCTGTAATCCCAGCTACTGGGGAGGCTGAGGCAGGAGAATCGCTTGAACCTGGGAGGCGGAGGTTGCAGTGAGCCGAGATCACACCACTGCACTCCAGCCTGGGAGACAAAGTGAGACTCTGTCTCAAAATAATAAGAACAACACGGGAGAGTCTGTAAATAGTTAGATATTCAGTACCCTTCACCCCCCAGCACGGTCTGACTTGCGCATTTGGGATAGGCTCTGAAATCTTTATCACTAACTGTCTCCTACCTTGGACGTCGGATGCAGGTCCAAGGACCATATTTTAAGAATGTTACCCCAAAGATTTCCTTGACCTACCTAAGAATCAGCATAAGGCATCTTGAAGTGTCTTTGTAGCACTGACATTCTCAGAGGCTTCCACAAAACAAACGGCCCTTTCAGGCATGGAGGGTGCAGTAATGAGAAAGGCTTCTCTGCCCCTGGGGCTGGAGCTCAGCACTGGGTGAGGGGCTCCAAGGGTCATGTGCCCTGTGCTCCAGGAGCCTCTAGATGGCAGTGCCCAGCCAGAAATAGAGCCAGAGCGGGTGGATGCGGGAGGCTGTTGAGTCCTGAGGCTGCACATGGGAGGGTGAGGAAAGCCCAGGGGCCAAAGCCCCCACAACTGGCCCCAACCGGCTCACAGACAGGTGCAGCCAGGCTGGAACCCCGGATGCTCAGACACTTGTCAACTGAGAAGTGAATGGAAGGGAGGGAGGAAGATCATATGAGAGTTTGAATTATTAATGATAGTAGCTAACAATTATTGAAAATTTGCTGCCAGCCACTGTTCTCTGGCCAAATTGAGATCATCCTGTTTATATTTCTCATGATATTACAAGCATTTTTCCATGTCTTGAAATATTTTTCAAGGCCAGGCGAGGTGGCTTATGTCTGTAATCCCAGCACTTTTGGAGGCCGAGGTGCGAGGATTGCTTGAGCCTAGGAGTCCAAGACCAGGCTGGACAACATAGGGAGACCCCCATCTCTACCAAAAAAAAAAAATTTTTTTTTTAATTAGCTGGGCATGGCGGGGCACCTCTGCGGTCCCAGCTACTTAGGAGGCTGAGGCAGGAGGATTGCCTGAGCCCAGAAGATGGAGGCTGAAGTGAGTCCTGATCATTCCACTGCACCCCAGGCTAGGTGACAGGGAGCAATCTTGTCTAAAAAAAAAAAAAAAAAGTCTGGGCTTAGTGGCTCACACCTGTAATCCTAGCACTCTGGGAGGGTGAGGCAGGCAAATTGCCTGAGCCCAGGAGTTCAAGACCAACCTGGGCAACACAGCAAAACCACATCTCTACTAAAAACACAAAAAATTAGCCAGGCATGGTGGTGCCTGCCTGTAACTCCCAGCTACTCAGTAGGCTGAGGTGAGGGTCACGTGAGCCTAGGAGGTTGAGGTTGCACTGAGCCTCAAGATTGGACCATTGCACTCCAACCTGGGTGACAGAATGAGACCCTGGCTCATAAAAAAAAAAAAAATTCAAGAGTATGCTTTAGGCCAGGCACGGTGTCTCACGCCTGTAATTCCAGCACTTTGGGAGGATGAGGCAGGCAGATCACAAGGTCAGGAGTTCGAGACCAGCCTGGCCAATATGGTGAAACCCTGTCTCTACCAAAAATACAAAAAAAAAAAAAAAAAAAAAATTAGCTAGGCATGGTGGTGCACACCTGTA
Organism: Homo sapiens; assembly: GCF_000001405.40. Taxonomy (NCBI): domain Eukaryota; kingdom Metazoa; phylum Chordata; class Mammalia; order Primates; family Hominidae; genus Homo; species Homo sapiens. The sequence continues at coordinate 9,133,805 of NC_000016.10, read as the reverse complement.
ATCCCAGCTACTCAGGAGGCTGAGGCAGAAGAATTGCTTGAACCCGGGAGGTGGAGGTTGCGGTGAGCCAAGATCGCGCCACTGTACTCCAGCCTGGGCAACGGAGGGAGACTCCATCTCAAAAAAAAAAAAAAAGTATGCTTTATAAAGGCTTCATAATTTTCCATCTAATGAAACTAATAAGATGTGATGAACCAGTCGCTATTATTAGGGCTTTAGGTTATTCCTCACTGTCTTCCACTCCAAGTACCACACTTCATATTGTTGCATCAGAATCCTCTTTTGGCCAGGCACAGTGGCTCCCGCCTGTAATCCCAGCACTTTGGGAGGCCAAGGCGGGGGATTCAACTGAGGTCGGAAGTTCAAGACCAATCTGGCCAACATGGAGAAACCCCCCCCTCTACTAAAAATACAAAATTAGCCAGGCATGGTGGCACATGCCTGTAATCCCAGCCACTCAGGAGGCTGAGGCAGGAAAATAACTTGAACCCAGGAGGTGGAGGTTGCAGTGAGCCGAGATCAAGCCATTGCACTCCAGCCTGTGCAACAAGAGGGAGACTCTGTCTCCCAAAAAAAAAAAAAAAAAAAAAAGAATCCTCTTTTAAGGCTGGGCACGGTGGCTCACGCCTGTAATACCAGCACTTTGGGAGGCTGAGGCGGGTGGATCACCTGAGGTCAGGAGTTCAAGACTATCCTGGCCAACATGGTGAAACTCCGTCTCTACTAAAAATACAAAAACTAGCTGGGCGTGGTAGCAGGCGGAGGCTGTGGTGAACCGAGATCACGCCATTGCACTCCAGCCTGGGCAACAAAAGTGAAACTCCGTCTCAAAAAAAAAAAGAAAGAAAAAGAAAATTCTCTTTTACAACTGTTATTACCTCTGAATATATGTTTAGAAACAGGATTATAAAACCCAAAATTAGGACCACTTTTGAAGATCTTAATAGATACAGCCAACTTTTTTTGTTTTGAGACAGTCTCGCTCTGTTGCCCAGGCTACAGTGCAGTGCCGTGATCTCCGCTCCCAGCAACCTCTGCCTCCCAGGTTCAAGCAATTCTCATGCCTCAGCCACCTGAGTAGCTGGGATTACAGGCACACGCCACTGGGCCCAACTAATTTTTTTTTTTTTTTTTTTTTTAAGTAGAGACAGGGTTTCACCATGTTGGCCAGGCTGGTCTCGAACTCCTTGCCTCGAGTGATCTGCCCGACTCGGCCTCCCAAAGTGCTGGGATTAAGGCGTGAGCCACTGTGTCAGGCCCAGCCAACTTATTTTTCAGAATGTTTTAGCACCTCTCAGCAGCAGCATGTGAGCGGGCACGTCATCTCAGACTTCCCAACCCCAAGTAATAGCCACTTATCTTTTCAAAACTGTATTCAAAACACAGTATCACTTTTTTTTGTTTTTCCTTTTCCATTTCCATTTTTGAGACAGTCTTGCTCTGTCACCCAGGCTGGAGTGCAGTGGCTCGATCTCAGTTCACTGCAACCTCCGCCTCCCGGGTTCAAATGATTCTCCTGCCTCAGCCTCCCGAGTACCTGGGATTACAGGCGCCCACCACCACGCCTGGCTAATTTTTGTATTTTTAGTAAACACAGGGTTTCACCAGGTTGGCCAGGCTGGTCTCGAACTCCTGGCCTCAAGTGATTCACCCACTTCAGCCTACTAAAGTGCTGGGATTATTGGCATAAGCCTCCACGCCTGGCAACTTCTAAAAATTTGAATCTCACAAAATAATGTTGAGCCATTTTTTTCATATATCAGTTGGTAATTTTTATTTCTGATTCTGAAAACTCCCTGGTCCTATCTTTTATTTTTCTTTTTTTCTTTTTTCTTTTTTTTTTTGGAGACAGAGTCTCACTCTGTGGCCCAGGCTGGAGTGCAGTGGTGCGATCTTGGCTCACTGCGACTTCTGCCTCCCAGGTTCAAGTGATTCTCCTGCCTCAGCCTCCTGAGTAGCTGGGACTACAGGCACATGCTACCACACCCGGCTAATTTTTTATACTTTTAGTAAAGATGGGGTTTCACCATCTTAGCCAGGATGATCTCGATGTGCTGTCCTTGTGATCCGCCCACCTCAGCCTTCCAAAGTGCTGAGATTACAGGTGTGCACCACCACGCCCGGCCCCCTATTTTTCTTATTTGGCATATAACCTTCTTATCCACATATAGGAACTCTGTGGGTGGGAGGGATTAAATTTGTCCTGTTTGCCAGTTCCATTTTCAATATTTTTTATATTGATGATAAACAAAAGCTTACATTTATGCTCATAATCAATCTTTTATTTTAAAATATATTTTCCATTGCCTTTATGTTTATAAAAAATATTCAGGCTGGGTGCAGTGGCTCACACCTATAATCCCAGCACTTTGGGTGGCAGAGGCGGAGGATCACTGGAGCCCAGGAGTTAGAGACCTTCCTGAGCAACATAGCGAGACTCTGTCTCTACAAAAAAAAAAAAAGAAAAGAAAAAAATTTTTTAATTAGCTGGGTGTGGTGGTGCACACCTTTAGTCCCAACTACTTGGAAAGCTGAGGCTGGAAGATCAATTGGGCCTGGGAGGTTGAGGCTGCAGTGAGCCACAATCACACTACTCCACTTCACCATGGGTGACAAAGTAGACCCTGTCTCTCAAAAAATAAAAATAAAGTTAAGTACTCGCTATACTTCCCACCAGTTTTTTAATGTTTCCATTTTGCATTTAAGTCTTTAATGTCAATATATTCGGGTACCTGAGGTGATGCTCTAACTTAATGTGTTTTTCCCCAAGAAGTCAGTTTTCCCAACACCATTAACTGATTAACTCATCCCTTCCCTGTCATTTTGTGCTATTTCCTGATGAGATATCAACTTCTTATATTAACCAGGGCATTTTCTGGAGTATCTATCCTGTTTCAGTCTTTGTGCTGACACCTAACTTTGAATTATTACAATTTTGTCATGTTTTAATTCTCTTTATTTTTGAGACGGAGTCTCATTCTATTGCCCAGGCTGGAGCACAGTGGCACGATCTTGGCTCAGTGCAACCTCGGCCTCTCAGGTTCAAGCAATTCTCCTGCTTCAGCCTCCTGAGTAGCTGGGATTACAGGCGCCCACCACCATGCCTGGCTAATTTTTTGTATTTTTACTAAAGACGGGGTTTCACCATATTGGCCAGGCTGGTCTCAAACTCCTGACCTTGTGATCCGCCCTACTCGGCCTCCCAAAGTGCTACCATTACAGGTGTGAGCCACTGTGCCTGACCTTAATTCTGTTTTATCTCAAAATTTATTTAGCTATTCTCAGCTGTGAATTCTTTGAGCCAAACATGAATACAGTACTTCCGATCAGTTTCCCAAAATCCCTTTGGATTTGTGTTAGAACTATAATTTGCAAAGAAATAGCACTTAGGTGTGAAGAGGGTATGAAACCTCATCTTTACAAAAAATAAATTAGATGGGTCTGGTAATGCACACCTGTAGTCCCAGCTCGGTAGGCTGAGGTGGGAGGATTGCTTAAGCCTGGGAGTCTGAGGCTGCAGTGAGTTATGATTGTGTTACTGCACTTCAGCCTAGGTAACACAGCGAGACCTTGTCTCAAAAAAAAAGTGGGGGGGCATTTTGCTTAGGGTCACACAACTCAGTAAGTGGTGGGGCCAGGATTCAATCAGGCAGCCTGTCTCCAGAGACTGCGCATCGGCATTATTTTGTTTAGTCCTGTCGTATTTTCTTTAGTATTCTAAACCAGCCACCTTAATAAAGAATTCTATTTTTCTCATAAAGAAAAAGCATAATTTGGAGCCCGCCACAGTGGTGTGCACCTGTAGTCCCAACTACTCAGGAGGCTGAGGAAACAAGATCACTTGAATCTAGGAGTTTGATGCCAGCCTGGACAACATAGTTGAGACCCTGTCTCAAAAAAAATTTTAATTAAAATTTTAGGCCAGGAGTAGTGGCTCATGCCTGTAATCCCAGCACTTTGGGAGGCCAAGGCGGGTGGATCATGAGGTAAGCAGTTTGAGACCAGCCTCACCAACATGGTAAAACCCCGTCTCTACTAAAAATACAAAAAAATTAGCTGGGCGTGGTGGCGGGCGCCTGTAATCCCAGCGACTTGGGAGGCTGAGGCAGGAGAATTGCTTGAAATCGGAAGTCGGAGGTTGCAGTGAGCCGAAATTGCGCCACTGCACTCTAGCCTGGGCAATAAGAGCCAAACTCCATCTCAAAAAAAAAAAAAACACTAAAATTTTAGGCCAGGCACAGTGGCTCACGCCTGTAATCCCAGCACTCTGGAAAGCTGACATGGGCAGATCACCTGAGGTCAGGAGTTCAAGACCATCCTGGCCAACATGGTGAAACTCCGTCTCTACTAAAAATACAAAAATTAGCTGGGCGTGGTGGCAGGCGCCTGTAATCCCAGCTACTGAAGAGGCTGACGCAGAAGAATCACTTGAACCTGGGAGGCAGAGGCTGCAGTGAGCCAAGATTGCACCACTGTACTCCAGCCTGGGCAACAGAGCAACACTGTCTCAAAAAAATTAAATTAAATTAAATTTTTTTAAAAGGCATAATTCAGTGGAAAAAGCATCAACAGGAAACTATTCTCTCTCTCTCTGCTTACACAGGGAACCACCACCGTTTATCTGGAGTGAATAAAAAGCCAAGTTAAACACATAAAAGTGACCCCACATGTCATTCTCCTGGATCACATGCTCCACGGAAGCAAGGGTTGTGCTCTGATAGGATCAGGTAAGGAAATGTTGCACAGGGGAAGAGGGCCTGGACCTTACAGAGAGAAAATCCTAAGTGAGAGTCGCAACTGGACATCTCACACAAATCACTCCACCTTTCTGAGCATCAGCAAAACAGGCACAAACACGTCCCTTGGGGATGTGCATGGAAAGCACCCAGGAGCCGGCTGGGGAATGGGCTTATCAAGACGACTGTGGTGACTGGCCCCTCGCATCCCACTGTGGGCATTTCATGAATTCTTGCAGGATTGGTGGACTTCCAGTTTGTCTTGTCCCCACTCTCCTGCCTACAGAGAAGCTAGAGCCTGCTTTGCACACAGCCATAGATTTGTCTGCTGCCAAAGGATAACAGGATTACAGCCACAACCAAGAGCCCTAGGGTCCTATAGAACAGAGCCCCGAAGGGCAGGCCCAGGGCACCACCAGGACCCCACCTGGTAGTGTGGAAACGGGAAGATGTTTGGGGCGGGGGGAGCAGGTTCTAAACCCAGAGAATAAGCACCTGCGAGTACAGTTCACTGATTCCTGAGCATTCCAGCCCAGAACCCCAGATCCAGGACAGGCGAGGGAGCCCATTTTAGAGATGGGGATAGTGAGGCCCAGAGAGCTGTTTCCGAAGGAGCATGGAAGCGTACCTGCCCATTTTCCCAGGTGTCCTGACCCAAGAGAAGCCAAAGACAGCCCTGTCCACAGATGTGCTTGGTGGGTCAACCTGGTCTGTTTTTAAATACACAGGTTCAAGTGTCCTTAAACAGATGTGCACTCTGCGAATCGCTGTGGTCTCAGGCTGCCAGCATCTGAATGCACCACCCCAAGCAAACAGGATGCATTTTCACAATTAACTTGGGGTTTTATCACCCAGTTTGAGACAAAAGGCAGCGGAGCCCAGACAGGGCAGTGAGTTAAACAAGGTTAGCAAGTAAATGCCCAGCACTACAGGTCCTTCTGGGCACAAATGGCTCAGTGAACCAGACTGGGCACTCGGAGACGGAGAGGTGGTTCCTCAGGGGAACTGAAAATCCGGGTGGGGAAAAGAGGACGTGTCTGAGCTGTGGAATCTGGCAGCAGACCCCCCTCGCTTCAAATCCTGACTCAAGAAGTTCTGGGCCCGTTTGTCAGCACCCCATTCGCCACCAGGGACCTCCCAGGACAAGCCCTGCCGTGGGAAAACTGTCGCTTTAAGGGTCTGGTGGGCAGGCCCAGCCATTTCCATGGAGCAGACTCTGAGCTGTTTCTGTCTTTCAAAAACCAAGGCCCCAACAGGAAGTGAGTCACCACAGGAAAATACAGGGTTCCCAGCCTTAGGGGGCTCGAGGCTGACCTCAGATGCCCCCGTGGGGGTCAGGCCTTTGTAGGTGCATGGCTCTGTGGGTGGGGAAAGATTATTTCAGCATTTGCTGACATCATTGAATGGTGTGTGACTGAGGGGAAGGTCTCTAACTCAGCCCAGGTTCATCTGAGTCAACCAGGGTCAAACAGCTTTCACGGGCATCTTTGGGTCACTGACCGGGCAAAGCCAGGCCCTTAAAACAAGAGGTTGTTGGCCAGGCACGGTGGCTCACACCTGTAATCCCAGCACTTTGGGAGGCCAAGGCAGGTGGATCACCTGAGGTCAGGAGTTCAAGACCAGCCTGGCCAACACGGTGAAACCCCGTCTCTACTAAAAAATACAAAAATTAGGGCCAGGTGCAGTGGCTCACATCTGTAATCCCAGCATTTTGGGAGGCCAAGGTGGGTGGATCACCCGAGGTCAGGAGTTCGAGACCAGCCTGGCCAACATGGTGAAACCCCATCTCTACTAAAAATACAAAAAAAAAAAAAAATCAGATGGGCGTGGTGGCGTGCACCTATAATCCCAGCTACTCTGGAGGCTGAGGTAGGAGAATCGCTTGAACCCAGGAGGCGGAGGTTGCAGTGAACTGAGATCGCACCACTGCACTCCAGCCTGCTAAATAAAAATTAGCTGGGTGTGGTGGGGCACACCCGTCACCTGTAATCCCACCTACTTGGAGGGCTGAGGCAGGAGAATCGCTTGTGCCCAGGAGGCAGAGGTTGCAGTGAGCTGAGATTATGCCAGTGCACTCCAGCCTGGGCAACAGTGAGACTTTGTCTCAAAAAAAAAAAGAGGTTGTTGAAAGCACACTAAGAACCAACCAAATGTTTGATGTGCTCGCAGTCCTGTGAGTTAGCTTTGTCACGCCCACCTTCACAGATGAGAAAACTGAGGCTCAGATTAAGTTATCTGCCCAAGTTCCTACCAGCCCACACTCCCCAATCCCCTCCTGATTTTGAACCCAAGCTTGGGCTTGACAAGAAATGCTCATGAGTACCTTTCAGACAGGACAGAAGCCAGACAGATCTGCCCACCCCCCAAACCTTTCAGACAGGACAGAAGCCAGACAGATCTGAGCACCCCCCAAACCTTTCAGACAGGACAGAAGCCAGACAGATCTGCCCACCCCCCAAACCTTTCAGACAGGACAGAAGCCAGCGAGATCTGCGCACCCCCCAAACCTTTCAGACAGGACAGAAGCCAGACAGATCTGCGCACCCCCCAAACCTTTCAGACAGGACAGAAGCCAGAGAGCTCTGCGCACCCCCCAAACCTTTCAGACAGGACAGAAGCCAGCGAGATCTGCGCACCCCCCAAACCTTTCAGACAGGACAGAAGCCAGAGAGATCTGCGCACCCCCCAGACCTTTCAGTGCCTCAGCCCTCTCATCTGTAAGCTGGGAATCCCCTCATTCAACTGCGTACTGGTGTCTATTCAGTGCCAGGGCAACAGTGAATACACACATGCAGACCCTGCCCTACAGCAATAGCAGACCCAAAACACCAGGAAACCAGCAAGGAAAATCATCACAAGGCAGAATGAGAAACAAGGGGCCCAGAGACTCACACAGGAGGAGAGGGTGAAGACATGCCCGGGAGGACACGACAGATGAGCCAGAATAAGGGGGATGGCCTTTCCAAAGAATGGGCAGAAGGACGTCCTGGGAGATGTAAACCACAGTAGTTGTCAAACTTGCAGCTGAAGTGAATGTTAACAAGGGAGGCCTCTGGAGAAGGTTCCATTGGGCAGACCAGGCCCTGCTAGGTCACACCTCAGAAGGAAGGGAAATCTCAATTGCTGGACCCACTGAGAGCCCTGGCCCTCCCCAGGCTCAGAAGGCCCATCTCAGCCACCCGGGGCTTGGAAATACTCCACCCCCATCCCAGTCGGCTCCCCCAGCAGCCTATGCAAGGACAGCAACCACGTCCTCGGGACGTGCCGGCTGCCCAGGCTTCAGCAGCTGGCGCAAAGGCCCAGTGAAGGCTCCAGAAGCCAAGCTGGGCAAGTTGGTTTAACATGGGATTGCACTGGGCTGCATCAGTGTCCCGATGTCAGGTCACAACAGCTTCGCAAGAGCCCACCCTGTCGTTCTGCGCGTGGGTTAAGGTTGACAACAGTGCAGAAACAGTTCCTTTCAGCTGGGTCTGTGACGAGCCAAGGAATGAGTATCACCTAGGCCATTCCTGGTGACTGTCCACCAAGCTTCCTGCCGACCTCAGTGAACCCCCTCCTCCTCCAGAGCCCCTCTTCTCACCTGGGAATGACCTCTTCTCATCTCGGGATGGTTCACAATTGCCCAACTGCTCCAAGTCACCAGTGGAGAAATGGAGAGAGAATGCCATCTTGTGGCCACAGTGCCAGGATTAAAAACTTGTCGAGTGCCAGGTACCCTTCTGAAGTGTTTTAGGAAACACCTCATTTCATCCTCACAACCTTATCATCCTCTTTATGGATGCGGAAACCAAGGCAGAGTAGCTAAAGAACTTGCCAAGATGGGCTAGTGACACAGCCTTTGAACCAACAGGCAGGCTGCACCTGGAAGCTCAGGGCACAGCTGCCATCACAGCCTGTGAGGGCTTCCCAAGGGTCTGCTGGGTGTCCCCAGGGCACAAGGCAGGGGTCCAATCAGTATCCAGCCTGGGGCCACGTAGGGGCGCCGTTGGGTCACACAGACCGTCTCATCGCGTGAATGGAGATATCAGAACCTGCCCGATGGGGTTGGCAAAGGCATTAAGCACTCGGTAATCCTTAGCTTTTTCACTGCAATATCCTTTACATAACAAAAGATGTAGTTCTGCATAGACTGGTAACAAGGCTCCCATCTACTTGAACAGGGAAAGAAGTGGTGTGTATAAGACCCGTTTGGTATATGGTTTTCTAGGAATACGGTATACTCCCCAGACAGGTATTTTGTAACGTTATCACCAGTAGCTCCTGGCCAGGTGGGTAGATTTGGGGTCTATAGGAATACGGGCAGAAAGCTGCTGCACATCACAGGATTCCAATTAATAGGATGGCTGACATACTGCTCGAGGATCAAGGGTCTTTTCACTTTCTGCCGCATCCAACTGCCTTGACCTTGGTCCAGCTTCCCTCGTAGTTGCAAGAGGCTGCGGCGACTCCAGGCTCACCTGCAGGTGACATCTGGGAGCAGGAGACCCTCCAGAAGACTTCACCTGTACCTTCCTATACCATTTCCCCCCTCCCCCAAGTAGTTCTAACCCCAAGTGTAAACAGAGGTAAAGAGATAAACAAGTAGTAGGACTTAGAACTTTTTTTTTTTTTTGTATTTTTAGTAGCGATGAGGTTTTGCCATGTTGGACACAGGTCTTGAACTCCTGACCTCAAGTGATCCACCTGCCTCAGCCTCCCAAAGTGCTGTGATTACAGGCGTGAGCCACCACACCTGGCCAGAACCCATTTTTAATTCTTTAATTTGCTTTGTTTTTTTGAGATACCATGTCCTACCCAGACCTTTGGATTCAGCATGTGTGTCCAGGTGGGGAATCCAGAAATCTGTAAATTAAACCTCCCTCCAGAAGACAAAGCCCCACCAGCTTCCAGCTTCAGGGAGTTGTCGCCAAGGCACACCTGCTGGGTCATCCCTGGTGAGCCATGACTCACCACGCCCTGGGCCCTGTGGGTGCCAACTTCCTCCTACCAAGCCAGTCAAACACCCTGGCCCAGAGGAACGCACTGACTGTGCTGACTTCCCCAAAGCCCAAGGGACTGAGGGTGGGTGGCAGGCGGCCCAAGAGTAGGGGCTGAGTCCTCTGACAGCCCCATCTGTCCTCAGCCGCAGGGCTGGCCCCAAGGAGCCCAGTGCCACTAGCCACCCACCCAGTTAACAATCTGCAAAGGAGCAAAAGCAACATTCCCTCTGCGGAATGTGCCAAAGGTACATTCTGCTGAAGCATGGAAAATCTTGGTGCCTGGGCCCCACCCCAGAGTCCCATCTAGTTCTTCTGGGGTACCACATGCCCAGTGGCAGATTCTAACATGAAGGAAGGATGAGAAACACAAAACTAGAGAGCAAAGAGGAGACGGGGGAAACTGAGGCTGGAGGCCAGTGCAGAACCCAGAAGCGAGCCCTCGGACTCTGAGAAGGGAATCTTATCCAGCCATGCCACGACAAGCACATTTAAAGGCTAACATCTGAGTCCTCACTTCGCACCAGGCATGGTGCTAGGCATCCTCCACACCATAACCTTGAGGGAGGGGCCCGGGAGGCAGGCCGCCAGTGGGACTGTCACCTACACCCTACTGACCCCAAAGTCCTTCTCTTCACCACCACCCTAGTTCTTGACAGACCTAAGGCCCAGGAAGAGGAAAAATAGGGAGTTCCTTGTGAAAACCTAGAAAACTTCAAGCCACCTTTTATGAACTCATTCAAGAAATGTCTATACCTACCCTGTGCTGCATGCTGAGGTCCAGAGAGCCCAGGTTTTCAAGCTGGCTGTGAAATCAACACAGTTGGTCACATACAACATCCTGTTCAGTGAAACAGCAAGAAGCTATAAAGTGCATTTGACATAAAAAGCTAAGAACTGCTGAGACCTGTTTCATCAGTTCTGTGTGTTCATTCACAAAAGGTGTGGCTGGGTAAAAGATCTTGATGGGAGAGGTATTTCTTACCACAGATCATAGTCCAGTATGTCTGAGAAACACTGAGGATGGGCAAGAGGCGAGCCTTCCTGTGCCCAATGCAATTGTGTACGCAAACACAGTTCTATACAACATTCACATTAACCTAAGAGACCCCAAACAGCAAATAAGAACTTCTTGGTAGTTACAAATTTCTACATACACCTTGAAATCAACATGGCCATGGTGATCTTGAGACTCACCATGGGGAAAAGAGTTTGGGAGTGATTAAGCTCCTGCCCACTACACTCAAGGACAGTTTAGCAGGTGATCCCCTTTTCCCCAGGGAACTTCAGCCCTGGCACCGCCACTCCTGAGGAAGAGGTATGAATGGTCTTAGAATCCTTCCTTAAAGCTCTAAGTTATAGTGGCACATACCTTGGTGGGTTTATAGAGGGCATTCAGATTATGAGTCCACAAGCAAATAGTTCTGAGTGTTGAGCCCACTGGACCCACCGGTGCCAAAAGCAGCCCAGTGGTAGCTGGCTGCCCCAGGCACCCCCAAACCCTTCTTCCAGGGTCAAGCTACAAAACTCTTGTCAGCCAGCTGAGCCCTCCTTGTTGCTGAAGCTGCAGAAAACCACAGGCCTTCTGAAGCTCCCAAAGGCAATTCCACTAAGTGATGAGAGCCCCAACACTTCCAGCAGCAACTCAGAGAACACGCCCACCAGGCCTAAAACACAAGCAAATGCTACGGCCCTCCCCAACAGCGGCCGTGCACAGCAACCACACCAGCACCCCATACTCCCTCTACTTGGGCTAAAGGGGAGTAGCTTCCCTGCTTGAGGGTTAAGTACTAGTGAAGTGAGGCAGCCTGTACTTGCCGGCCTGTGGCATCTCCTAGGAGGGCATTCAACTTCAGTTTGAAAAATTAAAATCTCTCTTACATGTGAACAAGCCCCTTCCCTGAAAACTCACCACTTAGTGTGTTACCTATCGAGGCTGCAGTGAGCTATGATCGCACCAAAGCACTCCAGCCTAGGCAAGAGAGTAAAACCCTGTCTCAAAGAAAAAAGAAAGGGCTAATTTTTCTTTTTCTTTTTTTTAGACGGAGTCTTGCTCTGTCGCCAGGCTGGAGTGCAGTGGTGCAATCTTTGCTCACCGCAACCTCTCCACCTCCCGGATTCAAGTGATTCTCCTGTCTCAGCCTCCCAAGTAGCTGGGACTACAGGTGCGTACCACCACGCCCAGCTAATTTTTGTATTTTTAGTAGAGATGGGGTTTCACCATGTTGGCCAGGATGGTCTCAATCTCTTGTGACCTCGTGATCTGCCCGCCTTGGCCTCCCAGTGCTGGGATTACAGGCGTGAGCCACCACGCCTAGCCAAAAAGGGCTAATTTTTCAATGGCATGTTAAGATAAGCTATCAGCCACATTCCAGAGTTCTCCAGGGCTCTGCTGATGGGAGAATTATAAATGGAGATGTAAATGTATCCAACTTCCAAGGAACACAAGTCACTAACATTCACATTTTTTAATTTATTTTTCTATGTTTTCTATTTATTTCACAGATGAGAAAACAGCCCAGAGAGGCAAACTTACCTAGGTTCCCAGACCTGGTAGTAGAGTCAGCATTCAAACCCACGTGATATCAAGCAAAAAGTCTTCCTTCATACGAGCAGGTAAAAAACAGATTAAAACTGAAAGGTCACTTCTGCCAAAGGAAGTATAAATACCCAACACTGGCTACGATGTAAGGGAACAGGCGCTCTTACTTTCTGATGGAAGTATTAACTGGTACCTTGCAGAAGGTACTTTGGCAAGACCCATCAGTATTTTATAGATGAATTTTTTTGACCCAGATAGTTCATCTACAGAAATTTGTCATAGAGAAACTTAAAACATAGGCCAGGCGCAGTGTCTCATGCCTGTAATCCCAGCACTTGGGGAGGCCAAGGCGGGCAGATCACTTAAGGTCAGGAATTCAAGACTGGCCTGGCCAACATGGTGAAATCCCGTCTCTACTAAAAATTCAAAATTAAATTAGCTGGGCGTGGTGGCGCACACCTGTAGTTATAGGCAGGAGAATCGCTTGAACCCGGGAGGCAGAGATTGCGGTGAGCTGGGATCGCACCACCGCACTCCAGCGACAGAGACTCCATCTCAAAAAACAAGAAAAAGAAAACACTCCACTGCTGCATTACTAATTATAAAAAATCTGTAACCTGCATCAAGGCTTATCTGTACAAGGGAATACTATTCTGTCACAAGATTTCACCATATTTGAAACCCCGTATCTAACAAAAATACAAAAAATAGCCAGGTGTGGTGGCAGGCACCTGTAATACCAGCTACTCGGGAGGCTGAGGCATGAAAATTGCTTGAACCCAGGAGGCAGAGGTTGTGGTGAGCCAAGATCGTGCCACTGCACTCCAGCCTGGGTGAGAGAGTGAAACTCCATCACAAAAAAAAAAAAAAAAAAAAAAGATTTCACCATATTACTTCTAATGTATAAAAGACCTGTATATACTATAAGCTGCTGTGTGGCTTGATTTTTGCTGTTTTAAATCTTTTTTTTAAGCACTAAATAAAAAAAAAATGAGGGGCCATCGAAAACTTGACTTGCTACGTCACAGGCTACTGTCTAACTGAACTTCACAAGGAGCCTGCAGATCCCATTATAGGAAGTAAAACCCTGGATATCTCATCCCATCAAACCCAACAGCACAACACACGGTCTGACAGCCAGCCTGGGTGCTCGGGCCTGCTCGTCTCTCAAATGCTGCCCCCACTAAAACATCACACACCTCAAATATTCCAAAGGGAGGCTAGAAGCTGGCCTTATGGGGTAAGGTCATCTAAACCATCAAAGCCGACAACTTTCCAGAAGGGGTAGCAGGTACCATAAACACTTATAACTTTAAACAAGGGGTTGCTCTGGAAGAACCTTTCTAGTCACTTTATTCCACAAATCCAGAATGTATCTCTGAAGATTCCCATCCTCACCATGACTAAATACCTCAGTCACCAATCTAATGAATGAAGCACCAGGTTACAACATACTACATAAAGTAAAATGCAATGAGATTAATCTGCTGACGTAGTCACCACTAGAGGTAGTAGCCAGGCCAAAAACTCAATCATTCTGTTCATAATTTTCTAAACTTATGGCCCCATTTCAAAATCATCTCTTGGCGTCTTGCACTGGCCTCTGAGGCTGACTAGCCCTCTGGGTTGGATGTTGGCCATCCCTCTCACTATAAAGGAAGTTAGCCAGTTTTCACTGTTGAATGGAAATCTTCAGGCCCAAAGCCACAATTATTCGAGTTTAATGAGTTCCAGTAGCCCTTAGAAAAAAACATTTAGAAAGCTAATTCTTTTTTAAAAGCCTAAACTTCATTTGATTGCATCAAAAAGTTATTCAGATGTGATGACCAAAACAAAACTGCAGACAAGCCCCATGGTTTTTTTGTTTTTATTCATTTTATGATTAAGGTGTTTATCACTACTCCAGTTGGGTAAACCACATTGAAGAATCTGACTGCAGGTCTTTAGATTCAGCCAAATGCTTTCCAACAATTTTGCTCTAAAAAATATTAAACATTTTAATACTTCAGCCATGCTCAGAACGCTGCAGTCTAAGGATGAACTTCAACTTGCCCATGCCAAGTTAGGGCGACAGGAGCAGAACTAAGGAGCTATGACGTCTAAAAGAATCAGAGAATCTGGCTTAAGACGAAGAGAGCTTCTGTTCCCCAAAACTAAACTGTCTAGTTTTTAAATCCACCCTTAACCGTTCAAGAAACTGAAAAAGTCAACTTGTTTTTAAAATACCACACAGGTATGCAATCTTCCATGATTTGTTTTGCATCTCAGCTAGCACAGGGAAACCCTTGAAAAACCTAGCTGTCAGAAGTTTTTCCTGAGGGAAATCATTACGCTTCTACTGCTGAGCTTCATGTTTATTCTGTGCGTCGGGGAAAGGAGAAAGCAATGGGACAGAGAAGGGAAAAGTTGCGACTGGGTGACAAATTCATTAGGTGCATTTGAAAGTAAACGCAATGGAAAAAAGTAACAAATGCTAAAGTTTTCTAAAAGTTTAATGAAGCCAATAAGGCATATAAATTGTGTTCTGGCAGACATTAAGACCTGCTTTCTCTTACCAAAGAAAATGGCACGTTTTATCAAAATTTGACAATTCAGAGTAAAGGGTACTGAGATTAAGCTTCAGAGCACCAACTTAAACAAAACAACCAAAAAATTGTTATCCAACGTGGAAAGAGGAGCAAGAACCAAGGCATAAAGGGGAATTAAATATGTGTTCCTCCATCTCAAAATCCTTTTAGGAATAGGAGTTCTGGCCACTTGTGAGCAACACATTGCACCACCAAACCCCAATTCCAGAATCTAAATTTACGATAGAAAAACAAAGGTAACTCCAAACGCATGTCTTGTATATTCCAAAGGGAAGCTTGAAAGTATTCATAATACATAGGCTTGTCTGTTTCAGGTAAAATGACAGATTGCTATAATTCTTCCTGCTATTATAGTCAAACAAAAAATGACCCACTTTCGCAAAAGTTTAGAAATCTCTCACTTTCATTCCTAGTTTTAGTATGGAATTCACTTTTTTAAATAAGGGCTACATCTATAATGAATACAGAACTTCAATTCACACAACATTTCTAACATTCCATTCACATCCCACCCAGTCAATGAATGAACATTTATGGTTAACTCAGCAAAGTTTCTTCACAGAAAGATATTATTAAATGGCTGAAGAAATTGCAAACTTTAACAAAGTGCTGTGAGTAATTACTGGAAAAACCCTTACACTGATTTGCAATGGTCTTTTAAGGATAAAAATAGGAAGTAACTGATACTGGACTACAAGTTTGCAAGGAAACATTTTTCACTGTCCTACTTGATATATAATATAATAATATGATAGAATAAATTACAGTACCTGGCAGGCTGACATCAGTTCTTCATCTAAAAAAACACTATCATTCAGTTCAGGATATTAAAAATGAAGATGAAACATGCTCTAAAACATTGTAGCTACAAGAGGTCTTATATTTACTCAAAAGAGGAATCTATTGAGAACTTTTTATTTAGGTCTACCTAACAGCTAGAGAATCTCCATGCGATTCCATCTTTTCCAGAATGAGATTCCAAACTGAACTTTTTAGGAGAGGGATTGGAGGGACAGGGAGAGTTGGGTTTTGCTATTTTAAGTTGCAATCACATTATTAGTAGATAAAAAAGAGAGCTTTATCATCTTCCACCCATTCCAATGGAAACTGCACTAAGCAGGGACTCCATGAAAAATGTAAAATGATAGACTAGAAAACCTACCCCACCATCCATCTCCCTCTCCCTCTCACTAATACTGAACCAAAAAGGAAGCCCATTCTCAAAGTTCATGACCTCTCTACTTTAGGTCACCTCGAATGCAGTCTACATGTTTACATTTACCATAAGGAAAGTACCCCGCATGGGAAGTAGTGTTTGTCTTAAAACTGAGTACTTTAGGCCTACAGGGTTACTCTGGGGACAGTTTAATAATAATACTGCTACTTTAGAGCACTAACACACACAAAGTGAATCCAATAAAGCTCTGGGCATTGATTCAATATTTAGTATTAATTGCATGACCATCATAGCACCTCTTTACATCACACAATCACCAGAATTAGAAATTGATTTGAAAACTAAAAACAGGGCACAGTCCAATAATTAGAATTGCACACTGTTACTATATAGAAACCAGGTGCATGGTACAGTGCAGCTGCAAAAATGGAAGCCAAATCATGTTTTTAGACAATTTTAGGAACCTGGCAATACTGTTGAAGCAAAATACTCAACACAGCAGGAAATGGACCCAAAAAAAAAAAAAGCATTCTATAACCAAATAAACATCTGATATTTCCTTTCCCTTTGAGAATAAATACAGTTAAGGTCACTTTTAGCCTTGGAACGGATATATGTTTGCCTATGATGATCTTGCTAACGACTACACAATATCTGATGTCCTCTGCTAGGATTATAGTTTTAAGAAAGCCATAATTACAAGAGGCATCTACTATAAATACCTAGAACTTCCTTTTATGGCAACCACTATAGAATTCACTTGTCTTAAACAGTGAACAAGGGAAGATGGCCTCATGTTTCCTTTGCAATTATAGTATATGTTGAGGATCAAGTGGCTTTCAAGCAGCATGGTGGGTGTGAAAATGTTTGCAGTTTAGATCATTCTGTTGCGTTTATGGGTTGGTGAGTCTGTAATGACATCGCCACACTGGGCTGAGGTACGCTTTCTAGTTCCACCATTGTCCAAGTGGAGTGCCATTTCTTCTGATATGAAAGTGTTCAAATCGACATCATGGAGTCCATTTCTCCTTCGACTAGCATTCGATCCACTGCTTACATGTGTAGGAGAGCCTGGGGTACTCGAACGCACGCTTATACTAGCCATTGCACCACTAAGACCTAGGAAGAAGAAAAAAGGTTTTAGAGTTGCTCAATTATGTAACCCTTTTGAAAGCAACCCACTTACTTTCCATGTTGTCACAATGTCAAAGCATGTCTGCCTATTTCCTTTATAAGGGATTACTAGTAAGCAATTAAGTTTTATTCTGGATAAACATATCATCTGGCCTTGACATATATTTTATTGGTAATACTACCAATATCTACAATATTGGTAACTACCAATTACTAAAAGTTACTACGTGTCAACCACCGTGCTAGGTGTACAAATATCTCATTAAATTCTCCCATCTATGAGGTAGGTACTGCACAAAATTTACAGATAAGGACAGGAGACATTTGCTTTAAAGACAAGACATTTTTGGTTACCCAAAGTTACCATTCCAACAGACCCCTCTGATGAGTGTGTATGTGTGTGATGTATTCAGGAGAGCCAGAAATCACTTCCAGGCCTAGGTGGGCTTGTTCCAACATCCCCTCTAGATAAGGTGATCACATAACTTGCCATCCAAAACAGATTACTGTTGAGCCCGAAAAGAGTCACTGTTAAAATTTCTACTGGGACATGAGGTACAAAGTCAGTCTACCCTGGACAAATCAGGCTATGTGATCACCTAAGGTCTGGAATGTATTTGGTAGATATCCTTCAGGACAGCCTCAATCATGAGCCTCTCTAATCCTTCATGGAAGTGGGGAGGGGAGAGGGTTGTGAAGAATCCTGCTGCTTTGTTTTCAACATTAAGAGTTACTGAATCCAAGGCCAGGCGCAGTGGCTCACACCTGTAATCCCAGCACTTTGGGAGGCCGGGCAGATCTCTTCAGGTCAGGAGTTCATGACCAGCCTGGCCAACATGGTGAAAACTCGTCTCTACTAAAAAATACAAAAATTAGCCCGGCGTGGTGGCAGGCGCCTGTAATCCCAGCTACTCGGGAGGCTAAGGAGGAGAATCGCTTGAACCCGGGAGGCGGTGGTTGCAAAGAACCGAGACTGCACTCCATCCTGGGTGACAAGAGCGAAACTCCGTCTCAAAAACAAAAGAGTTACTTTACTGAATCCAGAATATACCCAGCACTCATGGATACTTATTCCTTTCCTTAAACTCTTACACAGTTAAAGAGCCAAACTTACATTCCACTCCTAAACATTCAGGATAAACCTGTGAAAGGTATGAGTCAGGCCAGGAAACACCAAACACAGTGTTGCATTTTTAAAAACCTACCGTCACTGGCAGTGATCTTCTGCCTTAGGAATTTCCCCTTCCACTATTCTCTCCTCACCTAGGGATCTGTTATTGCTTGACTATCAATTAATTTTCAAAGAATAGGACTTATAAGATTTTCAAGTAAGCTTAGAGGTTTCATTTGACAGGGGCCCATTCTTTCTAATCATGAACTCCCTAAAAATGTAGTTTAAATTTGAATTTTAAGTTGAAAAGTCTCTGCCTCCTATCACAAATCTATTACATTCCCCTTGGCGTTCCCCTCCATCAAATATTCTCTGAAATGTTCTCAAATCCATGGCCTCCACTATCATCGCACATGCTGACAATGTCCTGAGGGCCACACCTCCCTTCTGAGGTGCTCAACTCCGCACTCTAGGTGCCCCCATTCCTTTCTGCACTGATCCAACCAATCCCCCTGGCTGCTCTCCCTGCAGAAGACACATCCTCCCCTCCTGCTGGTGGTCAGAGGAAATCAAACTGTCCCTCTTCAGCCTCTCAACCTTTCCAAGGCTAGCACCTATTAAAAAATAGAAGCATTAACATGAGAATACTTCCTGTGTCAGGTACTATGTCAATTACTTCCTATGACACCTATAATATCTCCATTCTGCAGGTGAAAACCCAAGTTTAAAAGTTAATTCATCCAAGGTCAACAGGTAGTAAACAAGAGCTGGCACTCCCACCCAAGTGTAATCTATATTCCTATTCAGTTATTCTGATCCTCTTCCAAGCCTAGAGTATTTTAGCAAAAAGGTGGCTTCAGGTTGGTCCTAGGGCCAGCCTGCCTCTTAGGCCTCATCTCTTTGAACAGTTTCTCTCTCTTCCCTTCCTGCTCTCTTCACTTCACCCTTAGACCGTATCCCGACTACCAACATCATGCAATTTGCAGCTCTCTGAAATAGTGAGGCCTGCAACTATCTGTCTCTTCCAACATTTGCAAATGTCTGTCTCTCCCAACATTCACTCCCTGAGTGAGCCCACCTGTTCCCCAGCACCTCCCTTATGAGGCTCCTTCCCTGGTTCTCCTACCTCTCCATTTTAGTTTCCTGCTGGCTCCTCTTTCCCCCTCCTTGAAATTGAAACTCTCCGCTCACTCCTCAGTCGCCTTGGTGGGGTTCCCTTCTGCCCCTGAAAGGCTGGTGTCACCCTGGGTGATATCCTCAACCCCTACCTTACCCACACACGTTTCCCAAAACTAGACTAATGAGCTCAACGGCCCTCCCAGATTTCTAACTGCCTACTGGACATCTCAAACTCAACACCATCAAAAAGGAACTTCACTTCCTCTTCCCCAACCGGCACAAGCTTACTTTTAAAAAACAAAATAAACCAAAAAAAAATCTTGAGCTATCTTTCTACAGCATGGTACAATCAACCGTCTCTTCCTATAGAAAATATCTTTTCATCTCCATCTAATGACCTAAGCACAGTGCCTGGCACTTACGAATTCTGAAAAAGAATAATACTTCAAAGTCCTACCCCCTCATGTTGAAATCCACTGAAATCAAAGGTTCAACTGTTGATGTTTATTCACCTCTCCAACACCAGAAAATAAACCCAGGTGTTCTCTTCACTTAAATCATTGCCATCAAGTTTAAAACTCAATTATCCCCATTGTTGGCTTTTTTTTAAAGTTCTACCGCAAGACTAAACTTGAGGGGAGAGATGTGCCTTCTTTCATCCTAGTGTCTCAGCCTGTAACATATTACAAGGTGCCCATGTTCTTCAAAGATAACCTTTCGTACTTGTTTCATAATCCAAAAGGTAATTATTATGGCAAAATATGGGCACGTTCAGCAATAAACTGGGCTACTTCAATAATTAAAATCAAGATCCCCTTTATCATTTCAAATTATAAAAAGAATTCAACAAACCCCACCCTAATGCCCTTGTTAACATAGGAGTCTCATGGCAGCACGTTTAATACCTAACAACAAATATGGAAGGCTCAAAACACTGTATCAGAAGTGGACTAGGGATTTCAAGCAAATGTTCCTTATTGTTTCAGCTGCCATTCTCCATGAAAAAGAAGATGTGTTAAACATCAATTTGGTCAATCTGAAAATTCTAACAGCTTCTGGGAAATCATCTTTTTCTACTGGGTGTATGACCTGGGTGTTTATCTTGATAACTTTAATGTGCAATATGATCTATGACTGACTCTCATAGCAGTGAAAATATTTTCAAAGTCTGCCTACCTAATCTTCCCCAAAAAGACTTTTCACAAGGGTCAAAAATAATTAAGATTAACAACCAAAAAATGTGCATTTTGACAGCCCAAATTTTATTTTACAAACCAATGACAGCTACTAGAAGATGCTTTAGGAAACCTTAGCTAAGCCACATAAACAATCAGACCTATACAAGTACAGAAAAATCTAAACATGCTTCAGAACTAAAAAAAAAACAAAAAAAAACAAAAAAAACAAAAAAAAAAAACCAAGTTGTACGTCCTGAGGGCATACAACTTAATTTCTACAAAAACATACTTTTTCAAAAGGGCTATGAGAGTATCAATTGACAAAAGCAGAACAAGTAGCATGATTAGACAGAGAAGTCTTAATTGCTTAACACAAGATAAACTCAGCAGTTTTAAAGTGTCTGTATCCATTTTAAATGATTAGTCCAGGGGTAGAAAAGATGAGGATGGTTTCATCATACTTTGAAAAGGAAACTCCCACTGGAGCTAAAACAAACTTACAGTCCAGGTTATAAGAATCCAAGTTACATAGTAAATTATTAACTATTATTTTCATACCAAGTTCATGCTTAGGCAATAAGAAAATCCTGTTTGCAGCATTAATTACATGTAATTCAGTTTCCAGGCACATAGTTAGAGGTCACACACAGGCAGAGAAAGAACAAATGCCAGCCCAGTCATCTCACTGCCTCAGTCCAGCAGCCAGTGGCCCAGGACTTCATCTACACTGTCTATCTGCTTCCCAGCCACTTAAGCCCCACGAGGGAAGGCAAGGCAGCTAGCCCTGGAGGTGAGAAGACACCGTTGATCCACCAGCGCAGGTGCAGGGCCCTCTGCAGATTTGTTCCACCAGTGTATCTCCCATAGAAAATGGGATTTGAAATCACAACTTAAACCAAGTGGGTAATATCCTGACCGGGGGCCCTAAGAAACTGGCATTCTTGCATTGGAAATGAATTGCACTATTCAGATGCACAGCACTCCTTTTGCACAAAGTTGTGTTCTGAGGTGCCAGGACATCCAAGCACTTGCAGTGTCAATGTCGTGTTTAAGATGTACCAGGGGAGTTCAAACATTTAAAAAGGAATTCTACTAGGAAGATTTCAGTAATTTGAAGTAGATACCACTCCCCACCCCAATCTGTAAATTATAATACTGAATTTTTATTGAAATAAAGCACACTAAATCAAACCAATTACAAAGATACATGTGTCACACCAAGAAAACATTTTCAGTTATGCTGACAGCCCCAAATGTTTTCCATTTTTCAAAGACAGTTTGTAATGTCATGGGAAAATTGCTCACGACGTTAAAATGAAAAAAGCAAGATACAGTAATCATATATGCAGTATGATCTCAACTATGAAATAACTTTAATATTTATACATTGAAAAAAAGACTAGAAGAAAATGCACCAAACATTGAACTGAAGTTAATCTCTATATACTGGGATAACAAGATATTAATTTTTTACTTCTTGAAAACTTTCAAATTTTCCAAGAAATTAATCATAAAATCAGTGAGAAAATTGAACTTGAATGAATATCAAAACTGCTTAAACAAGGACTAGGCTGAGTAACCTGGCTTTGAGGCATGCTACATGGCCCTTTTCACTGCAATGAAAAAAAAGTCCAACAAAATTTTATCGCAGGTTCAAGACAATTTTGCATTACTGATGTTGGAAGCTTTATGTCCGACCTCCACAAACTTCAGCAGCTAACATCTAATCTTAATACACAGAAAATGCCAACTTCATTGAAAACTTTAATGCTATCTTAATTGCCTTAATTGTTCTTTTCAGGGGCTGGTTTGAACAAAGGGACATAATTTACAAATTCCAGACTTCACAGAAAATTCAATTAAAGATTCTTTGAAATAATTCATTTTAAGTAATTAAGAGACTGCTTTGGTGCATTAATCTCTTACATCTTAATTTCCAAAAGGTCTTTAGACACATTTTACTTTTAAACAGCTACCAACAGTTCTGTTACTTCAAGAAGATGCAGACTGCAACATTCAACAAGCATTCCTTAAGAATCTACTGTGTTCCCACACACTGCTGAGAGTGTGGGTTTCCACAGAGAAGAAAGGATTCTGAAAGGTGAATGTGTATAATCCAACAGGTTGGTTCTAATTAATTCTCTGCAACAGAAAACTGCAAGACGTTTCTTTCGTACTATACCAACAGGTTTTTGTTTTGTTTTTTGAGACTGAGTTTTGCTCTTGTTGCCCAGGCTGGAGTGCAATGGCACGATCTCAGCTCACTGCAACCTCTGCCTCCCGGGTTCAGGCAATTCTCCTGCCTCAGCCTCCTGAGTAGACAGGATTACAGGCATGCGCCACCACCCCTGACTAATTTTTGTATTTTTAGTAGAGACGGGGTTTCTCCAAGTTGGTCAGGCCGGTCTCAAACTCCTGACCTCAGGTGATTCACCCGCCTTGGCCTCCCAAAGTGCTGGGATTACAGGCGTGAGCCATGCTGCCCCAGCCATACCATCCATCAGTTTTAAGATACTTAACCAAAACATTTGTGCTAGGTGTCAAGATATACTTCTAAATATTTAGCTATAGTGATGGAAGAGGTAGAAGAGTGACACCAAAGGGGCGAGACACAGAGCTAAATACAATTAAATTTCTTCTTAAAATGATTATCAATTGTCTAAGAAATTTTATCAGGAGTGATTTGTTCTCAAAAAAATGTGGTAACTTCCTTTCTATATCACTCTGGCATGCATAGGGCCAAAGAATGTTTTGACAAACGAAAGGTACAAAAATCTGCACTTGGAGGAGGAAGAAAATCTTACTGGTTTAGGCTGCCTAAAATGAGCTTCCCTTTTCTAGGGAAAAAGTAGCAGTTTTATACTTTGGATGTGACAAATTAGTTATCTGCCTTACATTCTTCTTTCTAAAACATTCCTATCCAACCTTATACCCCTAAATCTGATTTCGAATGATTTTTTCATACGGCCCTACATCCAGTTTCTCCAAATCCAAGAATATTGTCAAGTAACTTAATGATTTAAGAGAATAAGAAGTTCCATGTAAGTCCACAGAAAGACTCAGTTGGGCAAAAAAAAAAAAAAAAAGGAGAACCCAGAAATGCAGCCTATTAATTCTCAAGGCGATGGACATGGTGCCTCAATCTGATTCCCTGGGTTTAGATACTTCACTGTCTACTATAATTCTATTAGGCCAGAAATTGCTTGAGGAGATTATTAGCTTTTTTGTTTTTTTAATCACCTGCCCCTACTCCTAACCTCTAATAAACAGTGCTTGGTATTCACTGTGTTCAGTAAATAAAGGACAATAGTAAAGGCTGCAGAATAACAATAAGAACTCCTAACACCAAATTCACAAAGGAAGCAGAGTTTTCAAACCAAAAAGGCCTCGGCAATCAACACTAAGGAGCTGCTGCTGTCTTGTAACTCACAAAGTACTGCTTAAAAAAAAAAGTTTTTTTTCCTTTATGTTTTGAAATTCTTACATTAAAGGCTAGACTGCCTGAGCATGCCTAAGTCCCCCTGTCTTTTAAACTTGTTTTAAACATGAAAGGAACTTACAATTGGGAAGATTAAAGCCAAAAAAGGCAATGACAGTAATGGTTCCCATTGGTGCCTATTATGACACCAGACCCTGCATGCTAGAGGCCTTTGAGTCTGAAATGATGTGTAACTTTACAGAGAGACAACTCAGGCCCAGTGGGGTTAACTCCAAGCCCTGCAGTCAAGAATGTCATCAAAATCAGTTTGGGAACTAAAACCAAGTGTCTGACTTTTATGGAACAGTCTGAATCAGGGTCAGCAACTTGCAGAGACCACCTATGATATGCTACGAGTGAAAGTGGGGCTTTGAATAAACATACCGAGTGAAGTCTGACTTGGCATCGGGCTCCCCACCCTAGGACCCATGCCATCTTCTCACTCGGGACCCTTTCACCTAACCCTCATGATTATACCTCAGAATGAAGGCAGACTAGATTTCAATCCAACCCTTTCCAGAGATAGCACTGGGTTGGACAGGGCAACTCTGAATCTCTCCCTCCAGTGAGGAGACAGACAACGTAACCAACTTCACTAGTCTGTCAACATGAGACAAGCTCAAGATCTTAGCAAGAGTAATATTTAAGCAGTCAAAGTTCTAAATGATCTGATCCCTCCAGTGTGATAGCTGCAATTTAAAATGTGACCCTTACTACTAAACAGGGAGGTAAAAAAGTATCCCAGAAGGCAAAAGCCACTGGGCCTTGAGATCCTTGGTCTATTTTTACAGTAAAATTGCCCAGGGGAAATGAGGGTACCCACCGGACCTGGAACCAACCAGCAATTCTCCTTTTCTTAAGGCAAAGAATACTTCCAGTGTCATGGTAGGGTAGGTAACCTGCCTGGGTTCTCATTTAATATAATGTCTTGTAAGTATATCACCTTTCACAAAGGAGACTGGCTTGGAGAAGTCAAGCATGTTGCCCAAGGTTACCGAGGAAAATAGCCTATACACAAAGACTATGTACTCTTCCTAACCAGTGAACCAGGGATACAGTTGGTCATTCACCTTTAAGTCTACTAATCCCGATTAGCTTATGGGGAAAACCTCAGAAAGAGATATAAAATTCACATCGTTTCTGATTAATTTTGAGAAGAAAAGCCTCAAGATCTTTCCCACCTCGACACCTAAGCCCTAGGTCTTAGTGGGGGCGACGTCGTAGACAGAAATCCCACATCTAAAAATGTGAGAGCATAGTGGTTAAGGGTATGCATTTTGAGGCCAGGCATCATGGCTCATGCCAGTATTCCCAACACTTCGGAAGGTCGAGGTTGGGGTATGGCTTGCACCCATGAGTTCGAGACCAGCCTGGACAACATGGCGAAACTCCAACTCTACAGAAAATAAAAAATCAAAAATAAATATATTGAAAATTAGAAATTTTTTTAATTAAAAAAAAATTTGCATTTTGGAGACAGGACTGGAGTATCTATTCTACCACTTACTAACCTGCTCCATATCTTAGCCAAGTAAGGCTTTCTTCATCAACAGTGTTAATAACCCAGGGTAGGTGTGAGGATTAAATGACAACCTCCTTAGTGTGATGCTTTTACAAAGTAAACACTGAAAGAGTAGGTTTAATGGTTATCACCCTAAGGTCCCATGGAAGTCTCAGTTGTTCTAATTCAAGATTACCATGTAGCACCCTAGGCAAACAGGTTACATTATTCCCTGATTGTAGCTATCTGGGGATTGTAATCCTCAACCCTTTCTAGAGGTTCTGGGTCCCCACTGTGTTGTATTCACTTAGCAGACCTCTGTGATAACCCCAGTGGTAAACTCAGACTACACCTATGTCAGGTTCTTTGCTATGTTCTGTTAAAGCCAAAAAAAAAAGGACCAAGACAAGGTCCCTGCTATGTGTCCCGAGGAGAATGGAACAGTCACAGAAACAAATCAAGCAGCAGAGCAAATGCACAGTTCAGGGAGGCTACAGAGATTGGGAGCCCTGAAGCAAGGCTGTGTCACAGAAGTGAGGTATGAACACGTAGGGGCTGGACTTGTCAAAGAGCATAGAGGTATTCAAGAGATAAACAGTATGGGTAGGATACCTAACCAATGGTTAAGACTGGATCATAAGGGTCTTGTAATACCATGCTGAATTTGGACTTCACTGTGTAGGCCCAGGGAAACTTTAAACCATGAAGTGACAAGACCAGAAAGATCACTCCAATGGTCTCATGAAAGATGGACTGGCAACAACAGCTCAGGACTGGAAAGTGAGAGCTGAAACATTAGGCCAAGAGCCCAGGCTCACCTCCTCCAGAGGGCCTGCCCTGAGCACCACACAGCCGGGCTGTGCTGTGAAACATCCCTTTCTGCTCTCAGAAGACCTTCCACATACCACATTCATGACGTGAATAGAAATTAACCAAATCCATATTTTGCCTCAACAGAAAAAGGAATCGCTCTATGTTTATGTATTTCCAGAGACAGCACCGAATCTGCCATATAGAGAATGTGCTGAATGGCTCAATGGCTCAATGAGTCATTCTGCTGTTGGGGCAGAAGAATGAGTCCAACCTGAAACTTCATCTGAGATAAATGCCTGTGGGACAATTTGGAGATGTACACCGGAGGACAGTGGGACATGCCATCTGGCAGTCAGGAGAGAAGGTCTAAACGAGAGGTCCAGATTTGGAAGTGAAGACATGGGAAACGTAATCTAGGGCAGTGACAGGGCCTGAGGACAGGTCAGGCAGGCCAATGTGGCAGAAGAGAAGCCAAGGTAAGGAGAAGCTCTAGAAAAGGGATGAACAGAGGACCAATGAGAATGGCAGGCAGAGATCCACAAAGTGATCCAGAAGATTTCTGGTCTCAAGTATGCTGTTTACATAAAAACGAGTTACCAGTTGTTGGTATTAATTCAACTCTTGGGAAATTTATAATAATGTTATTTTATAACATTATTATAGGATAACAAAGCAAGACAGAAATCAATTTAGCACATGCATGTTTATCTCTTTAATTCCTCTGTGAATCTAACATACAGATGACTAGGTCCCATAGGACACAGGAAAAAAAGCAACATGTTGCGAACAAGTGTCAAAATAAAGCACTGAATTAGTCTTTAAGCCTTGCTAACCACTAATTGAAGTAGCTTTGATAAAAACTATTTGAGGCCAGCACAGTGGCTCACACCTGCAATCCCACCACTTAGGGGCAAGCAGTGAGGCTAAGGCAGATCACTTGAGGTCAGGTGTTCAAGACCAGCTTCGCCAACATGATGAAACCCCATCTCTACTACAAATACAAAAATTAGCTGGGCGTGGTGGCAGGCGCCTACAATCCCAGCTACTCGGGAGACTGAGGCACGAGAATCATTTGAACCCAGGAGGCGGAAGTCGCAGTGAGCACTACACTCCAGCCTGGGCTATAGAGCGACACTCAGTCTCAAAAAAAAAAAAAAAAACCTATTTGATAACCATAAATTGATATGCCTTACTTTTTTTTCTTTAAATAGGGAGAGGGTTTCACCATGTTGGCCAGGGTGGTCTCAAACTCCTGACCTCAAGTGATCCACCCACCTTGGCCTCCCAAAGTGCCGGCATTATAGGTGTGAGCCACAGCACCCGGCCAATTGATATACTTTTGATTAAAGCTGTTTACATTAGTCTCTCCCACTAAACTGGGTTCCCAGGCTTACAAGGGCAATGACTGGGGATCTCATTCATTGTCATACTCTGTCTACACGAAATATTCAGCAGGTGTCAAGTCTGCCATTTTCCTTTAAATTAAGAACACAGTTATTTGGTTGGGCTGTATTTGATGGGGGTAGGGGTAAGGAAGGGGAAAAAAACTGAGGGAAAACTGTCCTCTCTTAAATACATAGGACATGAAGAGGAACTGAGTTTGCTTTCATTATAAACTCAAGCCTGCCTCAAAATACCAGATTCTTTTCCCATGTCCTTGTGCTTGCCAAACGCATGAATTTAGACTCACCCACAATGTAAAACTCCAAAACCTTCAATTTGGCCTAACTTAGAATTCATAAATTTGGCTAAGCAAATAATATGCAAGAGTGAATTGTGACATTGTATTTACCCTAACTATGGTGTTTCCAAATACATTTTAAAAGAGCACCTTAACAGTTTTCACTTCAGACAAATCAGATAATAAGGACACCCAGTTGAAGTCACTAATCTATGTTACTAGTTAATAATGGCCCTAGTACTAGAACCATTCAAATTACTTTCTTTAAATATTCAAATTAAACTACCATTCTCCTTAATACACTGATGTTCTCACAAACCAGTACAGCACAACTCAGTATAATTTATGTTTCTGTAGATTCTTTCAAGGGGCCCTATTACTTCACCACAACACTGTCTTAACCACATGAATTAGAGGTATGAACCCTAAGAGTAAGAATGCATTCAGTCTCCAATCTATACTGGATTAGTGCTACATTATAAATTTATTGAAGGTAAAGATCATTTTCTTCCTAGACAAAGCCTTATATTTAAGTTTTAAAGCCTCACAACTTAAACATGTGAAAATTATAAACAGTCCCTTCAACTGTATCATTGCTTAAAACTCCCAAAGTTCAGGAAAACAATAAATCACAGGTGGAACAGATTCAATATGAGAAAATGTAGTGGGAGTTGGAGAATACAGTTTTTCGAGGGCAGAGGGGGCTGGCTTGCCCTTTTTACTATTATGTACACTACTACTACGTTAAGATAACAAGCATGGTTTTTATGTTTCTTAAAACTATCTTCTAAAATATAACAGTAAAACAGAGTAAAAAGATACCTTAAGAGAAGCATGGAATGACCCACAACCCTCTTAATAAAGGAAGAAAATCACAATACTTAAGGAGAGACAACTGCATCAAATATTACCATGCGCTAAAATTAATCTAACAAACTATGTACACCTCTAGTTAATTGTTTTCCCAAACTTTAGGGGGAAAGATGTGAAACTCTCTAATTCAGCATAAACAGATCAATCCCATTTTTGCCTGAGCTTCCAAAGTTCTGACAGCCTAACTATTCCACTGTGTCAGGAACAGTGTGCAGTCTTAAAGTACTGCATCCACACAACCTGAACTTTCCTGCAATTCATGTTTTTGTTTTTAATTGTCCTAAACACTATCAAGGGAAAAAACAACATTGGGGTTTCAGGAAAGAACTACGGTTTGCCAGAGAGAACAAGATCTCTACAGGTATTATAAAGTCTCAATGATTCAACGTCTATAAAGTTTCTTTATATGCCACTATTTCTTAGTACCTTACCAGGTTACTTTGTTTTAGATGACCTGTACTATGGCCCAAAAATGTTAACTTTCAACAAGACTCATGGCCAGGCGCAGTGGCTCACACCTGTAATCCCAACACTTTGGGAGGCCAAGGTGGGCGGATCACCTGAGGTTGGGAGTTCGAGACCAGCCTGACCAACACGGTGAAACCCTGTCTCTAAAAAATTAGCCGGCGTGGTGGCACATGCCTGTAATCCCAGCTACTCGGGAGGCTGAGGCAGGAGAATCGCTTGAACCCAGAGGTAGAGGTCGCGGTGAGCCAATATCGCGCCAATGCACTCCAGCCTGGGCCACAAGAGCGAAACTCCGTCTCCAAAAAAAAAAAAAAAAGAAAAAAAGGATTCATGACCTAATTACTTCTACCTGCTTAGCCATCTGCGTGATCCATCTTTCCATCATGGTTTCAAGCAAGTCTTATTATTCTGTTGCTTTTTTTCCTACAGCAGTATTCAATGCTGTCACACAGGTTAACTCTCCCAGCTCTATTTGGAAGTCTGTATTAGACAGCAACAAGCAACAACAGACTTATCACTGACTACATTTCCCGGGTTTCTCCAGCAATACTAAAATCCCTTAGCCAAGAGTGCCTTCTTATGACAGGTCTGGCCTGGGGAGATAGAGATCCACCTGCCCACTGGCTGCACTCTGCTGGTCCTGCCTCTTAAAGTGCAAGGGACCTGAGGGACGACAGGCAGAAGGTCAAGTCTTACATCCATCCTCTCCCACCATCTACAGCAAACCAAGTAAGAAAGGTGTCAAGGGAGGTCCCAGGTCCCATGAGAACTAACCCAACAATTTCCCACCTTACTTGCCTGTCATGGACCATTAGAAATATAACAGAATTCTTAAGACACAAGAACTTCCTCTTTGACTTCAGAAGAGGAAAAAAACACGTACAACACATAAGTGTAAAGCGATAAATTCTAATCAACACTGCAGAAAGATATGTCATTTTAACACCAATAAGCTCAAACTAACTTTCTAAAAACATTTTCTAGGATAGGTTAGCTGACAGAAATCGCCCATATTAAGTTCTTAGCTTACATTCTATTAAACATTTCTAGAGCAAGCTGTTTACTGTAAGACAAAAAACAGTATATCTGGACCTAAACCTAACCGTGAAAAATGGGTCCACAGGCACCCTCTTAACCATTTTTCCAAAGAAATATGTTTAAACGGCTTTACCATGCAGAGCTATGGCTTCCCGGAAGGGTTGCAAATCAGTCTCTACAGATGAGCTAGTTTCCGTTGAAGTAGCTCGGTTAGGGGACACTACAGTCAGTCTTGGGGGAGCTCTAGAGTTTCGTGGTGGAGGAACTTTTCCACACAGGAAGCTGATCAAATCTTCTCGACGAATAGTTCTTCTGCGTTTTTTAACCCAAGCCAACACATCCTTATTGCGTCGCTGATAGCCAATCTGAATTCCAATATCAAAACTTCGTTGATGGGTATCCACGCTTTCTGTTAGAAAAAAAGAAAAAGAAAACATGTATCATGACCATTAGAGCCCGTATTCCCTTCTAAAGAAAACCATTTTACAATTTAACCAAAGTGAATACCATGATGTGGCCTCTGAGCCCATCAGTAATATAAACTGAAATGATTTCAGTCATAATGAAAATGTTATATGTAACATTTAATCTTAATGGTCTAAATTCAGTGTTTACTTATCACAGTCCTGGAGCTTGGCTTGTTAAAAAAAAAAATTTAACAGAAACAGAGAGATTAGGTATCTTTAATGAAATTACCTAAAATAACTTGCATCACATCATTCAACAGATGTCTAAATATTGCACATGCCTCAGGCCACGCTCATCTGCATTTACCACGTCATTGTGGAGATACATTCCTACTGACAGATTCAGCACCAAGAATGAGGAACAAGCTGAAGGCAGCAGCAAATGTTTTAGAAGGAAAAATTAATTCTGACTGATGGCTCAACACTAAAACCAAATAGCATGGTGGAAAACAAAAAGCTTTATTCATTTCCCTGGGTATACTCATTTTGCTTCCAGTTCTCAACAGCTTCCTGTAACTCAACCATTCCCAACAGATCTCCTAGACTAAATTCTCTGCATATACTCCACCTGGGTTTTGGTAAAATGATCTCTACCTTTTAGTGGTTTCATTTAGTTGAAAAAAAATTTGAAAATTTAAGTGACTATTATTTAGTTTTAATTGAGCTGCTGTGCCAGCAGAACATCACCAGTATGTCTTTAATGGCATTAACCAACATCGTTACTTTATCCTTGAACTTTCCGTAAAAGCAACAATACTGTGTACATTTCTCTATTACTTTTCCCGGCTTTGATTATTTCGTTTTATTTTATTTTTTGAGACGGAGTCTCTCTGTTGCCCAGGCTGTAGTGCGATGGCTCGATCTCAGCTCACTGCAACCTCCGCCTCCAGGGTTCTCCTGCTTCAGCCTCCTGAGTAGCTGGGATTACAGGCGCACGCCACCATGCCTGGCTAATTTTTCTATTTTTAGTAGAGACCGGGTTTCACCATATTGGTCAGGCTGGTCTTCAACTCCTGACCTTGTGATCCGCCTGCCTCAGCCTCCCAAAGTGCTGGGGATTACAGGCGTGAGCCACTGCAACCGGCGGCTTTAATTTCTTGTCTGCTACATCTACAGCAGACTCTCAAAGGATGGGCAATAGTCAAACAATGTAAAGCTATGTTCCAGAAAAAAAAAAAAAAAATCATCCAGACATCACAGAGGATGCCAAGCTGAATTTGCACTATTAAAGAAAATGGCAAGAGGGAAGCACAACAACCAGAACTTTATAATAAGGCCTACTCTTAAGCAGATGACAGTCTTTATTGCTAAAGACAAAGAAAAACAAGGATATTGTCCACAGATCTTTTCTCTTAAAAAAATAATCAAAGTAGGACCTGGGATGTTAAAAAGAAAGAAAAAATACTTTAAAATGAAAAGGACCAGGACAAGAATTCAACATCAATTTGGAAACCTGATATGCTATAGAGTGCATTCATATCTTCTCCATCACAACTCTGAGAAGGTGGATTATTCTAATTTTACAAATATAAAAAGCAGCTCAAGAGTGAAGTAACTTCTCCAGTGTCTCACTACTGGTATAACATGAATCAATAATTTTGATTTCTCACTTCTTCATAAACAAAGCATGAACTCCATTTTGAATGTAAATAACAGTAGAGAGGGTCACCACTTTTCCCATCTCTTTAGGAAAAGATTTAGATGAGCCAACCCTAAAGGGGTGGACAAACCTAAAGATGACCTTGTAGTGCTGTACCTAAAACTTAAATGATTCTGAAAGAGCTGGAGGCATTAAGAGAAATCAAGTCATTGACCAACTAAACTTATCACACCACATAAAGGATAAATGTAAAATGTGTTAACCTAGAAGCAATCAGGTTTTTAAACCTATCCTACCTAGAAGAATTGCTTTTAATCAAGCTTGTAAATGAAGAAGTTTCTGTTTCTGAAGAGAATGAGGGTATTTTATTCTTCAAAAGCCAAATGGAGGTAAGCCCAGCCCTGCAGAAACAGAGGAAAAAAAGTCTAAAGCATAGTAAAAGGGATACAAGAAACAAGTCTGAAGCAGGCTTGGAGAGTGCAAAGAAAGATGGCCAGGCATGGTGGCTCATGCCTGTAATCCTAGCACTTTGGGAGGCCAAGGTGGGTGGATCACCTGAAGTCAGGAGTTCGAGACCAGCCTGGCCAAGATGGCAAAACCCCGCCTCTACTAAAAATACAAAAATTAGCCAGGCATGGGTGGTAGGCACCTGTAATCCCAGCTACTCGGGAGGCTGAGGCAGGAGAATCACTTGAACCTGGGAAGCAGAGGTGGCAGTGAGCCAAGAATGCGCCACTTCACTCCAGCCTGGGCGAAAGAGTAAGACTCTCTCTCAAAAAAAAAAGATGAAGTAAGCATGTAAACATACACCTGGCAAACCAGACAGCAAAAAAAGAGAAGCTAAACTTGATACAAAACTCAAGGGCCAAAAGGAAGGGGCCACGTGAGGTGTTTAAAAAAAAAAAAAATATCCTGTGAAGAGCTTGGCCAAGTTTTGGGTTGTTTTGATTGAAGACACAAGAAGTCCAACAGTCAGATCTGCAAGGGACTAATGGTTTCATCACAGATTTGAACATCGGGAAAACTCAGTAATCACTAGTGGCCTGGCTTAGATGTAAGACACTTATGTAACAAGTTGTGAACCTCTTTTAAAAAATTATGCAACTGACCAATTATTTCACCTCAAAAATTCTGAGATAACCAAGTCTCAATGTCAGAACCCACTATGAGCACACTAGAAGTCATGCATTTTGCAAACACTACCCTTACAGACTAGAAGGTCCTAGAGGAGAAAAGCAGAAACAACATTTAAGGTTTTAGGTATGTTTTTGCTCCACCGGGGCATAATGTAGTTTTGTACTGTTAACAGTATATATTCTGAAAACCAAGTCCAATTGCCTTACCACTCAAACCCAACCTCAGTTATTTCCCAAAATACAAAGTCCCATGTAAATGGTGAAGTATTTAAAATAGAGTCCTTTTTAAATAGTTACCTGACTGAAAACAAACCTTTCTCATAACTTGAGCTAATTAGGAGACCTGCATGCTTACTGGAGAATCTTAGGCATGACTACATTTTAACATAATCCCAGGACAAACTAGTGTACAGTGGATAATCTCATACACACACACACGGCCTCTTGAAGGCTCTCAGCCAAACACTGCTCTGAGCACACCCCAATTCTAGAAGCGTGGACTTTCGGGTACCTATCCCAGAAAAACAGCACAGAAGCTGTGGCCAGTCTTGCGTCCAACACTATTTTACAGAAACCAAAGTCACTGTGAAAAAGAGCCACATACTTGAAGGTTAGGCAAACTCCACAAGCACTGAAATGTCAATCTAACCTTTAACCACAACACATTCATTTCCTTATTCAAAAAAGGAACTGGGCGGGCATGGCACAGTGGCTCATCCGTGTAATCCCAGCACTTTGGGAGGTCAAGGTGGGTGGATCACTTGAAGCCAGGAGTTCGAGATCAGCGTGGCCAACATGGTGAAACCTCATCTCAAAATATAAAAATTAGCCAGGCATGGTGGCAGGCACCTCTAATCCCAGCTACTTGGGAGGCTGAGGCAGAAGAGTCACTTGAGCCTGGGAAGCAGAGGTTGCAATGAGCCAAGATTGCACCATGGCACTCCAGGCTGGGTGACACGCAAGACTCCATCTCAAAAAAAGAAAAAAAAAAGAAAATGAACTGATTCATACACCAGTCATAGCAGGTATCCCATATTTCCCTTTTTTTTCTTTAAATGCTTTTATATAAGCATGGGAAACTGAATCCAAGAGATTTTAGAAGACAAATTCTCCCACCACAACGGGCTGGGGTGGGGGCAGAGGGCAAAGAATTATATTGATTCTGAAGACCAAATCATAACTTTCTTACATAACTGCATAAAATTAATCAGATTACTCTACTTATAGCTTTTTGATACACATTGATTCATGTGAATTAGAGCAGGTATCGCAAGTTTGTAACAAGGAACTGAAGTTCAAAGGGCCTTGTGTCCAAAGTTCATTGACAGAGTTCCCTCTGTGACCTCTCTTCCTCAAATGAGAAGCCATCTCTCAATTGCAGACAATCTACAAACCATAAGAGCACAATGCTACATCAAAGCAACACTTCTAAAGAAATACTACTGACTACGTGATTTTTAAACTTAAGAATTAAATTTGCACTAGCCAGTCCACCACACAGAAAAATATTTTATTCTTTTTTGGGAGGAAGGGTAGAGGCAGGGTCTCACTATGTTGCCCAGCCTGATCTCAAACTCCTAGCCTCAAGATCTCAAGAGAACCTCTCCCCTCAGCCTCAAGTGCTGGACTACAGGTGTGAGCCCTGGCACTCCAACCAGTAAAGAAAATGTACTGTTTCTTTAGGAATGTAACAATCTAAGTCACAGCCAAAATAAAACTGTTCCCAATCGTATTCCCTAAGGAAGTGGCATCCAAAAATAAGCACACCTCCTAGCTACTTATGTATTTACTTAATCTTCACCTAGCACACAAAACAAAGGACCAGGAACCAGGGGGATAATATTTTGTGTGTGTGTGTGATGGATTTTCGCTCTTGCTGCCCAGGCTGGAGTGCAATGGCCTGATCTCGGCTCACCACAACCTCCGCCTCCCAGGTTCAAGCAATTCTTCTGCCTCAGCCTTCCGAGTTAGCTGGGATTACAGGCATGCACCACAATGCCCAGTTAATCTTTTATTTTTAGTAGAGATACGGTTTCTCTCCATGTTGGTCAGGCTGGTCTCAAACTCCCGACCTCAAATGATCCTTCCGCCTCAGCCTCCCAAAGTGCTAGGATTACAGGCGTGAGCCCCCGCCCCAGCCCTGGGGGAGCATCTTAATAACCACTGTTTGTTGCCTGCCTGGCATCCAATCCTTGTCCTCCCCTTCCTAAAAGCACTCCAGGTTTTTGTTTAGATAGCAACCATGTTTCGAGAGAAGCTCCCTCCACATTTGCTCAAGGGGTTGTGGCTTAGCTCTCAACTCATGTGCATAACCCTATGTACCCCTATTAATGGTTGTGGGTAAGCAAGTGACCCCGTTATGGCCAAGAGATGACAGAAGTCATTTTTAGGCTCTTCTAAGCTTTACTGAGTGGCTCTAAGATGTGAGCCACAAGCCATTCTGCCAACATAATGAAGCCAGCCTGATAACAAAGTGTGCGAGTGCACACAGGGGAGAACAGAGCAGGGGAGCCTGGGCTGCTCAATTAAGTCAATCCTACTGTGGCCTTTTAAGTCAGAGGAGCCAATACATGGCCATACAGCTAAAGCCAGCCCAACTTGTGTTTTCTCATACTTGCAACCAACATATTCTTTCACAGAAAAACTACACACAGGCTGGGTATGGTGGCTCACAGTTATAATCCCGGCACTTTGGCAGGCTGAGGCAGGTGGATCGCCTGAGCTCAGGAGACCAGCCTGGGCAACATGGCAAAACCTCATCTCTACCAAAAATACAAAAACTTAGCTGGGCATGGTGATGGGTGCCTGTGGTCCCAGCTACTCAGTGGCTGAGGTGGGAGGATCACTTGAGCCTGGAAGGTGGAGGTTACAGTGAGCTGAGACAGCACCACTGCACTCCCACCTGGGTGACAGAATGAGACCCTGTCTCAAAAGAAAAAAAAAAAAAAAGAGCCAGGCGCGGTGGCTCACGCCTGTAATCCCACCATTATGGGAGGCCAAGGCGGGCGGATCACCTGAGGTCAGGAGTTCAAGACCAGCCTGGCCAACATGGTGAAACCCCGTCTCTACTAAACATACAAAAAGTAGCCTGGTGTGGTGGCAGGCGCCTGTAATCCCAGCTACTGGGGAGGCTGAGGCAGGAGAATCGCTTGAACCAGGGAGGCGGTTGCAGTGAGCCGAGATCACGCCATTGCACTCCAGCCTGGGGGACAAGAGCGAGACTTCGTCTCCAAAAAAGGAAAAAAAATAAGAGCTACACACAAAAAAAGCAGTCTATTATAAAAAATAAGTATTATGTATAACTGAGGCTACTGCTTCTGACAAAGCTACAATTTTTTCATTAAAAAAAAATTTTAAGACACGGGATCTCACTATATTGCCCCAAGCAATCCTCCTGCCTCAGCCTCCCAAAGTGCTGGGATTACAGGCATGAAAAGTTAAATAGAAATTTAATGCTTAGGGTTTCTCACTGTAATCCACACTAAGGTATTTTGAACAAAGTCTCAAACTCAGTAATAATTTTTTGCAGCCAAGTGAGTCACAAACCAGCTCCACCAGTCTCCAGGTAGAATATGATTTCTGGCCATTTGTTTCTAAGTCACCTGCCACTTGGCCCACACATTTACAGTTATGCTCAGTTCTCCTTTAGTGTACGAGTCCAAAATGGCCACACTGAAGTGAGACATATAAAGAGGGCTTGGCATCAAGATGTATCAAAAGTGAGGACTTAAGGGCATCAGACTATTTTTCCCACCTGTCAATTCTACTTACATTTACTCCAATTAGGGAAAGAAGATGAAGAAGGAAATACACACCAGAGTTTATTTCAACACAAAAAAAATTTTTAAAAAGACAGAAAATAAACTATTATTACTTCCCTTCATTTTAAGCACTGCCCACATTGAGAAAAATCCAAAAAATACTTAAAACTTGACCACCAACACAATGAATGCCAGAGCACTCACTATGCCAGGCACAAAGCTAAGAGCTTGTACTAGAATCTGTGGTAGTTATCCCTATTTAAGTTAATTAAGTCAAGGAGCACAATGGTGAATTAACACCTGGCTTCACTGTCTCCAGGACCATAAAGGTAAGAAGTAACAGAGCCAAGATCTGAACTCAGGCAATGTGGCAGTAGACTCCAACTCACAATGACACTGGGTAAACATCAACCCTAGCCAGATTAAAATGATTTTTTACTCCCCTTCTTTAGTTCCAGGAATCAAAAAATATACTGATCTAAGGATACTACTGAATATTGAAGAAACACCATCCTCTTTGCATTTATCAAATCAAAAACCAGCAGTCAGTATTTTGGCTTCCTTCCTTTTTTGGAAAGGGGAAGACAAGTCTGACCCTACTATTTACAGTAGAGGTAACCACCCACTCCATTTTATTGAATTCTGTCCTTGCTGAAGTTCAACTTACATTTACATTATCTTCCAAATCCTTCTAGCCACATTCCAACCAAACCAATTAACTCAATTTTCAACTTTTCAAAAGCCCTCTGACAACTAAAAGCGACCCTCTGCTGGGTTTTTAATCTCAATCCTGACCTTCTTAATGAAGGTCAGGATTGAGATAAACACCTAATGAACTTCTTGGTAGTTATCAAGAAGCTGGTAGGAGTGCCAAATTGTCCCCAGGCTGCACAATAAGCCATTTTTACCTTGTCAGATATTATACAAAATACAGGAATGCTGCCTGCTGCCCACTTAGAAGTATCCACCAAATTTTTCCCCCCTTAAATTATATTTAAATATTTAATCAGAACTATAACCAATATCATTTAAATTTAGTACTACTTACTGCTGCATGCACTTGTGACACCACCTTGCTAATTTTATTGGTTCTATTTAAGGTAACCAATTATTCCTACAGCTGTATGCCTGTTCTCTAAAGACCACACCCTGAAAAAGAAAAAGTGTGAGGCTATCCAGAGTATTATCCACACACTCCTTGAATCAAATAAGAAAACGTTGCACTATCAAATTCCACAAGACACAACTTACCATTTCTATTAGGCAAGGGATGTGTTTTCACTGTACAGAAACAAGGTACAAAATAAAACTAGTTCAGACTAACAATCTAGCATTTACAATAATCCAAGAATCATATGTGATGTTTTCTAAAAATAAAATTAATGTTCCTCCTTAAGTTTTCTGAGCAGGAAAACAAACAAATTGTAAACATTTTTAAATGAAGTAATCAAATTAAGGATTATTTCAGAGTTCAACTGCTGAACCCATCTTCTTACACGAAAAGTTAGCACTAACGAAAACTGCTAGGTTAGTCCTAAAGGGACACATTCTACAAGAACCCAACAGGACCAAAGCCAGAGGACAATCCCATTTTATACGGCCTAGGCTAAGAACCTGGCACATAAAAACACTAAAAATGTGTTGCCTTCCCCTTCAAGCACAAAGCAATACCAACAAAAGCAAAAGAATAAACCATGGTACTGCCACACCATAGAGTAATACTAGCCAATCAAAAGGCACTGAACTATGCACACCTGCAATGCGAACTCGATGGGTGAACCTTATCATAGTAACTGGAACAAGCCAGACACAATAGGCTACAAGGACTGCACCATTCTATTTAGGACATGATGGAGGAGAAAAAACAGCAATCAAATCAGTGACTGCCAGGGACTGGGAGGTGGGGGTGATAGATATATTCTACTTCTTAAAAAAAAAAAATCAAAGTATATATCCTAAAACAGTGATTTTACTGTATGTAAATTACACTCCCAGAAACCTTTTTTTTAATTAAGTATTATTTCAAAATTCTGTTTTTGGACAAAACCAAGAGCCATTCCAAAACGTTCAAGACCGTCAGCACTGATAGATGTTGAAGCAATTTACTCAGTCACAATTTAACAAACAGCTATATAAAATCAAAGCTAACCACTGAGGCACTATTTAACCATGTTTCCCTTTTTTCAGTAAGACTGGACTATTATTATTACAGTTCCTCATTCCCTAAAGTTAGCGTTTCTTTTCACCACTTTGTTACCAGTTCTCAAATTACTGTCCCAAAAAACTGTAGTCTACTCAAGAAATCTCACAAGGAGATATTTTTTCCTACAAGATGCTGCGGCCATTTGCACATTCTTATGCAAAAATTAACAACTTGACAGTCAAGCAGCACCTTCATAGCCCGTTTCAACCTATATATGGCCTAAATATATATGGCAAAAATACCAATATTGGTATTTTTGAAATGCACAAAGTTCCATTACTGTTCTGAGCAACTTTTAAAAGTCTGAAAACATTTAATTACATATTTCTTAAGATTAACAAAGTCAAATCCTTTTTCCATAAAAATCTTGCCAAAAAAAAAAATCAACCCCAAATTTCTCAATCTTCAAAACCAGTAAGGCACAAAATCTAAACCCACCGTTACCAAGAATGCACAAATGGGCAAGAACGTTTACTTACACATCTTCATGTCATCACAAAGGGAGGGGGATTAACTCCAGAAAGGAACCACCATAAAACAAACCTATGGACTCAAAACTCTCAACAGAATTCCTGCCAGCAACTTATAATCAAATATAGGATCCTTTTAACAGAAAACACTTGATCAAATTGCTAGAGAAGAGCAGCACGTTAACATGCGCGCAGATGACTCCGATTAGCAAGCTTTCAAGCACTTCAAAACTATATAGACTGCCACGCTTTCAAATGCCTAACTCAAGAATCTTTTCCATAAAGTTCGTCCCACTTCCGACTGTAGTACAAAAAACATCAACTCTTATCTTCCCTCAATGTCTTTTCCAGAGGGAGGCAAGGCTCAGCCGTCTTCCAGCTCAACGCTTCTCAACCTGAGCACTACTGACTTTAGGGGCATGATAATTCTTCGCTGAGAGGGGGCCGGGGCGGTTATCTTGGGCACTGCAGGACCTTCAGCAGCCTCTATACACTGGGTGCCCAACAACAGCCCCTTCTAGGAGAAGCCAACCAAAAACGTCCCCAGGCGTTGCCATCTGTCCCGGGGGGCGGAGGGAGGTGTCAAAATCGCCTCCGGTGGATCTAGCTA
Organism: Homo sapiens; assembly: GCF_000001405.40. Lineage (NCBI taxonomy): Eukaryota > Metazoa > Chordata > Mammalia > Primates > Hominidae > Homo > Homo sapiens. The sequence goes on along the minus strand of NC_000016.10, from coordinate 9,093,145 downwards.
GAGCACCGCCGCGATTCTCAAGTTGCAAGGTATTCAAGGTTAGCAGCTGGGCTGGGGAGCAGAAAACACACTTGGAACGCAGGGCAGACACCCTGACGCAGGCGGCCCTTCCCTGAATCGGCAATGCAGCAAGGTTATCTTTACCTTTGTAGAGATTGGTGACGGCGGTGGCTGCGTTTTGGAAGGGGACCCAGAGAGAAAGTCCTGGCTGCTGACACACTCGGTCTGAAAAGCAAGCCAAAAAAAAAAAAAACCAAAAAGAAAAAAGAAACACACATAGAAAGAGAAAGAAAGAGAACAAGAATGTTATTTGCGCGTCAATCACTCCGGAACGGCCATATTAGGTTTCGCCATTTTGTTCAGGGGTTTCGGGATCCCAAACCCAGTGTGAGGACCGGGGGGGCAGGGAGGTCGCGGCGGGGAAAAGGGGATGCCGCAGAGCTCAGGGGCACAGATCAGGGACGAGCCGCGGCGCAGGGAAGCGCCCCCCCTGGCAGTCCCCGCCCCGAGGCCGGCTCAGGGCACAATGGGGCCGCCCCGCCGTCTCCCTTCGCCATTTTGTGACGGGGGCTCCTCCTCTCCCGTCTCCGGGCCGAGGGGGACACCGGGTGGCCGGGCCCGGAGAGCGGGGACCCTCGGACCACCCCAAAGCGGGGCTACCCCCACGCCGGCTCTGGCCTGTCCCCCCAACCCCGGGCCTCCCTCCCGCGGCGCCATCTTGCGGGGAGGGGGCGGCAGGGCCGCGGAGCCACCGGCCGGGATCCCCGAGGCCGCCGCCGTCGCGGCCCCCCGAAGCGGCCGCTGAGCCGATAGGGCCGGGGCCGGGCCCGGGCGGGGGCGGCCAAGCGGTACCAAGATGGCGGCGGCGGCCTCACCTTTGTAGAGCTGGGCCACGGCGGTGGCCGAGTTCTGGAAGAGGTGCCACAGCTTCTGCTGCTTGTGCTCGGGCTGCGCGGCGGCCGCCGCCTCCTCCTGCAGCTCGGGGGGCAGCTGCTCGTCCTGTTCGGCCTCGGCCAGGCACTGCCGCTCCCACTTGGAGAACCAGTGCTCGGGCCCGTGCTCCTGGATCTCGGCCTCGCCCTCCTCCTTCCGCTCCTCCATCCTCCGCGGCCTCCCGCGGCCTCGCCGCCACCGCCGCCGCGTCCTCCTCAGGCGGGGCCCCCGCGGGAGCGTCGTCGTCAAGCGGCCCGGCGGCAGGGCCTGGCGACCGACGGCGCCTTCTCCTTTCAGCGGCCCAGGCCTCCTGCACCCCGACGGCCGGCGAGCCCCGCCCCGCGGCCCCGTGCAACCAGGGACGACCCCCGCCCCAGGCCTTCCCACCCCCGGGCCCGGCCGAAGGTCGCCGCGGACCAGATAACCGCTGCCGCCCCTCGCCTCGGCCGCCGCAGCCTGTCTAACGCCCCCCCATGGCGCTGCGGCCTCCCCACTGCCGCCGCCGCCGCTGATCGCCGAGCCCTCCGCGCAGCTCGGCCTGCACCGCGGAGCCCACCCCAAGACTGAGCAACGTCGTCGTCGTCGCCACCGCCGAGGACGGCTCTGCGGCTGCTGGTCCCCGCCCTACCCCGCCCACATGCTGACAGGAGAAGCACCGCCCACTGGGCCCAAGCTACCCTGCCCGGTTGAGGCGTGGCCGCTCCAAGGGCCCCTATTAGTCGGATCCGGCCGGTTCCGCGTGGCGGCTTCTGAGCACAGCGTCGTGATTGGTTCTTCGGCCTGTCTGCCTGACGTAACCAATTGGCTGGGGGAAGGGAGTGAATGTCAGGAAGGATGAAGGAGGAGGAGGGGGAGGAGCTGACAGTGGTTGCGTCCGAGCCAAGGGGGCGGGTGGGGGGTGGAGGGGAAGAGCTAGAAGGGATGCGCATGCGCACTTGCTCGCTGCTCCCCCCCCCGCTCAGGGGCGTTGAGTGGGGATCACGTGACGAGGCCCAGCGACCGCACCCCGCGGGAGCTTTTCCGGCGTGTACAGGCCCTGGGGGGATGCAAAGTCGAGTGCGGCTCCTGTGCCGCGGGCACTGAGAGGTATAGTGGGTGGTAGCGTGCTTACTCCAGCCCCTGGGGCTCCCAAAGGGAGGAGGGTAGTAGAGAAAGTGAATAAAACGCCCAACTCGTGTCCAAGTTTGCAAAGCGCTTTCCTATTCTTTTGAGTACTCCCCCTTTTTTTTTTTTTTTTTTGAGACGGGGTCTTGCTACGTTGTCGAGGTCTAGACTGCTGGCCTCAGGCGATCTTCCAGCCTCCCAGGGCGCTGGGATTACAGGCTTGAGCCACCGCGCCCGGCCCAGAGTCCCATTTCTTAGACGGGCAAATCGACCATCACAGCCAAAGAAAAACTTCCGAGTTGCGAAGTCGGCTCAGTTGCCCCTGCGCCCTGGCGTCCCCCGAGGACGTCGCGCCTTCCGGGTGGACAGGACCTCGGCGGCCGCCCGCGGAGCCAAGGATAACCCGACGGCCGACGGTGCCCGGTGCCCGCACGCGTGCGTCTGCGCCTTTGCGCGCGCGGCGGCCCCCGCACCTGTCCCGAAAAGCACACTCCCAGGCCACGTGCATGCCCCGCGTCACGTACCGGCCCCTGCCTTCCCCGGCCCGAACCCGCGTGGCGGTGCCGAGCGCTGCGCCCGCCCCTACTCCCCCCGCAGTGCGCGATAGCTGGACGCCCCTGCGGCTGCGCGCCCCCCTCCCCTGTCGGGGCTTTCTCCAGGGTCTGAGGCCCCGGAGAAGGCAGCAACGCAGACAGGCGGTGACCGCACAGAGGCAAAACCCACCATCCCCACCTACATGCCCACGGGAGGCACCATCCGGCCTGGAGCGGCGGAGGGCGCCGGCCAGAGGCAGCGTCGCCCGCAGCCTGCGATAGTGCGCTTGCACAGAGCAAGGCGGCTTTGGAAGAAAATCTGACCCCCTCACCGCGGCCTGCAAACCCCTGCAGGATCTGGCCCTGGCGCCTCTCACACAATCCCCTACTTGGCTTGTACCTTGCGCACTCCCCCTCTTCCCCACCTCGCCTGGACGCTCACACACTGGCCTGCCTTATTTCCCTGGGACACTAGGCTCTTTCCTGCCCCAGTCTGCTATCTCTGGAAGCTCTTCCTCCTCCTCTTTCCTCAGATAGCTCCTGTTTAGGAAGCCTACTAGGACAAGCCTAAAGTAGCACCCTTCACACTGTCTCGTATTGCCTGGTTATATTATTTCATAACATCAATCACTATCTAAAATGCTAAATTAGGCCTGGCGCGGTGGCTAAAAAACAGGTTTCCAATTGTAGGGAAGAATATAAAGTGAAAAGCAAACAAAAATCATTCTACCTACCTCATTCTACATCCTCCCAATCCTATTCCCAGGAAATAACTTGTGACCTTTGAAAACGGAGTTATGTGTACGTCGAGTGTGTATGTGTGTGTGTACCTATATACAAGTATGTCCCTTCTTAAGGAAAAAAAAAGATGATTTTATGTGTACTATCCTACAAGCCTTTTTTCCTTAACATAATTTGGATGTCTCCACATTGGGACCTAAAGACTTATTTATTCTTTTAAAATATTGCAAATAATTTCATTGTATGGATTCACTACAAAGTATTTTACAGGGCCCCTATTGATACAAATTTAGATTGTGACCAGTCTTTGGCTATTATAAACAATGCCATAATGAACATCTTGTACATATGTAATACAGTGAACATCCTTGCATATATACATATGTGTATTGAATATATATCCTCAGAAATAGTATTTTAGAGTCACAAGGTATATGAGTTAAATATTTTAGGAGGGTAGGCATGGTAGCTTACACCTATAATCTCAACAATTTAGGAGGCCAAGACGCAAGGATTGCTTGAACTCAAGAGTTCAAGACCAGCCTAGGCGACATAGTGAAACCCAGTCTCTACAAAAAAATACAAAACACAGCCAGGCATGGCGGCACACACGTGTAGTTCCAGCTACTCAGGAGGCTGAGGCGGGAGGATTGCTTGAGCCCAGAAGGCATAGGTTGCAGTGAGCCGAGATAGTGCCACTACACTCCAGCCTGGGTGACAGAGACCCCATCTCAATCAATCAATCAATCAATAAAACTGCCTGCTGAGTGTACGATCAATGGTTGTTGATATGTCAATTTCTACATTTCTGCATTCATGGTAGCACGTGGGAAGTCCAGGCCTGCACATGTAGGTATGACAAAGGAGAGAACACAGCTGGACGATTTCGCTGCCTGCAGGCTCCGCTTCAAAAGCCACACACCACTTTGGACAGTCCAAAGGTTTCGAGTTTTTACAGAATGAAGGCTGCTCTTCTTCTCCTTCATGTAACTCAGACCCTGTTCCAGAAGCCTCTGGCCTTTTCTTGTAAGAACATAATATTTCAGCCATACATACAAGATGGAATGATATTGAATAGCATAAACGCTGGCTCTATAATAAATATTTGTCAGTTGGAAAAAACAGTCTAAAGAAAAAGGAATAAATATTGAAAAGCACCACCTATCTGCTTGATTTCCATGACCCTGAGCTTTGTGTTAACCTCTAAGAGTTTCTTTTTTGTTGTTGTTTCGAGACGAAATCTCGCTCTGTCGCCCAGGCTGGAGTGCAGTGGCGTGATCTCAGCTCACTGCAACTTCTGCCTCCTGGGTACAAGCCATTCTCCTGCCTCAGCCTTCCTAGTAGCTGGGATCAGAGGTGTGCACCAGCATGCCCAGATAATTTTTTGTGTTTTTTGTAGAGATAGTTTTGCAATGTTGCCCAGATTGGTCTCCAATTCTTGGGCTTAAGCAGTTCTCCCACCTCAGCCTCCCAGGTAGCTGGGACTACAGGCACATGCTACCATGCCTGGCTAAATGTATTTTTTGTAAAGATGGGGTTTTGCAGTGTTGCCCAGGCTGGTTTCCAACTCCTGGACTCAAGCAATCCTCCTGCCTCAGCCTCCCAAAGTGCTGGAATTATAGGTGTGAACTACTGCACCCAACCCACCTCGAAAAGTTTCTGAATTCTGAATTGATAGTCTTAGAGCACTTGAGCTATTATACAAATGCTTATTATCTTCTTATTCATGTGTACCTTATAATCAATGCCACTTGGAATGGAGGAATGTCAAATAACAATGCACGATACGTATTATGACCAGCAGTCAGCAAATAGAAGACCTTGTCAATGTGGAGATTCTCTCCAATGCCACCTACTCTTCAGTTTAAAGATGAAACCTCATAAGCCGGGAGCGGTGACTCATGCCTGTAATCCCAGCACTTTTGGGAGGCCAAGGCAGGCAGATCACCTGAGGTCAGGAATTCGAGACCAGCCTGGCCAACATGGAGAAACCCCATCTCTACTAATAAAAAAATAGTGGGGTGTGGTGGTGCATGTCTGTAATCCCAGCTACTCAGGAGGCTGAGGCAGGAGAATCGCTTGAACCCGGGAGGCACAGGTTGCAGTGAGCCGAGATCGCGCCACTGTACTCCAGCCTGGGCAACAGAGCAAGAATCTGTCTCATTTGAAAAAAAAAAAAAAAAAAGGCCGGGCTCGGTGGCTCCCACCTGTAATCCCAGCATTTTGGGAGGCTAAGGCAGGTGAATCACCTGAGGCCAGGCATTGGAGACCAGCCTGGCCAACATGGTGAAACTCCGTATCTACTAAAAATACAAAAATTAGCTGGGTGTGGTGGTGCATGTCTGTAATCCCAGCTACTTGGGAGGCTGAAGCAGGAGAATTGCTTGAACCGAGGAGGCGGAGGTTGCAGTGAGCCAAGATCATGTCACTGAACTCCAGCCTGGGCGACAGAGTGGGACTTCGTCTCAAAAAAAAAAAAAAGATGAAAGCTCATGAGATTCTGAATCAAGCGATCTATCTGCCCTTAATGATATTAGAATTATTCACATTTCAAACAGCAGATGTTTATATAATTGTAATAGCCATGAAAATGTGCTACATTCCTTTTATATATGCTGTCTTTTTTAGCAGTTGTCAAATTATAAGAGTAGTGCACACTTACATTAAAAAGTTAAAAATACTCTCGCCAGGCGCGGTGGCTCACGCCTGTAATCCCAGCACTTTGGGAGGCCGAGGCGGGCGGATCACGAGGTCAGGAGATCAAGACCATCCTGGCTAACACGGTGAAACTTAGTCTCTACCAAAAACACAAAAAATTGACAGGGCGTGACAGCGGGCGCCTGTAGTCCCAGCTACTCGGGAGGCTGAGGCAGGAGAATGGCATGAACCCAGGAGGCGGAGCTTGCAGTGAGCCAAGATAGTGCCACTGCACTCCAGCCTGGGCGACAAAGCGAGATTCCGTCTCAAAATAAAATAAAATAAAATAAAAATAGACCAGGAGCGGTTGCTCAGGCCTGTAATTTCCGCACTTTGGGAGGCTGAGGCAGGAGGATCACTTGCATACAGAAGTTTGAGACCAGCCTGGGAAATATAGGGAGACCCAGTGGCTACACGAGAATAAAAAATTAGCCGGGCACAGTGGTGCTCACCTGTACTCCCAGCTACTTGAGAGGCTGAGGCAGGAGAATCACTTGAGCCCAGGAATTCAAAGCCAGCCTGGGCAACATAGCAAGACCCCATCTCAAATAAATAAATAAAAATAAAGACTATGGCAAGGCACAGTGGCTCACGCCTGTAATCCCAGCACTTTGGGAGGCTAAGATGGGCGGATTGCGAGGTCAAGAGATCGAGTCCATCGTGGCCAACATGGTGAAACCCCATCTCTTACTAAAAATACAAAAATTAGCTGGGCATGGTGGCACACGCCTGTAGTCCCAGCTACTTAGGAGGCTGAGACAGGAGAATCGCTTGAACCGGGAGGCAGAGGTTGCAGTGAGCTGATATCACACCACGAACTCCAGCCTGGCAACAGAGCTAAACTGTTTCAAAATAGAATAAAATAAAGACTGTAACAATGAAGGAACCATGGGAATTTGAATGTCCTTACTTTGAAACAGATTCTTTTCACATACATTTATTGATATGTAATTCACACAGCCTACAGTTCGCACATTAAAGTATATGATTCAGTGGTTTTTAGTATATTCACAGTTATGCAATTATTACCACTATCTAATTACAGAACACTTTCATCACCCTTAAAAGAACCCCCTCACTAGGCCAGGCGCGGTGGCTCAGGCCTGTAATCCCAGCACTTTGGGAGGCCGAGGAGAGTGGATCACGAGGTCAGGAGATCGAGACCATCCTGGCTAACATGGTGAATCCCCGTCTCTGCTAAAAAATACAAAAAATTAGCCGGGTATCATGGTGGGCGCCTCTAGTCCCAGCTACTCGGGTGGCTGAGCCAAGAGAATGGCGTGAACCCCGGAGACAGAGCTTGCAGTGAGCCAAGATCGCGCCACTGCACTCCAGCCTGGGAGACAGAGCGAGACTCCATCTCAAAAAAAAAAAAAAAAAAAGAACCCCCACCCCCTCATCATTACCAGTCACTCCCCATTACCCTCCCCTGAGCCCTTGACAAGCGCTAATTACTTTCTCTCTGTTTGGATTTGCCTATACTGGACATTTAATATAAATTAGGTTATAAAATATTTAGCCTTTTGTGTCTGGCTTCTTTCACCTAACATAGTTTTTCCAAGGTTCTTCCTTGACATAACATGTATCAGTACTTTATTCTTTTTATGGCCAAAGAGTATTACAAATATTTCATATTTCATTGCATATATACATACACATACCCCAATTTGTTTATCTAATCATCAGTTGATGAGCACTTAGATTACTTCCAATTTTTGACTATTATGAATAATGTGGTTATGCATATTCACATACAAGTTTCGCGTGGACATATGTTTCCATTTCTCCTGGCTCTACACCTAGAAGCGGAATTGCTGGGTCACAGTGTAACTATATTTAACTCATTGAAAAACTGCCAACCTGTTATGCAAAATAGCTGCACTATTTTACGTTTCCACTAGCAGTGCACAAGGGTTCCAATTTCTCCACATCCTCGCCAACGCTTGTTATTGTGTCCTTTTTTTTTTTTTTTGAGATGGAGTCTCGCTCTGTCGCCCAGGCTGGAGTGCAGTGGCCAGATCTCAGCTCACTGCAACCTCTGCCTCCCTGATTCAAGCAATTCTCCTGCCTGAGGCTCCCGAGTAGCTGGGATTACAGACACACGCCACCATGCCTGGCTAATTTTTTTATTTTTTCAGTAGACATGGGGTTTCACCACGTTGGCCAAGCTGGTCTCAAACTCTGGACCTCAGGTGATCCGCCTGCCTCGCTCTCCCGAAGTGCTGGGATTACAGGCATAAGCCACCGTGCCCAGCATCTTTTTTGTTTTGTCTTGTTTTGTTTTGTTTTTGGAGACAAGGTATTCCTCTATTTCGAAGGCTGGAGTGCAGTGGCTATTCACAGAGCGATCCCACTACTGATCAGCATGGGAGTTATGACCGCTTTGTTTCTGACCTGGGAACCCCCATCCTTAGGCACAGCCCTTCCTCCTGCCTCAGCCTCCTGAGTAGCTGGGACTACAGACACACGCCACCACAACCAGCGCCTGTCCTTTTTATTATAGCTATCCTAGTGAGTGGGATGTAGTATCTCACTGTGGTTTTAATTTGCAATTCCCTGTTGCCTAATGATGTTGATCATTTCTTCATGTGCTGTGGCATTTGTTTATCTTCTTTGAAGAAATGTCTATTCAGGCGGGGCATGGTGGCTCATGCCTGTAATCCCAGCAATTTGGGAGGCCGAGGTGAGAGGACCACTTGAGGTCAGGAGTTTGAGACCAGCCTGGCCAACATGTTGAAACCCCATCTCTACTAAAAAATACAAAAAATAGCTGGGGGTCGTGGCACGTGCCTGTCATCGCAGCTACTAAGGAGGCTGAGGCAAGAGAATCACTTGAACCCAGGAGATAGAGGTTGCAGTGAGCCAAGATTGTGCCACTACACTCCAGCCTGGGCGACAGTGCAAGACTCTGTCTCAAAAAAAAAAAAAAAAAAAAACAACGAAATGTCTATTCATGTATTTCACTCATTTTTAATTGGGTTGTCTTTTTGTTATAGAGTTGTCAGAGTTTTTATGTATTCTACATAATAGTCTCTTATCAGATAAATGATTTGCAAATACATTCTCCCATTCTGCGAATTGCGTTTTCACTGTATTGATGCTGTCCTTCGAAGCACAAAATGTTTTCAATTTTCATGCAGTACAATTTATCTATTTTGTCTTATGCTGCTTATCATCACAGTTTTTTAAATTGAGGTAAAATGCACATAACATGAAATTAACTATTCCACATACATTTCAAAAAATGTATGAGCCGGGTGCAGTGCCTCACACCTGTAATTCCAGCACTTTGGGAGACTGAGGAGGATGGACGACTTGAGGCCAGGAGTTCAAGACCAGCCTGACAAACGTGGTGAAACCCCATCTCTACTAAAAACACAAAAATGAGCCAAGCGTGGTGGCACACACTTGTAGTCCCAGCTACTCAGGAGGCTGAGGCATGAGAATCACTTGAGCCCAGCAAGCAGAGATTGCGGTGAGTGGAGATCACACCACTGCTGCACTCCAGGCTCAGTGGCAGAGTGAGACTCTGTCTCAAAAAAAAAAAAAAAAAAGTTAAAAAAATTTTTTTTTTTGAGACAGAGTCTCGCTCTGTCACCAGGGCTGGAGTGCAGTGGCACGATCTTGGCTCACTGCAACCTCCACCTCCCTAGTTAAAGCGATTCTCCTGCCTCAGCTTCCCGAATAGCTGGGACTACAGGTGCTCGCCACCAAGCCCAGCTAATTTTTGTATTTTTAGTAGAGACGGTGTTTCACCATGTTGGCCAGGATGGTCTCCGTCTCTTGACCTCTTGATCCACCCGCCTCGGCCTCCCAAACTGCTGGGATTACAGGCGTGAGCCACCACGCCGAGCCAAGTTAATTTTTTTTTTAAATGCAAGTAACTTTTTTTAAAAAAGAATGTCTAGGAAAGTATTTTCGAAATATTATATTATTGCAATCCAAAGAGAGGAAAAATGAACACGATTATCGTTTATTGAATACTAACTAAGCACCTTGCACAGAATTAGGTCATCTATATCAGGGGTTTTCAACTGAGTGCAACTTTGCTCCCTCAGGGGGCATTTGGTAAAGAATGTCTGGAGGGCCAGGTATGGTGGTTCACGCCTGTAATCCCAGCACTTTGGGAGGCCGAGGCGGATGGATCACCTGAGGTCAGGAGTTCGAGACCAGCCTGACCAACATGGAGAAACCCCATCTCTACTAAAAATCCAAAATTAGCCCGGCATGGTGGCACACGCCTGTAATCCCAGCTACTTAGGAGGCTGAGGCAGGGGAATTGCTTGAACCTGGGAGGTGGAGGTTGTGGTGAGCCGATATTGCGCCATTGCACTCCAGCCTGAGCAACAAGAGTGAAACTCCGTCTCAAAAAAAAAAAGAATGTCTGGAGACATTTTGATTGCCATAACTTGGGGGTTGGGGGTTGCTGCCACATCTAGTGGGTAGAAGCCAGGAAGGCTGCTAAACATTCAACAATGTGCGTAACAGCCCTCCACAACAAAGAATTATCTGGTCCAATGCATCACCAGTGCTGAGGGTGAGAAACCATGATCCATACGCATTATCTCATTTTTCTTCACACCTGCCTAGTGGCACAGTTACTGTCAATTGTCACCATTTGTAGGTGAGGAGACTGAGGCTTAGAGGGGGTAGATAACTCATGCAAAACCCCACAGCTGGGCCGGGCACGGTGGCTCACGCCTGTAATCCCAACATTTTGGGAGGCCGAGGCAAGTGGATCACCTGAGGTCAGGAGTTCAAGACCAGCCTGGCCAACATGGTGAAACCCCGGCTCTACTAAAAAATACAAAAATTAGCCGGGCATGGTGATGCACACCTATAGTCCCAGCTACTTGGGAGGCTGAGGCAGGAGAATCACTTGAACCCGGGAGACAGAGGTTGCGGTGAGCCGAGGTCACGCCACTGCACTCCTGCCTGGACGACAAAGTGAGACTCTGTCTCAAAAAAAAAAAAAAAAATTGGGGTCTCTGGGCCCTATTCAGAGCTCTGGAACAGAATCATCTCCAGGTATGAGGCTCTGGGGTTGTATTTCTGAAAGACCTCTGGTTTGTTGGCTGCCTACCAAGTGCAGTACCCATGTGATAAACACATCATGGGGTTGTTAAGGCTGGTTTCAGACGTGCCCGAATCAAGTCTGACTTTTTTTCTCTAGCCTAGACCATGCTTTTGATTATTTTATTTTATTTTATATTATTTGTTTTGTTTTGTTTTGTTTATGAGACAGAGTCTTGCTCTGTCACCCAGGCTGGAGTACAGTAGCAGCAATCTTGGCTCACTGAAACCTTCGCCTCCTGGGTTAAGCAGTCCTGTCGCCTCAGCCTCCCAAGTAGCTGGGATTACAAGCATGCGCCACCATGCCTGGCTACATTTTTTTTGTATTTTTAGTAGAGACAGTGTTTCACCATGTTGGCCAGGCCGGTCTCAAACTCCCGACCTCAAGTTACCCGCCCTCCTTGGCCTCCCAAAGTGCTGGGATTACAGGCGGGAGCCACCGCGCCTGGCCCTTGATTATTTTAATTACAAATGAGAAACTTCAAGAAACTCAGAGACAGAAACCAGCCAGGAAGTATCTCCATTTATTTCCTCTCAGATAATATTTAGTAATTGTCTTAGTCCATTTTGTATTGCTATAAAAAAATACCTCAGACTTGGCAATGTGTAAAGAAAAACAGTTATTTAGCTCATGGTCCTACAAGCTGAGAAGGCCAAGGGCATGGCCCTGACCTCTGGGGAGGGCTTCTGTGCTGTGTCACAACATGGCAGAGAAAGTCAAAAGGGAAGTGGACATATGTGAAGAGAGGAAAACCTAAGAGGCTTCCTGGCTTTATAACAAACCACTCTCAGAGGGACTAATCCAGTCCCACGGAAATCAATTCAGTTCTCACTACTGCAGAAACAGCACCAAGCCATTCATGAGGGATCTGACTCAATAACCCAACATCTCTTATTTGGCTCCACCTCCCAACACTGCCACATTGAGGATCAAATATCTTTTCTTTTTTTTTTCTTTTTGAGACGGAGCCTCACTCTGTCGCCCAGGCTGGAGTGCAGTGGCACAATCCTGGCTCACTGCAACCTCTGCCTCCCAGGTTCAAGCAATTCTCCCTGCCTTAGCCTCCTAACTGGGATTATAGGCACCCATCACCATGCCCAGCTAATATTTGTATTTTTAGTAGAGATGGGGTTTCTCCATGTTGGCCAGGTTGGTCTCGAACTCCTAAACTTCCAGTGATCCACCATCCTCGGCCTTCCAAAGTGCTGGGATTACAGCCTTAAGCCACTGCACCCGGGCCAGGATCTACCTTTTGAAGGTAGGAATGTCATAGAATTGGGTAACCTGGCTAGGCATGGTGGCTCACACCTGTAATCCCAGCACTTTGAGAGGCCAAGGCAGGTGGATTACCTGAGGTCAGGAGTTCGAGACCAGCCTGACCAACATGGTAAAACCCCGTCTCTACTAAAAATACAAAATTAGCCAGGCATGGTGGCGCATGCCTGTAATCCCAGCTACTCGGTTGGCTTTCGCAGGAGGTTTGCTTGAACCCGGGAGGCGGAAGTTGCAATGAGCCGGGAGATTTTTAGTAGAGACGGGGTTTCTCCATGTTGGTCAGGCTGGTCTCCAACTCCTGACCTCAGGTGATCTGCCCGCCTCGGCCTCCCAAAGTGCTGGGATTACAGGCATGAGCTACCGAGCCCATCCTAGGGCCCCTTTTTGAATATCTCCCCTAGGGCAGAAATGGCAAGCTCATAATTGAATCCAGTCACAACTCACTTCATTTGTTCTTCTGATCGTACTTGTTTCTTTCTAAAGTCTTGTTTTATTTATTTTTATGACTTTTTAATGTTTTATTTATTTATTTATTTATTTATTTAATTTTTTTGAGACAGAGTCCCGCTGTGTTGCTCAGGCTGGAGTGCAGTGGCACGATCTCAGCTCACTGCAACCTCCGCCTCCCGGGTTCAAGCGATTCTCCTGCCTCAGCCTCCCGAGTGGCTGGGATTGCAGGCACACACCACCATGGCCGGCTAATTTTTTTGTACTTTTAATAGAGATGGGTTTTCGCCATGTTGGCTAGGCTGGTCTCGAGCTCCTGACCTCAGGTACTCTGCCCTGGGATTACAGGCATGAGCCACTGTGCCTGGCCCGACGTTTTTTTATTTTATAGAGGTGGTGCTGCACTGTGTTGCCCAAGCCTGGTCTCCAACTCCTAGGTTCAAGCAATCCTCCGACCTTGGCCTCCCAAAGTGCTGGGATTACAGGTGTGAGCCACCATGCCGGGCCCTAAACTCTTCTTTTGAATAAAAGCGCAGATAGCAAACAAAATTAAATTTTAAATAAAGAGCTTTTTTTTAACAGAAATCAAAAGGCTTATATGTTCTCCTCCCCTTGTTATGAAATGCACCTTACCTTGGGCAAGCAAATTCTACCTGTCTTAAAAAAGCAATAGCAAATACTGCCAGTCTCTTCTCTATGAAACAGAAAAACTTTTACCCGGAAGTGCTAAGTAGGCCAGACGTGATGGCTCATGCCTATAATCCCACTGCTTTGGGAGGCCAAGGTGGGAGGATCACTTGAGCCCAAGAGTTAAAGACCAGCCTGGGCAACATGGTGAGACCCCCGCCTCTATAAAAAAAATGTTAAAAATTTTTTTTAATTTAGTTTTTTTCTTTAAATTTTTAACCTAATGGAGAATAGTAGATTTTCCTAATGGAGGAAATACTAGATTTTCCTAAGGGTGTCTCAACAGTGAGCATGTAATGGGATAATGTATGCATAATGGAGTCCACTAGCTCCCTTCCTAATATCCATTCCCCCATTATTCTTTGCTAGCAGAGTCTGAATTTTATTCAAGTGAGCAATGTGCCCATCTTAAGGACTACACTTCCCAGCCTCCCTTGCAGCTAAGGGAGGATGATGAAATAATAAGAGGAAGTCATTGGGTGGGGTTTCCAGGAAAGCTATTTAAAGGGAAATGACTTAGCTTGCCTCTGGCTCTTGCTACTTCCTTCTTCCCGCTGCCGGGAACACAAGCAAAACGTTGAGGGCTGCAGCAGCCATCTTTGACCATGAAGTAACCTTAAGAAAGGAAGCCATGTGCTAAGAATGGTGGAGAAGAAAGGAGGAAGTGCGTGATGAATTTGTCAACATCCCTGGACTACCTAATTCCAGACTTTTTTAAGTAGAGAAAAATAAACCTCTAGTTTATATAAGCAACTGTGGTCATGTCTCTGTACGAACTAAACACAATTTATTCATCCTTATAATATGTAAAGCTTGAGAACTAAATTCTGATTTTTTTTTTATCTTGCCCAAATTCCTATCTAAGGGGTCTGGGGAGTCATGCCCTACAAACCGTAAATTCTCATCAGATGGGTTTTATTTAACCCTATATATGTCTTGACTTACTTTTCAGCCTGACTCTGGCATAACATGAGGATGCAAGGAAGAAAATCAAAATATTTTACCCCCAAAACATGTTTCTTTGTAACATTTTGAAATGGCCCTGCAACCAGTCCTTTGTTGAGGGAAAATTCACATCTGTAAAGAATCCCTATTAACATAGCTAGACGTTTTCCTTCCAGGCCCCTCCAATTCTGAATAGAGTAAGTGAGAGTCTAGCACCTTTTAAAGTTTCTGAAAAGGAAACGTGTGTCATCTATTGTTTCTAAGGGCAGCTGCTATGAGACTTGAAAAGAACCTTGGTCTCCACGATCTGTTTTTATTTTATTTTATTTTATTTTTTCCTTTGAGGTGGAGTCTTACTTTGTTGCCCAGGCTGGAGTGCAGTGGCTCGATCTCGGCTCACTGCAACCTCCGCCTCCCGGGTTCAAGCGATTCTCCCTCCTCAGTCTTCCAAGTAGCTGGGAGTACAGGCGCACACAACCATGCCTGGCTAATTTTTGTATTTTTAGTAGAGATGGGGTTTCACCATGTTGGCCAGACTGGTCTCAAACTCTTGACCTCAGGTTATCTGCCTGCCGCAGCCTCCCAAAGTGCTGGGATTACAGGCGTGAGCCACCGTGCCCAGCCCACAATCTTTTATCTTAAGCTGAACATTTCCTTTCTATTGATACCAAGTCCTTAGACAAAAACTCAACCAGTTGTCAACCAGAAAATGTTTAAATTTACCTATAGCCTGAAAGCCCCTCCCCCCCCAACTTCAAATTGTCCCACCTTTCTGGAACAACTCAATGTATTCCTTAAATGTATTTGATGGATGTTTCATTCCTCCCTAAAATATATAAAACCAAGCTGCAGCCCAACCACCTTGGGCACATGTTCTCATGACCTCCTAAGGGCTGTTATGGGTCATGGTCACTCATATTTGGCTCAGATAAATCTCTTTAAGTATTTTACGTAGTTTAACTCTATTAACCGACAAGCTCTTGGCAATTTGCAGATTTCTCAATACATGTGATGTTTTGTAGTTTGAGATCTGCGGTTGTTCCTCATTTTTACTTTCATCTTGCTTTTACCCACTGTGTTTATGCACCTTTTCTCCATTACAGCCTCGTGTCCCTTCTGAAGCTGGTCCTCAGCCTAGAACAGTAGCTGCAAGTTGCTGCCGGTTATCAGATAGTACTCAGGATAAGAATGTGATCGCTCATCCTGACTCTGCTATCTGAGGGCTGAATCACAGGCAATTAAATGCATTTTCAGAAAGACTGCCTGTGGCCTTGCCCGACTTGTGGCCACTCTGTGGGTGGTTCTCTGAGCCTGGATTGGAGGCAGACCCTGGGCTGGAGATGTGCTTCATTCAGCACGATGACAGTGCCATGGAGGAAGGTGCCACCTATAGACTGTGTCTCAGGTCTCTTGCTTCTGATGACTAAACAGTTCCCCAATTTTCCTGAAACTGTGTTCTAAAAGTGGCATGGCTCTGAAAACAAAAAGACTCAGATTCATGGGCCAACCCAGGTATCACATGAGGACCAGCTTCTTGACGAGCCAAGACATCTATATGATAGAGCTACACTCTCTGACCACAACCGGTGTACAAAAATAGCAGTAACACAGGCTCTCGTATTCAAATACAGACTTTGGTTCTGGAGGTCTGGGAGTCTGCATTAATTAATTAATTAATTTAATTTATTTGTTTATTTTTGAGACAGGGTCTCACTGTGTCACCCAGGCTGTAGTGCAGTGGAGCAATCATAGCTCACTGCAGCCTTGAACCCCTGGGGTCAAGCAATCCTCCTGCCTTAGCCTCCAGAGTCCTAGGATGACAGACTTGCGCCACCATACCCAGCTAATTTTTTGTTTTAATTTTCTGTAGATGTGGGGTCTCCCTATGTTACCCAGGCTGGACTCAAACTTCCACCTCAAGCCATCCTCCTGTCTTGGCCTCCCAAAGTGCTGGGATTACAGGCATGAGTCACCTTGCCCAACTCAATGGTTTCCTTTTTTTTCTTTCTTATTTTTCACTTTGTTTCTTTCTTTTTTAAGAGAGGGTCTCACCCAGGTTGGTGTGCAGTGGCATGATCTCAGCTCACTGCAGCCTCGACCTCCCGTGCTCATGTGATCTTCCCACTTCAGCCTCCTGCATAGCTGGGACCACAGGAATGCAAACAATGCCTGGTTCATTTCTTATTTTCTGTAAAGATGAGGTCTTGCTATGTTGCCAGGTTGTTCTCAAACTCCTACACTCAGGCTATCTGCCCACCTGGGTCTCCCGAAGTGCTGGGTTTACAGTCGTGGGCCACCACACCCGGCGGTGGTTTCCACTATGTATCTAATCCCACTGCTCTCCATTCGAATTTTAGCAGTTTTCCTTCCAGTCTTTTATTATTTTATTTTTTGAGACGAAGTTTTGCTGTGTCACCCAGGCTGGAGTGCAGTGGCATGATCTCAGCTCACTGCAACCTCCGCCTCCCGGGTTCAAGCGATTCTCCTGCCTCAGCTGGGATTACAGGTGTGTGCCACGACACCCAGCTAATTTTTGTATTTTATTAGAGACAGGGTTTCTCCACGTTGGCCAGACTGATCTCGAACTCCTACCTCAGGCGATATGCCTGCCTTGGCCTCCCAACGTGCTGGGATTACAGGCTTGAGCCACTGCCCCAGCCACCTTTCAGTCTTTTATATTGACAGAAGTATTTCCACTGTTGTGCTAGCACCAGCTCCCATGGGCTTGGATAGGCAGCTGTGCATGTCTCTATTCTGCTCCTCCTTCAGTGACATCACAAGGTAGCTTGAAATCAGCCATGGTGGGAGTATTTACACCATAGAAATTGGCAAATGCTACTCTATAAATCAGGGATTTTCTTTGCACAGTCAGTTGTTAAACATTTACCAGCACTTCACTGATTTTATTATCATCAGGTTTACCCTGTCATTCCACTCTCCCCTATTTCACTTCTCCGACTATTTCATTTTCCCCTACAGTATACCAGGACCTTCACCCTAGTGAAGGAAGACAGACGATACATAAGTAAACGTGGAAACAAACAAGATCATTGTAAGTAGTGATATAAAGTAGGGAGAAAATTAAAACAGGTGATATGTTGAATAGACTCCTCTTACCGTTTTATCCCCCACATCATGTCATAAACATTTCCCTAAGTTCTAAAAATGTCTTAGCTGGGTGCAGAGGCTTGTTTCTGTAATCCCAACACTTCAGGGGGCCAAGGTGAGAGGATCGCTTGAGCCTAGGAATTCAAGACCAGCCTGGGCAACATAGCAAGATCCCACCTCTGTAAATAAACAAACAAATAGATAAATAAATAGAAATGTTAAAAAGTTTTAAGGCACATTCTTCTCAATGACTACATAATAGTTATTCCTTGTAAGAATGTTCTACTTTATTTAAGCAGTCCCCTGGAGTTCAGAGTTGCCCAACCTCAGCACTATGGCTATTTTGGACCAAAATAATTATTTGTTGTTGAGGGCTGGGCTAAGCGCTTTAAGCTGTTTAGCAACATCCCCGGCTTCTACCCACTAGAGGCTGGTAATACCCACCCCACGCAGCTTCTTGCAGTAATGACAACCAAAAATGTCTTCTGGGGCGACAAAATCACGCCAGTTGAAGATCACTACTATAATTGGACATTTACCACTTTTTTTGTTGCTGTTGTTTGTTTTTTGTTTTTGTTTTGAGACAGGGTCTCATTCTGTTGTCCATGCTGGAGTGCAGTGGTGCCATTTCGGCTTACTGCAACCTTCGCCTCCCAGGCTCAAGCGATCCTCCAGCCTCAGCCTTCTGTGTAGCTGGGACTGTGGGCGCTCGCCACCACGCCCAGCCGATTTTAGCATTTTTTTGTAGAGATGGGGTCTCACTATGTCACCCAGGCTGGTCTCAAACTCCTGGGCTCAAGTGTTTCGCCTGCCTTGGCCTCCAAAAGTGCTAGGATTACAGACATGAGCCATGGCACCCAGCCCACTTACCACTTTATTACTTCTTCTTAGTATTATTTTTGAGATGGAGCCTCACTCTGTCACCAAGGTTGGAGTGCAATGGTGTGGTCTCAGCTCACTGCAACCTCTGCCTCCCCAGTTCAAGCGATTCTCCTGCCTCAGCCTCCTGAGTAGCTGGGACTACAGGTGCGTGCCACCACACCTGGCTAATTTTTGTATTTTTAGTAGAGACGGGGTTTCACTATGTTGGCCAGGCTGGTCTCGAACTCCTGACCTCATGATCCACCCACCTTAGCCACCCATAGTGCTGGGATTACAGGCGTGAGCCACCATGCCCGGCCTCATTTACCACTTTAAACTGGCAAAAATAGGCCAGGCATGGTGACTCATGCCTGTAATCCCAGCACTTTGGGAGGCTGGGGCAGGAGGATTGCTTGAGACCAGGAGTTCAAGACCAGTCTGAGTGACACAGTGAGACCCCCCATCTCTACAGAAAATTTTAAAAATTAGCCAGGCGTAGTGGCTCACACCTGTAGTCCCAGTTACTTGACAGGCTGAGGCAGGAGAGTCGCTTGAGTCCAGGAGTTCTAGCTGCAGTGAGCTATGATGGCGACAATGCACTCCAGCCTGGGCAATAGAGTGAGACCACATCTCTTTAAAAAATAAACAAATAAACTGGGCTGGGCACATTGGCTCAGGCCTGTAATCCCCATCTCTACTAAAAATACAAAAATTAGCAGGGCGTGGTGGCGCGTGTCTGTAATCCCAGCTACCCAGGAGGCTGAGACAGGAGAATTGCTGGAACCCGGGAGGCAGAGGCTGCAGTGAGCCAAGATCTCACCACTGCACTCCAGCCTGGGTGACAACAGCGAGACTCTGTCTCGAAAAAATAAAAAATAAACTGGCAAAAATAAGGTTCTGATAGGAAACCTTGTTTTGTATGGGAAATGAGGGTCTCAGAATGTGGCCCCAGGACCAGCAGCTTCAGCGCCATCTGAGATCTTGTTAGAAATAAAAATACTCAGGGCCAGATATGGTGGCTCATGGCTGTAATCCCAGTACTTTGGGAAGCCAAGGCGCGCGGATCATCTGAGGTCAGGGGTTTAAGACCAGGCTCGCCAACATGGTGAAACCGTCTCTACTAAAAATACAAAATTTAGCAGGGCGTGGTGGCGGGCGCCTGTAATCCCAGCTACTCCGGAGCCTGAGGCAGGAGAATCACTTGAACCCCGAGGGCAGAGGTTGCAGTGGGCCAAGATCGCGCCACTGCACTCCAGCCTGGGTGACAGACCAAGACTCTGTCTCAAAAAAAAAAAAAAAAGAAAAAAGAAAAAACAAGAAAATACTCAGGACTTCTCCAGTTACCTGGAATCAGAATCTCCAGGGTTGGGACCCGGCAATCTCGTAACACATCCTCCAGGGGATTCTGATGCAGGCTCCCATTTGATAACCACTACATGAGGGGGCTTAGAAGTCGGTTTCAGAAATGAAAATCATGTTTGAGGTTGGTTAGGTCCTGCAATACCTGGTTGTGGTTGCATCATAATGACGTTTTCCCCTCTGGCTGATTCATGGCAGATCTAGATGATTAGTGCAAATTAGCTGTGTTCAGGTGTGCTTTTGACTTAAGTACCACCTTTCAGCTCAGGATTACCAAACACCACTTATTTTTATCCAGGGAGGTTCTAAGAGGCTCTGGGGCCAGCGAGAAAGTTAAGAATAGAAAGCAAATGGACCGTCTGACTGGGCTCTAACCACCACGTTGTGATTCACCACGGCATGTAAACCTTGGTTCTTTAAATAAAGAACATTTGGGTCTTTTCAGAAACTGAAAACCACAGACTACAAAGCTAAGCCAAAATGTACTGCTCATAGCTATATCTCATGCTTGTTGCCATCTTGTGAAATGTGCTATCATGAATTCAGCTGAGAATATGAACTGTTTTCCTTGTTGGGGCTCATGCTACCCCAAAATATGGTACCTTGGCATTTGAAAAAAACAGCAGAAGCAGGAAGATCCCTCTCATCTTCCCTTTGCCTTCTCCCTTCAAGCAAAAAAGCCATAAAACACAAAAAGGATTCTCTGATCTTCCTTTAGAACAGATCGTAAGACCTGTCAGAGGTACACACCCTGTACCTGGAGGAAAGAAACATCCTTGTGTCTGAAGACACAGGGAAAAGCCTAAACAAAAAGGCCTTGCCAACTTCCAGCCAGTTTATTCCCATTAGGTCATAGCCCCGGTGTCCAGTTATCCTTCTCCATGGCTGTCCACTCTTCATCAAACCTAAGCATAAAATAGACAGGTTTCTGACCAGGTGCGGTGGCTAATGGCTATAATCCTAGCACTTTGGGAAGGCAAGCTGGGTAGATCTCTTGAGTCAAGAGCTGGAGACCAGCCTGGCCAACATGGTGAAACTTCATCTCTACAAAAAGTACAAAAATTGGCTAGGCATGGTGGCTCATGCCTGTAATCCTGGCACTTTGGGAGGCCGAGGCAGGCAGATCACTTGAGGTCAGGACTTCGAGACTACCCTGGACAACATGGCAAAATCCTGTCTCTACTAAAAACACAAAAATTAGCCAGGCATGGTTGCATGCACATGTAATCCTAGCTACTAGGGAGGCTGAGGCAGAAGAATTGCTTGAACCCAGGAGATGGAGGTTGCAGTGAGCCGAGATCTTGCCATTGCACTCCAGCCTGGGCGACAGAGTGAGATTCTGTCTCAGAAAAAAAAAAAAGGACAAAAATTAGCCAGGCGTGATGGCGCACACTTGGGGTCCCAGCTACTTGGGAGGCTGAGGTGAGAGGATTGCTTGAGCCCGGGAGGCGGAGGTTGCAGTCAGCGGAGATTGCACCGTTGCACTCCAGCCTGGGGAAGAAAACGAGACTGTCAAAAAAAAACAAAACACACACACACACACACACACACACACACACACATACACACGCAGGTTTTCCTGTTTCTAGATCTTCATTTCTGAAGGTTCTCATGTCACATTAAACTTATATTAAATGCGTGTGTTAATCTGTCTTTCATTGTGGGGACTCAGCCATGGACCTAGCAATGGGTGAGGAAAGATCTTTCCTTCCCTACATCTCCCGTGGTTCCTAAATGGGGTTTGTCGAAACAAAAGGAACACTGGTCTAGTGGTTCTCCATTGTGGCATCACTGTCCCATTCAAGCTGACGTTTGTAAACAGAGAGTGGGTGTTGGGTTGTCATCGTGATGTGATCTCTGGCATCCAGTGGGTGGCTGCCAGCATTGCTCGCCATCTTATAGGGTGCAGGTGATAATGTAAAATGGTACAATCACTTTCAAAAATAATTTGAGATGGCCGGGTGCGGTGGCTCATGCCTGGAATCCTAGCACTTCGGGAGGCAGAGGCAGGCAGATCATCTGAGGTCAGGAGTTCAAGACTAGCCTGGCCAACATGGTGAAACCCCATCTCTACTAAAACTGAACGTTTATGTCAGCCCTATGCATAATCACCAAAAACTGGAAATGACCCGAATGTCCAGATGAACAGATAAACAGGCTGTGATACATTCACACAGTGGACAATTTACTCCTCATCCATCAAAAGGAATAAACTATGAGTACACAATACAACATAGATGAGGCTGGGTGCGGTGGCTCACACCTGTAATCCCAGCACTTTGGGAGGCCAAGGCGAGTGGATCACCTGAGGTTAGGAGTTCGAGACCAGCCTGGCCAACATGGTGAAATCCTGTCTCTACTAAAAATACAAAAATTAGCCACGTGTGGCGGTGTGCACCTGTAATCCCAGCTACTCAGGAGGCTGAGGCAGGAGAATCGCTTGAACCCGAGAGGCAGAAGTTACAGAGAGCTGAGACTGTGTCACTACACTGCAGCCTGGGCCATAGGGCGCACAGAGGGAGACTCCATCTAAAAAAAAAAAAAAAAAAAAAAAAAAATATATATATATATATATATATATATATATATATATACATACACGGAGAGAGAGAGAGAGAGAGAGATGAAACTCAAAATAATTATGCTGGGTGAAAAAAGCCAGACACAAAAGAATACATGCATTATAATTCATTCCCTTCACATAAAATTATAGAAAATGCAAACTAATCAGTCTATAGCCACAGGAAAAAAACAGATCAAACCATTTGCCTGGGGATGTGTGGAAGGGCCAGGGGGAAGTGAAGGAGGGATTCGATTCCATTTGAATTCCCCTTGGGGTGACAAGGAAACAGGCTGGGTGATAGCCGTGTTAATCAGCCCTCCAAAGGGCAGCTCACAACCTGGCAGCTGGCTCTTTAGGGCAGAGGGAGAGTGCAAAAGAGAGTGTCCAAGAGGTGGAAACTACCATTGTTCATAATCCACTCTCAGGGGTGACATCCATCACTTCTGCTGTATCCTATTCATTTGAGATAAGTCAGTCAATCCAATGCACACTCGAGGGCTGGATGTTACACAACAGAATGAATTCCAAGAGGCGTTGGATCTTTGGGAGCTCTCTTAGAGGCTGCCCACCTCACGTAACAAATGGGAACATGCAGAAGTATGAAAGCAGACACATGCAGTGTTCTCCCTCTCTGCCCAAATGAGGGCACATTAATATTGGCCTCGCAGGTCAGAACCACTTCACAAGGACATTTTCTTTCCTCCTTAAAAAAAATACCATCGGCCAGGCACAGTGGTTTACGCCTGTAATCCCAGCACTTTAGGAGGCCAAGGTGGGCGGATCACCTGAGGCCAGGAGTTCGAGACCACACTGACCGACACGGTGAAATGCCGTCTCTACTAAAAATACAAAAATTAGCCGCGCGTAGTGGCGGGCTCCTGTAATCCCAGCTACTTGGGAGGCAGAGACAGGAGAATTGCTTGAACCCAGGAGGCAGAGGTTGCAGTGAGCCAAGATTGTACCACTGCACTCCAGCCTGGACAACAGAGCAAGACTCCCTCTAAAAAAATAAAAATAAAAATAAAAAATAGCATCGACCGGGAGCTGTGCCTCACGCCTGTAATCCTAGCACTTTGGGAGGCCTAGGCGGGCAGATCACTTGAGTTTAGGAGTTTGAAAGCAGGCTGACCAACATAGTGAAATCCTGTCTCTACTAAAAATATTTTAAAAACTAGCCGGAGGCTGGGCACAGTGGCTCACGCCTGTAATCCCTGCACTTTGGGAGGCCGAGGTGGGCGGATCACCTGAGGTCGGGAGTTCGAGAGCAGCCTGACCAACATGGAGAAACCCCGTCTCTACTAAAAATGCAAAATTAGCCAGGCGTGGTGGCGCATGCCTGTAATCCCAGCTACTCGGGAGGCTGAGGCAGGAGAATCGCTTGAACTCAGGAGGCAGAGATTGCGGTGAGCTGAGATCGTGCCATTGCACTTCAGCCTGGGCAACAAGAGTGAAACTCTGTCTCAAAAAAAAAAAGAAAAAAAAAAATTAGCAGGGTGTGGTGGCAGGCATCCGTAATCCCAGCTACTTGGGAAGTTGAGGCAGGAGAATTGTTTGAACCCAGGAGGCAGAGGTTGCAGTGAGCCAAGATCACATCATCATTGCACTCAAGCCTGGGCAACAGAGTGAGACTCTGTTTCCAAAAAATAAATAAATAAATAGCATCATTTGTCCTGTCCCAGTGGTCATAAGAGCTGATGATGCTGATGTAGTTGGCAGTATGTGTTTCTGTGGTTTCTCCAGCAGCTAAAGCAACAGCTTGTTTGAAGAGAACAGAAGCATAAAAGTGTGGTGGGATGAAAGATGCCAGGGGTGTGCCCGATTCCCCAAACAGTCTGGATTATCTTCTAGAAATATTCATCGCTATGTTGTACTGCTCAGGACAGGCTATGCTGCTGTAAATGAACAAATGAAAACAATACAATTATGTACACCTGGCAACATGGTGGTTGATGCCTGTAGTCCCAGCTATTTGGGAAAGTGAGACAGGAAGATCACTTGAGGCCAGAAGTTTGAGACCAGCCCGGGCAACATAGTAAGACTCTGTCTCAAAAAAAAAAAAAAGTATATATATATATATATATATACTCGCACACACATATATTTAATAGGCTAAACACCACAAAAGTTTATTTCATGTTCAGGCAAAGCAGGCTCTGGGTCCATACCACTCTCCAGGGCTTCTGCCTTCCACGTGATGACATGTGGTGACTCAGGGATCCAGGCAGCTTCTATCTTGTGGCTCCACGCTTTCAGTACAAGGCCTCCTCTATGATGAGCAAGATGAAGCCTGGAGAATCTTGCAGGGGCCTCAGAAAGGAAATGACACATCACTTATGATTCATATTCTATTGGCCAGAATTAGTCACGTAGCCCTGCCTAACTCAAAGTCATTGGGAAGGTACTTCCATACACTGAAAAAGGAAGGGAGAACTGGATATTGGGCAGTGTGAATATCAATTACGTATGGCAAGGAGGAGATTGAATGCAGACACTAATATTCAGAGGTGAGTATTCTTACCTGCTGTTAAAGCTGGGTAGCCTCCCACTTTGGGAGGCCAAGGTGGGTGGATCACCTGAGAACGGGCTCCTGTAATGGACACCTGTAGAGTAGCTGGGAGTTCGAGACCAGCCTGGCCAACATGGTGAAACCCCGTGTCTACTAAAAATACAAAAATCAGCCAGGAATGGTGGCACAGGTCTGTAGTCCCAGCTACTTGGGAGGCTGAGGCAGAAGAATCGCTTGAACCCAGGAGGCAGGGGTTGTAGTGAGCCGAGATCGTGCCACTGCACTCCAGCCTGGGTGACAGAGCAAGACTCTGTCTCAAAAAAAAAAAAAAAAAAAAAAAAGCTGGGGAGCCTGGCTGCTTCAAAATTAATTACAACATTTTAACAGAAAGCCCCCACCCCCACGACACTCACACACACAATTTCACATGTTATATTTGTTACCTGAAAAAAACAGGGTTCGGTTCACCGAAGTGAGTGGCAAATGACTCTCCATGAGAACGTAGGGTTTGTGTAGTTGTTGCTGTTGCTGTTGTTTTATTTAATAGAAATAAGGTCTCGCTGTGTTGTCCAGGCTGGTCTTGAACTCCTGGGCTCAAGCGATCCTCCTACCTCAGCCTCCAGAGTAGCCAGGACTACAGGCATGTGCCACCAAGCCCAGCTAATTTATTTTTTATTTTTCATTTTTGAGAGGAGTCTTGCTCTGTCTCCCAGGCTGGAGTGCAATGGCACGATCTCAGCTCACTGCAACTTCTGCCTCCTGGGTTCTAGTGATCATCCTGCCTCAGCCTCCCGAGGAGCTGGGATTACAGGCCCATGCCACCATGCCCAGCTGACTTTTGTATTTTTAGTAGACATAACGTTTCGCCATGTTGGCCAGGCTGGTCTCGAACTCCTGACCTCAAGTGATCCACCCACTTCGGCCTCCCAGAATGCTGGATTACAGGCATGAGCCACCATGCCAGGCCAGTAGTTTTTGTTTTTGTTTTTGTTTTGTTTTGAGACAGAGTCTCGCTATGTCTCCCAGGCTGGAGTGCAGTGGCGCGATCTCGGCTCACTGTAAGCTCTGCCTTCTGGGTTCACGCCATTCTCCTGCCTCACCCTCCCGAGTAGCTGGGACTATAGGCGCCTGCCACCACGCCCAGATAATTTTTTTTTTTTTGTATTTTTAGTAGAGACAGGATTTCACTGTATTAGCCAAGATGGTCTCGATCTCCTGACCTCTTGATCCACCTGCCTCAGCCTCCCAAAGTGCTAGGATTACAGGCGTGAGCCACCACGCCCGGCCACCAATAGTTTTATTACATGGCAGAAGTAAGGAGGACAGCTGGGAGTATTCTCGAAAGCAGTGTCTCTCTGAGGGAAAGTGACAGAAGGGTTTTATGCGGTGATGGAGAGGGGAGATGGTGCGTCATTCCACATAGAGGAGGGGTCTCCATGGCACAGACTCAGTAAGTAATCATGCCAGCACCTAGGTCACATGCGATGGTCACAAGCTATAGCTCCTCCCAGGGTGGAGACGTGAGCATGACAATCAAGCAAGTTCATTCGGGCTCAGGTCTGTAATCTCAGCACTTTGGGAAGCCAAGGAGGGTGGATCACTTGAGGTCAGGAGTTCCAGACGAGCCTGGCCAACATGGTGAAACCCTGTCTCTACTAAAAATACAAAAATTAGCTGGGTGTGGTGGCGTGCACCTGTAGTCTCAGCTCCTTGGGAGGCTGAGGCAGGAGAATCGCTTGAACCCAGGGGGCGGAGGTTGCAGTGAGCCGAGATCACACCCCTGCATTCCAGCCTGAGCAACAGAGTGAGACTCCATCTCAAAAACAAAAACAAAAACAAAAAATGATGTAACATATATATATATAAAGATAGAGTTAAGGCACAAAGAGGTTTCTAATCAAATTGATGGGCTTTTTCCACATCAACAACCAATTCTCCAATTCTCCACACACCAACTGGGTGTCCAGCAATGCAACGTAATGCAATTCTGATGCTGCCCGGGGTTAGCCTCAAACCCCACAGATGAAGGGCTTCGTCCCACAAGACTGCCCCACTTCAGGTGCCAATCCCAAGTCTGGGGCATCCATACTTCTGACTGACCAGACATAAATTGGGGGTTCCCACAAGCCCCTCATTAGGTTCAGTAATTTGCTAGAACAGCTCATAGAACTCAGGAAAACGCTGCACTTAATATTACTGGTAAAGACAGGGGAGCGGGGGCTTGGAGCTTCCATGACCCCTCCAGGTGTGTTGCTCTCCCAGCACCTGGATGTGTTCACCAACCCAGAAGCTCATGAAACTCATTGTTCAAAAATGTATTTTAGCCAGGCATGGTGGCTCACGCCTGTAATCCCAGAAGTTTGGGAGACCGAGGCAGGTGGATCAACTGAGGTCAGGAGTTCGAGACCAGCCTGGCCAATATGGTGAAACCCCGTCTCTATTAAAAATACAAAATTAGCTGGGCATGATGGCCTGTACCGGTAATCCCAGCTACTCAAGAGGCTGAGGCAGGAGAATCTCTTGAACCTGGGAGGCAGATGTTGCAGCGAGCCGAGATCGTGCCATTGCACTCCAGCCTGGGCAACAAGAGCAAAACTCCGTCTCAAAATAAATAAATAAATGAACAAACAAAACTATAAAGTGCAGATAAATGAGAAGACACAGCCAATCAAACTAGTGACCGACCACCCAAAAACAAGTGTAACGTAATATTTTCATAGATATCTTTCCATTACATTTTCTATGCATATGTGTTTTATAAAATTAGAATTTTCCTTTACATACTATTCTTAATTTTTTCTTTCTTAAAAATTATATCTTTAGAGGCAGGGTCTTGCTCCGTTGTCCAGGCTGGCATGAAGTGGCACAATCATAGCTTACTGCAGTCTTGAACTTCTGACTCAAGTGATCCTCTCACCTCAGTCTCCAAAGTAGCTGGGATTACAGGCATGAGCCACCATACCCCACTAATTTGCCTTTTTTTTTTTTGGTAGAGGCAGGGTCTTGCTATGTTGGTCAGGCTGGTCTCAGACACCTGGCCTCAAGTGATCCTCCTGCCTCAGCCTCCCAGGGTGCTGGGATTCTAGGTATGAGCCACTACACTTGTTTTTGTTTTTGTTTTTGTTTTTGTTTTTGTTTTTTGAGACGGAGTTTTGCTCTTGTTGCCCAGGCTGGAGTGCAACAGCGTGATCTTGGCTCACCCCAACCCCAGCCTCCCGGGTTCAAGTGATTCTCCTCCTTCAGCCTACCAAGTAGCTGGGATTACAGGCATGTGCTGCCACGCCTGGCTAATTTTGTATTTTTAATACAGACGGGGGTTTCTCCATGTCGGTCAGACTGGTCTCGAACTCCTGACCTCAAGTGATCCACCCGCCTTGGCCTCCCAAAATGCTGGGATTACAGGCATGAGCCACCACATCTGGCCCAGTTTTTTGTTTTTTGTTTTTTTTTACTTAATAAATCATGACCATCTTTTTATGTTCTCATCCCTTTTTTTTTTAGACAGAGTCCTGCTGTGTCATTCAGGCTGGAGTGCATGGCACCATCTCGGCTCACTGGAACCTCCACCTCCTGGGCTTAAGTGATTCTCCTGCCTCAGCCTCCCAAGTAGCTGAGACTACAAGCACGCACTACCATGCCCAGCTAATTTTTTTTTTTTTTTTGAGGCGGAGTGTCGCTCTCTCGCCCAGGCTGGATGGAGTGCAGTGGCACAATCTCAGCTCACTGCAAGCTCTGCCTCCCGGGTTCATGCCATTCTTCTGCCTCAGCCTCCCGAGTAGCTGGGACTACAGGCACCCGTCACCACGCCCGGTTAATTTTTTGTGTTTTTAGTAGAGATGGGGTTTCACCGTTTTAACCAGGATGGTCTCGATCTCCTGACCTCATGATCCGCCCACCTCGGCCTCCCAAAGTGCTGGGATTACAGGTGTGAGCCACTGCACCCGGCCTAATTTTTGTATTTTTAGTAGAGATGGGGTTTCACCGTGCTGGCCAGGCTGGTCTCAAACTCCTGACCTGAAATGATCTACCCGCCTTGGCCTCCCAAAGGGCTGGGATTACAGGCATGAGCCATTGAACCTGGCCTATGTCTTTACATCCTTTTAAAGTAATTGTTTGGAATTGGATTGTGGAGTTGTGTCATCAACATTAAAGCTAATTTTCTGTTTGGGAGCACTTGGGCTATTTTCATCCCTTGGTTCCCACAAATAATATTATTTATTTATTTTATTTACTTATTTTTATTTTATTTTTTGAGACAAGGTCTGGTTTTATTGCCCAGGCTGAAGTGCAGTGTTGTGATCTCAGTTCACTGCAACCTCTGCCTCCCAGGCTCAAACGATCCTCCCACCTCAGCCTCCTGAGTAGCTGGTACTACAGGCACACCACCATACCTGGCTAATGTTTTAAAAAATTTTTGTAGCAGTGTGGTTTTGCCATTCTGCCCAGGCTGGTCTTGAACTTGTGAACTCAAACAATCTGTCCACCTCAGCCTCCCAGTGTGCTGGGATTACAGGTGTGAGCCACCTCACCCGCCTTTGTTTATTTTTCATACAGGGTCTCTCTGTCACTCAGGGTGGAGGACAGGGTGCAATCATGGCTCACTGCAGCCTGGAACACCTGGGATCAAGCAATTCTCCCTCCTCAGCCTCCTGAGTAGCTGGGACTACAGGTGTCAGTCACTACACCCAGCTATTTTTTTTTTTTTCACAGAGACATGGTCTCGCTATGTTGTCCAGGCTTACAAATAATATCATTATGAGGGGTTTTTCTTAGCTAAATCTTTGCATGCACATTTGTTTTCCTCATATAAATTTCTTTCTCTTTTCTTTTCTTTTCTTTTTTTTTTTTTTTTGAGATGGCGTTTTGCTCTTGTTGCCCAGGCTGGAGTGCAACGGTGTGATCTCAGTTCGCCGAAACCTCCGCCTCCCAGATTCAAGCGATTCTCCTGCCTCAGCCTCCCGGGTTGCTAGGATTACAAGCATGCACCACCACGGCCGGCTAATTTTGTATTTGTAGTAGAGACTGGGTTTCTCCATGTTGGTCAGGCTGGTCTTGAACTCCTGACCTCAGGTGATCCACCCGCCTTGGCCTTCCAAAGTGCTGGGATTATAGGTGTGAGCCACCAAGACTGGCCTCCTCATATGAATTTCTAAAGGTAGAATTGATGGATTCACATGGCATATTTTATTTTATTTTATTTTGAGACAGAGTCTCGCACTGTCACCTGGCCTGGAGTGCAGTGGCGTGATCTTGGCTCACTGCAACCTTCACCTCCCGGGTTCACTGGATTCTCCTGTCTCAGCCTCCCGAGTAGCTGGGATTACAGGCGCATGCCACCATGTCCGGCTAATTTTTTTTGTATTTTTAGTAGAGACGGGATTTCACTGTGTTTGCCAGACTGGTCTCGAACTCCTGACCTCACGTGATCCACCCGCCTTGGCCCCCCAAAGTTTTGGGATTACAGGCGTAAGCCACCGCGCCCGGCCTCAGATGGCACATTTTAAGGCTTTGGATATGAATTGCCAAAATCTCTCCTGATTTCCCTCTTTCCTTACCCCAGACAGCCAATGAAACTTCTGTTTATCTACATCCTCACTAACACTGGATGTTAAATATGGGTTTAAAAAATCTCTGCAAATTGCTTCAGCATGATATTCTTTTTTTTTTTTGAGATAGAGTTTCCATTGCCCAGGCCACGGGGTGCAGTGGCACAATCTCAGCTCATTGCAGCCTCTGCCTCCCGCATTCAAGCGATTCTCCTGCTTCAGCCTCCTGAGGAGCTGGGATCGCAGGTGCGGGCCACCACGCCTCATTAATTTTTGTATTTTTAGTAGACACGAGGTTTCACCATGTTGGCCAGGCTGTTCTCAAACTCTGACCTCAAATGATCTGCCTGCCTTTGCCTCCCAAATTGCTGGGATTACAAGGCATGTGCCACAGCACCCAGCCAGCATGATATTCTTAATGTAATAAAATGTCTTCTATCTGAAAAAAACATAAAAAGCCTTTATTTAAAGGATGAACTAAAATCAAATAGGTTAAAACTAATCTTCCTTTAAGTAGATCTATGCAGCAAAAATTATTAAAATGGCCAGGTGCGGTGGCTCACGCCTGTAATCCCAGCAAGTTGAGAGGCTGAGGTGAAAGAATCGCTGGAGCTCAGGAATTCGAGACCAGCCTGGGCAACATGGTGAAACCCCGTCTCTACAAGAAATACAAAAATTTACTGTTCTTGATAGCACACGCGTGTAGTCCCAACTACTCGGGAGGCTGAGGTAGGAGGATGGCTTGAGCCTGGGAGGTCGTGGCTGCAGTGAGCCATGTTCATCCCACTGCACTCCAGCCTGGGTGACAAAGCAAGACCCTGCCTCAAAAAATAAACTAAAATAAAATAAAAAGTTTCTTATTAATGAAAAAAAAAATCAAGGCACACCCAACTGTAACAATTGGGGCCACTTAAAAAAAAAACACAAGCTCTCTTACCTCTGGCTGTAAGGACACAGGCTATTCTGATTTTATCACCAGGAAAACTGCCCATGAGGAAGCTGAGCCCAGCTGTGGCACTTTGGGTTGCCAGGGAAGCTGTTGGCTGAGCTGAGAATAAACATAAGTGATTCTATTCTCAGTAAGTGGTTCTAACCGCTAACCATCCTTCCTTCCCCTTCTGTATATCTATATTATGTTTGGGCCTAAATCATGCTGTCTGGATGAATCCTGATTCTACGAGGCTTTTAGTTTTGATAAACACAGTATTGGGAAATTTCCCAGTGGATCTGCGTGAAAAGAAAAATCTGACTTTGCTTTAACAGGTGCCTAACTTCAACATTAATGCCAGTGCTTATGACTAAGGGGATCCGATGATGCAAGGGTAAACTGGAGTGTCAGACTTCCAAATGACATGGAACTTTAGGTGACCTCTAAGACACTGGCTTGTGAGTGTGCAACAGTGCAGAGACCCAAGATGCTGCTTTTGCAGAAACACCTGGGATATTGACATATTAAATGAAAAATAACCACCCCAGGCTGGAGATGGTGGCTCACACATGTAATCTGTAATCCCAGCACTTTGGGAGGTCAAGGCAGGAGGATTGCTTGAAGCCACGAGTGCAAGACCAGCCTGGGCAACAAAGTGAGACCCTAACTCTACAGAAAGGAAGAAAGGAAGAAAGGAAGCAAGCAAGAAAGAAATAAAGAAAGAAAGAAAGAAAGAAAGAAAGAAAGAAAGAAAGAAAGAAAAGAAAGAAAGAGAGAAAGAGAGAGAGAGAGACAGAAAGAGAGAAAGAAAGAAAGAGAGAGAGAACTACCCCAAACTTGGGAGTTAGCATCTTTCAAAACTGTTTTTTGTTTTTTTGAGCCAGAGTCTCATTCTGTCGCCCAGGCTGGAGTGCAGTGGCCCGATCTCAGCTCACTACCACCTCCACCTCCCAGTTTCAAGCCATTCTCATACCTCAGCCACTCAGATAGCTGGGACTACAGGCAAGCACCACCATACTTGGCTAATTTTTGTGTTTTTTAGTAGAGAAGGGCTTTCACTTTGTTGCCCAGGCTGGTCTCAAACTCCTGAGCTCAGGCAATCTGCCCGCCTCAGCCTCCCAAAGTGCTAGGATTACAGGCATGAGCCACGATGCCTGGACATGCAAAACTTTATATTAGGAGAAATTATAATTGAAGAGGTTAAAGTCACAGGGAAAAAAACAGGATAGTGAGCATCACAGCCAGTAGATATTCTGATAAATAGCTTAAGTTCACTAAAATTACTTTAACAACAATAAAAACAGCAATGGGTGACATTTTTTGCACATGTTGCAATATTATGCTTATTTTCCTTTTCTGAAAAACCCTGTGACCCCTCTCCCCATAAAAATCATATATTAAGGCTGAGGCTGAATCATACTGGATAAACCAATTGGAAAGGTTTGACTCAAACCAAGAAAAGAAGAAAGAGCCAAATTTTTTTTATTTTATGAGTTCCCAAGTAAGCTTTTGAAATTCATGGCAGAAATAATAATTTTGAAAGCCAAGGTTTTTGATTTGCAAGATTTTTAAAAAGAGGCTTTTTTCCTTTTTCTTTCTTTCCTTCCTCCATTCCTCCCTTGCTTCCTCCCTTCCTTCCTCCCTTCCTTCTTCTCCATATTTAATTTTGAGTATCAGATTCTGAATTCAAAGCAAATCCCTGAAGGAATCATTTTGAAAGCCAAGCCTCGGCCGGGCGCGCTGGCTCACGCCTGTAATCCCAGCACTTTGGGGGGCTGAGGCGGGCGGATCACGAGGTCAGGAAATCGAGACCATCCTGGCTAACACAGTGAAACTGCGTCTCTACTAAAAATACAAAAAAAACTAGCCAGGCGTGGTGGCGGGCACCTGTAGTCCCAGCTACTCGGGAGGCTGAGGCAGGAGAATGGCGTGAACCCGGGAGGCGGAGCTTGTGGTGAGCCGAGATCGCGCCACTGGACCCCAGCCTGGGCGACGGAGCGAGACTCCGTCTCAAAAAAAAAAAAAAAAGAAAGAAAGCCAAGACTTCTGATTTGCAAAAAGAGGATCTTTTTCCTTTTTCTTTGTTTTCTATCTTTTCTTTTTTTCTAGTTCTTTTAACTTGGTTTTGAGTATCAAAACTTTGAATCAGGGATTCAAAGCAAATCCCTGAAGCTATCTTGGAATAAAGTCTACACCACAACAAACAAGAGATTTACTACAGGAGAACTGACAAAAAGTTAGGGCCAGGCGTGGTGGCTCACGCCTATAATTCCAGTACTTTGGGAGGGTGAGGCGGGAGGATCACTTGAGGCCAGGAATTCGAGACAAACTTGGCCAACATGGCAAAACCCCATCTCCACTAAAAATACAAAAATTAGCTGGGCGTGGTGGTGTGCGCCTGTAATCCCAGCTACTCGGTGGCTGAGGCAGCAGAATCGCTTGAACCTGGGAGGTGGAGGTTGCAGTGAGCCGAGATTGCACCACTGCACTCCAGCCCGGGCAACAGAGCAAGACTCTGTCTCAAAAAAAAAGAAAAGAAAAGTCATATTATCCTGTCCCTGAGACTGAAATTTTTCAACATAAAAGAAAAAAATCCAGCCAGGTGCGGTGACTCACGCCTGTAATCCCAGCACTTTGGGAGGCCGAGGTAGGCGGATCACCTGAAATCAGGAGTTTGAGACCAGCCTGGCTAACATGGTGAAACCCCGCTTCTACTAAAAATACAAAAAATTAGCCGGGCGTGGTGGTGTGCGCCTGGTACTACTATCCCAGCTACTCAGGAGGCCGAGACAGAAGAATCACTTGAACCTGGGAGGCGGAGGTTGCAGTGAGCCGAGATTGCGCCATTGCACTCCAGCGTGGGCAACAAGAGCGAAACTCTGTCTCAAAAAAAAAAAAAAAAAAAAGAAAGAAAAGAAAAGAAAAAAATCCCTGGAGGAGGAATTTAAAATTCCAATGAGTTGAGGACTGACTGAAACTGGATTGGCCATGAGCTGATGAGCTGGTTGAAGTTGGGTTCTTTATTCTAGTCACTCTACTTTTGTATATCTTTTGAAAATGTCTATAATGAAAAAAAAATTGGTTGTTATTTTTCTTTCTTTGTTTTTTTTGAGACGGAGTCTGGCTCTGTCGCCCAGGCTGGAGTGCAGTGGCACGATCTCGGCTCACTGCAAGCTCCGCCTCTCGGGTTCACGCCATTCTCCTTCCTCAGCCTCCGGAGTAGCTGGGACTACAGGCGCCCGCCACCACACATGGCTAATTTTTATGTATTTTTAGTAGAGACGGGGTTTCACTATGTTAGGCAGGATGGTCTCGATCTCTTGACTTCGTGATCTACCCGCCTTGGCCTCCCAAAGTGCTAGGATTACAAGCGTGAGCCACTGCACCTGGCCGGTTGTTATTTTTCACATAGAAGAGAGAGACCAGTGAGAAGGGTAGCAGCTGCAGGAGCAAGTGAGGTCTGAAGTAGGGTGGCCTTGTGGAGAGGGACAGAAAAGGCCAGAAGAGAAGGATGGCTTCAAATATGCTTGGCTGTATTGTCCTAGATTATTTCAGCATCTCGTTTCAAATCCCCAACCATCTTCTCTCCTCCTTCACTTCAAGTGCTTTCCTTGTACCCTTTGGGCTTTAGTCTAGATGCCATGGGAATTTTTTTTTTTTTTTTTTTTTTGAGACAGAGTCTGACTGTGTCACCCAGGCTGCTGAAGTGTAGTGGCATGATCTCTGCTCACTGCAGCCTCCACTTCCTGGGTTCAAGTGATTCTTCTTCCTCAGCCTTCCAAGTAGCTGGGATTACAGGTATGCGCCACACGATGCCTGGCTAATTTTTCTGTTTTTAGTAGACAGGGTTTCACCATGTTAGCCAGGCTGGTCTCAAACTCCTGACCTCAAGTGATCCAGCCACCTTGGCCTCCCAAAGTGCCAAGATTACAGGCTTGAGCCACCATGCCCAGCCGGCCATGGGAATTTTTGAGAGTTTTCAATAGACAGTGGCCTGATTTTAAAAGTCCCCTCTGGGAGATCAAGATGGGAGGATCCCTTGAGACCAGGAGTTCAAGACCAGCCTGGGCAACATATCAAGACCCTCTCTTAAAATAAAAATAAAAAAAAAATTAGCCAAGTGTGGTGCATGTCTGTAGTCCCAGTTACTTAGGAGGCTGAGGCAGAAGGATTGCTTGAGCCCAGGAGTTTGAGGCTGCAATGAGCTATGATCATGCCACTGCACTCCAGCCTGGGCAACAGATTGAGACCCTCTCTCTAAAGATTAATTAACTAGTTAATTAATTAATTTAAGATAAAAGTCTCCTGTAGCCTAGCTAATGCACAGAGCACAATTTGGAGGGGTCTACCTATAAAAAGACCAGCTAGGAGGCACTGCAGCATTCCAAGTGCTTTATAAGCATTCTTTTTTTTTTTTTTTTTTTTTGAGACAGAGTCTCACTCTGTCACCCCAGGCTGGAGTGCAATGGCATAATCTCTGCTCACTGCAACCTCCACCTCCCAGGTTCAAGAGATTCTCCTGCCTCCCCCTCCCGAGTATAGTTAGGACAACAGGAGTGTGACACCACGCCCAGCTAATTTTTGTATTTTGATAGAGATGGGGTTACACCATGATGCCCAGGCTGGTCTCCAACTTCTGACCTCAAGTGATCCACCCAACTTGGCCTCCCAAATTGTAGGGATTACAGGCGTGAGCCACTGCACCTGGCAGCATTCTTATTTACTTCTCAAAGCAAGTCTGTGAGTGAGGATTGTTCTGTTCATTTTGAATACAAGGAATCTGAGACCAGGGAGTTTGAGAGACCTACCCAAGGCCACACAGCAATTCCCTGCAGGGTTGCCAGATAAAATAAAATAAAATAAAATATGGCATGGAACATACTTATGCTAAAAAAAAAATTGTTGTTGGCCGGGTGCAGTGGCTCACACCTTTAATCCCAGCACTTTGGGAGGCTGAGGCAGGAGGATCACAAGGTCAGGATATCAAGAGCATCCTGGCTAACACGGTGAAACCCCATTTCTATTAAAAATACAAAAATTAGCCGGGCATGGTGGCCGGCACCTGTAGGCCCAGCTGCTGAGGAGGCTGAGGCAGGAGAATGGCGTGAACCCGGGAGGCGGAGCTTGCTTTGAGCCGAGATCGTGCCACTGCACTCCAGCCTGGGCGACAGAGCGAGACTCTGTCTCGAAAAAAAAAAAAAAATTGTTGTTTATCTGAAATTTATATTTAACTGGGTGACCTGTTTTTTTGTGTTTTGTGTTTTTTTTTTTTTTTGAGACTGAGTCTTGCTCTGTCACCCAGGCTGAAGTACAGTGGTGCAATCTCAGCTCACTACAACCTCCGTGTCCCGGGTTCAAGCGGTTCTGCTGTCTCAGCCTCCCCAGTAGCTAGGACTACAGGCACCCACCAACATGCCTGGCTAATTTTTGTATTCTTAGTAGAGACGGGGTTTCGCCGTGTGGGCCAGTCTGGTCTCTAACTCCCGACCTCAGATGATCTGCCCACCTCAGCCTCCCAAAGTGCAGGGATTACCGGTGTGAGCCATCGCGCCCGGCCCTGACCTGTATTTTTGTTACCAAAATCTGCAATCCTAATTGCTGACCAAGCCAGGATTTGGCCCCAGGGTCTCAAACCATCAGCAAATGCTCGTTGCATGAATATATAGGGGCAATGTGCAATATTAGAGAAGTTAAGGTCCTTTTTAGACAATCACAAATTGTAGTATCATGAGTTGAGTAGGATGAAGGTAAGAGCACAGGCTCAGATATCAACTCCCTGGGTTCAGATTCTGCCACCATCATCTAACTACCAGCTGTGTGATTTGGGGGCAGGTTACTTAAACCCTCATGCTATAGTTTTCTCATCTGCAAACTGGGGATAAGAATAATAATACTAATAATAGCACATTCCTCTAGGTCGGCTTTGAAGATTAAAGGAGCAAACTCATACATTGCCAAGCCTTGCCTGGTGTAAGACCACAGGAGATGTTGGCTGAGTGAGGTCATAGCAAACAGTATGCTAAAGGAATAAATAAAGTGTTACAAATCCTCCTCATACTACCAATTACACACGTAGATAAGTTTTTTCTCTTCTCTCTTTTTTTTTTTTTTTTTTTTTTGAGATGGAGTCTTGTTCTGTTGCCCAGGCTGGAGTGCAGTGGCACAATCTCCACTCACTGCAACCTCCACCTCCCGCCTCCAAGGTTCAAGCGATTCTCTTGCCTCAACCTCCCAAGTAGCTTGGACTACAGGCACCCACCACCACGTCTGGCTAATTTTTGTATTTTTAGTGGAGACAAGGTTTCACCATATTTCCCAGGCTGGTCTTAAACTCCTGACCTCAAGTGATCCTCCCACCTTGGCCTCCCAAAGTGCTGGGATTATAGGTGTGAGACACCACGCCCAGCCTAGAGAAGTTTCTCAAGGTGGGAACTGTGTTTTGTTCCTTATAGAACCCTGCCTACACTAAGGGGTGGAATTTTTTTTTTTTTTTAGACAGGAGCTTGCTGTGTTGCGCAGGCTGGAGTGCAGTGGCACAATCATAGCTCAGTGCAGCCTCAAATGCTTGGACTCAAGTGATCCTCTGCCTCAGCCACAGGCACACACCAACATGCCTGGTTAATTTTCTATTTTTTGTAGAGATGGGGTCTTGCTATGTTGTGCATGCTGGTCTCAAACTCCTGGCCTCAAGTGGTCCTCCCACCTGGGCCTCCCAAAGTTTTGGGATTACAGTCATGAACCACCACACCTGGCCCACAATAAATATTGATTCAATAATAAAATGGGCTGGGGGGGAGTTTCTAATGGGACTAGAATTGACCTGTAAAAATAACCAAAAACTAAAACACAAAAGAAGAATCCCACAAAAACAAAAATTATATTAGAGGGAAATAATGTAAGGAATGACTCCAGAATGTGACAGTGAGTCAATCAAAGCATTCATCATTGAAAATACTATATTTTGAGGCAAATATGTTTGATTTCTCAGGAAAAGCAAAAAGGGTTTGTGGCAAGCCACAACGAATACTGTCATTAAAGCAAAATTAGTACAGGTCTTAAATTCCAGAGGTTACAAAACAGCCTGGCTGAGGTCATTCATGCTTAATTATTGTGCCTAATAATTACCTTGACTAATTAGAGCAAAGGTTTCTGAGTATGTTTCTATTCCCAGACACTGAGTCACCAGTGACCCAGAATAAATCATTTCGCTCTATTTGTGTCTTGTATCATCGACATGAAAGCACCCTCAGCCAACTCCTCGGGGAAATTGCAAAGACTTCATTAATTAATATTTGGACAACAAGTATAACTTGTATATGCCAGACCTAAAGATATATGGCATCAGGATGTTTTGTAAGTTGGGTTCATTTATTTAATTATTCAACTACACTCCAGGTGCTCTTAATATTTGTTAAGCTCTACTCTGAGCCAGGCCCTGAGCTGGGAACAGGAGGTGCAACTGTGAACAAGGGAGATCAGCTCCTGCTCTCATGGAGCTTCTAGTCTAGCAAAGGAGACGGATGCTAAATAGGTAAACCAGATATAATCATTACAAATTGTTGAGTGCCACGAGGAAAAAAAATAGAAATCTGTGATAGAGACTAGTGGGAGGGGTTTATTTGTCTTCATTTTTGTTTTTTATTTTTATTTATTTATTTTTTTTGAGACAGAGTCTCACTCTTGTTGCCCAGGCTGGAGTGCAATGGTGCAATATGCACTCACCGCAACCTCTGCCTCCCGGGTTCAAGCCATTCTCCTGCCTCAGTCCCCCCAGTAGCTAGGATTATGGACATGCCCCACCATGTCTGGCTAATTTTGTATTTTTAGTAGAAATGGGGTTTCTCCATGTTGGTCAGGCTGGTCTCGAACTCCTGACCTCAGGTGACCCACCTGCCTCGGCCTCCCAAAGTGCTGGGATTACAGGCATGAGCCACTGCGCCTGGCCTGGTTTTTTTTCTTTTTATTTTTGAGATGGAGTCTCACTCTTTCACCTTGGCTGGAGTGCAGCGGTGTGATCTCCGCTCACCACAACCTCCGCCTCTAGGTCCAAGTGATTCTCCTGTCTCAGCCTCCCAAGTAGCTGGGATTACAGGTGTGTACCACCACGCCAGGCTAATTTTTGTATTTTTAGTAGAGACAGGGTTTCACCATGTCGGCCAGGCTGGTCTGGAACCCCTGACCTCCCAAAGTGCTGGGATTACAGGCATGAGCCAGCGAGCCTGGACTGAAGGGATCTTTTTTTGATGGCACGGTCATAAGAGGCTTCTCAGAAGAGGATCCCCATGCTGAGACCTGAAGGATGGCAAGGAACCAGCCAGGTGGACAGAGGAGGAGGGCATTTTAGGCAGAAGGAATAGCCCGGGCAAAAGCTGAGGTAGGAAAGAGGTTTTCATTTGGGGGAACTATAGGAATCAATGTACCTACAGCGTAGTGAATGAGGAAGGTGGTGTGAGCTCAGACTCAGATCACTCAGGGCCTCCGAGTTGGCCAAAGGCTGTTCCTGGCCACCTCCTTGGCTTGTGGCTGGACTACATTTCCCAGCATCCCTTGCTGTTGAGGGTGGGCACGTGACTGGATTTGGGCCAAAGGAATGCAAGGAGAGGCATTCCCCCAACCCCGTGCTAGTGGCCTTGCTAGTAACCACCTCCTGGGCTGACCTCCGTGCTCCTGCATTTTACTCATCCTGATGGAGAAAGCAGAGCCCCGAGCAAGCAGGAGCGTGGGTCCCTGGATCAGGTAATGGAAGAGAGCCACCTGCCTATCAGGAATACCAGTTTTGGACTTTATATGAGCAAGAAATAAATTCTCCTTGTGTTAGGCCACTGAGATTTGGGGGTTTATTTTCGGGTTTTTTGTTTTTGTTTTTGTTTTTTTTGTCCTTTTGAGGGTTTCTTTGTTACGGTGGCTCGTGTTCTCTTAAGTAATACACAGCCGTTATATCAAATCCACCTTAAAAAGTTGAGCTCAGGGCCGGGCGCGGGAGCACACGCCTCTAATCCCAGCGCTTTGGGAGGCCGAGGCAGGCGGATAACCTGAGGTCAGAAGTTCAAGACCAGCCTGACCAACATGGGGAAACGCCATCCCTACTAAAAATACAGATTAGCCAGGTGTGGTGGTGGACGCCTGTAATCCCAGCTCCTTGGGAGGCTGATGCAGGAGAATGGCTTGAACCTGGGAGGTAGAGGTTGCAATGAGATAGCGCCATTGCACTCCAGCCTGGGCAGAAAAAAAAAAAAAAAAAAAATCAAAAAAATCTGAGCTTCGTTGGGCGTGGTGGCTCACGTCTGTAATCTCAGCACTTTGGGAAGTTGAGGCAGGAGGATTGCTTGAGCCCAGCCTGGGCAACATGGGGAGACCATATCTCTACAAAACAATACAAAAACTAGCCGGGCATGGTGGCATGCGCCTGTGGTCCCAGCTACTCGGGAGGCTGAGGTGGGAGGA
Source organism: Homo sapiens (assembly GCF_000001405.40). Lineage (NCBI taxonomy): Eukaryota > Metazoa > Chordata > Mammalia > Primates > Hominidae > Homo > Homo sapiens. The sequence goes on along the minus strand of NC_000016.10, from coordinate 9,052,394 downwards.
TCACTTGAGCCCAGGAAGCAGAGGCTACAGTGAGCTGAGATGACTCCACTGCACTCCAGTGTGGGCAACAGAGCAAGACCCTGTCTGAATTAAAAAAAAGAAAAGAAAAAGAAAAAGGGAGGTGGAGCTTTCATAGCATATGGAAAGAGCTGGACATGGTGGCTCATTCCTGTAATCCCAGCACTTTGAGAGGCTGAGGCGGGCAGATCACTAGAGGTCAGGAGTTCGAGATCAGCCCGGCCAACATGGTGAAACCCCGTCTCTACTGAAAATACACAAAATTAGCCGGGCATGATGGCATGTGCCTGTAATCCCAGCTACTTGGGAGGCTGAGTCAGGAGAATCGCTTGAACCTGGGAGGCGGAGGTTGCAGTGAGCCGAAGTTGCACCACTGCACTCCAGCCTGGACAACAGAGTGAGACTCTGTCTCAAAAACAAAAATAAACAAACAAACAAGCAAAAAATGGAAAGAACAATAGGGGGCTTCTTCTAACCCCTCTCACCAGCTTCTAGTTCCACCCCCAGGAGAATAGTGAGGAGAAGGAATGTGGTTTCCAGATAAAATGCAGGACACCCAGTTACATTTGAATTTCAGATAAGCAGCCAATTTTTTTTTAGTGTAAGTATCTCCCACACAATATTTTACCTATTAAAAAAATACTAAAAAAATTGTTCATTGTTTTTCTGAAATTCACATTTCACTGGGCATCCTGTATTTTTATTTGCTAAATTTGGCCACCCTAACTGGGTAGTGGGCATGGTGTCTGCAGATGGAGTTGGTGCCCATGGAAACCATGAAAGGAAGCAAAACTGAGTGGACAAGAGCAGTGCATGGTCATGAGGAGCACAGACTTCCTGGGTTTAAATCCTGCTCTGAAATCGACTTGCTGCGTGATCTTGGATACGTTATTGGCCTCAGTTTCTTCATCTTTATTTTTTTTTAGTTATTTATTTACTTGTTTATTTTTGAGACAGAGTCTTGCTCTGTTGCCCAGGCTGGAGTCCAGTGGTGCGATCTCGGCTCACTGCAATCTCTACCTCCCGAGTTCCAGTGATTCTTCTGCCTCAGTCTCCCGAGTAGTTGAGACTACAGGCACACGTCACCACGCCCGGCTAATTTTTGTATTTTTGATAGAAATGGGGTTTCACCATATTGGCCAGGCTGGTCTTGAACTTCTGACCTCGTGATCCGCCCGCCTCGGCCTCCCAAAGTGCTGGTATTACAGGTGTGAGCCACCGCGCCCGGCATCTTCGTCTTTAAAATGGGGAGAATGACAATACCTGTTTTATAGGGCTGTCACGATAAGTCAGTGAACTGTGCTGGGCACAGTGGCTCACACCTGTAATCCCAGCACTTTGGGAGGCTGAGGCGGGTGGATCACCTGAGGTCATGAGTTCAAGGCCAACCTAGCCAATATGGTGGAATCCCGCCTCTACTAAAAATACAAAAATTAGCCTGGTGTGGTGGTGCACACCTGCAATCGCAATTACTTGCGAGACTGAGCCAGGAAAATCGCTTGAACCCGGGAGGTGGAGGTTGCAGTGAGCTGAGATTGTGCCACTGCACTCCAGCCAACAGAGCAAAACTCAATCTCGAAAAAGAAAAAAAGTCAGTGAACTGATATTTGTAAAGCTCCCAAGCATCGCGTAAGTGCCGGTAGGGGCTGATGATGCTACCTGTATCCCCTCGCTCACCTGAGCTCACCTGCAGCTGCAGAAGAGATGGTTTCCAGTTGACTCAGCACTTCCTATTTCAGGGGCCCGAATTGCTCCGCTTCTCCACCTGGGGGCGCTCTTCAGCTCAACCAAACACAGGCTCACCCTGGAAATGTCGGGGGAGTTCCAGTACGGAGGGCCACCTCAACCAGTCACGTTAGGAGTTGTTTGGATAAAAGCCTCAGGCTCCCCACCCTCCACTGGGGCTTCATGACATATACTCCTCACGGTCTCCCAGAGGAGCCCCATTTGCGCACAATAATCTGCACCTTTTGCTGGTTCTGGCCTTCCTGTACCCTTCGCTCCCTCTCCCTCCCAGTGATTCCTGACATCATCTCCCAGGGCTGGGACTAAGACCAGGCAAGCAAAGCATCACGAGGGTGAAATGAGCTGGGTGCAGTGGCTCAGGCCTGTGATCCCAGCGCTTTAGGAGGCCAAGGTGAGAGGACCACTTGAGGAGTTCGAGACCAGCCTGGGCAACATAGCGCGACCCCATCTCTACAAAAAATTAGAAATTTAGCTGGGCGTGGTGATGCACACCTGTGGTCCCAGGAAGGTGAGGCAGGATTGCTTGAGGTGGGAGGTCAAGGTTGCACTGAGCTATGATTTAGCCACTGCACTACAGCCTGGGCGACAGGGAGTGACACTCTGTCTCAAAACAAAACCAAAAGAAGTTTAAAATTTTAAAAACCACTTCAACTGTTGAATGAATAAACATAGATGGTATACCCACACGATGGATTATTATTCAACTATAAGAAGGAACAAAGCATTGATGCATACTACAACATGAAACAGCCTCAAAAACATTATACTCAGCCAGGCCGGTGGCTCACGCCTATAATCCTAGCACTTTGGGAGGCCAAGGAGGGAGGATCTCTTGAGGTCAAGAGTACAAGACCAGCCTGGCCAACATGGTGAAACCCTGTCTCTACAAAAAATACAAAAAACAAATTTAAAAAATTAGCCCGGTGTGGTGGTGCATGCCTGTAGTCCCAGCTACTCTGGAGGCTGAGGCAGGAGGATCTCTTGAGCCAGGGAGGCAGAGCTTATAGTGAACCAAGAGTGTGCCACCACACTCCAGCCTGGGCAATGGGAGAGAAACCCTGTCTCAAAACACAAAAACGAAAAACTTTATGTTTAGTGAAAGAAGCCAGACACAAAAAGTCACATATTGCATGATCCCATTTCTGTGAATCATCCAGAATAGAATGTAAACGAATATACAGAAAGCAGATTAGTGGTTGTCGGGGGCTAGGGAGCAGGATGAATGAGGAGTGACTGCTTACTCGACACAGGGTTTCCTTTTGGGTGCCGAAAATGTCTTGGAACTAGATAGAGGTGGCGTGGGTGGTTGCACAGCATTGTGAATATACTCAGTGCCATTACATTGTTGACTTTAAAATAGTTAATGGTTAATTTTATGTTGTGCGAGTTTCACCTCAATAAAAACTATTTATTTATTTACTTATTTATTTATTTTTGAAGATGGGGTCTCCCTCTGTTGCCCAGGCTGGAGTGCAGTGGTATCATCATAGCTCACTGCAACCTCAAACTCTTGGGCTTGGGTGATCCTCCTGTCTCAGCCTCCTGAGTAGCTGGGACTACAGGCACATGTCACCATGCCCAGCTAATTTTCTTTAATTTTTATAGAGATGGCTGGGGGCGGGGGGGAGGGTCTCCCTATGTTGCCTAGGCTGGCCTCAAACTTCTGATCTCAAGGGATCCTCCCACTTCAGCCTCCCAAAGGGCTGGGATTGCAGGCATGCATGAGCCACTGCGCCCATTCTATATATATACACACACACACACATATTATACATATGATATATCATATGTATAAGAGATGTATACATATGATATATATTATATATGTGTATTGTATATATAATGCACCCATTCTATATATATATACACACACGCACACATATTTTATATATATATATAATATGTATACATATTATATATATATATATATATACACACACACACATATATAAAAGCTGAGTGTCTTTTTTCTCACTGCCCTGGACCTGGAATCCTTGGCCCAGTGCTGGAACTCATTGTGGGATCATCCACCTTGCATCTCCTCCAGGGAGCGGAGGTCTGTTCAGTCCTAACAGCCATGTGCCCTTTAATTCCTAAACCACAAAGAGGACAATTTGTGCTTATTTATTGAAGCCCTAGCCTGTGTAAGGCCCTGTGCCAGACTCTCTAGAGGGACTTTCTCATTCAATCCTCTTACCTCCTCTTACTTCTACACCTCACCCGTTTAATTTTTCTTCACCATGCTCCCCACCAGCTGGCCTTACGTTGTACATATAGATTTGTTCATTATTGTCTTTCCTCGCCAGAATGTAAGCTTTGTGGGGGCAGGAATTTTGTCTGTGTCATTTACTATCATCTCCCCAGCGCCTGGCACTGATCAGATGAAGGAATCTTGCCAGGTAGGCCTTAGCACCCCCATTTGACAGATGGGGGGATGCAGGCTCAGCGATTTGCCAACATCCTGTGATTAGTAAGTAGCAGAGACTGAATTTAAACTCAGGGGCTCCTGGGGGCACAGCCCACGCTGCAGGGAGCTTTCCCTCATCAGCTTCCTCTACATTGCTGGGATGAGTTTGAAGTCTGAAAATTAAAGGCATAAAGGCGATGACTCATCTCTTAGACAAAGAAGAGGAAAATCAGGGCCCAGAGCTGAGTCATCATTTCCACTTCCCACTATGCTGACTCATTCAGACCTCCGGCTCTTGCTCTCCCAGAGCTTGTTGCTGGGAGAGCGGCCAGGCGCTCAACATAGTCCCTGGCTCCCTTCTTATTTGACCTTCCAGACTGCCCTATTGGCTGGGACAGTCTGACCCAGACACAAGCTTGGATGTGGGTCCAGGCCAGCACTCCCCAGAGAGCCCTGCAGATCTGGAGGCAAGACTCCAAGACTGTTGCAAGATCACAGCACTGGCAGCAGAGAGGCTCCTGCCTTGCAGGGGCTTCCTGCTAGGAGGTTTTCTTGGATGGATGGGCACCTGCAGTAACTGTGTGCACACCTGACTTATTTAAATTTTGAAAGAACTGTGGGCATATATGACTGATTAAATTTTGAAAGAACACAAGCCTTGACATCAGAAAGAAGTGACTTTGAAGCCCAGCTCTGCCCCTTATTAGCTGTGTGACCGTAGGCACACTACTATACAACTCTGTGCCTCAGTGTCCTCATCTGAAAAATGAGGTCATAATATTGTCTACTTGCTAGGGTTGGCAAGAGAAAGGCGTGAGACATTTTGAGTGAGAGCTCTTTGCACAGCCTAAAGAAGGAAGAAACACACTTTAAAGTCATAAAGGCAACTGAGGACTGAACCCCATGGTAGAGATGGGATGGAGTGGAGTTGGGGGAAAACAAGGTTCTGTGTGCCAGGCCAGGCTGACCAGGGGGTCTAAGGCTGAAGGTGGACAAATGGCTTAACCTCCAGCAGCTTACCTTTCTCCAGCTGCACAATGATCATGCTAGACTCTGCCCTGTCTCACACAGAATGAGAATATTCCACAGAAGGAAAAATGTTAACTGACATCATGGTTGGGGATTTGGAAGTGGAGAGTATTAAAAATATCACCCAAGTAATACATGAATCTATGTTTATTGTGAAAGATTTTAGCAATCTGGATTTTAGCAAAATGTGGAGTCCCTTTTCACGAGCTTCCACTATCTACAGTTTGGAGCACATCCTTACAATCTCTCTCTCTCTCTTTCTGTCTCTCCATTTATGTATATATGTGCACAGGGCTAATAGCTAACACTAGTTGGGCATTTTGATACATATCAGGCCCTGCTCTAAACACTTTACATGGATTCATTTATTTAGTCTTCACAAAACCCCATGAGGCAAACTCTATTATTAGCTCTACTTTACAGAGGAGAAAACTCAGGCCCAGAGAGGTAAAGTAACTTCCCCAAAGTCACACAGCTTCAGAGAAAAAGAGCTGGGATTGAAACCCAGGCAGCCTGGTTCCAGAGTCTGTTCACAACCATTGCATTCTATTGTCTCTCGAATATTCTCTTTTTTCCAAAAATGGGGTCATACCTTGTGCATATTTTGCATTTTGCTTTTTGTATTTAATAAATCTTGGAGAGCACCTTATGTCTCTCCATGTTTCTCTGCATTTAATGGTGGTGCAGTCCTATGTGGCATTCTATAGTGCAAAGATGAACTGTTAGGGGGTTTCCACTGTTTCATTTTCACAAATAATCCTTTGTCAATTGTCACTTGCACATACATCCTTGGGCACCCGTGCATTGATTTCTAGGGATTTCTAGAAGTAAGGAGTTAAATCTTCGAGAAATATTGTCAGATTGACTTTCCAAAAGGATGCTTCCATTTACACTTGATCTTCTGTGTGTGGCCAATCCCCATGCTCTAGCCAACACTGGATAGCGCTGTCACTTACAGCTCCTCTGATGGGGGAGGTGGGAAAGAGATGTGTCATTTGACATTTCACTTGGCACTTAGCATTTTCTCGAGCATCTTTTTTTTTTTTTTTTTTGAGACAGGGTCAGGCTGGGCATGGTGGCTCATGCCTGTAATCCCAGCACTTTGGGAGGCCGAGGCGGGCAGGTCACCTGAGGTCAGGAGTTTGATACCGGCCTGGCCAACATGGAGAAATTCCATCTCTACTAAAAATACAAAGGTAGCCGGGTATGATGGTGCATGCCTGTAATCCCAGCTACTTGGGAGGCTGAGGCAGGAGAATCGCTTGAAGCTGGTAGGTGGAGGTTGCAGTGAGCCAAGATCACACCATTGCACTCTAGCCTGGGCAACACGAGTGAAACTCCATCTCAAAAAAAAAAAAAAAAAAAAAAAGAGAGAGACAGGGTCTCACTGTGTTGCCCAGGCTGGAGTGCAGTGACACAATCACAGCTTACTGCAGCCTCCACTTACTAGGCTCCAGGGATCCTCCTGCCTCAGCCTCCGGAGTAGTTGGGACCACAGATGCAAGCCACTATGCTCAGCTAATTTAAAATTTTTTAATTTTTGTGTAGAGATGGTGTCTTGCTATGTTGCCCAGATTGGTCTCAAACTCCTGACCTCAAGTGATCCTCCTGCACTGGACTCCCAAAGTGCTGGGATTATAGGCATCAGCTACTGCTCCTGACCTCCTCTAATGTTTTTCGTTTTTTTGAGATAGAGTTTTGTTCTTGTTGCCCAGGCTGGGGTGCAGTGGCACGGTCTTTGCTCACTGCAACCTCTACCTCCCGGTTTCCAATGATTCCTCTGCCTCAGCCTCCCAAGTAGCTGGGATTACAGTTGCCTGCCGCCACGTCCGGCTAAGTTTTGTATTTTTAGTAGAGACGGGGTTTCACCTGTTGGCCAGGCTGGTCTCAAACTTCTGACCTCAGGTGATCCACCTGCCTCAGCCTCCCAAAGTGCTGGGATTACAGGCATTAGTCACTGCACCCGGCCCTGTAATGTTTATAATGACTATTTCCATGTTGTCCTCTGGGAATGGCCTGTCAGAGCCTGTTAGGATCATGGACAGTTAATGTTTTTCTCAGTGCACCCCAATTTCCTTTTATTTATTTATTTATTTATTTTTTTGAGATGGAGTCTCACTCTTGTTGCCCAGGCTGGAATGTAATGGCACGATCTCAGCTCACTGCAACCTCCACCTCCCAGGTTCAAGCGATTCTCCTGCCTCAGCCTCCTGAGTAGCTGGGATTACAGGCATGTGCCACTACACCCAGCTAATTTTTTGTATTTTTAATAGAGACGGGGTTTCGCCATGTTGGCCAGGCTGGTCTCGAACTCCTGACCTCAAGTGATACACCTGCCTCGGCCTCCCAAACTGCTAGCATTATGGACGTGAGCCACTGTGGCTGGCCGAAATGCAGGGATTCTGAGTCTTGCTGGTATCATTATCTGAGACCCTGGATCCAGCCATGTCCACAGTCTAACAACATCTGAACTTCCCCATTGTGTACGTAACGACTTTTTTTGTTGTTGTTTTAAATGTTTTTTAAACTTTATTTTATTTTTTTGAGACAGAGTCTCACCGTCACCCAGGATGGAGTGCAGTGGTGCCATCTCGGCTCACTGCAACCTCTGCCTCCTGGGCTCAAGCGATCCTCCCCCCTCGGCTTCCCAAAGTGCTGGGATTAGAGGTGTGAGCTCCTGTGCGTGGCCGAATGTGTTTTAAACAGCTTAGTTTGGGGTTGTTGATTTGTTTTTGTTATTTTTTCCATCGTGCAATGAGTCCTATTTGATCCACAGGCCCAGAGGAAAGAAAACAGATTCACATTCAGCTAAACTTTGCTCTCAAGTCTGAAGACGTGGGTTTATATCTATGCCTGCTGGAAAGTTATTTGGAGGGAGGCAAGGTAGGTATAGAAAAGATAGTGCTTGGGTATGGCGGCTGTGCCGATAGTCCCAGCTACTTAGGAGGCTGAGGGCAGAGGCTCCCATGAGCCCAGGAGTTCAAGACCAGCCTGGACAACATACTGAGACCCCCGTCTCTACAAAAAAAATTTTTTTTATATTAGCAAAGTGCCGGGTGCAGTGGCTCACGCCTGTAATCCCAGCACTTTGGGAGGCTGAAGCGGGCAGATCACGAGGTCAGGAGATCGAGACCATCCTGGCTAACACAGTGAAACCCAGTCTCCACTGAAAATATAAAAAATAAGCCAGGCATGGTGGTGGCTGCCTGTAGTCCCAGCTACTCGGGAGGCTGAGGCAGGAGAATGGCGTGAACCCAGGAGGCGGAGCTTGCAGTGAGCCGAGATCGCACCACTGCACTCCAGCCTGGGTGACAGAGCAAGACTCCATTTCAAAAAAAAAAAAAATTAGCAAAGCATGGCCAGGCGTGGCAGCTCATGCCTGTAATCCCAGCGCTTTGGGAGGCCGAGGTGGGTGGCTCATTTGAGGTCAGGAGTTCCAGACCAGCCTGGCCAACATGGTGAAACCCCATCTCTATTAAAAATACAAACATTAGCCAGGCATGATGGCAGGTGCCTGTAATCCCAGCTATTCAGGAGGCTGAGGCAGGAGAATTGATCAAACCTGGGAGGTGGAGATTGCAGTGAGCTGAGATTGCACCACTGCACTTTAGCCTGGGCGACAGAACGAGACTCTGTCTCAAAAAATAAAAAATTAGCCACGTGTGGTGGTGCCTGCCTGTAGTCCTAGTTACTCGAGAGGCTGAGGCAGGAGGATTGCTTGACTCCAGGAGTTCGAGGCTGCAGTGAGCTCTGACGGCGCTACTACACTCCAATCTGGGTGACACGGTGAGTCTCTGTCTCAAAAGACAAAAAAAAAACAAGGCCTGGCTTAGCAGATCCTTGGAGACTTTGTTATATAAGCAAACAGCATGGGCGGTAGAAATGAACAGACGTTCTCATTACTTTTGTTTGACTCAGGTTTTCTCACTTGTTGGGGGTGGGGAGGGGGGCTGCTATAAGTGGGCTGGTGGCTCTTTTTTGTGAAATGAACTGCAGCTGTCACTGGGAAAGGCTTTTACACGCTCTGTGAACAATTTCCTTTGAATTCTGATTTTTTTTTCCAAATAAAAATGAGTGCTCTTGAGATTAGTCAGAGGTCCCAGGCAGGGGGAGAGGAGGCGGATAAATGTGATGATGCTGGTGTTTCGCCACACAGCAAGAGTGGGGTAGCGGGGAAATGTAGTGGAAAGAGTCTTGGATGCCTATGTTCAAACCCTGACTTCCGTGCTCATTAGCTGCACCCGTTTTTATGACTTCGGACTTATAAGCTGCTCCAGTTTTTATGCCTACCCCAAAATTCAGTGACATAGAGCAACCATTTATTATGGATACGGTTGAATGGGTCAGGAATTCAGACACAGAGCATCCATGATGACAGCTTGTCTCTGCTCCTTTTTGTCTGGAACCTCAGCTGGAAAGCCAGGGTCTGGATCATTCAAGGCTCCCTCCATCCCTCCCTCCCATGTGAGTAAGAGGATGCTCCTTGTAGGCGGGGCCTCAGTGCCTCTCCACGTGGATCTCTTTGTGTGGCTGGCTTGGGCTTCCTCACAGCATGGCGGCTGGGTTTCAAGGCCAAGCATCTGGAAAGAAAGGGAGACAGGTGGAAATCAGATCACCTTTCACGGCTTAGTTTTGGAAGTAATTTCTCCCATATTCTGTTCACTGTGGCAGTCACAACGTCCTGACCAAGTTCAGATGCAGAAGAAATAGATTCTGCTTCTTGATAATGAGGAATAAGGCTTTGGAAAGGCATATGGGACCATATATATATATTTGAGAGAAGGTCTGGCTCTGTCGCCCAGGCTGGAGTGCAGTGGCATGATCTCAGCTCACTGCAACCTCTGCCTCCTGGGCTCAAGTTATCCTGCCACCTCACCCTCCCAAGTAGCTGGGACTACAGGCAAGTGCCACCACACCCGGCTAATTTTTTTTTGTTGTTGTTGTAGAGACCAGGTTTTACCATGTTGCCCAAGCTGGGCTTGAACTCCTGAGCTGAAGTGATCCTCCCACCTCGGCCTCCCAAAGTGATGGAATTACAGGTGTGAGCCACCATGCCCAGTCTTTTCTTTCCTTATATCTTTATTCTATAGGCTTTTTTTCTATTTTTATTTATTTTTTATAGAAATGGGGTCTTGCTATGTTGCCCAGGCAGGTCTCAAACTCCTGGGCTCAAGTGAGCCTCCTGCCTCAGCCTCCCAAAGTGCTGGGATTACAGGCATAAGCCAGCATGCCTAGCCTTTAAGCTTTTTAATATTTTAAATAATTTGTTAATTTGTTAAAAACAAAAACACAGGCCAGGCGTGGTGGCTCACACCTGTAATCCCAGCACTTTGGGAGGCCGAGACAGGTGGATCACCTTAGGTCAGGAGTTCGAGACCAGCATGGCCAATGTGGTGCAACCCCATCTCTACTAAAAACTACAAAAATTAGCCAGGCATGGTGACAGGCACCTGTAATCCCAGCTACTCAGAAGGATGAAGCAGGAGAATTGCTTGAACCTGAGAGGCAGAGGTTGCAGTGAGCTGAGATGGCACCACTGCACTCCAGCCTGGGCGACAGAAGGAGTCTCCATCTCAAAAAAAAAAAGAAGAAGAAGAAGAAGAAACATATTAAATTGTGTTTACTCTTTGAACCAACAATTTTGCATCCAGGAATTTAGTGAAGGGTGTACCCAAAGATTGGGCCACAAAGGTTTCTTCTGTCTTTCCTTCCTTCCTCCCTCCCTTCCTTCCCTCTTTCCGTTCTTTTTTGTAGAGATGGGAGTTTCCCTATGTTGCCCAGGCTGGTCTCGAACTCCTGGGCTTAGGCCATCCTCCCACCTCAGCCTCCTAAAGTGTTGGGATTACAGCCGTGAACCACCGTGCCCGGACTTCAAAGGTGCTTTCTGTCCCAGCTTTCCAGAAATGCAAAATATTGAAGCCATTCAAATATTAGCAAAAAGGGATGATTTAAGTAAACAATGGTGCATTTATGAAATGCAATGCGATGCGGCCAGAAAAAAAATGTAGCAGCGCAGTTGGTTAACAACCGCCTGCAGGCTGAATGTAGCCCCCACCCCCACCTGTTTTTATTCAGTCTGTGAGCTAAGAATAGTCTCTACTTTTTAAAAAATGGTTAAAAAATCAAAAGACATGAAAACTATATGAAATTCCAATTTCAGGGACTGTAAATAAACTTTTATTGGAATGCAGCCACACTTACTCATTTACGTATCGCCTGTGGCTGTTTTCACACTGCAAGAGCAGGGTTGAGTAGCTGCTACAAGGAACATGTGACCTGCAAAGCCAAATGTATTTACTTTCTGGACCTTTACTGAAAAAGTTTGCCGACCCCTGCCATAGAATATCTGATGGCGTGCAAATAAAACAATATCTTATGTACAATATACTATTGCTTTGGTAATAGGAAAAGCATATATCCAATGCCATATTGTACAGAAAAAATGCTGGAATGAATACATGCTAACATGAACACTTATCTCTGTGAGTGGAATCACAGATTTTTTTCTTTTTTTTTGAGACAGAGTCTCACTCTGTTGCCCAGGCTGGAGTGCAATGGTGCGATCTCGGCTCACTGCAACCTCCGTCTCCTGGGTTCTTCCACCTCAGCCTCCCGAGTAGCTGGGATTACAGGTGCCCGCCACCATGTCCATCTAATTTTTGCATTTTTACTAGAGACGGGGTTTCACCAAGTTGGCCAGACTGGTCTCAAACTCCGACCTCAGGTGATCCGCCCGCCTCAGATGATTTTTATCTCCTAATTTTTGCATGGTTGAATTTTTGTTCAATTTATGTACTGCACAAGTACAGGTTTTTAATAAGGAAAAAAAAAAAGAGTGCTGCCCCTCTCCTCTGAACTCTGCAGTTCCTTGGCTGAACTGTGTTCACTTTGTCCTTCTTTGCCTCAGCAATCTCTTCCTTCCAGCTTCATCTTGCTCTCCACCCTTTTCTACTTTTCACTCATTATCTTACTTCTTCCTTCAAAATTCAGCCCAGACCTCTTCACCTGCTCCAAGAAGCCCTTCCTTGATTTCCCCAGGCCAGCTTAGGGGATCTGCTCCCCACTCTTAATAGTGCCCTGGGTTATCTTGCTTGTTGCTCTCATTACACTACATTGTAATGACTTATTTAAGCGTCTGTCTCCCTAACAAGGCTGCAAGTTTTTGAGGGACAAGTTCTTATTTATATTTATTTATACTCAAGAAAGGCCTAGAACATAAATATATTTATTTGTATTTATTTATACTCAACAAAGGCCTAGAACATGATAGGTTCTCAAATAAATAATGGATGAATGAAATACGATTTGAATGAATGAATAAATGAATGAATTGGACTGATGCTGGAGATACAAGCAGATAGACTGGGAGAAGCTTTCTAGAAATGAGGCACTTAAGCAAAGCCTCAGTGGATGACCAAGAAGGCAGCATGCAGATATACAAAGGAAGAAAGAACATTCTTGACAGAGCTACATTTTTATTTTTAAAATTTTTATTTTTTATTTTATTTTATTTATTTGTTTATTTTGAGACAGGGTCTCGCTATGCCACCCAGGCTGAGTGCTGTAGCACAATCTCAGCTTATTGGAAGCCTCTGCCTCCTGGGCTCAAGGGATCTTCCCACCTCAGCCTCCTGAGTAGCTGGGACTAGAGGCCAGCATTTTTTATGCTTGCATAAATGTCTTTGTAAATGCGTAGTAAAAAAGTCTGGTGAGATACAGGTTGGAGAGGAAGCAGCACAGGAAACACCCAAGCACTAGCAGGCCATGAAGATTCAGCACTGTGGACAGGGACGTGTCTCTCTCTCTCTCTCTCTCTCTCTCTCTGACCCCCACTCCTGATCGTAAGTTGGTTCGGTTTATGGTAGAGACAAAGAGGGCTAAGATAGACATTACCTTCAAGGAGCCCACAGTCTTATGGGAGACATCACTATGCAGTTGCATAACTTAATAATGACATATGTGAATTACATTATTAGTAAAGAAAAAAAGAATAGCAATAGGCCAGGCCTGGTAGTTTACACCTATAATCTCAGCACTTTGGGAGGCCAAGGAGGGTGAATCACTTGAGGTCAGGGGTTCGAGACCAGCCTGGCCAACATGGCAAAACCCCATCTCTACGAAAAATGCCAAAAACTAGCCGGGAGTGGTGGCGGGTGCCTGTTATCTCAGCTACTCAGGATGCTGAGGCAGGAGAATCACTTGAACCCAGGAGGCAGAGGTTGCAGTGAGTGAAGATTGCGCCCCTGCATTCCAGCTTGGGTGACAGAGCAAGACCCTGTCTAAAAAAAGAAAGAAAGAGGAAGGAAGGAAGGAAGGAAAACAGAAAGAAAGAAGAAAAGAAAGAAAAATAATAGCAATAATGGTCATCATTATCATTTGTTTATTTTGAGAAGCAAGGTCTCATTCTGTCACTCAGGCTGGAGTACAATGGCACAGTGATAACTCACTGCAGCCTCCAGCTACTGAGTTCAAGTGATGCTTCCACTTCAGCCTCCTGAGTAGCTAGGACTATGGGTGCGCACCACCATGACTGGCTAATTATCCTTTATTTCCTTTTTTTTATTTTTTTTTGGAAAATGGGGGTCTTGCTATGTTGCTCCGGCTGGTCTTGAACTCCAGGCCTCAAGTGATTCTCCCACCAGAGCCTCTCAGAGTGCTGAGATTACAGGTGTGAGGCACCATGCCTAGCACATTAACATTTGTTTTTACTGCTTTTTGGGTTTTCTTTTTTTTCTTTTCTTCTCTTTTTTTTTTTTTTTTTTTTCCGACAGAGTCTCGCTCTTTCTCCAGGCTGGAGTGCAGTGGTGTGATCTTGGCTTACTGCAACCTCCACTTCCTAGGTTCAAGTGATTCTCCTGCCTCAGCCTCCCAAGTAGCTGGGACTACAGGTGCCCGCCACCACACCTGGCTAATTTTTGTATTTTTAGTAGAGACGGGGTTTCACCATGTTAGCCAGGATGGTCTTGGTCTCTTGACCTTGTGATCCGCCTGCCTCGGCCTCCCAAAGTACTGAGATTACAGGTGTGAGCCACTGCACCCAGCCATTTTTATTATTATTTTTTGAGATGGAACCTCACTCTGTCATCCAGGCTGGAGTGCAGTGGCACGATCTCAGCTCACTGCAACCTCTGCCTCCCAGGTTCAAGTGATTCTTCTGCCTCAGCCTCCTAAGTAGCTGGGGTTAGAGGTGCCAGCCACTTGCCCGGCTAATTTTATGTTTTTAGTAGACACAGGGTTTCCCCATGTTGGCCAGGCTGGTCTTGAACTCCTGACCTCAGGTGATCCACCCGCCTCAGTTTCCCAAAGTGCTGGGATTATAGGTGTGAGCTACCGCGCCAGGCCCATTAACATTTATTGAGTGCACTATGCTAAGCACTTTGTATGCTTTGTCTCAGTTAATCTTCATAATCATATATATATATATTTTTTAGATGGAGTTTGACTCTTGTTGCCCAAGCTGGAGCGCAATAGCATGATCTTGGCTCACTGCAACCTCCACCTCCCAGGGTTCAAGCGATTCTCCTGCCTCAGCCTCCCAAGTAGCTGGAATTATAGGCACGTACTACCATGCCTGGATGATTTTTTGTATTTTTAATAGAAACAGGGTTTCACCATGTTGGCCAGGCTGGTCTCAAACTCCTGACCTCAGGTGATCTGCCTGCCTCAGCCTCCCAAAATCACATTTTCATTGAGATACTCTTGTTATTCTGTTTTATAGATAGAGAAACTGAGGCTCAGAAAAGTGAATTAGCAGGAGTCAAAATTTCATGACCTTACAAGTACACATCTTGAAAACTAAGAAAAGCTCTAGATGTGGTATTTGGGTAGCAAATTTCCTGGGGCCAGATAGCACATTCCGCCCACTGACCTTGCTCACACTGAATTTGCTTGTTGTTGGCTGTTCATTTATTCATGCCTCAACAAGGAATTGCTACTGAAACTTACTTATCTTCTACTCATTACAGGACAGGAAAAATAAGCAGGTGCCTCCTGGCCCAAGGTGGCTGTGACTTCTTAGAGGACCATGGCCACATCATTTTTTTTTTTTTTTTGAGACAGTCTCACTCCATTGCCCAGTTCTAGAGTACAGTGGTGCTATCTCGGCTCAATGCAACCTCAGCCTCCTGAGTTCAAGCGATTCTCCTGCCTCAGCCTCCTGAGCACCTGGGATTACAAGGGCCCGCCACCATGCCCAGCTAATTTTTGTATTTTTTTACTAGAGACAGAGTTTCATCATGTTGGCCAGGCTGGTCTCGAACTCCTGACCTCAAGTGATCTACCCGTCTCGGCCTCCCAAAGTGCTGAGATTAGAGGTGTGAGCCACCGCACCTGGCCTAATTTTATTTTTTTGAGACAAGATGTTGCGCAGGCTGGTCTTGAACTCTTGGCCTCAAGCCGTCCTCCTCCCTTGGCCTCCCAAAGTGCTGGGATTACAGGCATGAGCCACCTTGAATGACCTGTACTTGGTAGGTTGTTTGTTTGAGACGGAGTCTCTCTCTGTTGCCCAGGCTGGAGTGCAGTGGCACGATCTCGGCTCACTGCAACCTCCGCCTTCCAGGTTCAAGCAATTCTTGGGCCTGAGCCTCCCAAGTAGCTGGGATTACAGGTATGTGCCACCACATCCAGCTAATTTTTGTATTTTTAGTAGAAACAGGGTTTCACCATGTTAGCCAGGTTGGTGTTGAACTGACCTCAAGTAATCCACCCACCTTGGCCTCCCAAAGTGCTGGGATTACAGGCATGAGCCACCACACCCAGCTGACCCTTCTCTTAAACCTATACATACAATATGTGTGTGTGTGTGTGTGTGTGTGTATATATGTATATATGTGTGTGTGTGTGTATATATATATATACACACATATACATATACTTCTATGACATATGTATATAGCATAGAAGTTAGATCATTCTAGGCATGTGGTTCTGCAGCTTGCTATTCCAACCGGATGTATCTGGCAGACAGTTCTATTTAAGGGTGTTCTCTGCCTCATTCTTTATGAAGGCAGCATGACAATCCAGCCATAGTGCAGGAGTCTCATGATTTATTTGTCAAGTGTTCAACGGATGTATTTGAACATTCTTTTCAGTTTTTTGAAATGACACCACTTTGGGCACACTCAAGCAATCGTTGGACGAGGATTGCTTGTGAGAAATGAACTGAATCGCAAGAGAGCCCAGGTTTGGATTTGGACAGGTATTGCCCTGCAAAAAGAGGGTACCAAGTGACAGTGCCTTTTTCCAACACAAAATGAGGATGGCCCTTTCCCTATAGCCCTCCTCCTGCCCCTACACTTTGCATTATCAAAACTTTTCATCTTTATCCGTTGATATGGTTTAGATTTGTGTCCCTGCCCAAATCTCAATTTTTTTTTTTTTTTGAGATAGGGTCTCACTCTGTTGCCCAGGCTAGAGTGCAGTGGCGCCATCTCTGCTCACTGCAAGCTCCGCCTCCTGGGTTCATGCCATTCTCCTGCCTCAGCCTCCCGAGTAGCTGGGACTACAGGCGCCCACCACCACACCCAGCTAATTTTTTCTATTTTTAGTAGAGACAGGGTTTCACCCGGTTAGCCAGGATGGTCTCTATCTCCTGACCTCGTGATCCGCCCGCCTCAGCCTCCCAAAGTGCTGGGATTACAGGCATGAGCCCTTGAGCCCGGCTGTCCCTGCCCAAATCTCATGTCAAATTGTAATCCCCAGTGTTGGAGAAGGGACCTGGTGGGAGGTGATTGGATTATGGGGGTGAATTTCCCCCTTGCTGTTCTCATGACGTGAATGAGTTCTCACAAGATATGGGTGTTTAAAAGTGTGTGGCACCTCAGCCAGGTGCAGTGGCTCACACCTGTAATCCCAGCACTTTGGGAGGCAAAGGTGGGCAGATCACCTAAGGTCGGGAGTTCAAGACCAGCCTGGCCAACATGGTGAAATCCTGTCTCTACCAAAAATACAAAAATTAGTCGGGTATGATGGTTGGTGCCTGTAATCCCAGCTACTTCGGAGGCTGAGGCAGGAGAATCATTTTAACCCAAGAGGCAGAGGCTGCAGTGAGCTGAGATTGGGCTACTGCACTAAAAAAAAAAAAAAAAAAAAAAAAAGGATATGGCACCTCCCCCTTCTCTCTTCCTCCTGCCCTGGCCATGTAAGCCATGCCTCCTTCCCCTTCACCTTCTGCCATGATTGTAAGTTTCCTGAGGCCTCCCCAGCCATACTTTCTGTACAGCCTGAAGAACTGTGAGCCAATTAAACCTCTTTTCTTATAAATGACCCAGTTTCAGGTATTCCTTTATAGTCTGTGTGACAACAGACTAATACACCAATCACATAATAGGAATATGATCTCCTGTTATAATCTATATATTTCCTTCCTTCCTTCTTTTATTTCTTTTTTTTTTTTTTTTTGGTTTGTTTGTTTGTTTGATACAGTGGCTCACTCTGTCACCTAGGCTGGAGTGCAGTGGTGCGACCTTGGCTCACTGCAACCTCCGCCTCCCAGATTCAAGCGATCCTCCTGCCTCAGCCTCCTGAGTAGCTGCGACTACAGGCATGCACCACCATGCCCGGCTAACTTTTGTATGTTTTGTAGAGATGGGGTTTCACCATGTTGGCCAGGCTGGTCTTGAACTCCTGGGCTCAAACGATCCTCCCACTTCAGCCTCCCAAAGTGCTGAGATTACATGAGCACCACGTAATCTCAGCTGAGCTGAGATTATTTGAGCCACCAATCTACATGAGCTGAGATTATTTGAGCCACCATGCCTGGCCTACAATCTGTATTTTTAAAATGATGTTTGATCTTTTTTTATAATTAAACAAATCTATACACTTATAAATAGACATTTAAATAAATTACATTGAGAAGAGGAAGACTGCAATGAGATGTTTCCTGTAGACCTACAATGGGACAGACTCGCCCAGGAGCAGAGCTTCCGGTGGAAATGCAATACATTCCACGAGCGGAGGTTCTCAACCCTGGCAGCACATTCCATTTACTTGGGTTTCAGAAAACCAATGTCCAGGCTGGGCGCGGTGGCTCACGCCTGTAATCCTAGCACTTTAGGAGGCCAAGGCAGGTGGATTGCCTGAGCTCAGGAGTTCAAGAACAGCCTGGGCAACACGGTGAAACCCCATCTCTACTAAAATACAAAAAAATAGCTGGGCATGGTGGCAGGCACCTGTAGTCTCAGCAACTTGGGAGGCTGAGGAAGGAGAATTGCTTGAACCCGGGAGGCGGAAGTTGCAGTGAGCTGAGATCACGCCACTGCACTCCAGCCTGGGTGACAGAGCGAGACTCCGTCAAAAAAAAAGGAAGAAAGGGAAGGAAGGAAGGAAGGAAGGAAGGAGGGAGGGAGGGACCGAAGGAAGGAAGGAAGGAAGGAAGGAAGGAAGGAAGGAAGGAGGGAGGGAGGGACCGAAGGAAGGAAGGAAGGAAGGAAGGAAGGAAGGAAGGAAAGGAGGGAGGGAGGGAGGGAAGGTCCCTCCTCCACCCACATTTGGGAAGAGAAGATCCCAGAGGATTTTGAGATCCCACTTGAGAGATCCCAGAGGCTCCCTTTCGCCACCAGAGGGCACTTGTCTAGTCTCTTAAGCCCAAGATTAGCTTGGGAGACCAAAGACAAGGCTTCTGCAAGAAGGGAAACCAAAGGAATTTCAGGTCCTAGGGCCCAAGAGTCCATAAAATCAAAAGCAAGTTAGTTACCTCATAGATACAATGGGGGTACAGACAATGGATAAATACATCATTCCAAATGGGAGAGAGTGGCTGAAATAAGGGGGCTACAGGCCCCACGCAAGTCTGAAATCCAACAGGGCCGTCAAATCTTAAAGCTCCAAAATAATCTCCTTTGATTCCATGACTCACATCCAGGTCACGCTGATGCAAGAAGTGGGTTCCCATGGTCTTGGGCAGCTCCGCCCCTGTGGCTTTGCGGGTACAGCCTCCCTCCCAGCTGCTTTCACGGGCTGGCGTTGAGAGCCTGCAGCTTTTCCAGGTGCGTGGTGCATGGTGGATCTACCATTCTGGGGTCTGGAGGACGATGGCTCTCTTCTCATAGCTCCACTAGACAGTGCCCCAGTGGGAGCTCTGTGTGGGGGCTTCAACCCCACATTTCCCTTCTGCACTGCCCTAGTGAAGTCATCCCTGAGACCTGAGAATTCTGGACCCTGTGGCCACCACAGGAGCCCATGCATTGGCTTCCTTTTTTGTTTTTTGTTTTTTTGGGTTTTTTTGACAGAGTTTTGCTCTGTCACCCGGGCTGGAGTGCAGTGGGGCAGTCTCGGCTCACTGCAACCTCTGCCTGTTGGGTTCAAGTGATTCTTGTGTCTCAGCCTCCCAAGTAACTGGGACTACAGGTAACCACCACCACCACCACCATGCCCAGCTTGTTTTTCGTTTTTGTTTTTTATTGTTTTTTTTTTTTTGAGATGGAGTTTCACTCTGTTGCCCAGGCTGGAGTGCAATGGCGCAATCTCGGCTCACCGCAACCTCCACCTCCCAGGTTCAAGCGATTCTCCTGCCTCAGCCTCCCAGGTAGATGGGATTACAGGCAGGCACCACCACGCCCGGCTAATTTTGTATTTTTAGTAGACATGGGGTTTCTTCATGTTGGTCAGGCGGGTCACAAGCTCTTAACCTCAGGTGATCCGCCTGCCTCAGGCTCCCAAAATGCTGGGATTACAGGCGTGAGCCAGCACACCTGGCCATTAATCCTTTTTTAATTAAGTTTTGCATACGATGTGAAGTAGGGATCCAACATCATTTCTTCTAATGTGGATATTCAGTTTCCCTAATACTGGCCTGTTGGTTTAACTGGTGGTTCCCCTCCTTATGTTGTAGTGTCTATGTGAATTCATTAGGTGGAAGTGCCTTTTTCAGAATTGGGATGGGAGGTGGAGATTGCAGTGAGCCGAGATCGTGCCATTGCACTCCAGCCTAGGCAACAAGAGCGAAACTCTGTCTCAAAAAAAAAAAAAGGATTGATGACCCAGACATAAGAACTAAAAACATAAAGCTCTTTTTTTGTTCTTGGGTTTTTTTGTTTTGTTTTGTTTTTTCTTGAGACAGAGTTTCGCTCTGTCGCCCAGGCTGGAGTGCAATGGCGCCATCTCTGCTCACTGCAACCTCCACCTCCCAGGTTCATGTGATTCTCATGCCTCGACCTCCCAAGCAGCTGGGATTACAGGTGCGCACAACCACATCCAGCTGTTTTTTGTTTTTTTAGTAGAGACGGTGTTTCACCACGTTGCCCAGGCTGGTTTTGAACTCCTGACCACAGGTGATCCACCTGACTCAGCCTCCCACAGTACTGGGATTACAGGCGTGAGCCTCCACGCCCAGCCAAAAACATAAAGCTCTTAAAAGAAAGTATAGACATCGGCCGGGTGCAGTGGCTCACGCCTGTAATCCCAACACTTTGGGAAGCCGAGGCAGGTGGATCATTTGAAGTCAGGAGTTTGAGACCAGCCTGACCAACATGATGAAACCCCATCTCTACTAAAAATACAAAAACTAGTTGGGTGTGGTGGTGTGCACCTGTAATCCCAGCTGCTCAGGAGGCTGAGGCAGGAGAATCGCTTCAACCCGGGAGGTGGAGGCTGCAGTGAGCCAAGATAGCGCCACTGCGCTCCAGCCTGGGCGACAGAGCGAGACGATGTCTAAAAAAAAAAAAAAAAAGAAAAGAAAAAAGAATTCTTACAAGTCAACAACAAAAAGACAAACTATCTGATTTTAAAATGGTCAACAGTTGAAGAGACATTTCTCCAAGGAAAGTATACACATCTTCAACAAAGCACATGAAAATATGCTCAACATCAGTAGCCATTAGGGAAATGCAAATCTAAACCACAATGAGATACTGCTTCACACCCACTAGAATGGTAATAATTTTAAAAATGGAAAATAGCAAGTGTGGGTGAGGATATGGACACATTTAGAACCCTCGTGCATTGCTAGTGAGAATGTAAATGGTGCAGCTGCCGTGGAAAAGTTTGGCAGGTCCTCCAAAAGTTAAACATAGAGTTACCATATGACCCGGCAATTCCACTCCTAGGTACATACCCAAAAGATTGAAAATAGGTCTTCAAACAAAAACTTGTATATGAATGTTCATAGTAGCAGTATTAATGATAGTGGATAAAAGTGGAAACAATCTTTATGTCCATCAATGGATGAATGAATAAACAAACTGTGATATACCTGTACAATGGATCATTATTCTGACATAGAAATGAGCTACTGCCAGGCACGGTGGCTCACACCTGTAATCCCAGCACTTTGGGAGGCCAAGGCGGGCGGATCATCTGAGCTCAGGAGTTCAAGACCAGCCTGGCCAACATGGCGAAACCCTGTCTCTACTAAAAAATACAAAAATTAGCCGGGCATGGTGGTGCAAGCCTGTAGTCGCAGGAAGTAGCCAGACATGAAAGGTCACATATTGTGTGATTCCATTTGACACTTTCAAAATAGGCAAATCCATAGAGATAGAAAACACAGCCAGGCGCAGTGGCTCACGCCTGTAATCCCAGCACTTTGGGAGGCCGAGGCAGGTGGATCATGAGGTCAGGAGTTCAAGACCAGCCTGGCCAAGATGGTGGAGACCCCTCTCTACTAAAAATACAAAATATTAGCCAAGCACGGTGGCAGGTGCCTGTAATCCCAGCTACTCGGGAAGCTGAGGCTGGAGAATCGCTTGAACCCGGAATGGGGGGCGGGGGGGGTGTTGCAGAGGTTGCAGCAAGCCTAGATGGTGCCACTTCTCTCCAGCCTGGGCGACAGAGTGAGACTCTGTCCCAAAAACAACAACAAAAGAAAAACAGATTGGTGGTTGTCAGGGACTTGGAAGAGGAGGGAATGGGGAGAAATCGCTTAATAAGAGTTTTCTTCTGAGATGAAGAAAATGTTTTGGAGAGATATTAGAAATATTAGGTATCTCTAGATAAAGAGATACCTCAGCCAGGTAAAATGACTCACATTTGTAACCCCGGTACATTGGAAGGCCGGGCAGACAAATCCCTTGAGCCCAGGAGATAGAGAGCAGCCTGGGTAACATAGTGAGACCCCATTCCTACAAGAAATTTTATTTTATTTTATTTTATTTATTTATTTATTTTTTTTTTTTGAGAGGGAGTTTTGCTTTTGTTGCACAGGCCTAGAGTGCAGCGGTGCAATCATGGCTCACTGCAACCTCTGCCTCCCGGGTTCAAGCAATTCTCCTGCCTCAGCCTCCCGAATAGCTGGGATTACAGGCGTGTGCCACCACACCTGGCTAATTTTTTTTGTATTTTTAGTGGAGACGGGGTTTCACCATCTTGGTCAGATTGGTCTCCAACTCCTGACCTCAGATGACCCACCTCCCTTGGCTTTCCAAAGTTGCTGGGATTACAGGTGTGAGACACCACACCAGTCCCTACAAGAAATTTTAAAACTTAGGCATAGAGGCAGGCACCTGTGAGCCCAGTCACCTGGGAGGCTGAGGCAGGAGGATTGCTTGAGCCCAGGAAGTGAATGTGGCAGTGAGCTAGGATGGCACCGCTGCACTCAAGCCTGGGCAACAGAGCCAGATCCTGTCTCGAAAAAAAGAGAGAGAGAGAGATCTCTAGATAGAGGTGGTGGTTGCACAACATGATGACATGCTAAATGCCACTGAATTGAGACGGTTAATTTTATGTGATACAAATTTAATTTTCACAAAAAAAGAAGGAAAAACATTTTACTATATAAAGAAAAAGAAAAAGATAGGGAGGCCCCAGGTAGGTAAGTACTTAGAAAGCTAGGTAGACAAGGCCAGGTGCAGTTCACCTGATGTCGGGAGTTCGAAACCAGCCTGATCACATGGAGAAACCCCATCTCTACTAAAAATACAAAATTAGCCAGGTGTGGTGGCGCATGCCTGTCATCTCAATTACTGAGGAGGCTGAGGCAGGAGAATCGCTTGAACTCAGGAGGCAGAGGTTGCAGTGAGCTGAGATCACGCTATTGCACTCCAGCCTGGGCAACAAGAGCGAAACTCTGTCTCAAAAAAAAAAAAAAAAATCGAAAAAAAAAATAAAGCTAGGTAGACAAACGATGTGACCAATTGATTAGGCACAAATGTTACCCTCTTCCTATTATCCCCTTTCCAGAACTTCAACCCAACACCCAACATAGAACCTGACACCTAAATTCAAAAAGTCTATGGCCAGGCAAGGTGGCTCATGCCTGTAATCCCAGCACTTTGGGAGGCGGAGGCAGGCAGATCACTTGAGGTCCAGAGTTCAAGACCAGCCTGGCCAAGATGGTGAAACCTCGTCTCTACTAAAAATACAAAAATTGACCGGGCGTGGTGGCTCATGCCTGTAATCTCAGCACTTTGGGAGGCCGAGGCAGGCGTATCGCCTGAGGTCAGGAGTTCTCCACCAGCGTGGCCAACATGGTGAAACCTCGTCTCAACTAAAAATACAAAAAAATTAGCTGGGCGTGGTGGCAGGCGCCTATAATCCCAGCTCCTCAGGGGGCCGAGACAGGAAAATCTCTTGAACTCAGGAGGCGGAGGTTGCAGTGAGCCGAGATGGCGCCATCGCATTCCAGCCTGAGGGACAAGAGTGAGACGGATCTCAAAAAAAAAAAAAAAAAGAAAAAGAAAAATACAAAAATTAACCGGGCGTGCCTGTCACAGCTACTCGGGAGGCTGAGGCAGGAGGATCGCTTGAACCCGTGAGACGGAGGTTGCAGTGAGCCGAGACTGCACCATTGCACTCCAACCTGGGCAACAGAGTGAGACTCTGTCTCAAAAATAAATAAATACATAAATAAATAAAAATAATAATAAAGGAAAGAGAATTACAAACTAAAGGTCTGAAAATCAGAATTTAGCCCAGAAATGTATTTTTGTTTGGCTGGCAAAATGCTTTATTTAAAAAATTGAGTCACCATTTAAAACTCAACAAACATCAACTGCAGATTTCCAATATCTCTTGAAAATTGCTAAAATGGGTGGGGCTGGTGGCTCATGCCTGTAATCCCAGCACTTTGGGAGGCAGAGGCAGGAGGATCACTTGAGCTCAGGAGTTTGAGATCAGCCTGGGCAACATAGAAAGACCCCGTCAATTTTTAAAAAATTAATAAAAAGACAAATGAAAATTTCTGGCCAGGCACAGTGGCTCATGCCTCTAATCCCAGCACTTTGGGAGGTCGAGGAGGGTGGATCAGTTGAGGTCAGGAGTTCGAGACCAGCTTGGCCAACCTGGTGAAACCCCATCTCTACAAAAAAATACCCAAAAAATTAGCTGGGCATGGGAGGCGGAGCTTGCAGTGAGCTGAGATCGCGCCACTGCACTCCAGCCTGGGCAACAGAGCAAGACTCCGTCTCAAAAAAAAAAAAAAAAAAAAAAAAAAGATTAGCCGGGCATGGTGGCAGGCCCCTATAATCTTAGCTACTCAGGAGGCTGAGGCAGGAGAATCGGTCGAAGCCTGGAGGAGGAGGATCTCAGCTCACTAGCCGAGATCGTACCACTGCACTCCAGCCTGGGGTGACAAAGCAAGACTCCATCTCAAAAAAAAAAAAAAAATTTCTAAGATGTGGCAACACTGTGCCCACACCTCCCCTGGCAACAAGCAGCCAGAATTCAACAGGAGCCGCCTCTTTAGAAAGGGCATGCAACCCTAGTTCGCCACAGTCTCCACCCCTCTCTACTGTTGCCCAGGGATGAGGCTGAAATTAGAATTTCAAATGGATTACCTTTACATTTGAACTGCTGTTTTTCTTTCAGCAAAGCAGTATTTCTCAGTATCCACTATTTCTCAGTATCAGAATTGAGAAAGAAAGGTGGAAGGCATTTTGGCATTTGAAGAGTAACCCGAAGTACTGTATTATGCAAAGAAAGATTACTCGAGGCTCCCGGGCATTTAGTTCCGGGAACATAACTTTTTGAACTTTAGATTCTTGCTGAAACCTGTCAGAAGCTGACAAGACAAGGAGGGAGGGGGCTGAGTGTAGGGGAAGGTGGAGAGAACAGGAGTTTCTAGAATTCAGTTTGCGGCGTCCTCGCTACAATCTCAGCTGTTAAGGAAAGAAAGTGAATTCCTTGAGGCTCTGGGAAATTGGAGATGGACAAACTGCTGTTTTCTTATGGTTCCTGAATGGGGCTATGGTTTTTGGCATACGCTAATTATATGAGACAAGAGAAGGAATTTTTCAGCACTATGTGTTAAAAGGTGACTACAGCCATGTGCCACATAAGGACGTTTCAGTCAACGATAGACTGCAAATACAACGGTGGGCCTATAAGATTATAATATCAGGCCGGGTGCGGTGGCTCACGCCTGTAATCCCAGCACTTTCGGAGGCCGTGGGGGGCAGATCACGAGTTCAGGAGATGGAGAACATCCTGGCTAACACAGTGAAACCCTGTCTCTACTAAAAATACAAAAAAATCAGCCGGGCGTGGTGGCGGGCGCCTGTAGTCCCAGCTACTCGGGAGGCTGAGGCAGGAGAATGGCATGAACCTGGGAGGCAGAGCTTGCAGTGAGCCGAGATAGCGCCACTGCACTCCAGCCTGGGCAACAGAGCAAGACTCTGTCTCAAAAAAAAAAAAAAAAAAGAGATGATAATATCAGGTTTTGGCCGGGCTCGGTGGCTCATGCCTGTAATTCCAGCACTTTTGGAGACTGAGGAGGGCAGATCACTTGAGGTCAGGAGTTTGAGACAAGCCTGGCCAACATGGTGAAATGCCGTGTCTACCAAAAATACAACAAATTAGCCAAGCACGGTGGTAGATGCCTGTAATCCCATCTACTTGGGAGGCTAAGGCAGGAGAATCGGTTGAACCCGGGAGGCGGAGGCTGCAGTCAGCCAAGAGTGCACCATTGTACTACAGCCTGGGTGACAGAGTGAGACTCCATCTCAAAATAATAATAATAATAACAATAAATAAATAATAATAGCAGGTTTTTACTGTACCTTTTCTATGTTTAGATAATCAACTACTTCCCACTGCATTACAAATGCCTTTCAGCACAGTAACATGCAGTATAGGTTTGTAGCATTGGAGTAATAGGCTAGACCTATATCCTAGCTGTGTAGTAGGCTAGACCATCTAGGTTTGTGCAAGTGCACTCTGTGATGCTCCCCCAATGACAAAATTGCCTAAGGACTCCTTTCTCAGCACATGCCCCGTTGTTAAGCGACGCGTGACTGTATTTGACTAAATGCATTTTTTGCTCTTCCATAAGTAGTGTGTTACCACTCTTAAGAATGACTAGGCCAGTCGCAGTGGCTCATGCCTGTAATCCCAGCAATTTGGGAGGCTGAGGCAGGTGCATCATTTGAGGTCAGGAGTTCAAGACCAGCCTGGCCAACATAGAGAGACCCCCATCTCTACTAAAAAAAAATACAAAAATTAGCCACGTGTGGTGGTGTGTGCCTGTAATCCCAGCTATTCAGGAGGCTGAGGCAGGAGACTCGCTTGAACCTGGGAGACGGAGGCTGCAGTGAGCGGAGATTGTGCCACTGCACTACAGCCTGGGCGACGGAGCGAGACTCCACCTCAAAAAAAAAAAAAAAAAAAAAAAAAAGGAATTACTGGACTGTGGCTCACACATGTAATCACAACACTTTGGGAGGCCAAGGCAGGCAGATCATTTGAGTCTAGGAGTTTGAGACCAGCCTGGGTGACATGGCGAAACCCCATCTCTACAAAAAATACAAAAAATTAGCTGGGAGTGGTGAGACATGCCTATATTCCCAGCTACTCAGGAGGCTGAGGTGGGAGGATAGCTTGAGCCTGGGAGGTCGAGGCTTGCAGTGAGTTGTGATCACACCACCGCACTCCAGCCTGGGCAACAGAG
Organism: Homo sapiens; assembly: GCF_000001405.40. Classification (NCBI taxonomy): domain Eukaryota; kingdom Metazoa; phylum Chordata; class Mammalia; order Primates; family Hominidae; genus Homo; species Homo sapiens. The sequence continues at coordinate 9,025,374 of NC_000016.10, read as the reverse complement.
AGAGACCCCGTCTCAACAACAAAAAAAGAATTATTGGCCGGGCGCGGTGGCTCATGCCTGTAATCCCAGCACTTTGGGAGGCCGAGGTGGGTGGATCACGAGGTCAGGAGATCGAGACCATCCTGGCTAACACGGTGAAACCCCATCTCTACTAAAAATACAAAAAAAAAAAAAAAAAAAATAGCCGGGCTTGGTGGTGGGCACCTGTAGTCCCAGCTACTCTGGAGGCTGAGGCAGGAGAATGGCGTGAACCTGGGAGTTGGAGCTTGCAGTGAGCGGAGATCGCGCCACTGCACTCCAGCCTGGGAGACAGAGCGAGACTCCATCTCAAAAAAAAAAAAAAAAAGAATTATTAAATGGAAAGGCATTTTTTTAAAGATATGACCAAAGAGTGAATAAGGAAGATGGGATTATTGTTGATGCACTTCTCTAGGTAATGCGTTCAGGGATTTTCCATCTGCTGAGTATTCTCTCTGTATCTCCTCTTCCTGTCTCTGAATTCAAACATTCATTGCCTCTGGGGAGATGTGTAGCAAGGGATCCTGTATCACACAGAAATAATCTTTTGAGCTTTTGTTTTCAAAAGTCTAAAGCACATTATATGCAATCGTATCCAGGCTGTATCATTAAGTAAAGTATGATGCAGAACAGCTTGTTTCATTTGCTAAAGTTCATGTGGAGGATAAAAAGAAAACTGTGGAGCCCCTGGACCCAAAGGGCTTTTTGGATAAATGTTTTTGTTGTTGCTGTTGCTGTTGTTGTTTTGGTTTTGTTTTGTTGAGACAGGGTCTCATTCTGTTGCCCAGGCTGGAGTGCAGTGGTGCCATCTCTGCTCACTGCAGCCTCCACCTCCCAGGTTCAAGCGATTCTCCTGCCTCAGCCTCCCAAGTAGCTGGGACTACAGATGCACACCACTACGCCCGGGTAATTTTGTATTTTTAGTAGAGATGGAGTTTCTCCATGTTTGTCAGGCTGGTCTCGAACTCCCAACCTCAGGTGATCCACCCGCCTTGGCCTCCCAAAGTGCTGGACCTACAGGTGTGAGCCACTGCGCCTGGCCAACTGAGGTTTTTTTGCAAGTGTAATTATGAGGTCGGGTGTGGTGGCTCACGCCTGTAATCCCAGCTACTATATATTATAGACAGTATCTATATAATCCTTAATACACTTAGCATATAGTTGGCATATAGTAGTACACATTAAGGCTATGATTAATTATATGAGGTCAGTATTATAGACCCTATTTTACAGTAAAGGAAAATACATCGTTCAGAAAACACAGTGAACTTTTTAAGGTCACCCTGCAAATAAGTGGCAAAGCAAAGATTTTAATTTAGGATTATTGGCCTACAAAGGCCACACAACCTGTAGTGTGCTAGTAAATGTTTAAAACCAGCCTTCCAGGTATAGTTTGGATAAATTTGGCTGATATTTAAATTTATATTAACAAGTGAGACGAAAGTGAAATGAAACAATGATAGTGTATATTGGAACTTTGCTTTTTCTTTTTTCTTCTCTTTTTTTTTTTTTTTTTTTTGAGACAGGGTCTTGATCTGTCACCAGGCTGGAGTGCAGTGGCATAATCTCAGCTCACTGCAGCCTCAACCTCCTGGGCTCAAGTGATTCTCCCACCTCAGTCTAAAGAGTAACTGGGACTACAGGCACACACCACCATGTCCAGCTAATTTTTGTATTCTTTTTTAGAGACAGGGTTTTGTCACGTTGTCTAGACTGGTCTTGAACTCCTGGGCTCAAGGGGTTCACCTGCCTTGGCCTCCCAAAGTGCTGGGATTACAGGTGTGAGCCACTGCATTCAGCGAACTTTGCTCATTTGTCAATGTGACCAACATGTTTGTTGAATTGGATCTTGAATATTGCAAGATTTTTCTCCATTTGTTGTACTATTCACAATGGAATGGTTACAGATATGATACGCTTTGAGTTTGACCTGCCTTATTAACATTCTCTCAGGCCGGGCGTGGTGGCTCACTCCTGTTATCCCAGCACTTTGGGAGGCCGAGGCGGGTGGATCACCTGAGGTCAGGAGTTCAAGACCAGCCCGGTCAACATGGTGAAACCCCATCTCTACTAAAAATTAGCCGGTATGGCAGCACGTGCCTGTAATCCCAGCTATGTGGGAGGCTGAGGCAGGAGAATCGCTTGAACCCAGGAGGTGGTAGTTGCAGTGAGCTGAGATACTGGTATTGCACTCCAGCCTAGGCAGTAGAGTGAGGCTCCGTCTAAAAAAAAAAAAAAAAAGTCTATCACTTTCTCAAACCCGGACAATCAACTCAACAAATAAAGCCAGGGTTTGTAGTATCTGCTGATGGCTCTTTTGTAAATACTCCCACTATGGTTGATTTTTTTTTTTTTTTTTTTCATAAACAGGGTCTTACTCTATCACTCAGGCTGGAATACAGTGGTCGCTATATTGCCCAGACCTGCCTTGAACTCCTGGCCTCAAGCGATGGTCCAGCCTCGGCCCCCAAAGCACTGAGATTACAGATGTGAGTCGCCGTGCCTTATAGGCAGCCCTAGGTTAGTTATATCGACCTGGCAGTCTGATTCCTGTGCCCAGTTACTACTATATATAGACCACAAACTGAACTGTGCAAGCACATCACTTTCTTAGATTTCTAGAGTTCAAGTTCATTTCTTTCTTTCTTTCTCTTTCTTTTTTTTTTTTTTTTTTTTGTGAGACAAAGTCTTGCTCTGTTGCCCAGGCTAGAGTGCAGTGGCACAACCTTGGCTTACTGCAACCTCCACCTCCTGGGTTCAAGCAATTCTCCTGCCTCAGCCTCCTGAGTAGCTGGGACTACAGGCGTGTGCCACCACGCCCAGCTAGTTTTTATATTTTTAGTAGAGACGGGGTTTTGCCATGTTGGCCAGGATGGTCTTGAACTCCTAACCTCAGGTGATCCCCCTGCCTCAGCCTCCCAAATTGCTGGGATTAAAGGCGTAAGCCACTGCACCAGACTCAAGTTCATTTCTATTTGAGCCATCGTTGAGCTAGGCCAAACTCAAGCCCAAGCCCAAGTCCTTCCTGGTACTCCCACCCCTCTCCACACCTGAGCTACGGTCCTGGAGGGTGGCATGGTACCAAAGTGCCCCTCTGTCATTTATCAACACAGGTTGCCATGGAGACATCCACCATCTTGGTGCATGTGGCCTTTTAGGTTCTAGAATTCTCTGCTGATTCTATGTCCTACTCAGGGCTCCAGGAACCCTGGGTTCAGTCTTAGCTCTGCCATTTACAAGTCCCTTCACCTCTCTCTCTGAGTCTTTGCCTCCTCACCTGTAAAAGGGGGATGAAAGAAGCTGTGGTCAAATTAGCCAGGCATGGTGGTGCTTGCCTGTAATCCCAGCTACTTGGGAGGCTGAGGCAGGAGAATCACTTGCACCTGGGAGGCAGAGGTTGCAGGGGAGCCGAGATCACGCCACTGCACTCCAGCCTGGGTGACAGAGCAAAACTCTGTAAAAAAAAATAAATAAATAAAAACAACAACAAGTAATATTTGAGTAGTGTAGAGAGTGAGAAGTCTCCCTCCTTCGCCTGTCTCTCTTCCCCAGTTTCTCAGCCCAGTTGCCAACATTGTTACTGGTTCCTTTTGTCCTTCCAGAAAGCATCTACATATATCCTAGCAACTAGTTCTATATATTCTCTCCCTTCCCACATGCACACTGTTTTTTAATTTTCTTAAGAAAAATTCCAAACATACACCAAAATAGAGAGAATGGCACAATGATCCCACTTGTGGCCCCATCAGCCAGCTTCAACCACTGGCCACTCATCACCAGTCTTGTGTTACCTCTACCTCCACCTAATTCCTACTCCCACTAGATCAATTTGAAGCAAATTTCAGACATTCTTATTATTTCAAACATAAATATTTCAGAATAGACCCCGAACAGGGCACAGTGGCTCATGCCTGTAATCCCAGCACTTTGGGAGGCCGAGGTTGGCAGATCATGAGATTAAGAGATGGAGACCATCCTGGCCAACATGGTGAAACCCTGTCTCTACTAAAAATACAAAAATTTGCTGGGCTTGGTAGTGCCCGCCTGTAATCCCAGCTACTCGGAAGGCTGAGGCAAGAGAAACGCTTGAACCCGGGAGGCGGAAGTTGCAGTGAGCGGAGATCACGCAACTGTATTCGAACCTGGAGACAGAGTGAGGCTCCATCTCAAAAAAAAAAACCAAAACAAACAAACAAAGAGGCAATGTTACCAGGGTGAGGTGGGAGGATCACTTAAGATCAGCCTGGTCAACACAGAGAGACCCTGTCCCTACAGAAACTAAACAAAACCATAGTTACAACATCATCATCACAGCTAGCAATTTTAACAGTATGTCTTGGTCTGTTTGTTCTGCTATAACAAAATACAACAGACTGGGTAATTTATAAATAAGAGAAATTTATTTTCTCATAGTTCTAGGGGCTGGGAAGTTCAAGATCAAGGTGCCAGCAAGTTTGGTGTCTGGTGATGACCCATTCCTTGTAGATGTCACTGACTAGGTGTCCTCACGTAGTGGAAGGGATGACAGGCTAAAAGAGCCCAACCTTGTTTCCTCCAGCCCTTTTATAAGGCACTAGTCCATTCACGAGGGCAGAGAAGGCCCCATCACTTAATATTGCCACAGTAGGGATTAAGTTTAAGCACGAATTTTGGAGGGAACACACTAAAACCATAGTTCAGTAATTCCTCAATGTAATAAAATATCCAGACCAGGCGCAGTGGCTCACACCTGTAATCCCAACACTCGGGGAGGCCAAGACAGGTAGATCAACTGAGGTCAGGAGTTCAAGACCAGCCTGACCAACATGGCAAAACCCCATCTCTACTAAAAATACAAAAATTAGCCAGGCATGGTGGCACACACCTGTAATCCCAGCTACTCAGGAGGCCGAGGCAGGAGAATGCCTTGAACCCAGGAGGCGCAGGTTGCAGTGAGCTGAGATGGCACCACTGCACTCCAGCCTGGGCAACAGAGTGAGAATCTGTCTGAAATTAAATAAATAAATAAATAAATAAATAAATAAATAAATAAATAAAGGCCAGGTGCAGTGGCTCATGCCTGTAATCCCAGCACTTTGGGAGGCCAAGGTAGGCAGATCACAAGATCAGGAGTTCCAGACCAGCCTGACCAATATGGTGAAATCTCGTCTCTACTAAAAATACAAAAATTAGCTGGGTGTGGTGGCAGATGCCTGTAGTCCCAGCTACTTAGGAGGCTGAGGCAGGAGAATTGCTTGAATCTGGGAGGTGGAGGTTGCAGGGAGCCGAGATCATGACACTGCACTCCAGCCTGGGCGAGACAGTGCGACTCCATCTCACATAAATAAATAAATAAGTAAATAATCCAGTTTAGTGATCAAATCTCTGAGAATGTTTTACTGTTTATTTGGATTAAAATTCAAATAAGGGGCCAGGCACGGTGGCTCACGCCTGTAATCCCAGCCCTTTGGGAGACCGAGGTGGGCAGATCATGAAGTCAGGAGATGGAGACCATCCTAGCCAACACAGTGAAACCCCGTCTCTACTGAAAATACAAAAATTAGCTGGGTGTGGTGATGCACGCCTGTAATCCCAGCTACTCAGCAGGCTGAGGCAACAAGAATCGCTTGAACCTAGGAGGTGGAGGTTGCAGTGAGCTGAGATCATGCCACTGCACTGCAGCCTGGTGTCAGAGTGAGACTCCATCTCAAAAAAAAAAAAAAAAATCCAAGTAAGGTTCAAACATTACAATTGATTGATATTGCTAATCTCTTATTTATTTATTTATTTATTTTTTATTTATTTGAGATGGTGTCTTGCTCTGTCGCCAGGCTGGAGTGCAGTGGCACAATCTTGGTTCACTGCAACCTCCGCCTCCTGGATTCAAGCGATTCTCCTGTCTCAGCCTCCCGAGTAGCTGGGACTACAGGCGGGCGCCACCATGCCTAGCTAATTTTTGTATTTTTAGTAGACATGGGGTTTCACCATGTTGGCCAGGATGGTCTTGATCTCCTGACCTTGTAATCCACCTGCCTCGGCCTCCCAAAGCTCTGGGATTACAGGCATGAGCCACCATGCCTGGCCCCTCTTTTTTATTTTTTAGAGACAGATTCTTACTGTGTCACCCCCGCTGGAGTGCAGTGGTGCAGTAATAGCTCACTGCAGCCTCAAACTCAAGAGCTCATGCAATCCTCCTGCCTCGGCCTCCTGAGTAGCTGGGGCCACAGGTGTGCATCATCATGCCTGGCTAATTTTTAAAAAAACGTTTTGTAGAGACGGGGTCTTACTGTGTTGCCCAGGCTGGTCTCAAACCCCTAGCTTCAAGCCATCCTCCCACTTCAGCCTCCCAAAGTGCTGGGATTATAGGTGTGACCCAATGTGCCCGGCCACCATGGCTGGTTTTAAGTTACCAACATGAGATGATGTAACGTTGATGATGGGAAGAGATGTACAGTGGCACACCATGATACAGTGTCCCCATCATACAGATGAAACAGATATAAATAACTCAAACACACAGATAATGCTAAAATGTAATAGAATAATTAGAAAGTGATGAGTTTTGAGTACTTATTATCTTCACTTTTTTTTTTTTTTTCTTGAGATGGAGTCTCACTCTGTCATCCAGGCTGGAGTGCAGTGGCATGATCTCGGCTCACTGCAACCTCCACCTCCCAGGTTCAAGAGATTCTCCTCCCTCAGCCTCCCGAGTAGCTGAGATTACAGGTGCCTACCACCACACCCAGCTAATTTTTGCATTTTTAGTAGAGACGGGGTTTCACCATGTTGGCCAGGGTGGTCTCAAACTCCCAACCTCAGGTGATCCACCTGCCTTGGCCTCCTAAAGTGCTGGGATTACAAGCTTGAGCCACCACATCCGGCCTGGATATGCTGTATTTACCAACTAATAGGCATTTCTTTTATTTCCATTTTTTGGCTGTTGTAAACAATACAACGAAATTTTTGAAGACTTAACAATCAGTTCTCACAAGCTGGTATGGGCTGGCTCCAGCACAACCCTGCACACAGCGGCTGTTTCTGAACCAAGAAAAAACAGGCAGATTCATGCTCAGAAGAAAATACCAAGAACAATTCCCTTTTTTTTTCTTTTCTTCTGAGATGGAGTCTTGCTGTGTCCCCCAGACTGGAGTTCAGTGGCGCAATCTTGGATCACTGCGAACTCCACCTCCCGGGTTGTAGTGATTCTCCTGCCTCAGCCTCCCCAGTAGCTGGGACTACAAGCCTGCACCACCACGCCTAGCTAATTTTTGTATTTTTAGTAGAGACAGGGTTTTGCCATGTTGGCCAGGCTGATCTACAAACTCCTAACCTCAGATGATCCACCCACCTCAGCCTCCCGAGTAGCTGGGATTATAGGCATGAGTCACTGCACCCGGCCGCCAAGAATAATTCTCATAGGGCTAGAGAATCTCCCTAGCATTGAGTACCAAGCTGTTAAAACCTGGAGATTTGTCTTCCAGAGCCTCATTGTGAATGGGCGAAAAGAGGGATCTTGAAAGGCATCCACTAAAGGCACAGAAGGGCACACACAGCAGGGCAGGCACTGGCTAGGGAACCAGAGAGACCCAGCTCTGCCACGTTCTGGCTATGGGACTATGAGCAAGTCACTTCACCTTTCTGAGCCTCCACTTTCTCTTCTATAAAATGAGGCTGACTGGCCAGGTGTGGTGGCTCACACCTATAATCCCGGCATTTTGGGAGGCCAAAACGGATGGATCACCTAAGGTCAAGAGTTCGAGACCAGCCTAGCCACATGGCGAAGCCCCGTCTCTACTAAAAATACAGAAATTAGCTGGGCATGGTGGCGCATGCCTGTAATCCCAGCTATTCGGGAGGCTGAGGCAGGAGAATCACTTGAACCCAGGGGGTGGAGGTTGCAGTGAGCCCAGATCACACCACTTCACTCCAGCCTGGGTGAAAGAATGAGACTCTGTCTCAAAAAACAAAAAACCAGAAATGAGGCTGATTATACTGCCTACCCTAAAGGGTTGCTCTGAGCATTAAGTGGAATAACCATGCACAAAGTGCTAGGCACTTGTCTGAATTAGAGGAAGCATTTGATAACTACTAACTCCTAATATGGTCCTATCGTGTCCCTCCACTGATCCAGGACAGAATGATGGGGAACAACAGTATCTCCCTTGATTGGTCCCTTTCTCTGTCATGGCGCATTGTGGTGCCATCCTGACCCCACAGTGTGGCCAAAATTGGGCAATGAGTAAACAAATGCCCCAGAGGTGGTTGTTGTGCTCACTGAAGTCTCATGTCCAGGATGCCTCCGGGCTGCCAACTATGGGGAAGGAAGTGGTGAGAACACAGGCCATTCAGCAGCTCATTCACTTTGCAGACTTGCCTGCCCCATGGATAAACATGGTTGATAAAGACAAACAATGGCGATTGTTATTTGAAACATCCAAGGCAGAGAGAGCAAAACAATAATGTCTCTGAAAACTTTGAGGGTTTCTGGAAAGAGCTCTGGATTTGCAGCCAAGATTCCCTGTGACAGACCCTGGGTGACTTTGCTTTTTTTTTTTTTTTTTGAGACGGAGTTTCGCTCTGGTTGCCCAGGCAGGAATGCAATGGCATGATCTTGGCTCACCGCAACCACCACCTCCCGGGTTCAAGTGATTCTCCTGCCTCAACCTCCTGAGTAGCTGGGATTACAAGCATGCGCCACCATGCCTGGCTAATTTTGTATTTTTAGTAGTGACGGGGTTTCTCCATGTTGGTCAGGCTAGTCTCGAATTCCCGACCTCAGGTGATCCACCCACCTTGGCCTCCCAAAGTGCTGGGATTACAGGCATGAGCCACTGCGCCCGGTCTGAGATTTACTTCTAGCCAATACACTATGATATTGTTGTTGGATGCAATGGTTCACGCCTGTAATCCCAGCGCTTTGGGAAGCCAAGGCAAGAGGATCATTTGAGGCCAGGAGTTCGAGGTTACAGTGAGCTACTATTGCATCACTGCACTCTAGCCTGGGTGACAGAGTGAAACCCTGTCTCTAAAGAAAAAAAATAGAATATGACATTGCTAATATAATTAAGGTCAGAAACTGGGCTGGGCACAGTGGCTCACATCTGTAATCCTAGCACTTTGGGAAGCTGAGGCAAGTGAATCACTTGAACCCAGGAGTTTGAGACCAGCCTGGGCAATATAGCAAGACCCCAAGTCTACAGAAAATACAAAAATACAGGTGTGGTGGTGCACACCTGTAGTCTCAGCTACTTGGGAGGCTGAGGTGGGAGGATCGCTTGAGTCCAGAAGGCAGAGGCTGCAGTTAGCCAAGATCCCATCACTGCACTCCAGCCTGGGCAACAGAGTGAGACTCTCTGTTTTTTTCTTGTTTGTTTGTTTGTTTGTTTTTGGTTGTTTGTTTTTTTGAGACGGAGTTTCTTGTTGCCCAGGCTGGAGTGCAATGGCGTGATCTTGGCTCACAACCTCTGCCTCCCGGGTTCAAGCGATTCTCCTGCTTCAGCCCCCCGAGTAGCTGGGATTACAGGCATGTGCCACCACGCCCGGCTAATTTTGTATTTTTAGTAGAGATGGGGTTTCTCCATGTTGGTCATGCTGGTCTCAAACCCTCGATCTCAGGTGATTCTCCCGCCTGTACCTTCCAAAGTACTAGCATTACAGGCATGAGCCACCGCGCCCGGCCAAGTTATGATACTGGTTTGGCTGCTGTGACAAAGGTCAAACTAATAGGGGCTAAAATGAGATAAAGGTTTGTTTTTCTCTTAAGTCACCTCCATCCAGGACTGATAGGCCAGTTCCGCAGTGTCAGAGATTCAGGCTGATACATCCTAGTCCACAGTGGCTACTCCAGGCTGCGGTGGCTCACACCTGTAATCTCAGCACTTTGGGAGGCCAAGGCGGGCAGATCACTTGAGATCAGCAGTTCAGACCAGCCTGGCTAACATGGTGAAACCCCATCTCTACTAAAAATATAAAAAAATTAGCCTGGCGTGGTGGCGGGCACCTGTAATCCCAGATACTAGGGAGGCTGAGGCCTGAAAATCGCTTGAACCCAAGAGGTGGAGGTTGCAGTGAGCTGAGATTGTGCCACTGCACTCCAGCCTGGATGATGGAGTAAGGCTCTGTCTCAAAAAAATTTTTTTAAAAGGGCTACTGCAGCTGGGCGCAGTGGCTCTCACCTGTAATCCCAGCACTTTGGGAGGCTGAGGCAGGCAGATCACTTGAGGTCAGGAGTTTGAGACCAGCCTGGCCAACATGGTGAAACCCCGTTTCTACTAAAAATACAAAAATTAGCCGGGTGTGGTGGTGCACACCTATAATCCCAGCTACTCAGAAGGCTGAGGCAGGAGAATTGCTTGAACCAGGGAGGCAGAGATTGCAGTGAGGCAAGATTGCGCCACTGCACTCTACTCTGGATGACAGAGACTTTGTCTCCAAAAAAAAAAAAAAAAAGGGCTACTTCAGTACCCACCATCACACTAACAATCCAGCCAGCAGGAAGTAAAAATGGAGAGCATGCTTGTTTCTTTTAAGGCCACGACCTAGAAGTTGGACGTGTCACTTTGCTCACATTCTATGAGCCAGAGTTTAATCAAGTGGCAAACACGGTCTCCTCTGAGTGCTCAGGTAACACACAGGGACCTAGTACTGAAGAAAGAAGAGGAGAATGGCTATCAGGGGAAAGTTAGAATTCACTGCCACAAGCTGAAGGAAGAAAATCTCAGGCAGAAGGAATTACAATTGCATGCACACACAGGCTTTCAGAGCAAATGATACTTGAGCTGGGTATTAAAGATGTTTGGAGTGAGCTGGGTGGAGAGGGCAGCCTGGGTAGAAGCAAGGAGACCAGAAAGATGCCAGTGTCTGGAGACAAGAAGCCCAGTGTGCCTGGAGCACTGACAGCAACACAAATCTTGAGATGCAGCTGCCACCCTCCCTGTGTTATAGGTAAATAAAGCTCAGAGAGGTTCAGAAACTTGGCCAGGATCACAGGCTGGACTCTGTGAGGCTCAGGTGTAGTCAGGATTCAACTGATGAGGTCAAGAATCAAACCCAGGCTTATAGGATGCCTGCAGGCTTACAGTTTTTCTCTGCTCAGTAGGATTTTGGGTTTTGTTTTGTTCTCTGCATAAAATCACTAGTTCTCAGTCCTGGCTGCACATTATAAACACCTGAGAAGGTTTTTTTGTTTTTTTAGTATCCAGGTTGGTCATAGTGGCTCATGCCTGTGATCCCAGTGCTTTGGAAGGCTGACTTGGGAGGACTGCTTGAGGCCAGGAGTTTGAGACCAGCCTGGGCAATATAGTGAGACCCCAGTCTCTTAAAAAAAAAAAAAAAAAAAACTAGCTAGGTATGGTGGCATGCACCTGTAGTCCCAGCTACTCAGGAGACTGACGCAAGAGGATTGCTTGAGCCCAGGAGTTCGAGGCGGCAGTGATCCATGATCTTGCCACTGCACTTCAGCCTGGGCAACAGAGTGAGACCATGTCTTAAAATAAAAAAAAAAAGTCAGTGGGGTGGGCCACACCCCCCAGACCCATTGAACCAGGCTTTCTGGACATGGGGCCCAGCCATCAGTATTTTTTTTTAAAGTTCCCCACCTAATACCAACATGCAGTCAGGTTTGAGATCCTCCTATATCCGAGATCATGTTCTGGTGACCCCAGATTCCTTATTCCTACTGCCCAGATGGATGTGATTTCGTCATACCTCTTAATGCGAGTACCAGAAGATTCTAGAAGTTGGGGGAGGAGGCTTGCAGAATCCAAAGCAGAACAGCCCGTGTTCGCTCTGCTCCAGCACGAGGCCTGGGTGATTTATTCCCACGTCTTGCTGTCCCATTTGCAAGAAAAGGAACTCAGAGTATCTCCCTCCGCTGGTTTGCTCACTACGACTCCCACCAGGTGAGAAACAGGAGCCGGACTTGGCATGGGGGCAGGCAGGCAGCTGCTGCCGCCGCCTCCTCCTCCCGGGAGCTCAGTCCCAAAGTGGTCCAGCCTGCTTCCCTCCCACCCCTGCAGGCGGCAGATGGAGCTCGCGTCCTCCGCACGCACCGTCGTCGCCCCCAGCCGGCCCTGTGCTGGCAGAGAGGGGAGAGGGGACGCCAATGGGAAGAACAGCTCCCCCACTGCTGGGTGCGCCCGGATTAATTCTGTAGCCTGGGAAACGCAAAGGGTCTCCAGGGCTCTCCTCGCTTGGAGTCACTTTTTCCCTTTAACATCCAAATCCGGGAGCTCCAGTCCCCATCTCAGGACTCCCACCTGAAACTGAAGGCCTAGGGGGCGGTGTGGCTCATGCCTGTGATGCCAGCACTTTGGGAGGCTGAAGTGGGAAGATCGCTTGAGGCCAGGAGTTGGAGACCAGCCTGGGCAACACAGCGAGACCCCTGTCTCTCCAAAAATAAATTAAATTTTTTTTTTTTAGACAGTTTCGCCCTTGTTGCCCAGGCTGGAGTGCAATGGCATGATCTCGGCTCACCACAACCTCCGCCTCCCGGGTTCAAGTGATTCTCCTGCCTCAGCCTCCCAGGTAGCTGGGATTACAGGCATGCACCACCACGCCCAGCTAATTTTTGTATTTTTAGTAGAGACGGGGTTTCTCCATGTTGGTCTGGCTGGTCTCGAACTCCCGACCTCAGGTGATCCTGCTGCCTCGGCCTCCCAAAGTGCTGGGATTCCAGGCATGAGCCACTGCGCTCACTTTCTGTGCACTGTAGGCTGTTTAGCAGCACCCCTACCCTCAGCCAGCCAGATGCCAGGAGCATCCTGCCACCCTCCCCCTATTTATGACACCAAAAATGTCTCCAGACACAGCCAAATGTCCACTGGGAGAGGGAAGAATCACTCCTCCTTTGCCCGTCATCCCTATTTGAGGACTTCTGACCTGAAGAAGGAGGCTCTTAGCTGTGAGTAATTATGGACCACAGCGGCTGGGAAAACCAAGCTTGTGAATTCTGAATCTGGATTTCTTTCAAAGTAAGGCCCCCAAAGCGTGTTGTTTGCTGATCTAGAGAAACCCTGCACGAAACAAATTCTTACCTGACCCTGAAGCTTTCTGGGGTTTTGTTTGTTTATATTTTAATGCTGTGAGAATAAAATAGATGTTTATATGAAAATTTAAATTGTTTGGTTGGGCGAAGTGGCTCACGCCTGTAATCCCAGCACTTTGGGAGGCCAAGGCGGGTGGATCACCTGAGGTCAGGAGTTCGAGACCTGGTGAAACCCCGTCTCTACTAAAAATACAAAAATTAGCTGGGCGTGGTGGTGGGTGCCTATAATCCCAGCTACTCTGGAGGCTGAGGCAGGAGAATCACTTGAACCCGGGAGGCGGAGGTTGCAATGAGCCGAGATGGAGCCACTGCACTCCAGCCTGAGCAACAAGGCGAGACTGTGTCTCAAAAAAACAAATAAATAAATAATTTTTTAAAAAGTAAAGTGTTAACACATTCCCTAGTCCACAACAAGTGTCAAATAAAAAATAAAAATAGGCCGGGCATCGTGGCTCATGCCTGTAATCCCAACATTTTGGGAGGCTAAGACAGGAGGATCGACAGAGCTCAGGAGTTCAAGACCAGCCTGGACAACATAGTGAGACCCAGCCTCTACAGAAAAATTTAAAAATTAGCCAGGCATGGTGGCATACATCTGTAGTCCCAGCTACTTGGGAGCCTAAGGTGGGAGGATCGCTTGAGCCCAGGACGTTGAGGCTGCAGTGAGCCATGTTCATGCCACTTCACTCCAGCGTGAGTGACACAGCAAGACGTGTCTCAAAAACATAAAATAAAATAAAAATAATAAATAAGAAAGTGTCAGCCAGGTATGGTGGCTCATGCTTGCAATCCCAGCACTTTGGAAGGCTGAAGCGGGTGGACTGCTTGAGCTCGGGAGTTTGATACAAGAGTGGGCAACATAGTGAGGCCTTGTCTCAAATAATAACAATAATAAAGTGGCCAGGAGCAGTGGCTCATGCCTGTAATCCCAGCACTTTGGGAGGCCGAGGCGGGCAGATCACCTGAGGTCAGGAGTTCAAGACCAGCCTGGCCAACATGGTGAAACCTCGTCTCTACTAAAAATAGCCAAGTGTGGTGGTGGGCACCTTTAATCCCAGCTATTCGGGAGGCTGAGGCAGGAAAATCGCTTGAACCTGGGAGGTAGAGGTTGCAGTGAGCCGAGATCACGCCACTGCACTCCAGCCCGGGCAACAGAGTGAGACTCCGTCTCAAAAAAATAAATATAATAAAATAAAGTGTGACGCAAAAATGATGAGTTTTTTTGAAGTGAAACAAAACAGGTAGCATTTAGTTTCCCTTCTGAGCTAAGCACTGCATGGCACGATCATGGATCAGGATTTGGTTGTCACCTCTGCATCAAATTAGTGTCTTCGAAAGGTGCACTAAACTGTCCCTTTGATCCAATAATTGCCTTCTGCTGTAGTGATGCCACTACACTTCAGCCTAAACTTTTAGTTTAGTTCTCTGCTGGAACTAAAAGCCACTCACTGTTAACTCCTTCAGCCTAAAGAAAAATGTCATTTTGTCAGAACTGAAGTTCAGGAGATGATGACTTGCTGAGACTTTAAGTGTTAACTTGGACATTGTTCTCCCGGATTTGGGCTGAGGATAACATCTGTATCCCCTTCTCAACTTAGTTCCTTTTATCTGACAGCAGACAGCCTACACTCTCATCTTTCCATTTTCACCTTGAATTCCTAGAAACAACTAAACTCAAGTACAATGACTATCAAATGCATTGACTGGCGGGGCACGGTCCCTCACACCTGCAATCCCAGCACTTCGGGAGGCCAAGGCAGGTGGATCATTTGAGGTCAGGAGTTCGAGACCAGCCTGGCCGACATGGTGAAACCCCGTCTCCACTAAAAAGACACAAATTAGCCAGGTGTGGTGGTGCATGCCTATAAGCCCCACTACTCGGGAGGCTGAGGCAGGAGAATCATTTGAACCTGGGAGGCGGAGGTTGCAGTGAGCCGAGATCACGCCACTGCCCTCCAGCCTAGGTGACAGAACAAGATTCCATCTCAAAAACTAAAACTGAAAACATTCAATGACTGTCTCTTTTTTTGGCAATTGTCCTGTCTTCCTTTTAAGTGGTTTGAGGTGACTCTTTTTTATTTATTTATTTATTTATTTATTTATTTATTTATTTTTTATTTATTTTAACTTGCTTGCTCTAGGTCATCGTATTTCAGGAAGAAATCTCTGTGGATCCCTTTGGGGATGTGAATAAGTAAGCATGTGAATTGTTGAAATTTAGGCTGAACCATATGAAATTGACTTTTTATGGATCAAAAATACACGAATACAGCTTGGGCAACACTTCAGTGAGACCCCGTCTCTACAAAAAGTAAAAAAAATAAAAATAAATAAAAATAAAGCTTGAACCCAGCTCTTCCATCGACTTGGCATGGTAGTGTGCACCTGTAGTCCCAGCTACTCAGGAGGCTAATGTGGAAGGATGGCTTGAGTCCAGGAGTTCAAGGCTGCAGTGAACTGTGATCATGCCACTGCACTCCAGCCTGGGTGACAAAGCAAGCCTCTGTCTCAAAAAAAAAAAAAAAAAAAAAAAAAGCTGAGTATCAGCCAGTCGCAGTGGTTCACACCTGTAATCCTAGCACTTTAGGAAGCCAAAGTGGAAGGATAACTTGAGCCCAGGAGTTGGAGACCAGCCTGGGCAACATAGCAAGGTCCCATATCTTTTTTTTTTTTTTGAGACAGAGTTTCGCTCTTTTTGCCCAGGCTGGAGTGCAATGGCACAATCTCAGCTCACCGTAACCTCTGCCTCCGGGGTTCAAGCCATTCTCCTGCCTCAGCCTCCCGAGTAGCTGGGATTACAGTCGCCTGCCACCATGCCCGGCTAATTTTTTGTATTTTTAGTAGAGACGGGGTTTCATCATGTTGGCCAGGATGGTCTCGATCTCATGACCTCGTGATCTGCCCGCCTCGGCCTCCCAAAGTGCTGGGATTACAGGCGTCAGCCACCGCGCCTGGCCAAGTTCTCATATCTTAAAAAAATAATAAATAAATTAGCCTGGTGTGGTGGTGCTCCTGTAGTCCAGCTACTCGGGAGGCTGGGGTGGGAGAATCTAGCTCGGGAGTTAGAGGTTGCAGTGAGCTATGATCGCACCACTGCACTCCAGCCTGGGCAACAAAGTGAGACCCTGTCTCAAAGGAAAAAAAAAACAGCGAGAGAGAAAACAAGATTCCTTTAAGAGCTAATAAGGCCGGACACATGTAATTGATAAAGATCACGGACCCCTGTGGTTATTCAGCGCCAGCATGCTTTAGAAAGAGGCGTGTGAGGGAGTCATCCGTTCTTCTGGGTTCTCTCTCCTGCTTGCCGGGTGGGGTGCAGTGTCCACCCGGACCCAGCTCCAGAATCTCCGCTGAGCTACTTCTTTCTCCCCGTGGCCACTAGAGGGTGCGAGGACCGCAAGCAGGGGCTGAATCTGAGCCCAGCCGGGGTCAGGGCCCTGAGCTATGGCTGGTGATTTGGCGCTGGAAGGCCCTCCCTGCGCCCCTAGGGAAGGAACAACAGGCTCAGAAACCCAGGACTGCGGTGGACACCCCCACCTCTGAGCCAGCCGCACGTTCTGGAGTGCGTGGGTGCGATGGCAGTCCCCAGGAGTCCCGTGGGAATGAGCACACTGCTGGGGGGCGGGGGCTTTGCTCCCCGTCAGTTCTGCATTTCTGAGCCTTGATCCCACTGGCCCGTTGAAACCCTCTCGACCCCTCTTCAGACAGTCTGGCTGTGTCTGAAAGTGCACAGGTACATTATGGGCTAGAATAACCCTGTAATGGATCGGGCCGTGCTTCCTGTACAAGTCTTGGTTTTCACTTACTGTAAGTAATCCTGCTCCCTTTTCCGATGGGGTAAAAGGGAAGGAGCATAGCTATGAGTTCGCTTAAGCCAGCACAGCGGTGGGCAAGGGAGACAAAGCTGCGGCTGGGACCAACCAAGGCCTCTGAGAAATGATATCATGAACCCGGTGGGGAGGTGGCAGTGGGACGTGCACAGAGCTTGGGGCTCCAGATGCAGACCTGGGTTCAAACTCAGCTCCTCCATCCACCAGCAGGCTTAGGATCTCCCCTCTCAGAGCCTCCGTTTCTTCGTCTTGACGGTACAGGCTCACACCTGTAAGCCAAGGGCTTTGGGAGGCCAAGGCAGGAGGATTGCTTGAGGCCAAGAGTTCAAGACCAGCCTGGGCAACATAGTGAGAACCACACCCCCCCCCCGCCCCCACCCTTGTCTCTACAAAATATTTTAAAATTAGCCAGGTATGGTGGTGTGTGCCTGTCATCCCAGCTACTTAGGAGGCTGAGGGGGAGAACTGCTTGAGCCCAAGAGGTCCGCGGCTGAAGTGAGCTATGATCGCACCACTGCACTCTAGCCTGAGCGACAGAGCCAGATCCTGTCTCTAAAAAAAAGAAAAGAAAAAGTGGGGGTAATATGCAGGACAATGAGTGACTTGAATGAGACAATAGTTCCCCAGCACCCACCATGGTAGCCCTCAACTCATGGCCACTAAAATAGGACAGTGGCTTGGTTACGATGGTTGCAAAATAAATTCAGCTCCAACATGTAGTGGTTTGAAACGACCATGTCATTACGTCTCTGGTTCTGTGGGCGCACTGGGCTGAGATGAACCATTCCATTGCTGATCTCACTGGGGGTCTCTCACGCTGTCACAGCCTGACAGGCTAGAGTCCTCTGGAGGCTCCACAGGATGCTGGGAAGGCTGCCTCCTCTCACTCCCGCGCTGCTGCGGGGCACTGCCTCCACACGTGGCCTCCCCGACAGGGTTGCTGAGCTTCATGCACTGCATTTTGGGATTCCCAAAAGTACAAAAATGGATCTGCCCCAGTCCTCTTAAATCTTGGGTCTGGAGCCCACGCAGCACCACATCTGGCATCATGCATTGGTGAGTCGCAGGCAGCTTGGATTCAGTGTGGGAGGGGACAACTCCAGAGAGCCAGCACCAGAGATGTAGTTCCCAGGGGCCCATTGCTAGGGACTAGACACCGGAGATGACGTATCAGTGACCTAGGGCTGCCGTAACAGATTACCACCAACTTGCTGGCTTAAAATAACACACATTTATCATCTTACCGTTCGGGAGGTCAGAAGTTCAAAACGGGTCTCACTGGGCTGAAATCAGGGTAGAAAGGCTGTATTTCCTTTCTGGAGGCTCTGGAAGATAATCCTTTTTTTTTTTTAAGACTGGGTCTAGCTCTGTCGCCCAGGTTGGCGTGCAGTAGTGCAACCAAAGCTCACTGCAGCCTCGACATCTTGGGCTCAAGTAATCCTCCCACCTTGGCCTCCCACAGGGATGGGATTACAGGGGTGAGCCACCACGCCCAGCTGGAAAATCCTTTTTCTTGCCTTTTCCAGTTTTTGGTTTGTTTGTTTGTTTGTTTTTCTTTTTGAGACAGAGTCTTGCTCTGTCACCCGGGCCGGAGTGCAGTGGTGCGATCTCAACTCACTGCAGCCTCCACCTCCCGATTCAAGTGATTCTCCTGCCTCAGCCTCCTGAGTAGCTGGGACTACAGGCATGCACCACCACACCCGGCTAATTTTTTGTACTTTTAGTAGAGACGGGATTTCACCATATTGGCCAGGCTGGTCTCAAACCCCTGACCTCGTGATCCACCCGCCTCAGCCTCCCAAAGTGTTGGGATTACAGGCGTGAGGGACTGCACCTGATCCTTTTTTCTTCTTTAAGCCTGCTGCCTCCTCTTGTAAGTACCCTTCTGATTACATTGGGCCCACCTGGATAAGCCATCGTATTCTCCCCATCTCAGATCAACTGATCAGCAACCTTAATTCTATCTACAAACTTAATTTCTCATTGCGGTGTAACATAACATATTCACAGGTCCCAGGGATTAGGACGTGAACACCTTTTGGGTCATTATTCTGCCTACCTGCCACAGGTACAGAGAAAGGCATTTTATTGAACTTACAACATTTCCTCCTAAAACATTTTTAGAGATTAAATTTATCATGAACCATGTTTCAGGAAAAAATGTTCCTTAAACTCTTCTTGTTTTTGTTTTTTTGAGACTGGGTTTCACTCTGTTGCCCAGGCTGGAGGGCATTGGTGCAATCACAGCTCACTGCAGCCTCGATCTCCCAGGCTCAAGTGATCCTCCCACCTCATTCTTCCAAGTTGCTGGGACCATATGCACATGCCACCACACCCGGCTAATTTTTTGTTTTGTAGAGAAAAGGTCACCGTATGTTTTCTAGGTTGGTCTCGAAATTCTGGGCTCAAGAGATCCTCCTGCCTCAGCCTCCGAAAGTGCTGGGATTACAAACGTGAGCCACTGCAGCTGAATCAAACTCTTAAATAAATTCTCTTTTGCTTTTTTTTTTTTTTTGAGACAGTCTCACTCTGTCGCCCAGGCTGGAGTGCAGTGGTGCAATCCAACCTCTGCCTCCTGGGTTTAAACCATTCTCCTGCCTCAGCCTCCCAAGTAGCTGAGACTACGGGCATGAGCAACCACGCCCGGCTAATTTTTATATTTCAGTAGAGCTGGGGTTTCGCCATGTTGGCCAGGCAGGTCTCAAACTCCCAACCTCAGATGATCCACACACCTCGGCCTCCCAAAGTGCTGGGATTACAGGCTTGAGCCACTGTGCCCGGCCTCTTTGGCTTTTTTCATTCACAAACATTGCTTGAGTTATAAGCCCCATGTAGGCAAAAGGAGACACCTAAAACATGGTCCCTGCCTTTGAGAAGTTCGGTGTGGTTCCCCCAGCAGCCACTTTCCCCGCTTTTTGCTCACAAAATCTGTTTGTTGCAGATGAAAATAGGCCTTGGCTGGACGCGGTGGCTCATGCCTGTAATCCCAGAACTTTGGGAGGCCAAGGCAGACAGATCACTTAAAGCCAGGAGTTCGAGACTAGCCTGGGCAACATGGTGAAACACTGTCTCTACTAAAAATACAAAAATTAGCTGGTATGGTAGCTTGCGCCTGTAATCCCAGCTACTTGGGAGGCTGAGGCAGGAGAATCGCTTGAAGCCAGGAGACGGAGGCTGCAGTGAGCCAAGATCACGCCACTGTACTCCAGACTGAGCAACAGAGTGAGACTCTGACTCAAAAAAAAAAAAAAGTTACTAGGTCTGAGGATTGTCAGCCCTATAATACTGACTATTTATTTGATGGCTCCTGCTATGTGAGTTTCTTTGGGAAATCGACATATTTGCCAACTTGAGTCAGGCTTGCTAATGAATTATACGAATTTAAAATCATGGCCGGGTGCAGTGGCTCATGCCTGTAATCCCAGCACTTTGGGAGGCTGAGGCAGGTGGATTGCTTGAGCCCAGGAGTTAAAGACCAGCCTAGCCAACATGGCAAAACTCCGTCTCTACTAAAAATACAAAAATTAGTTGGGCATGGTGGCACATGCCTGTAATTCCAGCTACTTGGGAGGCTGAGCCACAGGAGGTAGAGGTTGCAGTGACCAGAGATGGCACCACTGCACTCCCGCCCAGGTGAGAGTAGGAAATTCTGTCTCAAAATAAATAAATAGACCAGGTGCAGTGTTTCATGCCTGTTATCTCAGCACTTTGGGAGGCCGAGGCAGGTGGATGACCTGAGATCAGGAGTTCAAGACTAGCCTAGCCAACATAACAAAACCCCGTCTCTACTAAAAATACAAAAATTAGCCGGGCGTGGTGGCACATGCCTGTAGTCCCAGCTACTTGGTAGGCTGAGGTGGGAGGATCGCTTGAGTCCAAGGGGCGGAGGTTGCAGTGAGCTGAGATAGTGCCACTGCACTCTGGCGTGGGCAATGAGTGAGATCCTGTCTCAAAAAAATAAAAATAAAAATGAAAAATAATTAATTAAAATAAAACAATGCCAAGCTGGGCGTGCTCACTCCTGTAATTCCAGTGACTCTGGAAGTGGGAGGGGGAGGATCACAAGCCTGAGAGGTCGAGGCTACAAAGAGCTGTGATTACACCACTGTACTCCGGCCTGGACAACAGAGTGAGGCCCTGTCTCATAAGCAAATAACATAACATAACACAATAAAATAATGCCAAGTCTTCAGGAATAAATCCTAGAAATAAAGGGTATTCCACCCTGTCCCTGCTCCCTGGAGCTGTCATGACAAATCACAATGTGCTTAGCACTATGCACAGGACCAAGATCTACATTAGACACAGTGCCTAGGTCCCTCAATATTTTTAGGGGCCCAGGGAATTGTTTAAATTTCTTTTAATATTAGAAGTAAAAAAAAAAATAGGCTGGGTGCAGTGGCTCACGCCTGTATTCCCAGCACTTTCAGAGGCCAAGCTGGGTGGATCACTTTAGCTAAGGAGCTCGAAACCAGCCTGGGCAACATGGTGAAACCCCAGCTCTACAAAAAAAAAAAAAAAAATCAGCCAGGTGTAGTGGCTTGTGCCTGTGGTCTCAGCTGCTTGGGAGGCTAAGGTAAAAGGATTGCTTGAGCCGAGGAGGCAGAGGTTGCAGTGAGCTGAGATGATGCCACTGCTCTCCAGCCTGGGTGATAGACTAAGACTATCTCAAAAATAAATAAATAAGAACTGAAAAATGAATATAATCCAGTCTCCCTTATATTTCTCTTTGTACCAATACAGTCATGAATGACAATATTTTTTCATGAAGGAAGGGTCCATGGAAGTTATAGTGTGGCCCCAACAGTACCTGGCACAGAATAGACCTCAGTAGGTGTGAGTTGTTTGACTATCCTCATCCTTGTCGCTATTATTGGCAAGAATGAGGCACTCCTCCTTACACTATGGTCACCAGACCAGCCTAGCCAGCTGGGAGGGTAAATAGAACCAAAGTAATTATAAGGCTGGGTGCGGTAGCTCACACCTGTAGTTCCAGCTACTCCAGAGGCTGAGACAAGAACGTTGCTTGAGCCCAGGAGTTACAGGCTGCAGTGAGCTATGATTGCTATGGTTGCAACACTGCACTCCAGCCTGGGACACAGAGCAAGACCCTATCTCTTAAAAAAAAAAAAAAAAAAAAAAAAGTCTGGGCGACCTGGCTCACGCCTGTAATCCTAGCACTTTGGGAGGATCACCTGAGATCAGGACTTCGAGACCAGCCTGGCCAACATGGTGAAACCTTGTCTCTACTACAAATACAAAAATTAGCCAGGCGTGGTGGCCGGTGCCACTAATCCCAGCTACTCAGGAGGCTGAGGTGAGAGAATCGCTTAAACCTGGCAGGCAGAGGTTGTGGTGAGCTGAGATCGAGCCACTGCATTCCACCCTGGGTGATAGAGTGAGACTCCGTCTCAACAACAACAACAAAAAATTAGCACAAAGTAAGCTGGGTGGGTGGCTCATACCTGTAATCCCAGCAGTTTGGGAGGCTGCGGTGGGAGGATCACTTGAGTCCAGGAGTTCAACACCAGCCTGGGTAACATGGCAAGACCCTGTCTCTACAAAAAATTTAAAGATTAGCTGGGAGTCGGCCGGGTGCGGTGGCTCACGCCTGTAATCCCAGCACTTTGGGAGGCTGAGGCGGGCGGATCACGAGGTCAAGAGACAGAGACCACGGTGAAACCCTGTCTCTATTAAAAATACAAAAAAATTAGCGGGGCGTTGTGGTGGGTGCCTGTAGTCCCAGCTACTCGGGAGGCTGAGGCATGGGAATGGCGTGAACCCAGGAGGCGGAGCTTGCAGTGACCTGAGATCGCGACACTGCACTCCAGCCTGGGAGGCAGAGCAAGACTCCGTCTCAAAAAAAAAAAAAAAAAGATTAGCCAGGAGTGGTGGCACACCCATGTGGTCCCAGCTCCTTGGGAGGCTGAGGCAGGAGAATCACTTAAGCCTGGCAGGTCAAGGCTGCTGCGAGCTATATTCAAGCCATTGCACTCCAGACTGGGTGACACAGTGAGACTCTTTCTCAAAAAAAAAAAAGAAAAGAAAACACCATGTAATAATAATATGGATTCACAGTGGTAAGTGCTCATTGCACACTCAGCTCTGTGCTGAAGACATCATTGTCCCTACAAGGTGCATATTATCATCCCCATTCCACAGATGAGGTAATGGAAGCCAGAACAGTGAAGTGACTTGCCTAGGATCACACACCTACCAAGAAGGGGAGGCATGACTTGAATCCAGGTCCCTGGGATGCCACAGCCACATCCTGTATGTGCTAAGAGAGCTGATGCTAATCAGAAGGTCTTGCATGACAGTCTAGAAAATTTGGACTCACTCACACAGAAGTCAGTGCTGGCAGGTTTTTGGAAAGGAGCTTAGTGGTGCTTTGGGAGACGGATTTGGCAGTGGTGCTTGGAGTCTCAGCGGGTTGTCATAATTCCAGGGAATATTCCAAGAGGTGTCTAAGATTGGTAAAGGCAGGCTGGGCACAGTGGCTCGCACCTGTAATCCTAGCACTTTGGGAGGCCGAGGCGGGCAGATCACAAGATCAGGAGGTCGAGGCCAGCCTGGCCAGCATGGTGAAACCCCATCTCTACTAAAAATACAAAAAAATTAGCTGGGCCTGGTGGTGCGTGCCTGTAATCCCAGCTACTCAGGAGGCTAAGGCAGGAGAATCACTTCAACCCAGGAGGCAGAGGTTGCAGTGAGCCGAGATCGTGCCACTGCACTCCAGCCTGGGCAATAGAGTGAGACTCTGTCTCAAAAAAAAAAAAAAAGATTGGTAAAGGGGCGGGTGCAGTGGCT
Source organism: Homo sapiens (assembly GCF_000001405.40). Lineage (NCBI taxonomy): Eukaryota > Metazoa > Chordata > Mammalia > Primates > Hominidae > Homo > Homo sapiens. The sequence goes on along the minus strand of NC_000016.10, from coordinate 9,001,692 downwards.
CACACCTATAATCCCAGCACTTGGGAGGCTGAATCGGGTGGATCACTTGAGCCCAGGAGTTCAACACAATGTAGAAAGACCTCATCTCTACCAAAAATTTTTGTTAAATAAAATTAGCCAGGTATGGTGACACTTGCCTGTGGTCCCAGGTACTTAGGAAGCTGAGGTGGAAGGATCATTTGAGCCTGGGAGGTCGAGGCTGCAGTGAGCCATGATCCTACCACTGCACTCCAGCCTGGGTGACAGAGCAAGACTCTGTTTCAAAAAAAAAAGCAAGAAGAAACAGGTGGAAATAATTTTAGCGACATATTTTATTTAACCCAGTATGTGCAAAATATTATCATCTCAACTTAAAAAGTATTAACTAGGCCCAGCAAGGGATTGGGGTGCTTTAACTAACATTTTGGAAGCTCCTTCCGGCCAGGCTCGGTGGCTCATCCCTGTAATCCCACTGCTTTGGGAGGCCAAGGTGGGTAGATCACCTGAGGTCAGGAGTTTTACACCAGACTGGCCAACATGTCAAAACCCCATCTCTACTCAAAATGCAAAAAAAAAAACAAAAAAAATTAGCCAGGCTTGGTGGCTCACACCTGTAGTCCCAGCCACTCGAGAGGCTGAGGCAGGAGAATCACTTGAACCAAGAGGCAGAGGTTGCAGTGAACTGAGATCTTGCCAATGCAGTCCAGCCTGGGTGACACAGGGAGACTCCATCTCCAAAACAAAAAAGCTCCTTCCTTTCTTCCCCTAGTAAGTTAAATGCTGGAGTTCACCATTGTGTGTGATTAGTCGGACTTTCTAGGTTGAAATCTCTGCTCTGTTTCATACTGCTGTGTGACCTTAGACAAATTCCTTAATCTCTCTGTGCCTCAGGAGGCACACCTGTCTATCTATAAGGAGGAATGATAATAATATAACTTACCTTGGGGGTTGTTGCAAGGAGTACATATTAAGCACTTAGACAAGCAGTGAGCATGTGGTTAGCATCCTTTTTGTACACTTGGAAAGGTTTTCCGCTCCTAAATTAATGATATGCAAGAGGCTGGGCACAGTGGTTCAGGCCTGTAATCCCAGCACTTTGGGAGGCTGAGATGGGCGAATCACCTGAGATCAGGAGTTTGAGACAAGCCTGGCCACATGGTAAAACCCCGTCTCTACTAAAAATACAAAAATTAGCTGGGCATGGTGGCGCACGCCTGTAATCTCAGCTACTCAGGAGGCTGAGGCACAAGAATCGCTTGAACCTGGGTGGTGGAGGTTGCAGTGAGCCGAGATCACTCCACTGCACTCCAGCCTGGGTGACAGAGTGAAACTGTGTCTCAAAATAAATCAACAAATAAAAAGGCCAGGCACAGTGTCTCACACCTGTAATCCCAACACTTTGACAGGCCAAAGTGGTGAGATAGTTCGAACCCAAGAATTCAAGACCAGCTTGGGCAACATAGTGAGACCTCATCTCTGAAAAAAATTTTTAAAGAATTGTCTGGACACAGAGGCTCAAGCCTGTAATCCCAGCACTTTGGGAGGCTAAAGCAGGTGGATCACTTGAGTCCGAAAGTTTGAGACCAGCCATGGCCAACTCCCCACCACCCCCCCAGCCCATCTCTACAAAACAATACAAAAATTAGTCAGGCGTGGTGGTGCACACTTTTAGTCCCAGCTACCAGCTAGTAGGGAGGCTGAGTTGGAAGCATTGCTCGAGCTCAGGAGTTCAAGGCTACAGTGAGCCATGATTGTGCCACTGCACTATAGCTTGGGAAAACAGTCCCAGACCCCTGTCTCAAAAAAAAAAAAAAGCCAGGCATGGTGGCTCACACCTGTAATCTCAGCACTTTGAGAGGCCGAGGCAGGCACATCACCTGAGATCAGGAGTTTGAGACCATCCTGGCCAACATGGTGAAACCCTGTCTCTACTAAAAATACAAAAATTAGCTGGGTGTGGTGGCCCATGCCTGTAATCCCAGCTACTGGGGAGGCTGAGGCAGGAGAATTGCTTGAACCCGAGAGGCGAAGGTTCCAATGAGCCAAGATCGAGCCACTGCTCTTCAGCCTATGCTACAGAGTGAGACTCCATCTCAAAATAAATAAATAAATAAATAAATAAATAAATAAATAAATAAGGCCAGGCGCAGGGGCTCACATCTGTAATCCCAGCACGTTGCGAGGCTGAGGCAGGCAGATAACCTGAGATCAGGAGTTTGAAACCAGCATGGCCAACATGGCAAAACCCCGTCTCTACTAAATATACAAAAATTAACCTGGCATGGTGGCAGGTGCCTGTAATCCCAGCTACTCAGGAGGCTGAGGCAGGAGAATCGCTTGAACCTGGGAGGTGGAGGTTGCAGTGAGCCGAGATCATGCCACTGCATTCCAGCCTGGGTGACAGCAAGATTCCATCTCAAAAAAAAAAAAAAAAAATAGCCATGGTGGCACACACCTGTAGTCCCAGCTATTCAGGAGGCTGAGGCTGGGGGATTACTTGAGCCCGAGAGGTCAAGGCTGCAAGACTCTGTTTCAAAAAAAGAAAAAAAAAAGTGACTATTTTAAAGAATGAATGCAGGTTAGGCCGGGCGCGGTAGCTCACGCCTGTAATCCCAGCACTTTGGCAGGCCGAGGCGGGCAGATCACGAGGTCAGGAGATTGAGACCATCCTGGCTAACACGGTGAAACCCTGTCTCTACTAAAAGTACAAAAAATTAGCCGGATGTGGTGGCGGGCGCCTGTAGTCCCAGCTACTCGGGAGGCTGAGGCAGGAGAATGGCGTGAACCCGGGAGGCGGAGTCTGCAGTGAGCCGAGATAGCGCCACTGCACTCCAGCCTGGGGACAGAGCAAGACTCCGTCTCAAAAAATAAAATAATAATAATAATTTAAAAAAGGAATGAATGCAGGTTAATCACTTAAAACAGTGCCTGAATGGCTGGGCAAGGTGGTTCACACCTGTAATACCAGCATGGCCGAGGCAGGTGGATCACCTGAGGGCAGGAGTGACCAGCCTGCCCAACATGGCGAAACCCCGTCTCTACTAAAAATACAAAAAATTAGATGGGCGTGGTGGCAGGCGCCTGTAATCCCAGCTACTCAGGAGGCTGAGGCAGGAGAATCGCTTGAACCTGGGAGGTGGAGGTTGCAGTGAGCCAAGATCACACCATTGCACTCCAGCCTGGGTGACAAGAGCAAAACTCAGTCTCAAAAACAAACAAAAAACCAAAAAAAAAAAAAAGAGAAAAACAACAGTGCCTGATACATGATAGATATTCAACAATTATTAGCTCCCATTATTCCTGTTGTTGTTATGAGTTGTCTTGCAGAAACGGGGGTGATAGGACATGGATGCTTCAAGCTAATCCTCATACTGGTGTGATTAAGGGCATTAGCCTGGAAGCCAGACAGACCCAGCTGTGCCATTTACTAGCTGAGTGACTCATTTATATTACATAACTTCTTTGAGTTCAGTTTTCTCAAATGTGAAATGAGAGTAATATCTACATATATCCACCAGATGTTTTTGGCTGTAAGGAACAGAAATTGGTTAGAACCATAAGAGAATATATTATCCCACATAGCAAAAATCCCAGAAGGCCATTTCTGGCCTTCAGAAATGGCTGATCCAGTATCCAGTGCCCGGTGAGGTGGCTCACGCCTGCAGTCCCACCTACTCGGGAGGTTGTGGTAGGAGAATCGCTTGAACCCGGGAGGCGGAGGTTGCAGTGAGCTGAGATCGCGCTACTGCACTTCAACCTAGGGGACAAGAGCCAAACTCCGTCTTAAAAAAAAAAAAAAAGAAAAAGAAAAAAAAGGCCTGGCGTGGTGGCTCACGCTTGTAATCCCAGCACTTTCGGAGGCTGAGGCGGGCGGATCATGAGGTTAGGAGTTTGAGACCAGCCTGGCCAACACAGTGAAACCCCGTCTCTACTAAAAATACAAAAATTAGCTAGGCGTGGTGGCAGGCGCCTATGGTGCCAGCTACTCGGGAGGCTGAGGCAGGAGAATCGCTTGAACCCGGGAAGCGGAGGCTGCAGTGAGGCGAGATCGTGCCACTGCACTCCAGCTAGGTGACACAGGAAGACTCCGTCTAAAAAAAAAAATAAAAAAGAAAAGGCTGATCAAGAAGCTGAACCTGGTCACCAAGGACCCAGAAACTTTCCATCTCTATATCTAAGGTTCACCTTCAGGTTAAGATTCATTTCGTTTTCGCTTTTGTTTGGAAACACGGTCTGGCTATGTCACCCAGGCTGGAGCATAGTGGCACTATGATAACTCACTGCATCCTCAAACTCCTGGGTTCATAAACCCTCATCCCAGCCTCAAAGTTGTGGGGTATTTTTGTTTTTGTTTTTGTTTTTGTTTTTCGTGTTTGCTAGATGGCTTCTGGTGATAATTCAGGCCACATGCCTTGTTGTTCATATCCAGTGAGCAATAGACAGTCCTTCCCCATCGTGAAATAAAATTCCTTCCTTTCAATATAATTGGTCGAATATAAGTCTCATACCCACCCATAGACTGAGAACCCATTCACATGGTGGGATGCCTGAAGCTGATTGGCTTAGGTCTGTCTACTTGAACCAATCACAGGCAGGGAAATGGGATAACCATGTTCAGACCAATCAGAGCCCATCCCTGGAGCTGGGAGTGGGGCTGGCCCCCCGCAGTCACATGGGCTACATGCAGGCGTTTGGTCTTAAGAAAATGCAGAGTGGATGCAGAGTTGCAATCCACAGTGTCCCTTATGCTGCCTCTCGGGGTTCTCAACAAGATTAAATAAGAAAATGTCTTTAAAGCACTTAGCACAGTATCTCACACCTATTATTAAGCTTTTCTGTGTTGTTAGTAGGAGCTGAATTGAGTGCACGGAGCTGCTAAATTGGTTACTAAAAGAGAGAACAGAGAGTACCGGTGAGATTAATTTTTTTTGATACAGTTAACACAGAAACAGTATAAATATTCTTAACCATTTGCCAGCTATCAGGAGCCTTGTAGACAGAGGCTAATGCAGTCAGGACACAATGCTTTAGCTTAATCTGACATAATGTTCAGAAGAAAGTAATAACTGAAAACAAATGAAGTGACTGATTCTGGGGTGCAAACAGAGGTGCCTTCACGGGAGAGTCATGAAGCTTGAGCTTTGGGATCCTAAATTGTCCCTTCCTAAATCCTAGAAGGGATCCTAGCAATTTTTGTTGTTTTTTGTTGTTTTGTTTTGTTTTGTTTTGAGATGGAGTCTCGCTCTGTCGCCCAGGCTGGAGTGCAATGGCTTGACCTCGACTCACTGCAACCTCCATCTCCCAGGTTCAAGCGATTCCTGTGCCTCAGCCTCCAGAGTAGCTGGGACTACAGGCGTGCACCACCACACCTGGCTAATTTTTGTATTTTTAGTAGAGACCAGGTTTCACGATGTTCACCATGGCTGGTCTCAAACTCCTGACCTCAAGTGATCCCCTCGCCTCAGCCTCTCGAAGTGCTGGGATTACAGGCTTGAGCCGCTGTGCCTGGCCAATCCTAGAGAAAATTCTGATTGGTCCAGCCTGAGTCACATGCCTGTCTATTGAGCCAATCCAGTGGCCAGGGGGAGGAGTCAGTCTGACCAGCCTTAGGCATACGGAGAGATGAGAAGAGACAGGACCACCTGAAGTTCTCCCAGAGAAACGTAGAGAAAAGGAGATGAAAATGCACATTGTGGCAGGGAGCGGTGACTCACGCCTGTAATCCCAGCACTTTGGGAGGCTGAGGCAGGCGGATCACTTGAGGTCAGGAGTTCGAGACCAGCCTGGCCAACATAGTGAAACCCCATCTCTACTAAAAATACAAAATAGTCAGCCAGGCATGGTGGCGAGTGCCTGTAGTCCCAGCTACTCGGGAGGCTGAGGCATGAGAACTGCTTGAACCTAGGAGGCCGACGTTGCAGTGAGCCAAGATAGCGCCACTGCACTCCAGCCTGGTTGACCGAGCAAGACTCTGTCTCAAAAAAAGAAAGAAAGAAAATGCACATTCAACTACACAGTCCCTTAAGCCAAAGGACCGCAGCCACCTCTTCCAAGCACGTCGTGTTATCACTGAGGGTACTGTGACCTAGCAGGCGACATTTAGATTTACACAAGGTTGCCAGGTGCGGTGGCTCACGCCTGTAATCCCAGCACTTTGGGAGGCCGAGGCGGGCGGATCACGAGGTCAGGAGATCGAGACCATCCTGGCTAACACGGTGAAACCCCATCTCTACTAAAAATACAAAAAAATTAGCCAGGCATGGTGGCGGGTGCCTGTAGTCCCAGCTACTTAAGAGGCTGAGGCAGGAGAATGGTGTGAACCCAGGAGGCGGAGCTTGCAGTGAGCCAAGATCGCGCCACTGCACTCCAGCCTGGGGACAGAGCGAGACTCCGTCTCAAAAAAAAAAAAAAAAAAAAAAAAAAAAGATGTACACAAGGTTATGCTATGTTTGCAGAGTAGATCAATCCATATTATGAAATCATGGATCTGGCCGGGCTGGGTGGCTCGCACCTGTAATCCCAGCACTTTGGGAGGCTGACTGGCCAACATGGCAAAACCCTGTCTCTACTAAAAAATACAAAAATTAGCTGGGTAGGGTGGCGGGTGCCGGTAATCCCAGCTACTCAGGAGGCTGAGGCAGGAGAATCGCTTGAACCTGGGAAAGGGAAGTTGCAGTGAACCAAGACAGTGCCACTGCACTCCAGCCTGGGCGACAGAGTGAGGCCCTGTCTCAAACAAACAAACAAACAAATCATGGATCTGATATAAAATAATCCTACTCCTGGTGTTTTACAGAGCAGGGAGAAATCACCACATTCACCGTGAAAATGACATGGACTCACTGTCCTGGGCCTTGTGACCCAGAGAAATGGAAAAGACCTGTAGTCAAACTGTCTAGCAGGACGCTTTTAGGGTTCATGGAAAGGATTTCTTTTAATATACCCATGGAGCATTCTCCTTGTGGAAGCTACTCTCACTGATGCCAGAGCTGCTTCCTAGAATAGCTACAGTTCAGGGGGGTGGAAGTGGGTATATTCTCATCCATCAACCACAAAGAGTCAAACATCATTTTTCATCACTACCTCCAGGGACACCCAGCATCACCACCACCAACTCTTCCTTGGTAAACTGGGTATAATCCCAATCTCACCTCTCCGGGGTGTTTGGCAAGTCTCTCCCTGTCAATACAGGAGAATGATAGCTGTAACCAAATGCTTCCTCTGTTGTTAGGCATCTGCTGAGCCAGGAATGCAGCTATCTTAAGCAAAAGGGAGGGTTTGCTATAAGGATCAGTATCCTTATAGCATCTTGCAAAACCTAAAGGCCCCAGGAGGGCCCAGAAATGGAAGCCATCAGAAACACTGGCCAGGGGTCGGGCACAGTGGCTCACGTCTATAATCCCGGCACTTTCGGAGGCCGAGATGGGTGGATCACCTGAGCTCAGGAGTTCGAGATCAGCCTGGGCAACATGTTGAAACCCCGTCTCTACTAAAAATACAAAAATTAGCTGGTCGTGGTGGCACATGCCTGTGGTCCCAACTACTTGGGAGGCTGAGGCAGAAGGATCACTTGAGCCTGGGAGCAGAGATCACGCCACTGCACTCCAGCCTCAGCAACAGGATGAGATCCTGTCTCAAAAACAGAAAGAAAGAAAGGCCAGGCGCGGTGGCTCATGCCTGTAATCTCAGCACTTTGGGAGGCCAAGGCAGGCAGATCACTTGAGGTCAGGAGTTCGAGACCAGCCTGATCAGCATAGAGAAACCCTGTCTCTACTAAAAATACAAAATTAGCCAGATGTGGTAGCACATGCCTGTAATCACAGCTACTCAGAAGGCTGAGGCAGGAGAATCGCTTGAACCTGGGAGGCGATGGTTGCGGTGAGCTGAGATTGCACCATTGCACTCCAGCCCGGACAACAAGGGCAAAACTCCATCTCAAAAAAGAAAAAAAAAGAAAAGAAAAAAGAAAAGAAAAAGAAAAAAGAAACGCTGGCCAGGGTGAGTGTGGTGGCTGTGGCCTGTAATCCAAAACTTTGGGAGGCTGAGGCAGGCAGATCTCTTAAGGTCAGGAGTTTGAGACCAGCCTGGTCAACACGGTGAAACCCTGTCTCTACTAAAAACACAAAAATTAGCTGGGCTCGATGGTACTCACCTGTAATCCCAGCTACTCGGGAGGCTGAGGCAGATGAATCTCTTGAACCCAGGAGGCAGAGGTTGCAGTGAGCCAAGATCCCGCCACTGCATTCCAGCCTGGGCAACAGAGCCAGACTCCATCTCAAAAAATATATATATAAATAAAAAATAAAATCAGCTTGGATCAGGTGCAGTGGCTCACACCTGTTATCCCAGCACTTTGGGAGGCCAAGGCAGGAAGATCACATGAGGCCAGAAGTTTGAGACCAGCCTGGCCAACATGGTGAAACCACATCTTTGCTAAAAAGACAAAAATTAGCTGGGCGTGCTGGTGGGCGCCTGTAATCCCAGCTACTCTGGAGGCTGAGGCAGCAGAATCGCTTGAACCCAGGAGGCAGAGGTTGCAGTAAGCCAAGACTGCACCACTGCACTCCAGCCTGGGTGACAGAACAAGACCTTGTCTTTAAAAAGAAAATAAAAATCAAAAATAGCTGATTAGCAATCTTAATTTCTGCTTGACGTGAGGTAACATATGCACAGGTTCTGGGGATTAGGGTGTGGACATGTTTGGGGAGCCATGATTCTGCCCATCACAGCAGCCCTCTGAGGAAATGAGTAACTGGAGCAGCCGCACATCAGGTCTCATTTTGCATCTTACATAGAATCCGGCTCTGCTGGCCGCTGCGAGCCAGGGGCTACCCTGGGACGCAGAGTGCATGTGGTTGTCACAAACTGCAAGAGACAAAAATAAGCACGGTCTCTCAGAGGCATCCCTGACCTCTGCAGAGGAGACAGGGACCACCAGGTACCAAACCTGCTATCTGCTTTATCTTCCCACTGTGTTGATTTGCATAGGGATAGGGGAATAATCATCAATGTTTATAGCAATAAAATAAGAAGCAATGTTTATAGCATAAGTGGTGCCCTGCTTAAAATAAGCCTATTGTTTTGGGGGGGGTGATTTTTTTTTTTTATTGTTGTTGTTGTTTTGTTTTTTTGGGATGGAGTTTCGCTCTTGTTGCCCAGGCTGGAGTGCACTGGTGCAATCTCGGCTCACCGCAACCTCCACCTCCCAGGTTCAAGCAATTCTCCTGCCTCAGCCTCCCAAGTAGCTGGGACTACAGGTGCGCGCCACCATGCCTGGTTAATTTTTGTATTTTTAGTAGAAATGTGGTTTCATCATGTTGGCCAGGATGGTCTCCATCTTTTGACTTCGTGATCCACCCACCTCAGCCTCCCAAAGTGCTGGGATTACAGGCGTGACCCACCACGCCTGGCTGTTTTTCTCTTTTTCCTTTTTTTTTTTTTTTTTTTTTTTTTTTTTTTCAGACAGAGTCTTGCTCTGTCACTCAGCCTGGAGTGCAGTGGTGCCATCATGACTCACTGCAAACTCCACCTCCTGGGCTCAGAGATCCTCCCACCTAAGCCTCCTGTAGTTGGAACTATAGGCATGCGCCACCATGCCTGGTTGGACTTCCTGTTCTTTGTGCTCATGGGAACCTGCCATATGCTTATGGTGTCTAGTCGATGAAGGCAGCACAGCCTGGAGGTTAAACAGTCAGCCTTGAGTTCAAATCCCAGCTCTCCCACTTACCAGCTGGGATTGGCTGTTTCCTCTGAGAAATGGAGATGATTATTATAAAAATACTGTCTCCTGGGAGTGTTGTGAGGGTAAAAATGCAACTGCGATGCAAATGTCATGCAAATTTGCCTAGTAGGTCCTAAATAAATATTTGCTCTTGCTTTTACTATGATCTCAATAGGAGTGATTAGAAATTAAGAGCTCAGACATTTTCCAGACCCAGGTGATTCTATCAGCTGTTACAAAGGTGTGTGAAGAGAGAAAAGATATTCACGCCCAGTTTAGCCATCCCCATGTAAAATTAAAATACCTTTCTAAAAGCTGGACATGGCTGGAACCCAGGAGTTCAAGTCCAGTCTGGGCAATGTAGGGAGACCCTGTCTCTAGAAAAAATAAATTATGGGGCCGGGCGCGGTGGCTAATGCCTGTAATCCCAGCACTTTGGGAGGCCGAGGCAGGCGGATCACGAGGTCAGGAGATCAAGACTATCCTGGCTAACAGGTGAAACCCCGTCTCTACTAAAAACACACAAAAAAATTGGCCGGGCATGGTGGCAGGCACCTGTAGTCCCAGCTACTTGAGAGGCTGAGGCAGGAGAATGGCATGAACCCGGGAGGTGGAGCTTGCAGTGAGCTGAGATCATGCCACTGCACTCCAGCCTGGGTGACAGAGTGAGACTCCGTCTCAAAAAATTAATTAATTAATTAATAAAATACCATACAGGCTGGGCGTGGTGGCTTACGCCTGTAATCCCAGCAGTTTGGGAGGCTGAGGCAGGTTGATCACTTGAGGTCAGGAATTTGAGACCAGCCTGGCCAACATAGTGAAACCCTGTCTCTACTAAAAATACAAAAATTAGCCAAGCATGGTGGTGTGTGCCTGTAGTCCCAGCTACTTGGGAGGCTGAGGCAGGAGAATCGCTTGAACCCCAGAGGAGAAGGTTGCAGTGAGCCGAGATCACACCACTGCACTCCTGCCTGGGCAACAGAGCGAGACTGCGTCTAAAAATAATAATAATAGTAATAAAATACCATATTGCATTCCTAGGGTTTCTCAAAGGGTAGTCCAAGAATCACCTTTATTTTTCATCTTTATTTTTTTTGAGAGTGGGTCTCACTTTGTCGTCCAGGCTGGAGTGCAGCGTCGTGATCTTGGCTCACAGCAGCCTCGACCTCCTGGGCTCCAAGTGATCCTCGTTCCTCAGCTCCCCAGTTAGCCAGGACTACAAGCATGTGCCACCACACTCCGTTAATTTTTGTAGTTTTTTTGTGAGCTCAGGCGATCTGCCTGCCTTGGCCTCCCCTGGCCTCCCAATGCTGGGATTACAGGCGGAAGCCACTGTGCCCAGCCCATAAGAACCACCCTTCTGAGGCTGGGAGGGGAGCTGGTGAATACCGCAGAGGTAGGAGGACCGAGGAATCTGCATTTTAAAAACTCCCCAGGGATTCTTGGATTCTTATTCTTACTAAATATAAAAATAATTCTCTCTTTGTAAAGAATCTCAGCAGGAAAACGGAAATGACTGTCTATGTTTGGGTTTTGTTTGTTTTTGAGACAGGGTCTTGCTCTGTCCCCCAGGCTGGAGCGCAGTGGCACAATCATGGCTCACTGCAGTCCCGACCTCCCGGGCTCAAGTGATCCTCTCACCTCAGCACCCCAAGTAGCTGGGGCTATCAGTGTGTGCTACCACGCTGAGATATATAGATAGACAGACAGACAGACAGACAGACAGTTAGATAGATAGATTTTAATTTTAGTAGAGACGAGGTCTCACTATGTTGCCTAGGCTGGTCTGGAATTCTTTTTTTTTTTTTTTGAGACGGAGTTTTCCTCTTGTCACCGAAGCTGGAGTGCAATGGCGTGATCTCGGCTCATTGCAACCTCCACCTCCCAGATTCAAGTGATTCTCCTGCCTTAGCCTCCTAAGTAGCTGGGATTACAGGTATGCATCTCCATGCCCAGCAAATTTTTGTATTTTTTTTAGTAGACACGGGGTTTCACCATGTTGGTGAAGCTGGTCTCAAACTCCTCACCTCAGGTGATCTGTCCGCTTTGACCTCCCAAAGTGCTGGGATTACAGGGATGTGCCACCGCGTCCGGCCTGGTCTGGAACTCCTGAGCTCAAGTGATCCTTCCACCTCAGCCTCCCAAAGTACTGGGATTACAGGTGTGAGCCACTGTGCCCACCAGGTCTCTGCTTGGGATGTCCTGAGCATCTGGGTGTGGCAGCCAGAGGGATGGAGCCTCTTCCTTTCCACTGGCGGTTCTTTTCCCTCTGACGGCAGACGGACTGAGAGGAAGCTGAGTGCTGGGCCTGAATCAGCTCCCATCCTGCCCATGTCAGGACTGAAAGAGTGTTTTGTGGTTTCCGTGAGGGCAGCAGAGCCGGTCACAGGTCACAGCTGGTCACAACTCCTGGGGAAAAAGCCACTCGGAAGCTCATGACCTGCTTCCCGCCCAACAAGCGACAGCCAGGCTAGAAGAGGCCATACATGAAAGAGAAGGGGCCGAGGGGCCAGGAGGATGCCTTCTGGGAATCCGCCCTGTTTCACTGCAAGCAGCAGGTTTGTGCCACCTACAGGTGGCACCCGGGTTGAGTAAACCACCCCCTGCCCCCAGCCCCCAGTTATTCCTTGGGAAACTTTAATTTCTAACCCTGTCCTGCTTCTGGGAAAACACCAACTGCTCTGGTTTTGTCTGAGGTTGGCACTGCATGGAGGTTAAGAGTGTGGACTTTGGGCTGGGCGCGGTGGCACACGCCTGTAATCCCAGCACTTTGGAAGGCCGAGGTGGGAGAATTGCTTGAGCCCAGGAGTTCAAGACCAGCCTGGGGCAACATAGTGAGACCTTGCATCCAAAAAAAAAAAAAAGGCGGGAGGAATCTGGCTTGAGCCCAGGACTTTAACACTAGTCTGGGCAACAATGTGAGACCTCGTCTCAACAAAACAATAAAATGAAAATTAGGCAGGCATGGCTGTGCACGCCTGCAGCCCCAGCTTCTCAGGAGACTGAGGTGGGAGCATCACTTGAGCCCAGGAGGGTCAAGGCTGCAGTGAGCTATGATTGCACCACTGCACTCCAGCCTGGACAAAAGAGCGAGACTGTCTCCAAGAAAAAAAAAAAAAAAAGAACGTGGACTCTGGAGCCGGGCTGAATCCCCAGCTCTGCTGTGTGATATTAGGCAGGTTACTGAACCCCTCTGTTATCCTAGTTACTTCATCTGTAAAATGGGGATCACATAACCTGTGCCTCATTGAATTGGGATGAGGACTGAATGAATTTACAATTGTCCAGGAGCCCAGGGCACTCACTGCTTGCGTGGGCAAGTGTGAAATAAGTGTTTATTGGCATCATTGTCACACTACTAATAATAATTAGCACTGTTTTTGGCCGGGTGCGGTGGTTCACGCCTGTAATCCCAGCACTTTGGGAGGCCGAGGCGGGTGGATCATGAGGTCAGGAGATCGAGACCATCCTGGCAAACACGGTGAAATCCGGCCTCTACTAAAAATACAAAAAAATTAGCCGGTGCAGTGGTGGGCGCCTGTAGTCCCAGCTACTCGGGAGGCTGAGGCAGGAGAATGGCATGAACCCGGGAGGTGGAGCTTGCAGTGAGCCGAGATTGTGCCACTGCACTCCAGCCTGGGAGACAGAGCGAGACTCTGTCTCAAAATAAAAATAATAATAATAATAACAATAACAATTAGCACTGTTTTCAAAGCGTTTCTCCCATCCCTAAGCCTGGGCTGAAAACTTTAGGCCTATAATGTCACCGAATTGCACACCTGAAAATGGTGAAAATGAAGCTGGGCACGGGCCTGTGGTCCCAGCTACCCAGGAGGCTGAGGTAGAAGGACTGCTTGAGCCCAGGAGTTCAAGGTTGCAGTAAGCCATGATCCCACCACTGCAGTTCAGCATGGGTGACACAACGAGATCCTGTCTCTAAAAAACAAAGAAAAGAAAATGGTGAAAATGGTAAATTTTTTGTTACATATATTTTAACACAATTTTAAAAATTCAGTAGGCAATCGGGCACGGTGGCTCACACCTGTAATCCCAGCACTTTGGGAGGCCAAGAGGGGCGGATCACTAGAGGTCAGGACTTCAAGACCAGCCTGGCCAACATGGTGAAACCCCGTCTCTACTAAAAATACAAAAATTAGCTGGGTATGGTGGTGCACGCCTGTAATCCCAGCTATTCAGGAGGCTGAGGCAGGAGAATTGCTTGAACCCCGGGAGGTGGAAGTTGCAGTAAGCTGAGATCGAATCATTGCACTTCAGCGTGTATGACAAGAGCAAAACTCTCTCTCTCAAAAACAAAAAACAAAAAACCAATAAAGCAGGAGCTACTGTGATCACTCCGTGTTACAAAAGACAAACAGTGAAGTTCAAAGAGACCACATGCCTCACCCAGGCTGGGCCCTGGGAGTGGCTAAGCCTGGACTTTATCCCAGTGTGCCTAACCGTGTCGTGAATGCAGAGACCTTTGTGCATTTATCCTTTTGTTCTCTCATTGAACAAACCTTGACTGGGCACAGTGGCTCAAGCCTGTAATCCCAGCACTTTGGGAAGCCAAGGCAGGCAGATTGCGTGAGTCCAGGAGTTTGAGACCAGCCTGAGCAACATGGCAAAACCCCGTCTCTACCAAAAAATACAAAAGTTAGTCGGGCATGCTGGTGCATGCCTGTAGTCCCAGCTAGTTGGGAGGCTCAGGTGGGAGGACTGCATGAGCCTGGGAGGTCAAGGCTGCAGTGAGCTGTGGTTGCACCACTGCTCTCCAGCCTGGGCAACAGAGCAAGACCCTGTCTCAAAAACATAAAAAAACCAAGTTGCCTCCCTACTAAGTGGCAGGCCCTGTATGAGATGCTGAGGGTTCTGCAGACGACAAGAGAGTCGATTATTAAACACTTGCCCAAATAAACGTGTATTGACAACAGGAACAAGTACTGAGGAGGAAGGTGCCCAAGGGAGATGCTGATGAGGAGTTGAACTAGTCCGGGAGTGCATGAAGGGAAGTAGGAAGCAAAGAATTTTCTGGGCAGAGGGAGCCACTTTTGCAAAGGCCCTGTGGCCTATGTGGCTGGTGAGGAGGGGCTGGGAGAGGTGGAAGTAGCCGAGGATGCAGAGAAGTGCAGAGGCCAGACTACCCCCTGGAAAGCTTCACCTCTGTCCCAAGAGTAATGGGGACCCTTGAGGGTTAGAAGCCAGGCTGGGTGTAGTGGCTCACGCCTGTAATCCCAGCCAAAGCCAGCAGATCACTTGAGGTCAGGAATATCAAGACCAGCCTGGCCAACATGGTGAAACCCCATCTCTACTGAAAATATAAAAAATTAGCTGGGTGTGGTGGTGGGTGACTGTAATCCCAGCTACTGGGGAAGATGAGGCAGGAGAATCGCTTGAACCCAGAGGGTGGAGGTTGCAGTGAGCTGAGATCGCACCACTGCACTCCAGCCTGGGGGACAGAGCAAGACTCTGTCTCAATAAAAAAAAAAGAAAGAAAGAAAAGAAGAAGAAGGAGGAAGAAGAACAAAGAACCCAGGGAGCCAGAGAATAACACAATCTAATTCACCACCCCCAGGAAAGATCAACCGCCTCTCCCTGGCCCCAGGCTTGGCATCCCATCAGCAGCAATGAGAAGTCCCAGCAGTCACCCACTCCTGATGAGACTCCTCCTGCCACACCCTCCCCACGCCCCTCCCTGCCTGGACACCACCCTGACCTCCCGAAGCCAGGGCTCTCCTGGCTCCTCGCTCTCCTCTGCTTTCTCCCTGACCCCAGTCCACTGAGACTCCTGTGACCCTGTATATTTCATGTCTCGCCTAGTCTCTCTCCCTGAACTGGAATAAAAGCTCTTTAGGGTCAAAGACATCTCGCTCCACAGTGCCCACAATACCCAGGACAGGGCCTGGCATCTCATAGGCACTCAATAAAAAGGCACTGAACTGTTCAGTGGAGTCCTAACAGCCCCTGCAAATGGGAAGGGAGCAAGAGTAGCCATGGGAGGTAGAACAGGTATCAACCGCAGGAGACAGAGTCTCACTACGTTGCCTGAATTTTTGTTCATTTCTTTGCAGCCCTGTGTCCAAGCACCATTGCCCCCTGCACAACCATCCCAGACAGAAATGGGATGCAGGGGAGGCAACGGTGCTTGGACACAGGGCTGCAAAGAAACCAGGAGGCGGAGGTTGCAGTGAGCCAAGATCCCACCACTGAAATCCAGCCTGGGTAACAAAACTCTGTCTCAAAAAAAAAAAAAAAAAAATGGCCGGGTGCGGTGGCTCACGCCTGTAATCCCAGCACTTTGGGAGGCTGAGGTGTGCGAATCACGAGGTCAGGAGATCGAGACCATCCTGGCTAACACAGTGAAACCCCATCTCTACTAAAAATACAAAAAATTGGCCGGGTGCGGTGGCTCACGCCTGTAATCCCAGCACTTTGGGAGGCTGAGGCGGGTGGATCACGAGGTCAGGAGATCGAGACCATCCTGGCTAACATGGTGAAACCCCGTCTCTACTAAAAATACAAAAAATTAGCCGGGCGTGGTGGTGGGCGCCTGTAGTCCCAGCTACTTGGGAGGCTGAGGCAGGAGAATGGCATGAACCCGGGAGGCAGAGCTAGCAGTGAGCCGAGATCGCACCACTGCACTCCAGCCTGGGCAACAGAGAGAGACTCCGTCTCAAAAACAAAACAAAAACAAACAAACAAAAATACAAAAAATTAGCCGGGCATGGTGGCGGCCGCCTGTAGTCCCAGCTACTTGGGAGGCTGAGGCAGGAGAATGGCGTGAACCCGGGAGGCGGAGCTTGCAGTGAGCCGAGACCGCACCACTGCACTCCAGCCTGGGCGACAGAGCGAGACTCCCTCTCAAAAAAAAAAAAAAAAAAATGACTGGGCGCGGTGGCTTACATCTGTAATCCCAGCACTTTGGGAGGCTGAGGCGGGAGGATCACCTGAGGTCAGGAGTTCAAGACCAGCCTGGCCAACCCCATGTCTACTAGAAATACAAAATTAGCTGGGCGTGATGTCGCATGCATGTAATCCCAGCTACTCGGGAAGCTGAGGCAGGAGAATCGCTTGAACCCGGGAAGCGGAGGTTGTGGTGAGCCGAGATCGCGCCATTGCACTCCAGTAGCTTGAGCAACAAGAGCAAAACTCTGTCTCAAAAAAGTAAATAAATAAAATAGGACATGGTCCAGAAATGGTCGGGAGCACCCCTAGAAGGACTTCTAAAGGTCATCTCATCATGGGAGATGAACCAGTGTTTCCTTCTCAGAGGAAAGATGGCTTAAGATCAACCTGGGTGTTGGGGCATTGGAGCCGAAGGAGATGAGAAGCTAAATCTAATCTCCACTCAGGAGTCCAGGGTCTTTTTTTATTTAATTATTTTTTTAGAGATGGGGGTCTCATTGTGTGGCCCAGGCTGGTCCCAAATTCCTGAGCTCAAGCCAAACTCCTGGGCTCAAGCAATCCTTCCACCTCGGCCTCCCAAAGTGCTGGAATTCCAAGGTCTTCTGAAAACCCAAGTCTGATCAAGTCGACCCAGGGAGAGCCCATCCCAGTCTTCTCACTAGTCCAGAAACAGCCAGTCACGTCCCTGCAAGTGGGACACCTGAAGCCTTGGAACTTCTGCCCGTGTGGTTCTTCCCCACCATCTTTGTCTAGCCTCAAGGCTCGATTTATTTTGCATTATTATTATTATTATTATTATTATTATTATTATTTGAGATGGAGTCTCACTCTGTTGCCCAGGCTGGAGTGCAGTGGTGCAATCTCAGCTCACTGCAACCTCTGCTCCCTGGGTTCAAGCGATTCTCCCACCTCAGCCTCCCAAAAAGCTGGGATTACAGGCACCCGCCACCATGCCCGGCTAATTTTTGTGTTTTAAGTAGAGACGAGGTTTCACCATGCTGCTCAGGCTGGTCTCGAACTCCTGACCTCGTGATCCGCCCACCTCGGCCTCCCAAAGTGCTGGGATTACAGGCGTGAGCCACCGCGCCCGGCCTATTGTTTTGAGCATTCTGTATGGAGGTGAATGGACCTGCTCCTCAGTCCCAGGCACAGCATCAGAATGAGGGCAGACGTCCTAGAAACAGGGCTTGCCGCCCGCACACTCAGGATAAGAACGGCGCACACCTGGGGGCCTCTGTTTCATTTCATTGCCTCATTCCATCTTCAGAGTAACTCCACGGGGGACCATCAGTACCTCCATTGTTACGAATTCAAACACTGAGACAGACCCAGAGGGGGGGCCTCAGCCCGAGAAGCAGCGGTGCTGGCTGTCAGCGAAGCCCAGGGCTGTCTGACTCTTGGTCCCAGTCACCTCCTACAAGGTTGTCTTAGGCCCCGTCCTGGGAAGAGTGCTCTCCACCACTCTCTCCTCCCTCTGCCTCCTGCCGCTCACAGATGTGTTCATTTCTTGTCTCACTTTCCCACCAGAACGTAAGGTGAAAGGGACACTCAAAGATGAATTATCCCCTGCTGGTGGCATCACGGACACATCTGAAAGTCATTTGATTTAGGGAGAAATGAGTATAACAGACTTGAATGAACCCTTTAAAATCATGCCACTTTTTTTTTTTTTTTTTGAGACAGTCTCGCCCTGTCACCCAGGCTGGAGTGCAATGGCACGATCTCAGCTTATTGCAACCTCCACCTCCCAGGTTCAAGCGATTTGCCTGCCTCAGTCTCCCAAGTAACTGGGATAACAGGCATGCATCACCATGCCCAGCTAATTTTTGTATTTTTAGTAGAGACAGGGTTTCACCACGTTGGCCAGGCTGGTCTCAAACACCTGACCTCAAGTGATCCACTGGCTTTGGCCTCCCAAATTGCTGGGATTACAGGTGTGAGCCACGGCGCCCGGCCAAACCATACCACTTCTGGCAGCTCTCATAGTTGCTGAGGTGGTTGCTACACTTATTTTGTTCACACCTGTGTTCCCACTGCCTAGTACGATGCCAGGCACATAGTACGTGCTCAGTAAATGCCTGTTGGGAGATTGAATTAATGAATGGAACGATTTCAGTCTTTTCTTTTACTGCTAAATTATATCCATATTGTCCTCATCCCCTTCCCTCCTTCCTTCCTTTCTTCCTGCTGTTCACAGCTTTTGACCCCCTACCAGATGTCATGCACGTTTATAGAAGCTGCTGTAAAAAGCTAAAAGTGACATGAAGTGCATGATAGTTGGTTCAATGGGTATTTTAAAACTCCCCCCTTCTTTTTTAATTTTTATTTATTCATTTATTATTTATTTATTTATTTATTTTTTTTATTTTTTTTTAATTGATCATTCTTGGGTGTTTCTCGCAGAGGGGGATTTGGCAGGGTCATAGGACAATAGTGGAGGGAAGGTCAGATAAACAAGTGAACAAAGGTCTCTGGTTTTCCTAGGCAGAGGACCCTGCGGCCTTCCGCAGTGTTTGTGTCCCTGGGTACTTGAGATTAGGGAGTGGTGATGACTCTTAACGAGCATGCTGCCTTCAAGCATCTGTTTAACAAAGCACATCTTGCACTGCCCTTAATCCATTTAACCCTGAGTGGACACAGCACATGTTTCAGAGAGCACGGGGTTGGGGGTAAGCTTATAGATTAACAGTATCCCAAGGCAGAAGAACTTTTCTTAGTACAGAACAAAATGGAGTCTCCTATGTCCACTTCTTTCTACACAGACATAGCAACAATCTGATTTCTCTATCTTTTCCCCACATTTCCCCCTTTTCTATTCGACAAAACCACCATCGTCATCATGGCCCTTTCTCAATGAGCTGTTGGGTACACCTCCCAGACGGCGTGGCGGCCGGGCGGAGGGGCTCCTCACTTCTCAGACGGGGCGGCCGGGCAGAGACGCTCCTCACCTCCCAGACGCGGTCGTGGCCGGGCAGAGGGGCTCCTCACATCCCAGACGGGGCGGCGGGGCAGAGGCGCTCCCCACATCTCAGACGATAGGCGGCCGGGCAGAGACGCTGCTCACTTCCTAGACGGGATGGCGGCTGGGAAAAGGCGCTCCTCACTTCCCAGACTGGGCAGCCGGGCAGAGGGGCTCCTCACATCCCAGACGATGGGCGGCCGGGCAGAGACGCTTCTCACTTCCCAGACGGGGTGGCGGCCGGGCAGAGGCTGCAATCTCGGCACTTTGGGAGGCCAAGGCAGGCGGCTGGGAGGTGGAGGTTGTAGCGAGCCGAGATCACGTCACTGCACTCCAGCCTGGGCAACACTGAGCACTGAGTGAACGAGACTCCGTCTGCAATCCTGGCACCTCGGGAGGCCTAGGCTGGAAGATCACTGGCAGTTAGGAGCTGGAGACCGGCCCGGCCAACACAGCGAAAACCCGTCTCCACCAAAAAAATACGAAAACCAGTCAGGCGTGGCGGCGTGCGCCTGCAATCGCAGGCACTCGGCAGGCTGAGGCAGGAGAATCAGGCAGGGAGGTTGCAGTGAGCCGAGATGGCAGCAGTACAGTCCAGCTTCGGCTCAGCATCAGAGGGAGACCGTGGAAAGGGGAGAGGGAGAGGGAGGGGGAGGGGAAGGGGGAGGGGGAGGATTTATTTATTTTGAAATGAAGTCTCATTCTGTTGCCCAGGCTGGAGTGCAGTGGCACAATCTCGGCTCCCTGCAACCTCCAGCTCATGGGTTCAAGCGATTCTCCTGTCTCAGCCTCCCAAGTAGCTGGGATTACAGGTGTGTACCACCACGCCTTGCTAATTTTTGTATTTTTAGTTGAGACGGAGTTTCACCATGTTGGCCAGGCTTGTCTTGAACTCCTGATCTCATGTGATCTGCCTGCCTTGGCCTCCCAAAGTGCTGGGATTACAGGTGTAAGCCACCATGCCCAGCCTAAAAATTCCCTTTAATATAATGTGAAGGCTGGGCATGCTGGCCTGTAATCCCAGCACTTTGGGAGGCTGAAGCAGGCAGATCACCTGAGGTCGGGAGTTCGAGACCAGTCTGAACAATATGGAGAAACCCCATCTCTAAAAAAATACAAAATTAGCCAGGCGTGCTGGCGCATGCCTATAATCACAGCTACTCGGGAGGCTGAGGCAGGAGAATCACTTAAACCTGGGAGGCGGAGGTTGCGGTGAGCTGAGGTTGCGCCATTGCACTCCAGCCTGGGCAACAAGAGTGAAACTCCGTTTCAAAAAAAATATATATGTATATATATACACATATATATATACACACACACACACATATATGTATATACATATATATACATATATACACATATATAATGTGAAAAGCACTATTTTATTTTTTCATCACTTGTTTTCTGTACCTTTATTGAGGTATACTTATTTATTTTTTGTGGGTTTTTGTTTTTCGGAGACAGGGTCTTGCTCTTTCTCGCAGGCGGGAGTGTAGTGACACCATCACAGCTCGGTTCAGCCTTAACCTCCTGGGCTCAAGGGATCCTCCTGCCTCAGTTTCCCAAAGTGCTGGGATTATAGGCATGAGCCCACAATTGGCCTACTCTGCCATTTGATAATGGACTTCAGCATCCTCGAATTGTGGAATCAGTGGAACCAGTCTCCTGCAGATGCAAGGGTGGACTTTGTGCCTTTTTTTTTTTTTTGAAAGGGTGTCCCGCTCTGTCGCCAGGCTGGAGTGCAGTGGCATGATCTCGGCTCACTGCAACCTCCACCTCCCAGGCTCAAGTGATCCTCCTGCCTCAGCCTCCCAAGTAGCTGGGATTACAGGCATGTGCCACCACGCCCGGCTAATTTTTGTATTTTTAGTAGAGACGGGGTTTTACCATCTTGACCAGGATGGTCTTGATCTCTTAACCTCATGATCCGCCTGCCTCCGCCTCCCAAAGTGTTGGGATTACAGACATGAGCCACCACGCCCTGCCAACTCTGTGCATTTTAACAAGCTTGGACATATGCATATACCCACGATACCATCACTATAATGAAGGTAATAGACACATCCATGATTCCCAAAATATTTGCTGGGTCCCCTTGCTGTCTTTTGTTTTTTATGGTTTTTGTGGCAAGAACACTTAATTAATACGAGATCTGCAGTCTTCACAAGATTTCCAGTGTACAACACTGTATTGTGTATTAACTGTAGACACAATGGTATCCAGCAGATCTCTAGAACTTATTCTTTGTATTCTAAAAACAAAACTAGAGGCCGGGTTGGCGGGGGCAGGGGGGTGGTGGCTCACGCCTGTAATCCCAGCACTTTGGGACACCAACGTGGGTGGATTACCCAAGGTCAGGAGTTGGAGACCAGCCTGGCCAATATGGCGAAACCCCGTCTCTACTAAAAATACAAAAACTAGCCAGGCATAGTAGTGGCATGCACCTGTAGTACCAGCTACTTGGGAGGTTGAGGCAGAAGAATCACTTGAACCCAGGAGGCGGAGGTTGCAGTGAGCTGACCTTGTGCCACTGCACTCCAGCCTGGGTGACAGACTGAGACTCTGTCTCCAAATAATAATAATAATAATAATAATAATAATAATAATAATGTTACCAGATTATTTCATATTAATAAACTCATGAGCGGGAGTAATGTATCAACTAAGCAACTTGGGAACTACTTCTAAAGATGTAGTATAAATAAATAAGCAACAACAATATATAATATGGCCTGCAATTGTGCTATGTTAAATTATGTTTCTGTTAACCACGCAGAGACCCTGTTCTGTAATGTAAACAATGAGATAACGTGGTGAAGATGATAAGGATACTATCCAAAGTGGACCTGTCTGCATAGCCTCCCAAGGCACCTGGCAGAAGCAAACACTGGGACCTGTGAAGGGCTACATCTTCTGGAAAACAATGCATACAATGAAATGCACAGCATTTACATGGCAGACGCTTATTTGGACCATTGCTAAATTTATCTATGTATGTATGTATTATTCATCGAATTGTCCTAGCAGATATTTGGAGAGTGACAGTGTTTTGTTATTTTTACTTTATTTTTATTTTATTTATTTATTTATTTATTTGAGATGGAGTCTTGCTCTGTTGCCCAGGCTGGAGTGCAATGGCACAATCTTGGCTCACTGCAACCTTTGCCTCCTGGGTTCAAGTGATGCTCCTGCCTCTGGCTCCTGAGTAGCTGGGATTATAGGTGCCCACCACCGTGCCTGGCTAATTTTTGTATTTTTAGTAGAGACGGGGTTTCACAATGTTGGCCAGGCTGGTCTCAAACTCTTGATCTCAGGTGATCCACCCGCCTCAGCCTCCCAAAGTGCTGGGATTACAGGCGTGGGTCACCACTCCCAGCCTTATTTTATGTTTGAGACAGGTTCTTGCTCTGCCGCCCAGGTTGGAGTGCAGTGGTGTGATCACGGCCCATTGCAGCGTCAACCTCCTGGGCTCAAGTGATCCTCGCACCTCAGCCTCCCAAGTAGCTGAAACTACAGGTACGTACCACCATCCCCAGCTAATTTTTTTCTTTTTTTTTTTCCCTTTTTTTTGTAGAGATGGGGTTTCACTATGTTGTCCAGGCTGGTCTTGAACTTCTGGGCTCAAGCAATACTCCTGCCTCTCAGCCCAAAGTGCTAAGATTGCAGGCATGAGACATCATGCCTGGCTTTATTTTTATTTTTTCGTTAATTTTTGTAGAAAGGCGGTCTTGCTATGTTGCCCAAGCTAGTCTTGACCTCCTTTGCTCCAGCGATTCTCCCACCTCAGCTTCCCAACGTGCTGGGATTATAGGCTTGAGCCACCACACCAGGTCCTGTTTTTATTTATTTATTTATTTATTTATTTATTTATTTATTTATTGTTTTGAGACGGAGTCTCATTCTTGTGGCCCAGGCTGGAGTGCAGTGGTGCAGTATCGGCTTACTGCAACCTCTGCCTCCCAGGTTCAAGCGATTCTCCCTGAGTGGCTGGGACTACAGGCATGTGCCACCATGCCCAACTAATTTTCATATTTTTAGGAGAGGGGGGGTTTCACCATGTTGGCCAGGCTGGTCTCAAACTCCTGACCTCAAGTGACCCACCCGCCTCGGCCTCCCAAAGTGCTGGGATTACAGGCGTGAGCAACTGCACCCGGCCTGTTTTTATATTTTTTATTGAGACAAGTCTCACTCTGTCACCCAGCCTAGAGTGTGGTGGTGTGATCACAGCTCACCGCAGCTTAGACTTCCTGCGCTCAAGTGATCTTCCCACCCCAGCCTCCCAAGTGAAGGAGAGAATGAAAGTCTTTACATGAGACATTTTTGTAGTGTACTTAGAAAAAGGTGCAGGCACTGGTCCTGGTGGTTCACACTTGTAATCCCAGCACTTTGGAAGGCCAAGGCAGGAAGATCTCTTGAGGCTAGGAGTTCAAGGCCAGCCTGGGCAACATGGCCACCCCATCTCTACAAAAAACTTAAAAACAAAAAGCGTAGTGGCACACACCTATAGTCGCACCTACTCAGGAGGCTGAGGTGGGAGGATCGCTTGAGCCCAGGAGGTCGAGGCTGCAGTGAGCTATGATTGCACCACTGCACTCAGCCTAGGAGACAGAGAAAGACAATAAAGAAACAAATGAAAAGAAAATGAAGGAAGAAATGGAGGGAGGAAAGAAGGAAAGAAGAAAAAGAAAGAAAGAGAGAAGAAAGAAAGAAGTGCAGTAGTTTCTCATAGAAATTTCTAGGGCTGTGCATTGCCAAGACAATCCTAAGCCAAAAGAACAAAGGTGGAGGCATCATGTTACCTGACTTCAAACTACACTACAAGGCTACAGTAACCAAAACAGCATGGTACTGGTACCAAAACAGAGATATAGACCAATGGAATGGAATAGAGCCCTCGGAAATAATACCACACATCTACAACCATCTGCTCTTTGACAAACCTGACAGAAGCAAGAAATGGGGAAAGGATTCCCTAGTTAATAAATGGTGCTGGGAAAATTGGCTAGCCATATGTAAAAGCTGAAACTGGATCTCTTCCTTATACCTTATACAAAAATCAATTCAAGATGGATTAAAGACTTAAACGTTAGACCTAAAACCATAAAAACTCTAGAAGAAAACCTAGGCAATACCACTCAGGCCATAGGCATGGGCAAGGACTTCATGACTAAAACACCAAAAGCAATGGCAACAAAAGCCAAAATTGACAAATGGGATCTAATTAAACTAAAGAGCTTTTGCACAGCAAAACAAACTACTATTGGAGTGAACAGGCAACCTACAGAATGGGAGAAAATTTTTACAATCTACCTATCTGACAAAGGGCTAATATCCAGAATCTACAAAGAACTTAAACAAATTTACAAGAAAAAGTCAAACAACCCCATCAAAAGTGGGTGAAGGATATGAACAGACACTTCTCAAAAGAAGACATTTATGCAGCCAAAAGACACGTGAAAAAATGCTCATCATCACTGGCCATCAGAGAAATGCAAATCAAAACCACAATGAGATACCATCTCACACCAGTTAGAATGGCAATCATTAAAAGTCAGGAAACAACAGGTGCTGGAGAGGATGTGGAGAAATAGGAACGCTTTTACACTGTTGGTGGGACTGTAAACTAGTTCAACCATTGTGGAAGACAGTGTGGTGATTCCTCAAGGATCTAGAACTAGAAATGCCATTTGATCCAGCTATCCCATTACTGGGCATATAGCCAAAGGATTATAAATCATGCTGCTATAAAGACACACGCACACATATGTTTATTGCAGCACTATTCACAATAGCAAAGACTTGGAACCAACCCAAATGTCGATCAATGATAGACTGGATTCAGAAATGTGGCACATATAGACCATGGGATACTATGCAGCCATAAAAAAGGATGAGTTCATGTCCTTTATAGGGACATGGATGAAGCTGGAAACCATCATTCTGGGCAAACTATTGCAAGGACAGAAAACCAAACACCGTGTGTTGTCACTCATAGGTGGGAACTGAACAATGAGAACACATGGATACAGGGTGGGGAACATCACACACCAGGGCCTGCTGGGGGGTGGGGGGAGGGGGGAGGGATAGCATTAGGAGATATACCTAATGTAAATGACAAGTTAACGGGTGCAGCACACCAACATGGCACATGTATACATATGTAACAAACCTGCACGTTGTGAACATGTACCCTAGAACTTAAAGTAAAATTAAAAAAAAAAGAAAAAAAGAAATGTCCGGGGCTGGGCGTGGTGGCTCACGCCTGTAATCCCAGCACTTTGGGAAGCCGAGGCAGGCGGCTCACTTGAGGTCAGGAGTTTGAGACCAGCCTGGCCAACCTGGTGAAACCCCGTCTCTACTAAAGATACAAAAAAAATTAGCCAGGTGTGGTGGTATGCGCCTGTAATCCCTGCTACTTGGGAGGCTGAGGCAGAAGAATCATTTTAACCCAGAAGGCAGAGGTTTCAGTGAGCTGAGATCGCACCACCACACTCCAGCCTGGGTGACAGAGTGAGACTCTGTCTCAAAAAAAAAAAAAAAATTAAAAAATTAAAACAGAAGAAAAAGGAAAGAAAATAAAAACAAAGGTGGAGTCTTCAAAATTACTTTAGCCTGTTCTTTTGTTCTGGGACCGCCTTAAGTAAACCTTTAAGCTATGCAAATGAGGTAAGGAGTCCAGATCCAGCCTTCAGTGAGCCGGGTGGGGAAGGGTGGGTAGGTGGGAGTTGAATTATAAGAAGCTGGAGGCGGAGAAGGCAGGGATCACATCACTTTCTCTTATTTCCTATTTTCCTCTGAACGGGCTCAGAAAGCTCAGGAAGGCCCCAGAGAGCTTGCTTTCCGGAGATTCCCCATGCCGCCGTTAAGACCAATTCGGAAATCGAGGCGTGAGCCAAGCTTCAAGCGTAGCCAGAGGCGCAAATCTCAGCCCCTCCCCAAGGCCCTGAGGTGCCTTCCCCAGGAAGACCCAAGTACCAGCCACCAGTCCCTGTGGCTACTGGCTGAGTTCAGCTGCAGTGATCACAGCACAAAACAAGGTATGTTTTTTAAAATTATATTTTCCAACTTGATTGCTGGCTATAAGAAAACTTCATGGACATAGATAACGCCGTTGATCACCTTAGAGAAAATGTACAGTGCTTTCGATAGCTTGTGTTTCCTCTGGAGGGTTTTAGGCATGACATTTCCAAATCCGTGTTTGGCCTCTTCTGTTGCAGTTGAGCTTGTGTTTTCTCTTCTTGCCTTTCCTGGTGTTCCTTGGAAATGGATTGGATTGATAAAAACGGAGTTGGTTGTTTTTTTTTTATTTGTTTGTTTGTTTGATTTTTGAGATAGGATCTCGCTCTGTCACCCAGGCTGGAGTGCAGTGGTGCCATCTTGGCTCATGCAGCCTCAGCCTCCCGGGCTCAAGCAATCCTCCTACCTCAGCCTCCCGAGTAGCTAGGACTATAGGTGCGCACCACCATGCCCAGCTAATTTTGTTTATTTTTTGCAGAGATGAGGTTTCACTGTGTTGCCTAGCAGAGTCCCCCTCATCTTGGCATCCTACAGTGCTGGGATTATAGGCATAAGCCACAGTACCTGTCTAGGAGTTGGTCTTTTCAGCAACAAGTGGAAGGATGAATTTGGGACACAGGCTAGAGGCAGGGTGGAGAGCAAAGGGTGAGATGTGATCTAGCGCAGCAGGAGTAATGGCTAAAGGACGCCTGCATAGAACAGAGGTTCCGAGATTGGAACAAATGCCAAAATCAAGTAGGATCATAATTACCCTTAAATCCCTTAAATCACCTTTGTAATCTCTTCCAAACTAGAACAGATCACCTCATTGAGTGCTGCTGAATTGACTATTTAGCAATATCATTACATCTCCCCAACAAAGGTCTGCTGGCATTATCAATGTGAGCCACTGCACCCGGCCCACACTGAACATTTTCAATACTCAATGTACAATTCAATGGTTTTCAGTGCATTCACAAAAGTGTGCAACCATCACCACCATCTAATCCCAGAACATTTTTTCTTTTTTTTTTTTTTCCTGAGACAGGGTTTCTTTCACTCCAGTTGCCCAGGCTGGAATGCAGTGGCACAACTTCGGATCACTGCAGCCTTGACCTCCTGGGCCCAAGTGATGCTCCCAGCTGAGCCTCCTGAGTAGCTAGGATTACAGGCGTGTGCCACCACACCAAGCTAACTATTTGTATTTTTAGTAGAGATGGGGATTTCACCATGTTGCCCAAGCTGGTCTTGAACTCCTGGGCTCAAGTGATCTTCGCACCTCAGCCTCCCACCATGCTGGGATTACAGGCGTAAGCCATGACACCCTGTGTCCTCAGAACACTTTCATCATGCCGAAAAGAAACACCATACCGGTGGTGGACGTGGTGGCTCGTGCCTGTAATCCCAGCACTTTGGGAGGCCAAAGGAGGGTGGATCACTTGAGGTCAGGAGTTCAAGACTAGCCTGGCCAACATGGTGAAATCCCGTCTCTACTAAAAACACAAAAATTGGCTGGACATGGTGGTTTGCACCTGTAGTCCCAGCTACTAGGGATGCTGAGGTGGGAGGATCACTTGAACCCAGGAGAGGGAGGTTGCAGTGAGCCGAGATCCTGATAACTGCACTTGAACCTGGGCGACAAATTGAGACTCTGTCTCAAAAACAAACACCGTACCCATTAGCAGTCACTCCCCTTTTTCCCCACTCTTTTCAGCTCCTGGCAAAAGCTAATCTACTTTCTGTTTATAATTTGCGTAACCTGAATATTTCTTATAAGTGGAAGCATATGTGACCTTTTGTGTCTGGCTTTTTCTCTTAGCATAATGTTTTCAAGATTCATCCAAGTTGTAGTATGAATCTAGTTTATTTCATTTTATGGCTGAATAGTATTTTATTTTATGGAAGATATATTTTATTATTACTTTTAGAGGTCGTGTCTGTGCTATGCTGCCCAGGCAGGTCTTGAACTCCTGTCCTTGAGCAATCCACCTCAGCCTCTGGAGTAGCTGGGATTACAGGCAGCTGAGCATAGTGCTCAGCTGTTAGATCACATTTTATTCATCCATTCATTCTTTGATGGACATTTGGGTTGTTTCCACCTTTTGGTGACTGAATAACACTGCTATGTGTGTGTACATGTATTTGTTTGAGTCCCTGTTTTCAGTTCTCTTGGGTATATGCCTAGGAGTGGAATTCCTGGGTCCTATGGTAACTCTTTAGCTTTTGGAGGAACTGGCTTTCACTTTGTAAAAGTTAATGTCGGGCGCAGTGGCTCATGCCTGTAATCCCAGCACTTCGGGAGGATCACGAGATCAGGAGTTCAAGACCAGCCTGGCCAAGATGGTGAAACCCCATCTCTACTAAAAATACAAAAATTAGCCGGGTGTGGTGGCAGGCACCTGGAATCCCAGCTACTCAGGAGGGTGAGGCAGATAACTGTTTGAACCTGGGAGGCAGAGGTTGCAGTGAGCTGAGATCTGAATTCCCGCCACTGCACTCCAAACTGGGCAACAGAGCGAGACTCCGTCTCAAAAAAAAGGGGCTGGTACAGAGTGGATAAGGGAAAACAATGGCTATTTGTATACATTCAGTGGCAGAATATTAAGTTAGGGTTTTCTTTGGATGTGGGTTTTGAAAAACTGATAAGCCTGGGTAAAGACATGATAGGACTCATTAGGAACTCCAGCAGGGAGTTGAAACCTCTTAAAAATAAAAACTAAAAATAACAGCTTTTTTTTTTTTTGAGACAGAGTCTCACTCTGTTGCCCAGGCTGGAGTTCAGTGGTACAATTTTGGCTCACTGCCACCTCCACATTGCAGGTTCAAGCAATTCTCCTGCCTCAGCCTCCTGAGCAGGAGCTGGGACTACAGGCTCCTGCCAGCACACCCGGCTAATTTTTGTATTTTTAGTAGTGACAGGGTTTCACACCATTGGCCAAGCTGGTCTTGAACTCCTGACCTCAGGTATCCACCCGCCTCAGCCTCCCAAAGTGTTGGGATTACAGGTGTGAGCCCCCACCGTGCCAGGCCAATAACAGTTTTATTGAAATATAATTCACCTACTGCACAATTTATCTGTATTAAATGTACAATGCAATGGTTTTTACTATGTTCAGAGAGTTGTACAACCATCACCATAGTCAATTTTAAGACATTGTCATTTCTCCCCCCAAATCCTATACCCATCTGCAGCCACTCCCCATTGCCCACCTCCTGTGAACCGCAGGCAGTTGCTAGTCTGTTTTCTGTCTCTATGGATTTGCTTTTCATGGGCGTTTCATATCAATTAATCATATAATAGTTCTCCTTTTATCTACTTTCTTTCACTTAGCATGGTATTTTCAAGGTTCATCAATGCTGTAGCATGAATCAGTACTTCATTCTTATTTACGGCTGAATAATATTCCATTGTGCTGATAGATCACTCTTGTTGACCCACTCACTTGTTGATGAACACTGGGGTTGTGTTCAGAGTTGACATCTTGGTGTTGCTTCTTACTGGACCAGTTTTGGGGCCATTAGCCTTTTGCTGCCTTAGTGTCCTGTTCTGTAAAATGGGAGTAATAATAGCACCTCTCAAAGGCAGGGCTGGCACTAGCTTTTACAGTGCCCTTGTGCAAGCTAATGGTGCCCCTCTGGGCAGACACCTGCCTCATCCCATGGCCAGGTAAGTAGGTGAAGCCTTTGGTGCCAAAAGCAATGTTGGTTGGGGGTAGTTCCTGGGCTAAACTGAGTCCCACCCCTCTTTAAAATATGTAGTTTTAGGCCGGGCACAGTGGCTCACGCCTGTAATCCCAGCACTTTGGGAGGCCAAGGACGGCGGATCAGGAAGTCAGGATGAGACCATCCTGGCTAATGCAGTGAAACCCTGTCTCCACTAAAAATACAAAAAATTAGAGGCCAGGCATGGTGGCTCATACCTGTAATCCCAGCACTTTGGGAGGCTGAGGTGGGCAGATCACGAGGTCAGGAGATCGAGACCATCCTGGCTAACACGGTGAAACCCCGTCTCTACTAAAAAAAAAAAAATGCAAAAAATTAGCCAGGCATGCTGGCGGGTGCCTGTAGTCCCAGCTACTCGGGAGACTGAGGCAGGAGAAAGGCGTGAACCCGGAAGGCAGAGCTTGCAGTGAGCCGAGATCGCGCCAATGCACTCCAGCCTGGACGACAAAGTGAGACTCTGTCTCGAAAAAAAAAAAAAATTAGCCAGGTGTGGTGGCATGCGCCTGTAGTCCCAGCTACTCGGGGAGGCAGGAGAATCGCTTGAACTCAGGAGGCGGAGGTTGCAGTGACCCAGGATCGCACCACCACTCTCCAGCCGGGGCGACAGAGCAAGAGACTCCGTCTCAAAAAAAAAAAAAAAAAAATGTAGTTTTAAGGCTGGGTATGGTGGCTCGTGCCTGTAGTCCCAGCACTTTGGGAGGCCAAGGCAGGAGGATCACCTAAGGTCAGGAGTTTGAGACCAGCCTGGCCAACATACAATGAAACCCCGTCTCTACTAAAAAAATACAAAAATTAGCTGGGTGTGGTGGTGCACACCGGTAGTTCTAACTACTTGGGAAGCCGAGACAGGAGAATCACTTGAACCCAGGAGACGGAGGTTGCAGTGGGCCGAGATTTGGCCACTGCACTCCAGCCTGGGTGACAGAGCAAGACTCTATCTCTAAAGAAAAGAAAAAAAAAAAGTAGTTTTAAATTTTAGCTTTACAGTTTCCATTTAAAATGCCATTTTCTAGCCAGGAGTGGTATAATCACAGCCTATAATCCCAGCATTTTGGGAGGCTGAGGTAGGAAGAGCACTTAAGGCCAGGAGTTCAAGACCAGCCTGGGCAACAGCAACATAGCAAGATCTTGTTAGTAACAATTTGACTAATTTTCCTAAAAATAAAAATTAAGAAAAGAAAAAGATGACACTGATGCTGGCTGTCCATGTTCTCACTGACTCTCATTGCAACTTCGTCTAAATGTGAGCCAACCCAGTCACTCTACCAAAGCACCTTTGTCGAACTGTTTTCTTAAAAATTTTGGATGGATGTGGTGGCTCACGCCTGTAATCCCAGCACTTTGGGAGGCCGAGGCGGGCGGATCACCTGAGGTTGGGAGTTCGAGACCAGCCTGACCAACATGGAGAAACCCCATCTCTACTAAAAATACTAAATTAGCTGGGCGTGGTGGGGCATGCCTGTAATCCCAGCTACTCCAGAGGCTGAGGCAGGAGAATCGCTTGAACCCGGGGAGGCGGAGGTTGTGGTGAGCCAAGATCGTGCCGTTGTACTCCAGCCTGGGCAACAAGAGTGAAATTCCACCTCAAAAAAAAAAAAAAAAATGAACACGACTCCAACCACTATACACACACCTGGCCAACTGGGAGCAGTCATTTTGGCATAAAGCTTTCATTTGCATTTGGCTGTCTCTCTTCCAAAACCAATCCCAGAAGAATGCTGGTCACATGACTTCGTTTTATTTAGCCACTCTGTGGCAGTCACTTTTGCTATTCATTTAGCCTGAGGCAACAGGGTCCCTATCTCATAATAGGCACTCATCCCAAAAACAGATTTGAGTGAAAGGATGGTGGATTGCGGGGGTCAGGAATTGGAGGCTGGGGTCTCATTCTGTTCTTTTTCTTTTTTTTTTTTTTTTGAGAAGGGGTCTCACTCTGTTGCCCAGGCTAGAGTGCAGTGGCACGATCTTGCCTCACTGCAACCTCTATCTCCCGGGTTCAAGCCATTCTCTTGCCTCAGCCTCCTAAGTAGCTGGGATTACAGGTGCCTGCCACCATACTTGGCTAATATTTTTGTATTTTCAGTAGAGGTGGGGTTTCACTATGTTGGCCAAGCTGGTCTCCAACTCCTGACCTCAGGTGATCTGCCCGCCTCAGTCTCCCAAAATGCTGGGATTACAGGCGTGAGCCACTGTGCCCAGCCTCATTCTGTTCTTAGAACAATGATCTCACAACCTCTGATTTTTTTTCTTTTTTCTTTTCATTTCTTTTTCTTTTTTTTTTTTTTTGAGGTGAAGTCTCTCTCTGTCGCCCAGGCTGAAATGCAGTGGCACAGTCTCAGCTCACTGCAGCCTCCACCTCGCAGGTTCAAGCGATTCTCCTGCCTCAGCCACCCAGGTAGCTGGGACTAAAGGCGTGCACCACCATGCCTGGTTTTTTTGTTTGTGTGTTTGTTGGTTTGTTTTTGAGACAGGGTCTCACTTTGTTACCCTGGCTGGAGTGCAGTAGTGCGATCTTGGCTCACTGCAACTTCCATTCCTGGTTCAAGCGATCCTTCCATCTCAGCCTCCTGAGTAGCTGGGACCACAGGCGCAAGCCACCACACCCATCTAATTTTCTTTTTTTTTTTTCTCCCCCCGAGAAGGAGTTTCGCTCTTGTCGCCCAGGCTGGAGAGCAGTAGCGCCATTTCGGCTCACTGCAACCTCCGCCTCCTGGGTTCAAGCGATTCTCCTGCCTCAGCCTCCCAAGTAGCTGGAATTACAGGTGTGCGCCACCACACCCAGCTGATTTTTGTATTTTTAGTAGAGACGGGGTTTCACCATGTTGGCCAGGCTGGTCTCGACCTCCTGACCTCAGGTGACCCACCCACATCGGCCTCCCAATGTGCTGGGATTACAGGCGTGAGCCACTGTGCCTGGCCACACCCGGCCAATTTTCATGTATTTTTTGGTAGAGACAGGTTTTCATCATGTTACCCAGGCTGTTGTCAAACTCCTGAGCTCAAGCAATCTGCCCACCTCGGCCTCTCAAAGTGCTAGGATTACAGGCGTGAGCGAATGCACTGGCCAACCTGTGGATTTTGAAGCGTTTGATATTTTATGGTTTCAGGTAGACTGTTTTCCCATTTCCCTGATAAGAATCCAGAATTAGAAAAGGTTGGGCTGGGCGTGGTGGCTCACGCCTGTAATCCTAGCACTTTGGGAAGCCGATGTGGGTGGTTCACCAGAGGTCAGGAGTTTGAGATCAGCCTGACCAACATGGTGAAACCCCGTTTCTACCAAAAAGGCAAATATTAGCCAGGTGTGGTGGTGTGCACCTGTAATCCCAGCTACTCAGGAGGCTGAGGCAAGAGAATCGCTTGAACCCAGGAGGCGGAGGTTGCAGTTAGCTGAGATCGTGCCATTGCACTCCAGCCTGGGCTGGACTCTACCTCAAAAAAAAAAAAAAAAAAAGGAAAAAGAAAAGAAAAGAAAAAAGAGAAAAGAAAAGGTTAAGTAAGCTTCCCAAATTCAAGTTTACAGAACCATGTATGGAGCTAGGTTCCACCTGGTTTCTGAATCCTAAAGCCCCTTACTCTCCCACACTGCTTGACCTTGGCTAAGTCCCTTATCTTCTCTAAACCCAAATCCTCATCAGTAACCTTGTGGTATGGGATTAGGTCATCTTTCTAGGTATGGATTATTTAGGAATTTAGTTATCCCGGTGGGGCGGGGGGTGGGGGCAGATGAAGGCGTGGAGAGGGGGAAAGCTGTTAATCCCTTTTCTTCTCTGACACTTCTATTAAATAATTTTAGACCCTGACCAACATAGCTTCAAGGTAGATAAATATTTTGGTTCTCAAGAAGAAAAACCAACCCTCTGTTTATGCCAAGTCATGCCATGGCCCTGGGAGCAGCAAAATATGTTTTGATCCAAGTAATGATAGGGTGGGCCCTCCCTGCCCTTTACTGGCTCTAGCTAATGACAAGTCAGTTTCTCCAGCGGTTCCTGTCTCCCCGGTTTTTCATCTCCTTAGTCCCCGGTTTCTGAACCACGGTAGGGGTCATGAATTTTTTTTTTTTTAATTGGCAGTGATCAAAAATGGTGCCCTCAGTCATCTTCCCCTTCAGAGCCCTTCATGTCCTTTGGAGGCATCTTGGCATTCACCCTCTGAGGAAGCAGGCATTACTCAGCGGATTCACTTCTGCAGAGTCCTTCCACACACACCCCTTCTGTGTGCAAATGGACTTTATAGCCAATGCAGGCACAATTCTACCAGGGGAGGAAGAAAACAGGCCAGCCGAGCCTGCTGGAATAATCCAGTGGGGGCCTTTTTAGTGGGCCTCCAAGGGCACTGGTCTTGCTTTTCTCATAGCTGTGGTGCCCTAGAAATGAACTCTCCCTCCACTATCCACTCCTCAGTGAAAGATGTGGACCAGCCAGGAAGAAGCAAAGAAGTGCTGTTTTATTGACTCCAGAAGAGAGGCCTTCCAAGCGAGCAGGCACTGTCATTCCCAGCCTGTATCCCAGAGGCTCTGAGCTCCTAGCAGGCAGTAAACAGTTGCAGGGGTGAAAGCATTCATTCGGCAAATCGGCAAATCTTCACTGAGCATCCACTGTAAGCTTGGTGCTGTACTGAGGATAGAGCTGTAGACAAGACAATTTCTTCCTCAAGGTGCTTCTAGAAAGAGAGAGAGATATTGTGTGTTTTTTGTTTTTTGTTTTTTGTTTTTTTTTGACACAGAGTCTCGTTCTATAGCCCAGGCTGGAGTGCAGTGGTGCAATCTCGGTTCACTGCAACCTCCACCTCCCAGGTTCAAGCGATTCTCATGCTTCAGCCTCCTGAGTAGCTGGGATTACAGGCGCGCTACCATGCCCGGCTAATTTTTGTATTTCTAGTAGAGACGTGGTTTCACCATGTTGGTCATGCTAGTCTCGAACTCCTGACCTCATGATCCGCCCGCCTCAGCCTCCCAAAGTGCTGGGATTACAGGCGTGAATCACCGTGCCCGGCCAGATTGGTTTTGAACTCAGTGATGAGGATAAGGTTGGCCAATGTGAACTGACAGCCATATACATAACTTTCTGCCACCTCTTCCTCTGCCAGAAAGGCACTTTCTTCCCTCCTCCAAGCTTCCAGAATACTAGAGAGAAGGACTCTTTTGCATCTGAGCGCTGTTGATTAGCATTTGTGAGAATCTGTGTGAATAACAATACCTCTTCTTCAGATTCTGGGGGTGACCCAAGGGATTCCTTTGAAGTGACTGGGCTCTCCCCTGCTCACCTCTGTGGTCTGGCAGGAAATATACTGGTGAAAAACCTTCAAGCGTACGAAATGCTGGTGAGGGGGATCCAGTCACGCTTGAATCATATGTTCATTCAACCAGTTGACTAATGATTGATTAATTGATTGGCTGATTGAGATCGGGTTTCCCTATGTTGCCCAGGCTGGTCTCCAACTCCTGGGCTCAAGTGATTGATCCTCCCGCCTCAATCTCCCAAAGTGCTGGCATAAGGGGTGTAAGCCACTGTGCCTGGCCCATTCAACCAATATTTATTTATGTATTTATTTATTTTAGATGGAATCTCCCTCTATTGCCCAGGCTGGAGTGCAGGGGTGTGATTAGCTGACTGCAGCCTCCACCTCCTGGCTTCAAGCAATTCTCCTGCCTCAGCCTCCTGAGTAGCTAGGATTACCAGCGTATGCCACCATGCCCGGCTAAGTTTTTTGTATGTATTTTTAGTAGACATGAGGTTTCACCATGTTGGCCAGGCTAGTCTCGAATTCCTGACCTCAGGTGATCCGCCCACCTCGGCCTCCCAACGTGCTGAGATTACAGGCGTGAGCCACCGTGCCTGGCCCAACCAATTTTTTTTTTTTTTTTGAGATAGAGTTTCGCTCGTTGCCTAGGCTAGAGTGCAATGGCGCGATGTCAGCTCACCGCACCGCACCCTCCACCTCCCGGGTTCAAGTGATTCTCCTGCCTCGGCCTCCTGAGTAGCTGGGATTACAGGCATGCGCCACCACGCCCGGCTAATTTTGTACTTTAAGTAGAGACGGGGTTTCTCCATGTTGGTCAGGCTGGTCTCAAACTCCCGACCTCAAGTGATCCGCCCGCCTTGGCCTCCCAAAGTGCTGGGATTACAGGTGTGAGCCACCGCGCCGACCTGGCCCAACCAATTTTTATTGAGCACTTGCTGTGTATCCCAGGCATTTGTGATACAACAGTGAGCAAAACATTCTTTCGGGGGGAAGGGAGATGAACAGTACATAAATGGGAGAAAAATGCAGGGAAAGCGGGTATAGGGAGATGGAGAGAAGACAGGTACCACAATCTTCTGGCCTTGTTAGGGTGAAATTCTATTCTCCCCTGAGATGTGTAGAAATGTATATCGGTTTGCTCCATTTTTATTGACCCACACTGCCTTGATTAACTGGAAAAGTTGAGACCCTAATCATCAGTCTGTCAATGACTGAATGAGACAGGACAGGAGATATATTCACCAAATGTCTCCTGGAATAGGGAGGCCCCGGGTGAATGATCCCAGACTGGGTTGATAGGAAGGAAGTAAATTAATACCAAATGTGAAGGGTAGTGGGCTTGTTTTATTTTTATATTATTATTTTATTATCACTATTAGTTGAGACAGGGTCTCATTCTGTTGCCCAGGCTGGAGTGCAGTGGCGCCATCTTTGATCACTGCAGCCTCAGTCAACCTCCCAAGCGAACCTCCAGCCTCAGCCTCCCAAGTAGCTGTCACTACAGGCAGGAGGCACAACACCCGGCTAATTAAAAATACATTTCAAAAATATAAAAACAAAACCCAAAACCTTTGTAGAGAGGGTGGTCTCTTACTCTTGGCCTCAAGTGATTCTCCCACCTCGGCCTCCCAAAGTGCTGGGATCACAGGTGTGAGCAGCTGCGCCCCGCCTGGGGTTGCTCTTGAGGAGCCAAACTTTGCCAGATTAGGCTGACAGTGAGAAAATAAATTCTTCCACGGTAGATACTGGGTGAAAAAGTGCACGTCAGCGGGCAAGGGTAAGTAACGACAATAACAGGAACTTCTAGGCGCTGACCCCAAGCTCCCTTCCGGGCCCTATCCCGAGCAGTCCCCGGGCAACCTCCAGCGCTCGCCCCGGCGCGCTAGGCTGGGACCTGAACCCCGGCTGCCGGGTGGCTTCTGGGCCCCTCCTCATTGCCGCTCCTGGGTCTTTCGGGGTGTCCGGCTCCCCAGGATGGGAAGGATTCCGGTTCACCTCCGCAGGGCTAAGTCACCGGGCGGCCCGCCTCGGCCCCCAGGGCCCGGGGGCAGGGAGCGCCGAGGGTCCGCCGCGGGGCTGCGGCGCAGGCGGTGCCGGGGCGCGGCGCTGCGGGGCAGGCGGGCCTCGGCGGCGGCGGCAGGCGGGTCGCTCCCTGCTCCGCCTCCCGTGCTCCGCCCTGCGCTCCCGCTCCGCCCTCCGGCTCGGCGCCCGCCCGCTTGCTCTCCTCGCTCGCTCGCTCGCTCCGCGGCCCCCCATGCGGATGTGACATTTCACGCCGCCGCCATTTTGAGAGCGAGCCGAGCCGAGCTGCCGGGCGCCGCGTCCGCTGCCGGAGCCCCGACGACGACGCCGAGGAGGCGGAGGCCGCGGCTCTCGGAACGCGGCCGGCCCGTCGCCCGCCCGCTCCGCCGCTCCCGCCGGCCCCAGGGCCCGCAGGCCCGCCGCGGCCGGCCAGGCCTCCCGTCCGCCGCGCCCGGCCCGAGGCGGGGCTGACTCCGCGGCCCCCGACCGGCCGCCCTCCGCCCCCGGCCGGCCCGCGGCCCCGCAGCCCCGGCCCCGGCCCCGGCGGCGGGAGGCGGGCCCCGCGGCGGCGGCGGCGGCGGCCGCAGCGAGCGACGAGGCCGCCCGGCCCGGCCCGCCGGCCGCCCGCCCGCCTCGGCGCCGAGATTGGGCGAATCGCGAGCAAGTACGTGCGCGTCTCCCTGCCGCCGCCGCCGCCCGCCGCGGGCCGCCCCGGGGCCGCCGTCGCCGACGACGCGCGGGAGGAGGAGGAGGAGGCCGCCCCGCCGCCGCCGCCGCCGCCGCCGCCCCGGCTCGCCGCCGCCCGCCCGCCGGGCTCGCAGCCCCGGCCCCCGGCCGCAGGCGAGGCCCAGGCCGCGGCCGACATGAACCACCAGCAGCAGCAGCAGCAGCAGAAAGCGGGCGAGCAGCAGTTGAGCGAGCCCGAGGACATGGAGATGGAAGGTGAGGCCCGAGGGCCGGCCGCGGCGGGGCCGGGGGGCGCCTTTCATTGTGGCCGGGGGAGCCGCGGGAGCCACGCGAGGGGCTCGCCATCTTTAACCAGGCCCCGGGCGGCCGCCGGGCCTCGGCCTGGCCTCCCGGCCCCGGCCTGCGAGGCTGCAAAGTCATGCCGGGTCCGCGGGCGAGGGGCGGCCGCCGGGACCCCGGCCCCGTGCATTGTCCCGACCTCGCGTCCGCCGGGCCTCCGCGGCACAAAGCGCCCTGAGTTGTAAATTCGAGCGCTCAGGCAGCGGAGGGACGGAGGTGTTTTCTCACCCAGGTTGGGAGGCGGACTCCGGGGACCGTCCCCGTTCTGGGGCGTCCGGTTGGATCTGGTGTGGCTGGGGAATTCCTGACCTCCCCGGGCGCGGGGCTCGCCCGCACCTGCTCCGGTGCGCTCCCCCGGAGGGCGCGCCGTGGCTCGGAAGCGCTCTTCCAAATCACTTTCTAACAGCACTGCCTAGCGTCGGGCTTACGTTCGAAAATACCTGCAAGGAACGCAGATGTTGTCAGGTTTTGGACTGGCCCAGAGTTCTGACCCGGGCGCTGTTGGTTTCCGAATCCACCTGTTTTTCGGGGAGTTTGTACTTGGCAGTGTGTGGTGCAGCCAGCATCCGGCCAGGTGTGCGCTTGCAACCGTGCGAAAGCCCTGCCGCACATGGCTGCCTGCATCAGAATCAAACCTGACTCGAAAGGTAACTCGGTTTTCTGCCGATGTGGCAGTAATTTTCCAAGGCACTGTAGTTTGAGGTATAGAGTCTTGGTTGTAAAGGTTGGATGTGAAGACGCTGTAAAGAGAAGGGTGTTGGATTTAGGGAGTTGGTCGTTGGAAGGCACTTTTTCTCACGACCCATTTCACTGAAACAAAGCAAAGTCCAAATGGTCTTTAAAAAGTTTTCTTACCTACGTGACGAGTTCAGGCTGTCGGGAGTCAAATGGAGGCCACCTGAATGAAAACGGCGTGGAATGCTTTAGTTTTGCTTTTAGCAAGGGATCTTGGGTTGCCTCAATGAATGAAGCTCCAGGGGAGCTCAGGAAAAGCAGTATTTGTCCTGTGCGGTGGCTCCAAGTGTGGGGCGCTGCACACCGGTTGGTGGGAACACTTAAGCGTGACTGGTGTTCACCTCTGAATAGAATAACTTACTTCCAGTAATTGGATAGTCACTGAAAAAATGGCTGGCCAGGTTGCAAATGACAAAGTGGCTGGGATTCTGCAGTAGGCACTCCCCAGTGGTATTTATCAATGGCAGTAATGGGGGACAGAAGAGCGGAGTCCACGCCAAGGACTGGGTTATCTGTTTCACTTGGCCCCAGCAAAGCAGCAACTAAGAGCGCCTGTTATGTGTGATTAAACCAAATAGCTGAAAAGAAGTACTTTACTGAGGGAATTTTGTGTATTCCTTTTGTGCTGTATTTTGCAGCCCATCTAAAACATAAAAGAGGGTTGCTTTTCAGTTTCCTTTTCAAATGGTACCCGGTCAAGACAAATATCCAATAACACGAGCATATGGATTTCCCATGACATTGTCCTACCGCTTTCCAGGTGTTTTTGGACACTAGTGAGAATTAATAAACAGACATTACTGCAGAGCATGTGTGTTACAGACCTGTATCTTTGGGAAAATGACCAGGTCCACAAATTTCAAGGTATTTGCCCCCCCCCCCCTTTTTTTTTTTTGAGACGGATTTTTGCTCTTGTTGCCCAGGCTGGAGTGCAGTGGCGCGATCTCGGGTCACTACAACCTCCGTCTCCCGGGTTCAAGCGATTTTCCTGCCTCAGCCTCCCAAGTAGCTGGGATTACAGCCATGTGCAACCACGCCTGGCTACTTTTGTATTTTTGTTAGAGACGGGGTTTCTCCATGTTGGTCAGGCTGGTCTCGAACTCCCGACCTCAGGTGATCTGCCCGCCTCGTCCTTCCAAACTGCTGAGATTACAGGTGTGAGCCATCGCGCCTGGCCGGTGTTTGCTTTTAAAAGACTAGAGGGTGTTGAATTTTTAGAAATTCATCAGTCTCCATGCACGTTTTCAAGGCTACTTTCTTTTCTCATAAAATGAAGCTTTATTTTCATATTACAGTTTGTATTAGAAAGGTAACCCCTAGGACAGTTAATCTGTAAATTTAGCAGAATCTCAAATTGGATGGCAGAGGTTTTAGTTACTAATGCTGATTCCTTAAACTTAAGAAACTCATTTCTTCTGACTGGGCCTCTGTTTCAATTTCATTATCCAGGAGGTCCCTTTTCTTGTAGTGAGCACATGAGGCTGTGGACAAATAATAGTGCCCTGTGAGTACCCACTGGTGTGTGGTTTAAAAAGCTACTTGTGTCTTAGGCCATCTATTTCAGCCTTCCCAATCCTGAAATGTGGTACTAGCCTTACGATTGGAATGTGACTTAGGACCCGAAAGAGTGAGAGAACACTTCTGTTAAAAAGCCAGAAGGCTGGAATTTAGTGGACTCTGGTTGGCTTCATGGACCAGGCTGTGAGTGGGGTCCTGGTCAGAGCTAGAGACTTGGCACCTGTTCAGTGTCTGCCTCGGTTCCTAACGAACTAGCAGCTGGAAACTGTCAGGGTCTGAACAGCTTGAGGAAGGGAAGGCTTTGTAAACCTGGAGCATCCTGCCTGCACCTCCTGGGCAGAGTGGTTTCGAAGGAGCCTGGGAGACTGTTTCGTTTGTTTTGTCTCTATCAATAGGTCAGTGTGAGTTTGCTCTCCGGCCTCACATTCTTGGGGTTGCATTTGCTTTTGAGTGAACTCTGCACAGTCCTTGTATATTCATTGGAAAACAGCAGTGCTCTGGAATAGTTATTTTTTGAAATGCCCTGAGCAGTTAGGAAAGTGATGAAGGGTGAAGTGCGGAGAGGGAAGAGGTGGGGCCTGATGCAGTTTGCTGGGGTTGCAACCACACACTCCCTGTAAGGCCTGAAGCAGCCAGTTGCATGTTTCTAGTTGGAAGGCAGATAGAGCTGTGGAGGTGGTGGCATGATTAGGTCTGGCTGGGAATAAGGTTGCTTGGCAGTGTATTATTTATTCGCTAACTTTGGTGGCCATGGAAGTCTAGGGGCTGAAGGAGTGACTTGCATGGGTCTCTGCCCTCTGAATACTCAGATGGTCGGTGTAGACGCTATTGAATCAACAGGAAGTTATCAGGAGGCCTTGCTTCTGCATACAAACTGTTTTTTTCCCTGGTGTGGTTCTTCTGCCCAAGTGAGCAGTCTCTGTTTCAGTGTCGGCTCTGAGACGAATGGGATAGATGTTAGACTTTTCTATGACACTTAGACTGCTGCTATTAGGAGCAAATTAATGGGTCAGCTGCAGCTTCTGATCTAGGCTTCTGTGTTTTTTGTTACGGGGGTGGTGGTGGGTTTCTTCCAAACTTGTGCAGTTACTTTTCTGCTGAAGCATGTTTGGGAGTAGAATGTGAGTTCTCTTGAACACACCCAGCCAGATAAACTTGTGCTGTTGTGATTATAACTAATAGAAGATTCTTTCAAATAGCACTGTAACGAGACAAAAGTCAAATAATTCGAGAGTGTTGATTTTCCTTACATTGGCTTCTGTTGCTAAGATAATTCTTTGCAAAGTTACAAGATGAACATCAGCTCAGAGAACCCAGTAGAGAGAAATTAGGCCAAACCTAGCATCTCACTCTGATGTGAGCACGTCAGGTTTTAATGATTCAAAGCGATTCCCCAGGCTCCAGCTCTCCTGATTCTTTCAGGCTGCTGATATCCTCATTATTAATTTTTTCTCTGTAATGAAATGATCGATACTAGTAAATATAGGAAGAAGGTATCCTTTTTTTTTTTTTTGAATTAGTGTTTTGGAAAAGGAGAAAGAGGTCATTAAGTAAAAATTCATGGTATAACAGACTGTGGTGACTAAGGCAGTCTAGATTTAGAGCCATGCCTGGGTTTGAATCTGGGTTTTGCCATCTAATTGCTGTGGGACCTAATGCACATTGCTTAAGCTCTTGGTTCCTCAGTTTCTCCATCCCTTAAAGGAGGTCATTCATGCCCGTCAAGGTTGTTGTGAGACTGGAATCGCCAGGCACATCTAAAGTGCCTGGCATGGAATTTGGAGCATAGGAGATGTTCAGCACATGGTGTTGCCTTGGTGGTAGGGCTTTTGCAGCCAAGAAAATGTGACACTATGTTAGAACTAAAGTGGGGCACACACCACAGGTGGGGCCATCGAAGATGGGTGCTATGCAGAAAGGGCCCACAGTAACCATATCCGATGTGGATTAGGAAGAAGCCATCCGGCCTCTGCCTAAGCAATGCTGTTCTTGAAATCTTGGGCTTGATGTGCTTGAATAGGGATTTTAATATTAAAAGTGTAATATTTTGAGAATGATTCACTGTATGATAAAAGTCAAGTGGATTTGGTGCCATGCGCCACTGATGCTGTAGTCAGCCTGGTGGCCTTCTGATGATTCTTGCGTGAGTGCTAGAGCTCCCTGCGATGAGTGTGGGGAAGTGGAACACTAGATAGTGGCAGGAAACCAGGTCCCTGAGTGTCCAGACGTTGGGAGTCGGCTTTGAACTCTGCTGTCTCTATCCCACATCCTGTTGCCAGGCCCGTTTGGCTGTCTCAGACATCCCCTGAAAGCAGGCCCTTGCTGCCTCATGCTGGAACTGTGGTGGTAGCCTCCCTCTTGGTCCTGCTTCCAGCCTGCCTGACCCCACACTTTATGAAAGCTGCTGCCCACAGGACTTCTGTCCGTCACTGCCTTGCTGAAAAGGACTTGGTGTCCTGCCTTCTCTACAGGAAGTCGCACAGCTGCAGTCTTAGGATGGCCCCAGCCTCCTTGGTGCTGCCGGTTCCCAGCACACATGCACTTGTGTGGGCACAAACAGGACAGATACCCCAGGAAAGTGGTTCAGAATCCCACCCAGGGGCCACCTTTCCCCTAAGCCTTTCTAGTCGCCTCTCCCTGTTGGCTTGCATAAGACCCATGCACTTTTTGCCCCACCTGCTACTGTGCCGGTGGGATGGGCATTGGGGTGCCTCTTCTACACCGTTGGCTTGTTTGCTCTGAAGGTGACCATCTCAGTTTCCTTTTTTGTTAAATTTATTTGTGGGAGATGCTCATTCAGGAAACACTTTTTTCAGTGTACTCTGAGAATAAACAGTAATGCAGGAGATGGCTGGCTGGCAAGTGGCTCTGAGAAAGAGACGCTGAAGCCATAAAACGGTATTGCTTTGATAGGTGCTCATTCAGTTTTATTGCTTTTAACGTTAATGTAATGGTGTTTTTTTGATCCTTTTGGAAGTAAAAGCCCGTTTTCCAGACAAAGACATTGATAGACTTTCATAAATAACTGAAAATTTCTTTTCGGTATTTTGTAAAGTCTATTTTTGTTATCGTTTTTGTGTTTTTAATTTTTTTTTGTTTTTTTTTTAATTTAAGAGACAGGGTCTTGCTCTGTTGCTCTGGCTGTAGTGCAGTGGGCGATCATAGCTCACTGCAGCCTTAAACTTCCGGGCTCAGGTGATCCTCCCACCTCAGCCTTCCAAGTAGCTGGGACCACAGGGTCAGGGTGACCA
This sequence comes from Homo sapiens, assembly GCF_000001405.40. Taxonomy (NCBI): domain Eukaryota; kingdom Metazoa; phylum Chordata; class Mammalia; order Primates; family Hominidae; genus Homo; species Homo sapiens. The sequence continues at coordinate 8,957,618 of NC_000016.10, read as the reverse complement.
CATTTGGCTAATTTTTTTTTTTTTTTTGAATTTTAAGTTTTGTAGAGATGGGGTCTTGCTATGTTCAGGCTGGTGTGGAATTCCTGGTCTCAAGCAATCCTCCTGCCTGAACCTCTCAAAGCACTGGGATTATAGGTGTGAGCCACCTCACCCAGCCCGTTTATGGTTTTTTGCATGAGTAACAAATAGCGTGGATATCCTGCTTGATTTCCAAGGCAAAGAAGTTTTATCCTGGAGAACAAGAGTTGTAACAACATATTTCTTGCCATGTACCATGACAGAGTTAGATGTTAAATGTCACCTACTTTAGAAATTACTTGTTCTGAACTAATTTGGACTTAAGAAAGTTGGAGGAAGCAGGGTTTTAAGTGTCATGCGTAGGCAAGAAAGTCAGTTATGCCATTTTTCTAGTAAGTTAACACATGCCTCAGCTAATGAGAAGTCAGATGTGTTGAAATTTTTGAAGAGAAGCAGGTCTACTTCTGAGGGTTGGTAATTTTAACTTTTTATTTGGAAGTTGGAAACAGTAATTAGTACGTTTCTTGTATGGGGAAATACACCAACCTGAGCCAGAGCAGGGATGCTTCCAGAATTCAGTGATGACACTCCTGAGACAGAGGCTGGCAAGAACCCAGCATGGGATGGGCAGAGGGGTGTCTGGGAGAAGGCACCCTGAGAGATAGCGTCGACTTGTCTGTGTTGTGCTGCCCAGAAGGGCTGGGCATGGCTGAGGCTGCGCTGGGAGTCCTCGTGGATAATGGGGCACTGCCTGCGGGGGGGCTGGGCTCTTACTATCCTGTGCCTGTGGCTGTGTAAAGCAAATTCAGTGTTTTTTTTTTTTTGTTTTTGTTTTTTTAATACGAAGTCTTAATTCGTTACCCAGGCTGGAGTGCAGTGGGACGATCTCGGCTCACTGCAACCTCTGACCCCTGGGTTTAAGCCATACTCCTGCCTCAGCCTCCCGAGTAGCTGGACTACAGGCACACGCTACCATGCCCGGCTAATTTTTATATTTTAGTAGAGATGGCGTTTCACCATGTTGCCCAGGATAGTCTTGACCTCCTGAGCTCAGGCAGTCTGCCCGCCTCCGCCTCCCAAAGTGTTGGGATTACAGGCGTGGGCCACTGCGCCTGGCCCAAATTCAGTTCTTAGCATGCCCCTTGACGGGTGGAGACACTGTTGTGAGGTCACAGCTGTTCATAGTTGCAGAAATGCCCGTGTGTCCTTGGAAAGAGCCCATGTTATCTGCCAGGAGCTTTAACTTCATGAATGTTTGAAACCTGGGAGCGAGCGCTGTGGCCCATTCTCAAGGTGGTGATCATTCTCTTTGGGTCATTGAGAATCTAAAAACTATTTAGAAGGAAGGAGGCTCCCTTGTGAAACCAGGACAGGTCATGTGATTTTCCTGCCTGCCATAGAAGATTAAAAAATCCAGGCCCCTCTTTTTTGATTACATGCCAGTAACTAAGGTTTCCTGACATCCCGATATTGGGAGGACAGTGTCCTGTGTTATGTACTAACCTCCAGCTCTCACAGTAAGTTGTTAAACTGGCATCTGGTTTGGAAAGTGTGCTGTGTGAGTTTGGTAGTGTGACTTGTATTGCGGAACATGGTCCCATCCCAGGGTGGGGCTGCAAGTGTCTGGGTGGTAATCTGACATCTGGCTGTCTCTCTTGCCACCCCATTCACAGTACTTCAGAAAAAGTTGAGAGGTGTGTTTCCAAGGGACACCATGTGGCATTCCTCTGAATGTGTAGGCTGAGCAAACCTTTCTACTCCACAGCCCCTTAAAAAAGCTGTAAGCCATTGACCTCAAGTTGCAAGCACATTTCATCAATAAGACTTTGGGGAATAAATTATATTTCATGACTCTTAATTGACCCTGTGCAATGTTTTTTTTTTTTTTTTTTTTTTGAGATGGAATCGTGCTCTGTTGCCAGGCTGGAGTGCAGTGGTGTGATCTCGGCTCACTGCAACCTCCTCCTCCCAGGTTCAAGCGATTCCCCTGCCTCAGCCTCCCAAGTAGCCAGGACTACAGGGGCGCGCCGCCATGCCCGGCTAATTTTTTGTATTTTAGTAGAGACGGTTTCCCCATGTTGGCCAGGCCTGACCTCATGAGCTGCCTCACTCGGCCTCCCAAAGTGCTGGGATTACAGGTGTGAGCCACTGCGCCTGGCCATGCAATTGCTATTTTAAAACAAGCTTGTGAGCCTGGGCATGGTGGCTTATGCCTGTAATCCCAGCACTTTGGGAGGCCGAGGTGGGAGGATCACTTGAACCTTGGAGGTCGAGGCCACAGTGAGCCAAGATTGCATCACTGCACTCTAGCCTGGGGTGAGACACTGGCCCCAATACTGTCCATCATGTAGAAATGAAATGCAAACAGATTAATATGTAAAAAAACGAGCCATACGGAAAGAGAAACCCAAGTTTATTAAATACAACAAATGTAAAATTACATTTCAGCGGTTATTCTTAGAACAAGCATACGTGGGAAGAAATAAAAGAATTGCAGAAACTGCAGATTCATAGAAAGTGGGTATAGGTGATTAATAGTGACTGGTCCACACACCACTGTCATTCATCTCGTGGTAGCTGAGCAGAATGTTGTGTGAAACAGCAATTGCTGTTACTGTTTTTTTATTTTATTTTTATTTTTTGAGATGGAGTCTCGCTCTGTTGTCAGGGTGGAGTGCAGTGGCACGATCTTGGCTCACTGCAACCTCTGCCTCCCGGGTTCACACCATTCTCCCGCCTCAGCCTCCTGAGTAGCTGGGACTACAGGCGCCCCTCACCGCACCGGCTAATTTTTTTGTATCTTTAGTAGAGGGGGGGTTTTACCATGGATGGTCTCGATCTCCTGATCCACCCACCTCAGACCCCCAAAGTGCTGGGATTACAGGTGTGAGTCCACCGTGCCCGGCCTGCAATTGCTGTTATTAAACTACGCAAACCTCAAATGAATACATACCTTCGTATTTAGTTAGTAAAGTTTTTGGCAAGTCTTCATCTCTGTAGAAAGCTTCCAGAATACATCCTATAAACTTACAGCTAAATTGTCTTCCATTGCAAAAAATAGATTGTGGATTTGACTTTTTGAGTTACGGTTAACAGGGTAATCCTAAAATCTCACAAGCTGTATTGTGGTCCCATTGCCCATGACCCGAATGCAGTCACGCCTCATATGATGAGTTTGAGAACACGCGAGCTACCTCATGCTCTGTTTAGAGAGATGAGCGAGCCCACTGAACACGTTTGGATGTTGCAGCAGAGTCAGATTTCTTAAAAAGGTATCTAAGGCTCAATCTCCATTTCCTTTAGGTTCCCAGGGGCACCTGTTCAAAGCCTCTGCTTCCAGTGGCACCGCAGGGGGCACGTGTCTTCCCTCTGCCTCCAGTGGCGCCGCAGGGGGCACGTGTCTTCCCTCTGCCTCCAGTGGCACCGCAGGGGGCACGTGTCTTCCCTCTGCCTCCAGTGGCGCCGCAGGGGGCACGTGTCTTCCCTCTGCCTCCAGTGGCGCCGCATGGGGCACGTGTCTTCCCTCTGCCTCCAGTGGCGCCGCAGGGGGCACGTGTCTTCCCTCTGCCTCCAGTGGCGCCGCATGGGGCACGTGTCTTCCCTCTGCCTCCAGTGGCGCCGCAGGGGGCACGTGTCTTCCCTCTGCCTCCAGTGGCGCCGCAGGGGGCACGTGTCTTCCCTCTGCCTCCAGTGGCGCCGCATGGGGCACGTGTCTTCCCTCTGCCTCCAGTGGCGCCGCAGGGGGCACGTGTCTTCCCTCTGCCTCCAGTGGCGCCGCAGGGGGCACGTGTCTTCCCTCTGCCTCCAGTGGCGCCGCAGGGGGCACGTGTCTTCCCTCTGCCTCCGGTGGCGCCGCAGGGGGCACGTGTCTTCCCTCTGCCTCCGGTGGCGCCGCACGGGGCACGTGTCTTCCCTCTGCCTCCGGTGGCGCCGCACGGGGCACGTGTCTTCCCTCTGCTTCCGGTGGCGCCGCACGGGGCACGTGTCTTCCCTCTGCTTCCGGTGGCGCCGCATGGGGCACGTGTCTTCCCTCTGCTTCCGGTGGCGCCGCATGGGGCACGTGTCTTCCCTCTGCTTCCAGTGGCACCGCATGGGGCACGTGTCTTCTCCCCAACCCCCGTTTCTTACTGTCTTGGTTTCCCCTTGGATCGTACCTCAGACTTTACTTAGTGGCAGTAGGAGTGTCCTTGGTGTCCTGTAGTGTCCACAGAGGCTGGTGTAGGCTTTCATTCATCAAACATCTGCTGACTGGCAGGAACGGGTCTGGCTGCTGGGTTATGGTCTCAACTCTACCCCGGATGGGACTGCCTCAGAAAGTGAAGGAGCCCTGAACACGTGTGCAGGGGAGGGCTTCGGCAAAGCAGCTGTGGCATAGGAGAGACAGGACTGGCTTACCGCGGGGAGGGGGAGCCTCAGGTGAGGCCTCACAGAGAAGGCGACACAGCTGAGTGTGAAAAGAGGTGGTGAGGCCAGGCATAGTGGCTCACACCTGTAATCCCAGCATTTCGGGAGGCCAAGGCGACAGATTACGAGGTCAGGGGTTCAAGACCAGCCTGACCAACATGGTGAAACCCCGTCTCTACTAAAAATACAAAAAATAGCCTGGCATGGTGACACGCGACTGTAATCCCAGCTACTTGGGAGGCCGAGGCAGGAGAATCGCTTGAACCCAGGAAGCGGAGGTTGCAGTGAGCCGAGATTGCGCCAGTGCACTCTAGCCTGGGCGACAACAAGAATGAGACTCCGTCTTAAAAAAAAAAAAGCGAGTGTGGTCACAGGCGGGAGGGGTGGAATAGCAGGATGAGTTTGGGAACTGCCAGACTCTGTGACTAGAGGTTTAGGGTCTGTGGTTTGCAGAATGATGCTCCCATCCCCGGAAAGGTGTCCATGTCCTAATCGCTGAAACCTGCAAATGTTACGTTACATGGCAAAGGGATTTTGCAGACCTTATTGAATTCAGGATCCCTAGTGAGGAGGTGGGCCTGCATGCCCCAGGTGGGCCTAGTGTACTCACAGTCATCAGTGCCAGAGTGAGGGGACCTGAGAAGACAGGTGCAAGGGGGAGCCCAGGAATGGGGTGGCTCTAGGACCCGGAAGCGGCAGGGAAACATTTCCCCCTAGAACCTCCAGAAGGAATGTGGCCCTGCTGGCACCTTGGTTTTAGCCCGGTGAGACCCATTTCAGACTTCTGACCTTCAGAGCTGTGAAAGAACAAGGTGTGTCAACTTACCTGGGTCACCCAGAGCAAGTGGCAGAGCTGGGATTGGAACACATGTGGTCCGGCTTCACCATAGCCAGTAAGTGCTATTGGTCATAAAGTAGTGGTTACTGAATTTTAATTAATATTTTTTTGGAGACAGGCTCTCCCTCGTGCCCAGGCTGGAATTCAGTGGCGCAATCACCGTTAACTATAGCCTCAAACTCCTGGGGCTCAGGAGTCCTCCCACCTCAGCCTCCCTAGTGACTGGGACTACAGGCACACCACACCTGGCCATTTTTTTTCTTTTTTGTATAGACGGGGGGGTCTACTTTTTTATTTAAACACCCTCCTGCTTTCATCCATTTTCCTACCTCACCACCCAAAAGTCGTGAACTGCAGTTGGGCTTCCCAGTCTGAACGTTGTGGTGTGGTTCCCCACATGCTTTGAATATAGAAAGTAGCCCACTGCCTGAATAGTCCAGGGCCACTGATACACTGCAGGTGGCATTTGGTGGCATAAAAAGAGATGAAGCAAAATAACGCACGTTGGTAGATTGCTTCCTTTGTGAATCAGGTGTTCAGTAACAAGTTTTAATGAGATCCTGAGCTGAATGAATCATTCCTAAAGCAAACCATGCTGGGCTGTATGTATCTGAGTGTATGGAGAGATTTAAATGTGAAAAGGCCTGAGTCTTGTCTGCGAGGGCTCAGGGTGCAGGTGCACAGCGTCTCAGCATACCCAGGTCTCTAGATGTACAGAGTTAGATATTACAGCATTTTAGACCTAAGTATAGCCTCATGCGCTCAGGTCCTCAGTCATCCTCATGCCCACAAGCCCTCTGCATTTACAGATGAGCAAATAGGATATCCAGGGGCTCTCTCCAAGCCTGCAGAGCTCATCACATGAATCCGGCTGGCTCAGGGCGAGGTGGGTGAGCCCCCTGCTCCCCGGGCTGTGTTCTCTGTGGAGCCTTGGCCAGTTGGGGTGGTGTCCTTCCTGTTGCCTAAATCACCTAGTTTCTTTAAGATGACAGCTTTCACAAGGTGGAAGGAAAACTGGGTCAGGGCTACCAGAGGCTCAGGATTCCTTATCTGAGCAGAGGTTGAAGGAAATTAGGTGACTTAAGAGGCCAGATTTTAAAGATTAAATATATATATGATGTACATCTTCATAGGCAACTTTGGAAACAATATTTAGTTTGTAAAGTGACTGTAGCAGTCAAACAGTGGCAAGCCTACAGTTTTAAATACAGAAATCCTTACTTGGTTTGACTTTAAGCCTTGCCTGTTAAGTCACTGATCGAAGAAAGTAGAAATAAACATGGCTTTTTTATCTTAGTTTTCTGCGTGTCGCTGCTGCTCACACAATGCACAAGAGCTGTGAATTCTTGGGACGTTGCATCAGATCAGTTTTTTCAGTCTGTGCACAGATCTTAGCTTGAATGGTTACTTAACTGGTCACCAATTGTACATGAGGTTCTCTTGGGAAAAATAAGACAGGAGGCCCAAGTTCTGGCCCCATTGAACTTGGTCAGGAGTGACTGTGTGCGCAGAAACAAGTGACAAATAGTGCCCGCTCAGATCACTGTCGTGCGCTGGTCAGTGCCTGGGGAAGACATGCATGTAAGCCAGGTGACCCTTGGGTCCCTCGCCAGTGGGATGTGGCCCTGCGGGTGACTGGTTGAGCTTCAGGATGCAGGGCAGCCAGGCACATACAGCTTCTGAATCTTGGACAATTAGCAGTGCCATGTTCGTGGCAGACAGGGCTGGGTTGGTAACTGAGACTGTTGTCTCTGTCAGCGCCCAGTCCTGTGGGAAATGTGCTGCTGAAAGCTCTGTCCCAGCCCAAGTGATCAAAGTCTTCAGTGTTCTCAAGTTGGGGTTAATTGCCTTGGGGTAAGGGGTCTGGAGAGGAAGAATTAGCACCACACATCTGCATTTACTCTTAATGATCAGTATTTCCTTTGGAAATCAGAAGCTGTTATTTAAAATGTAATTCTTTTTTGATGAAATTAAAGGGCTTTTATTTTTCTTAAAATACTGTTTTAATCTTGAGTGTTTATCAGAGAGCACTGGGTCCCATCTTTTTTTTTAGAGCAGAAAATGTCTGTTGTGTCTTCTACTCTGCAAGCCTAGATACCAAGGCTCTGAGTGATAACATTATTTCTAGACCTTCGCTGTCCACTGTGGCAGCCACTAGCCACATGTGGTTGATTAAATTAAATACATAAATATTTGGTTTTTTGGTCTCCATGGCCATATTTCATGTGCTCAATAAGTACATGTGGCTATTTAAATAAAATTAAATTGAATAAGATTAATAATACCAATTCCTCTGTCACAACAGCCATGTTTCAAGCGCTCAGTTGCCACATGCAGCTCCTGGCTTCTATGGTTGGTGGGACAGCACTGCTGTTTAGACAGAGCCTGTGAATGGGGGTTTTCCTTTGCTATTCTAGGGGATAGCAACCGTTAGACCTCCTTGACCAGTATGGTTTAGAATATGGAAAGCCAAGCATTTTCATGTAATAACTTCTTAGAAGGAGCTTCCCCAAGCTCAGCTTAGGGCATACTTGCTGGTAATCACTGCTTCAGGCCCTGGGGGCTTGGAGGGGAAGCAGAGATGAAGTGATAAGGTGTCTCTGCGTAAGGAAAGCCAGCATGGGTTCAGATAGGTCATATGAGCAAATAATGAGGGCAGAAGGTGATGAATGCACAGAGGTGAGCAGATAGGGGCCTGGAAATTGAAGAACAAGATTGCACTCTGAGAGAAGGAAGGCATGGTGAAGAGGTGGTGTTGTGGTGGGCCTTAAAGTAGGCTTAGGACTTGAGCTCGGGGATTTGGAGGTAAGGATGGCAGCGGCAAGGCTTCTGGGTGGATGAAAATAGAAGCACAGGCTGTCCTGGGTATGTCCATTGTATTGGAATTGCCATGTTGTGTTGTGTTACTTTGCTTTTCTTCTCCACTAGACTTTGAGGTTGTAAAGTTCAGGGACTGTGCCCCAGGCATTTTCAATGCCTCGAACAGTAGTTTTTCCCTACATAGTACCCAACAATCAATTGCATTGCATTTTTATGTCTCAGTTTCAATCCCAGTGGAACGTGCCACGATGTTAAATGCCAGTTAACCTTAATTTTACCTGGTTTGGTAACAGTTGTAAAGGATTAGATTTGCATCTGTGCTTTTTGATAAAATTCGGTAACAATCATGATTTTTAAAATAACTTCATTGAGAGATAATTCACATACCACAATTCACCCATTTAAAGTGGGTTCAGTGGTTTTTAGTATTCACAATTGTGTGACTATCAGCATTCAATTCGAGCACATTTTCATCACCACAAAAGGAAATCCTGTACCCATTAGCAGTCACCACTAATCTATGGATTTGCCTATTCTAGACATTTCATAGACTGTGTAAGCTTTTTTTTTTCCCCTTTGGGAGACAAGATCTTGTCACCCAGGCTGGAGTGCCGTGGTTTGATCATAGCTCATTGCAGCCTTAAGCTCCTGGGCCAAAGCCATCCTCTCCCATCAGCCTCCCGAGTAGCTGGAACTGCAGGCACACGCCACCACGCCTGGCTAAGTTTTGTATTTTTTTTCTAGAGACGGGGTTTCGCTGTGTTTTCCATGCTTGTTTTTGGCTGCTTTTATCGTTGTGTTGTCCATGCTTGTTTTTGGCTGCTTTTACTTAGCTTAATATCCTCAAGGTTCATCCACATCGTAGCCAGTAGTCGTTCCCTTTTCTCGCAGAATAATATTCCATCGTGTGGAACTTCACCATGATTTAGCAAAGAGATGTGCAGGTTCTTAGGATTGTGTCATCTGTAATAGGCTTTAGTCAGTATTTTTAAAGGGATTTGAACTTTTTTTGCAGTTAGGAATATGCTTCACTTACTAAGTTGAGTTAACTGGGGGCCAGGTGTGGCAGCTGATACCTGTAATCCCAGCACTTTGGGAGGCCGAGGCCGGTGGATAGCTTGAGCCCAGGGGTTTGAGATCAGCCTGGGCAACATGGTGAAAACTCGTCTCTACAAAAAAATGCCAAAAATTAGTCAGCCATGATGGCGTGTGCTTGTAGTTCCAGCTACTCTGGAGGCTGAGGTGGGAGGATTGCTTGAGCCCAGGAAGTTGAGGCTGCAGTGAGCTGAGATGGTGCCACTCATTCTCCAGCCTGGGCTGGTGGGAGGGAGGAATCAAGGTCAGTTGAGGGTTCCATCAGGGGAGCGGAACTGTGGGAAAGGGATGCAGGGATTTATTAGTGGGATTTTACAGGCCACAGTGGTGGGAGCTCTATTAGCATCTGGGTCTGGTGCTGGAGCTGACTGACGTCTGCAGGGCATGCAGTCTTCGAGAGGTGGTGGGTGGGAGTGGGGAGCCAGGCAGTGCTGCGCTCCAAAGTGCCTGTCACCATGTCCAAGCTTCCAGGGCAGTAATGGAGCCTAAAGACCCTGGAGACAGAGAAATCCCCAGGCATAATGGCATGTGGCAGCTGCTTTACTCCCACCTTCCGAATTGCACACTGAGGGTCTCAAAAGTGGGAGCTGTGCAGGGAGGGGCATGGCATGCCCACCTAGCTGAGGCAGCATGGCACAAACCCATCAGGCAGTCCCACATCTGGAATAGCTAAGTTTTTGATGGCAGGATCCTGTCGAAGTCCTAAAAGACTTCACCCCTTAAAGAGCTTTTGGTGGGTGGGTTATAGCTACTGTTATTTACCATATAGAAATTAAGGCCAACCTTAAATGTTTATTGATTGAAAAATAAGCGCACACCTGTAATCCCAGCATTTTGGGAGGCTGAAGCGGGTGGATCACTTGAGGCCGGAAGTTCGAGACGAGCCTGGGCAACATGGTGAAACCCAGTCTTTTCTAAAAATACAAAAATTAGCTGGGTGTGGTGGTGCATGTCTGTAGTCCAGCTAATCAGGAGGCTGATGTGGGATAGTTGCTTGAACCTGGGAGGTGGAGGTTGCAGTGAGCCGAGATGGCACCACTGTACTTCGGCCTGGGTGATAAGAGTGAGACCCTGTGTGTGTGTGTGTTGGGGGGGGGAGTGCTGTGGAAAAACAATAAACCAGCACATGGTAATGTTGTATAAAAAATAATTATTTTCCAAGTAATGTTGTATAAAAAATAATTATTTTCCAAAAGTGTATTGAGAGGAATGGCATTGCTTTACATTTTTGTAAATTTCTTTATTGTCTGTTGTAATAGAAGACTTCATACCTGCTTGTGCATTCAGTCAGCTGCAGTGTAATTTTAATTAAAATATGAAAAAACCAATCTTACAGAGATATACTGAAAAAAACAGGAGGAATGCTTTAGTAGCCTTTTTGAATGATTGACTATTCTCTGATAACTACAGCAAAGCAAAACAAGTGGTAACTTAATGAAGGTTAATTCACCCCGCCCCATTACCTTAAGTTCGTCATGCACTTTCAGTGGATTTTTTCCAGTTGCATTTATTGGCCGTTTGGAAAATATGGATTCATCAAGTTTTACAGGTCTGCTAAATGTTGATACATTTTATTATACAGTTATATTAAAAAGTTGAGTTTATATGCCCAGACATTGGCGTTGTTGGAAACGCCTGCTGCTGTTTGCTCTGTAGGTGGAGCCTTCTGCGTGCTGGCAGATGGCTGAGTGGTTGAGCGTGAGTGGCTGTGTGGAGGCCGCCTTTGCATCTGCTGGTGTGTGGGGCTGGGGTATAGGCCAGTGACCAGATTATTGGAGGTGTGCCTTTGCCATGCCTGTATGCTCTTCAGAGTGTCAGTTCAGCTATTCTGACTTTTTAGTTGAGTTTTGTCCAGCTGTTGAGTTTTGTGAACTGTTGTTTATATATTTGAGATTTGAGTCTTTGTAAGATACGCGATTTGCAGATATTTTCTGCTGGTCTGTAGCTCGTGTGTATTCACTTAACAGCTTCTTTCTGGAGCATAAGTCTTTCTGGAGCAAAGTTGATCAACAGTTTTTTTCTTTATTTAGAGATGCGGTTTCACCATATTGGCCAGGCTGGTCTTGAACTCCTGGCCACAAGTGATCCTCCTGCCTCAGCCTCTCAAAGTGCTGGGATTACCGGCTTAAGCCACCGCCGCCTGCCATTTTTTTGTTGTTGTTGTGTTTTGTTTTTTTGAACCTTGCTTTTGGTATTATGTCCAAATATTTGCCCTACCCATCATGACAGATGTTTTCCTGTGTTTTCTTACAGTCTTGGGGTTTTACATTTCATTGTGAGCTACCTTTTGTATAAGGTGTGAGGTTTAGGTTGAGAGTCTTGTGGGGGAGGGGCTGTAGAGTCCATTTGTTCCATGACTTTTGTTAGAGACTGTCTTTGTCCGTTGAATTGCTTTTGTACCTTTGTCAAAAATCAAATGGGATCTGTTTCTGGACTCTTCCATTCTCCCCTGTCCGTTCCTTTGCCAGCAGTGCTGTCTTGATTATGGAAGCTTCATAATCAGGTAATGTGATTTCTCAATCAGTGCTGTTGTTTTTTTTAATTTTTACTTTTTTTTTGGAAGTGGGGTCTCGCTATGTTGCCCAGGCTGGTTTCTGACTCCTGGCCTCAAGCAGTCTTCTTGCCTTGGCTTCCTAAAGTGCTGGGATTATAGGGTATGAGCCACCACACCCAGTGGATCTGTGTTATTCAAAATTGTTTTACCTACTCAATCTTTTATTGTTCCATATAAATATTAGAATCAGCTTGTCCTTAGCTATGAAAAATCCTGCTTTTTAATTGGACTGTGTTTAAATGTATGGATTAATTTGGGGAGAACATCTTTACTGTGCTGTCTCCCACTCCATGGGCACGGTATGTCCCCAGTCTCAGTGATTTTCCTCTTATGAATGGCTAGCATTCACAGTACATCACTAGTGCACAGAAATGTTCAAGGTGTCTGTTGGTTTATAGGTTGAACTGTTCCCAAAGCCCCCACTAACCCATGAACAAATAAAACAAGATTTCCTTTGCTACTCTCTGGACAACTAGTCTTCCCAGGAACTTTTTGTTTGTTTGTTTGAGACAGCATCTTGCTGTGTTGCCCAAGCTGGAGTACAGTGGCATGGTCTTGGCTCACTGCAACCTCCACCTCCCAGGTACAAACGATTCTTGTGCCTCAGCCTCCCGAGTAGCTGGGATTACAGGTGTGCACCACCACACCTGGCTATTTTTTTTTTGAAGATGGAATTTCGCTCTTGTTGCCCAGGCTGGAGTGCAGTGGCAGGATCTCGGCTCACTACAACCTCCACCTCCTGAGTAGCTGAGATTACAGGCGCCCGCCACCACACCCAGCTAATTTCTGTATTTTTATTTAGTACAGATGGGGTTTCATCATCTTGGTCAGGCTGGTCTTGAACTCCTGACCTCAGGTCTTTCATCTGCCTTGGTCTCCCAAAGTGCTGGGATTACAGGCGTGAGCCACTGCGCCCGGTCCACCCAGCTAATTTTTGTATTTTTAGTAGAGGCGAGGTTTCGCCATATTGGCCAGGCTGATCTCGAACTCCTGACCTCATTCGATCTGCCCCTCACTTCAGCCTCCCAAGTGCTGGGATCACAGGCATGAGCCACTGTGTCCAGCCGCCAGGAACTTTTCAAAATACCTTTGACGCTAGTTTTTCAAAAGATCTGACAGCCCTTGAATTGCAGGTGTTCCATGAGAGTCTGAGTAGGTCCCCTCTAAAGGGGATTAAAACCTGAATGGTGGTCTGTGTCTCCAGTGGCCTAGAGTAGACTGGCAGCCTGTGACATGGTGCAAAAGAGAAAAAAATAGTTTTCTTTCTGTGCTAGGTTGTTCCCTTTTGTGGTTTTATTCAAATAAAGGAACCTGTTTGAAGTTGGTTATGTTTGACTATTTTTAAAGGACTTACATTAGCACAACCAAGAGTATGTATAAAAATCTCCTTTCTACCTCTGACCTCATCCCCAGTCCCCAAACTGGCTTGTCTTTTCAAATAATTTTTAGGGAAAAACAGACATTTAAGAGAGGAAGCTGCTACTTAGTTGCCAAGGTGTAAATGGACCTTCCAGGCCACAAATAGCCCAGGCAATTCCTTTGTTCCAGGACTCTGGCCTCCTCCTGACTCCAGGCGGGCAGCTGTTGCACCCCCTCTCTCAGCTGCCAAGGGGGTGTCAAGCCTCAGCCAGTATTTTGGCTGTGCTTTTTTTTTTTTGCACCTCTGTTGCTCTGCGTATTTTTGCTTTTGTTTTAAGAGTAATGCATATTCCCGGAAACATTCAAACATGCAAGCAAAAAGGCAAGAAGGAGAGTTTCTGTTCCTCAGAGGGAACTACCATTATATACTTGATGTATTATGGATATTGTCCCAGTTCATCCTTTTTTGTTTGTTTTTAATTTCAGAGACGGGGGTCTCCCTATGTTTGCCCAGGCTGGTCTTGAACTCCTGTATACTGCCTCCCCCGCACCTTATAGTTTTGCTTTAAAACCCAATTATTGTAGAATAAGCAATACAATAAATTTAATAGAGAAATGAAATTTTAAAAACCAAAATGTTTTCCTGTGAAAAATTAAACTTATGTTTAAAGTTGTGCATCAGTGCACGAAGCACTGTTTGTGTTTATCCCCCAGCGTGAATGCTCATTTTCTTGGGGAATGGGTTTTTGTGGTAACATTTCAAAATGAGTGAAAGGACATTCAACATTTTGATTTTAATACATATTGCCTTTGGGAAGGACAGTTGACTCTAGAAAAGTGTGTTCCCGCCAGCCATTCGACTCTACCCATATGCTAGACCTTCAGTACTGGTGGGCATCTCCATTGCTTTTCACCGTTAATCCAGCAGAGGAAGAGTGGTATCCCACGTTAACGAGGGAGGTGGAGCCTGTTGGTTAGTCGTTTGTGTTTCTCATGGCATTGGGGCCCTGCATTCTCGGTGTTGATCCTTTGGCTCTTGTGTGTCACAGATCTCCATCCAGGTAGGGGCATCCCTTGCCCTAACTGCATCTGTGCAGCTCGGTTCCGGCCGTGCGTGCTGCAACTTCTACTTGCATTGTGCTGCACAGTTGAGCAGATAATCCTGTTTCTTTTGCGGAGCAGACTATACATGTAGAAGCAGTACAGGCGTAATTATAAGCTCTTTACTTGTGCTGTATATTAAACCCCTCTCAGTGCACAACACAGCATTAAAACCAATCATCAGTGTTTGGACAGGCACTTTTGGTAGTTAGGATGATCTCTAGGGAACAGATGATTTTTACATAATGAAGCTAAACTGAAAGCTCCAAACAAATAGTTTTATTTAAGGATCACATATTATATGTGGCCTTCTTTGGGGCTTGGTTTTCATATAGCTAATTTACATCAGGATTATTTCAGCATATAGAGCAAAGCGTCAAAGTGGGTCCACTTTGAACACTCAGGCTCCACTGCCTTAAAGCCAGGTGGTCGGCTGACCTCAGGGCCCGCAGTGCCTGAAAAGGTACAGAACTGAAGGCAACCTAGCTTAGTAGGACAGGACTGTCCCCTGGAAATGGCTTTCCAGCCAGCCTAATGAGGGTGCATATGGCCAAATAACTGGAGGGTATAAAATCACAAAGTGGCTGGATGTGGTGGCTCATGTCTGTAACCCCAACACTTTTGGAGGCCGAGCTGGGAGATTGCTTGAGGCCAGGAGTTCAAGACCAGCCTGGACAACATAGTGAGACCCAGTCTCTACAAAAAAATACAGAAACTAGCTGAGTGTGGTGGTGTGCGCCTGTAGTCCCAGCTGCTCAAGAGCTTGAGGTGGGAGGATTGCTTGAGCCTGGGAGGTCATGGCTGCAGTGAGCCATGGTGGCACCACTGCACTCCAGCCTGCCCAACAGAGCGAGACCCTGTCTCAAAAATAAATAAGCCGTAAGCCAAATATTGTTAATAAGACCAGAGGGATTCAGAGTTACTTAGGAGGGCCCCCGTTTTAGAGTACACAGGGATCTACTTTGACAGGCTGGGGTGAGGTGCAGGTGGTCAGACCCTCACAGTGCTGCAGAACAGCAAAGGAGCTTGTCAGGAGACCCCTAGCATGTGATAAGGGTGGGACAGACCCCACTGCTTGATATTTGGCAAGGGCTGGTACCAGGATTCCCATGCTGGGGCTGTCTCAGGTCCGACAGACTCTCCACTGGGCATCCCAGTCACTCCGAGTGTCCCAGTACCTCCCAAGGACATGGATGGCTTCCTGTTCATTGGGTGGAGCACCTGCTGGGAGGGAACATTTTAGAGTGAAGTTAAGAATGCTTATCGTGGCCTTCAAGGCCCTCCATAGCTTTGGCCCTGCCCACCTTCCCCTTCCCACTGCCCTGTTCCTGTTCCTGTTGCGGTTTGCTCTACCTGGACTGCACTTTTCCATCTCTGGCCGGCAGGCTTCTTGCACTCTGTGCTTGCCACAGAATTTGCCACTCTGTGCTTGCCAGTTGTCTCCTCCTTCATGACTAAGGGACATGAACCAGCCCTGTGGCTGTCACTGTGTGCGTTTGCCCTCTATTGCAATGATCACCAAGGGACTTGCCTCCCACTTCCTAGTGAGCACCAGGAGACCAGGAGGCGTGTCCACCCAGTTCCCTGCCGAACCCTGGGCCCAGCCCATCTGTCAGAGACGGAGGCTTGGAAGGGTCAGTGGCTGGCCGGTGGTCTCACACCTGGGGAGAGGCAGGCCTGACTTCACAGCACGCACCACCCAACACAGCTGATCCTGGCTCTGCCCGTCCCCTCACTCCTCACCACACCAACACGGCCTGGTCTTTGTCTTTCCTGGTACCAAGCAAGGCTACAAGGTACTAGAAGGAAGATACTAAGCGAATTGGCAGACTAACTTATTTACACTCTGATGTTGCTATCGTGCGTGGACAAAAAAGCCGAAATGTGTTTTGGCTTAGGACAAGTTACTGGACATGTCGGTTGACCTGCGAGAAGAGGGTGGGCTCTGCTGAAATGCGGCTGGAGATACGTGCCTTTACCCCTCAGGTCCTTCCTGTCTGGAAAAGTAACGTATTAGGCTACAGAATAAGATGTTTTCTTTGTTAAAAAGTTGTTAACCGCAGACTGCAGGATATGTAGGGTATGTCCACCCTTTAGGGGATGCATGAAATCCTAGCTAATGGTAGCAGCTTAGAAAGGTGCTTTCAGGGTTATGTTTGAGCATAGTTAATTTTTCCACTTAGGTTCATGTTCTGGAATTGGCTCCTTCCAAGAGGTTTCAGGTATCCAGTCAGGCACAGAGGGCGTGAGGGCTGGGAAGTAATTTGGTGGTGGGGCGGGGGGTCCTCATGGGCATGGGGCATGGGCCCCATGTGAATTGGGCAGCAGCTCCTTGGCAAACATGGGCAGTGTGGCCTGGCCAGCACCTACCACTTTCCAATCAGTGGCTGGAAGGTGAACCTTGAGTCCCTGAGTGCTGGACGAGAAGAAGGGTCCTGGAGTGGGAGGAGAGAGAATTCTGTCCTGCTATTCCTGACTTTATTGTATCCTATTATGACCTTCACCCCCACTTGATTACCTCCAGGTTCTGGAGACTGTATATATTCCAGGTTCTGGACACTGTATATAAGTGATTCTCCTGCCTCAGCCTCCCAAGTAGCTTGGATTACAGGTGTGCGCCACCATGTCCGGCTAATATTCCAGGGCCCTACCTGAAGCCAGCTTGAGCTTCACCTAGGAGAGGCCTCGCAGAGGGGATTGATCTCACTCCACAGCCTCTGATCTTTCCCACTCCCTGGAAATGTCTAGAAGATGGCGGTCAGGAGCTTCTTAGGGAGTGTGGTAACTCCGTCTTTTTTGGCTGCCACCATCGTCCCTGTTTCTGTGGATGCCTCGGGAGCTTACAGGCTCCCACCTCTCCCTTTCTGATGCAGGGGCCATTGCTGTAACTGCCCCACCTCCCGCCCTGGGTTGCCTGGTCCCAAGGTAACCCCTGCCCTCCCACTCTGATCAACAGCCTTGATGGTGGCGCCCAGCTTCTTGGACATTCCTAGTACACCTTCTGCCTCTCGTTGTGTTCAAGAAGCCGAAGAGTTCTCCTGAGCACTGTGCTGGAGGCTGGTCCTGTGCTGGAGCTCACCAGAGCATTTGGCGGTGTTCTGGTTCTTGGATAACAGTGTTGACATTTGCCATTGGACAAAGCATGGTTAGCTACTTGCAGAGGCCAGATGTGTATATGACCTGGCTGTAGGATGCCTAGACAGGTGACCTGGCTATAGGATGCGTAGATAGGCAGCAGGATGGGAGCCACAGGACAGAGCTGTTTGTGAGAGCATCATTTGGAGTCACAAAAATACAGGAAAAACCTGGATGGAAACAGCCTTTTTTTTTTGGAGACAGAGTCTTGCTGTGTCACCCATGCTGGAGTTCAGTGGCATGATCTCAGCTCACTACAACCTTCGCCTCCCTGGTTCAAGCAATTCTTGTGCCTCAGCCTCCCAAGTAGCTTGGATTACAGGCATGTGCCACCATGCTTGGCTAATTTTTGTATTTTTAGTAGAGTCGGGGTTTCACCGTGTTAGCCAGGATGGTTTCAATCTCCTGACCTCGTGATCTGCCCTCCTTGGCCTCCCAAAGTGCTGTGATTACAGGCGTGAGCCACTGCGCTCGGCCAGAAACAGTCTTCTTTAGGGGAGTGGTTGATAAATCATGACAATGTTTTGGAGTTATTAAACTTACCCACGTAATGTGAATAGTATATGTGTTTTCCTTCATGAGAAAAAGTGCACGAGCAATGTACATGATATGTACATATGAACATTACATTGAGAATGCCTGGAGGTGAAACATTCATGGTTTCCTTCATGTTAGCACTCAGGGAAGGCCAGTTGATTTCTCCTTATCTATGTCTGCATTGTTGCTAGCTAACATTTGCTTGCTTGTGTTTACTTCTTTCAGAACTCAAAAGTAGAAATAAATAGAAACCAGGACCAGTCCAATATTTTCATAGCAGCTTTATTTGTGAATTTCCTCTATCTGGAAAGGACCCAGATGTCAGCAAGTGAATGGTCAAATGGCAGTCCATCCCTGCCATGATATCCTAGAGTACAGGAGAAAGGAACAACTCATTCCACACTGTGTCCATTTATATAGCATTGGTGAAGTGACAAGATCCCAGAGATGCAGAACATATGAGGGTTGCCGGGGATAATGGGGGAGCACGCACGCCGGGGTGGGTGGTCGTAACAGGGCCACTGGAGGGATCCTTGTGGTGTTGGAACTGTTCAGGATCTTAACTGTGGTGGTAGTGGACACACAAATCTACACAGTAAATAAAATTGTAGAGAACTAAATACACGTAAGTACATGTAAATGTGGAGAAATCTTCATTGGGTTGGTGGGTTACATCAGGACCCTGGCTGTTGATACTGCAGGCAGGGTAGTTTTGCAAAGTGGTGCTGTAAGGGGAAACTAGGAAAAGGGTATGGGATCTCTCCCTGTCCCTTGGTATTAATGGTGGATTGGTTCCAGGACCCCTCTCAGGGTGTCAAAATCCACAGATGCTCAAGTCTTCCTCATACAAAACAGTGTAGTATTTGCATATAATCTTCACACATCTTCCTATATAGTTTAAATTATCTCTACGTGGCTTATAATATCTAATACAGTGTAAATGCTATGTAAATAGTTGGTAGACTATTGTTTTGGGAATAATGACACAGAAAAAAATCTGTACATGTTTGGTACAGACTCCCCCGTCCCCCCAATTTTTTTTTTTTTGAGACGGAGTCTTGCTGTGTTACCCAAGCTGGAGTGCAGTGGTGCGATCTCCGCTCACTGCAACTCTGCTTCCCAGGTTCATGCCATTCTCCTGCCTCAGCCTCCGGAGTAGCTGGGACTACAGGTGCCTGCCACCGTGCCCAGCTAAGTTTTTGTATTTTCAGTAGAGACGGCGTTTCACCGTGTTAGCCAGGATGGTCTCGATCTCCTGACCTTGTGATCCACCTGCCTCGGCCTCCTACAGTGCTGGGATTACAGGTGTAAGCCACCGTGCCCGGCCCCCTGAGTGTTTTTGATGTGCGGTTTGTTGAATCCACAGATGTGGAAGACTTGACTGTATTATTTCTTTCTTTCTTTCTTTTTTTTTTTTTGACTGTGTTATTTCTTAAGACTGTGTGTGAATCTACAGTTATCTCAAAGTTTAATCAAGAAAAGTTTAATCAAGTCAGTATAGTATAGTGTAGTAGCAGTCCTACAGGAATCCAGGTTATTTTGGGAATATCCATATTTAAAAGCATATGTAGTCAAAGAACTTCAGCCTTCTCGGAGTGTCGTGCCTGTTTGCTCAGGACTTTTCCATTCTTCCTGCCTAGGGCCTCTTGTGGCAGTGCCTTTGCCAGTCCAGCTGTGACCCTGGTCTGGTGACATAGGGAGGATATTCTGCCCTGCCTTACCCTGGGGCCAGTGACGATTACCTGAGAATTGTACAAGGCCTGGCACATAATAGGGGCTCATTGGAGTTACTGATTCATGAAATACTTAAGCAGATGGTAGTTCCTTCTCACGTGGTCAGTATTTTCTCTCCCCCTCTTGCTCCCACATAGATGCAAGCTCCCCAGACTGGCTACAGGTCTCCTGAGCAATTCTCTTGTCCAGTTGTCTCCTGGCTTCTGTGTGGGAAGTGTTTTGTGTTTCATCTCCCAAACTGCTTTTTTGTCTGCCTTGAATTGCTTGAGAATTTAAGCCATGCTCTATTTAGGTGCATAATGCTGACATTTTTCCCTTTCTGTTTTTTTTGTAGCCTATTTAGAGACAGGGTCTTGCTTTGTTGCCCAGGCTGGAATGGCAGTGGTGCAGCCCTTGCTCACTGCAGCCTTTACGTCCCACCTCAGCCTCCCAAGTGGCTGGGATTACAGGTGTGCACCACCACACCCAACTTATTATTTTTTGAGACAGAGTTTTACTCTGTCACCCAGGCTGGAGTGCAATGGCGTGATCTCAGTTCACTGCAACCTCCGCCTCCTGGGTTCAAGTGATTCTCCTGCCTCAGCCTCCTGAGTAGCTGGGATTACAGGCATGCGCCACCACGTCTGGCTAATTTTTGTATTTTTAGTAGAGATGGGGTTTTGCCATGGCCAGGCTGGTCTCAAACTTCTGGCCTCAGGTGATCCGCCCGCCTCAGCCTCCCAAAGTGTTGGGATTACAGGCGTGAGCCACCCTGCCTGGCCCAGATTGCTTGTCTTATACACGTTGTTTCGTGTTAATCCTTTTTTTTTTAAAAAAAGACAGAGTCTCACTGTGTTGCCCAGGCTAAAGGGATCTTCCTGCCTCAGGGTCCTAAGTGCCTGGGATTACTGATGTGTGGTAAGGTGCCCTGAAATTTTTCACTTACATCAATTATTCCTCCTGCTTGTTAGGCTGAGAGGGCATTGTACTTTGCCTTTTTAAAATTAGCTTTTAATTTTGGAGTAATTCTAGATGTACAGAAAAGTTGCAAAATTATGACAGAGCGCCTGTGTGCCCCCCAGCGACTTTCTCGGGTTGTTAACAATTTATATCACCAGTGTTTGATACAGTGTTTTAAACCAGATTTGTCACAGCCAAGGAACTGGCATTGGTATGTTGTTAACCAAAGTCAGATTCTTTCAGAGTTTCACCAGTTTTTCCATTAATATCCTCTTCTGTTCCTGGACTGCCTTATCTAAATTGAGGTTGCTTGAATGTTTCTGGTCCTAAAGACAAGGCTTCTGTGGGATGCTTTAAAAAATAAAAAAGAATGCTGAGGTAGAGCTCCTAGAGATTCTATGCAGTCACTCTGATGTGGGTGAGAGAACCTCCCCCATCCCCCAGCAGAGGCCACTGCAGAGCCATGCAGAGATGGCTGGGAACCACAGGCTTGGGCTGGAAGGTGAGTCAGGTTTTCAGGTTGAGCTCCTTATGCTGGTGATGGATGGAGATAACCAATACTGACATGTCTCAGCCAAACTTCTGAAGTATATTTGGGGCTATACATCTAGACATTGTATCAGTAAAATTTATATAAAGATCACTGCTTTCTAGTTTACCTCTGTAGCCTCTATTTTAAGTCATATATTTAAATGAGTTCATTGTGGGGAGAGGAGATGAGAGGTCAAGAGAGGACCATGCAGAACCCAGAGGGAGTTCAAGGTGAACTGATGGGGGCGGGGTGAGATGGGCTGTAGGGCGCCATGTGAGCCACCCAGAGACCAGGTGTTGGCCCATGCGTATCTGCCGTAATAACAGCTGTAGTTTTGATCACTAGGTTGTTACTAGTGGAAGGATCTGGGGGGCTGAGTGGAGACACCTGTGGCTCAGAGGCCGAGCTGGGTCTTCATGGACAAGGCACCACCTGGTGGCAGGACATGGACTCTTAGTTTCAACACACCAGGGTTGTATTGTGTTCGCGACCCCCGCCCCCTGCCAGCTTTTTGGGGGAGGATTGATAAATCTTCGTGAAGTGGCAGAAAATATGAAAGCCAGCCAATTGGAATCTTGCTTATTCTGATCTGTTATCTCAGGGGTTAGATTCGCGTGCTGAAGTGGTCTACGTAACTTCCATAGCGATTGGGAGGTGTTCTCTGGTGGGGTAGCAGTTCTGTGTTATGACATCACAAATGGAATTCACGGGGAGGAAAGCTGGGTATAGGCATTAAGTGCCCAGTAGAGCAGGTGGGAATATAGGCCCTGGAACTAGCCAGGGAGCCTACTTGGTGTTTCAAAAACATATTTTCTGCCTTTTCATATACATATTGCGTTAAAAGGCCTAGCAATCACCAATAATGGAGACTGTCTTCTATTTCTGAGTGGGATATGCGTATTATGGGATGGTAATTGCTTTATTTCCTATAGACGTTTTTCATCCAGGGCTTGTCTGTTTGACATTGCACATAGTCACTTGTGTTTGCCAAACATGTCCCCAGTCTTATTTGAGATAATTTTGTGTCAAAAATAGTGCCATAGCCTGGGCATGGTGGCCCACGCCTGTAATCCCAGCACTTTGGGAGGCCGAGGTGCGCAGATCACCTGAGGTCAGGAGTTCGAGACCAGCCTGGCCAACGTGGTGAAACCCCATCTCTACAAAAATACAGACAAATTAGCTGGGCATGATGGCAGGTGCCTGTAATCCCAGCTACTCAGGAGGCTGAGGTGGGAGAATCACTTGAACCCAGGAGGCTCTAACCCAGGAGTTTCCAGTGAGCCGAGGTCACACTATTGCACTCCAGCCTGGGAGACAGAACGAGACTGTCTCAAAAAAAAAAAAAAAAAAATTAGTGCCTTAGCTCAAGTGTTTGGCCAAATCAGTCCCCATGTCTTAAAAACTTCCGAAAAGGTGGCATATAAAACTTGGTATTACATCACTCTTACATGGCAGTAAATGTATGTGCATGCCAATGTTGTACATCTGTCTTGAACAATAAAAGAAGGCAGCCTTATCGTTTAGGCTATTTCTAGAAGTCTAGTACAGATTTCTTGTGTGTGTGGCTATCCTGTGCTTTCATCATTTACTTCTGGACTAGGGATTTACCATGTCTTAATTAAAATTTTAATCCTCTTGCGGAACTAACTCATTTATGAGGAGCTTTTAAAAACGGGATCTCCTGCCCCTGGGAGCTGGGCTGGAATCACCTTGGTGGCTGCTTGGACACCCATAGGGCTGTTGGTGGCCGGGACCCACCCCTTATGTACTCGGTGGCCAACCAGTGGCCCTTTGCCATTTCACAGCCACTGGCCTTGACCACTTTCTCTGCACCTGTCAGGTGGAAAAGGGCAGATTGGCCACACCAACTCAGATGTGTTAATTTGGATGTAAAAGCTGGGGTCTTGCTCAGATTCTGCTGCAACCGCAGACCTCTGCTTGCTTTGCGTTTTCAAGGCCAACTGCAGAGAAGCCCTAACTTCACACTAGAACCATTTCAGAAAATAATAGGCTTTCTTTAGTCATCACACTGCAATTAATCCCACTGCTGAAAAATGGGGGGTAGAGCTTACGCATTTCCCCCACCCCATCCTGTAAGATGTTATGCGCTCTTGAATTGATCTTGGTTTTTATTATTGCTGTAACTTTTGGAGACAATGCAGTCTCTCTCAAGTCACCCAAACAAGCCCTTCTTTGAGCTCTAATCTGAATTCACTTGTGTCTCAGTCTGATTTCACTGCATCTCATGAAACCATAACCTGTACCTCAGAATTACAGAGCAGTTGTAGAGTTCGATTATTTTCCACACTTTAGACTGCTTACACTTACATGTGATCCTGATTTTAGACATGAAGTTTTATGTACAGAAAATGAGCCCTCATTTTTGCATCCATGCATTAAAACCATGTTTTAAAGCTATTGTCGTAGGGTAAGTTTGAACCAAGGAAGTTAAAAGTACTGGGTGTACGTCTAGCAAATTACTTTTAAGATTTATAGGCCAGGCGTGGTGTTTCACGCCTGTAATCTCAGCACTTTTGGGAGGCCAAGACTGGCAGATCACTTGAGGTCATGAGTTTGAGACCAGCCTGGCCAACATGGTGAAACCCTGTCTCTACTAAAAATAAAAAAAATTAGCTGGGCGTGGTGGCACACGGCTGTAATCCTAGCTACTTGGGAGGCTGAGGCAGGAGGATTATTTGAACCCAGGAGATGGAGGCTGCAGTGAGCTGAGATCACACCACTGCACTCCAGCCTGGGAGATAGAGGAAGACTCCATCTCAAAAAAAAAAAAAAAGTTTGTATAGGCCAGGCAGGGTGGCACATGCCTGTAATCCCAGCATTTTGGGAGACTGAGAGGGGTGGATTGCTTGAGTCCAGTTCAAGACCAACCTGGGCAACATTGTAAAATCTTGTCTCTTTGAGGAAAAAAAAATGATAGCGCATACACATAGTGTGAGTGTGTGCATATACAGTGAAGAAACTACATTGCTTCTATGTAACCCTAATCTCTAGTAGGTTCTTCTGTATCCTGCTGTTTCTGTAGACATCTTTTGAATTTTGTAAAGGGAATATGAAATTATATATTTCTATTTCAACACAGGACTCTCCTTTTCTAATAAAGGTAGTATGTGATACATATCGCTTGGTACCTGAATTTTTTTGTTTTTAATAGAGTTGGGAATCTCACTATATTGCCCATGTTGGTCTCGGACTCCTTGACTTATGTGATCGTCCCGTCTTGGCCCCCCACAAGTGCTGGGATTATATAGGCATGAGCCACTGTGCTTGGCTAAATTTTTTTAACATTCTATTGGGAGCTGGGTGCGGTGGCTCATGAGTGATCCCAGCACTTTGAGAGGCCACGGCAGGTGGATCACTTGAGGTCAGGAGTTTGAGACCAGTCTGACCAACATGATGAAACCCTGTCTCTACTAAAAATACAAAATTAGCCAAGCGTGGTGGTACACACCTGTAATCCCAGCCATTTGGGAAATGGAGGCAGGAGAATCGCTGGCACCCCGGAGGCAGAGGTTGCAGTGAGCCGAGATCTCGCCACTGAACTCCAGCCTGGGCAACGAGCGAAACTCCATAAAAAAAAAAAATTCCATTGGAATGTGCCATAATTTATTTAATAGGCCTTCATTGGTTTTTTTTTCCTATTCAGTTAGTACATAAATATATTCTTAAGTTTAAATATACATGTTACTTCTTAAAAATTTTTCATCTTTAAATGTCGCAGATAAGGCACTATCCTGCTTTGTCCATCCCCAGCCCCATTCCCTTCTTGCCTCCTCCACTTTCTAGGGCCAGTCACTGTCCTTGGTTTACAATTTATGAATCTCATAAAACTTTTTAAAGATTTGATGTAGTTCTAAGGAAAATGAATGTGGATGAAAGACATTTCAGAGTACCTGATTTTTCTTTTCTTTCTCTTTTTTAAATTTAGCATGTATATTTGATTTGGAGCATTTGAGCTAGTTAACCAGCAAAAAGACATTTTTCCTTCTCTCCATCCTGTGTCTTGAGTGTACATCTGAGTTCTTTTCCTTAACCCCCTTCCACAGTATTTCTGTCAAGACATGATGGTCTAGGGACTAGTTTAGAAGTATGTGTATATGTTTTCAGAAATAAGCTTTAAAAATAATAATAAATTGAGATGAGGTCTCACTATGTTTCCCTGGCTGGTCTCAAACTCCTGGGCTCAAGCAGTTCTCCCATCTTTGCCTCCCAGAGTGCTAGGATTATAGGCAGTGAGCCACGGGTCGGACCAGAAATAACTTTTAATGCATCATTAATTAAGTGTATTAAGAGACTATCAAGACTGAAATTGATCTTTAATGTCTTAAACGTCTGAGTGGTAATACCTGTTTCTTGGTATTTTGAATGTTTTGAGATGCTTGGGTGGTGGGGAGTACCATTTTATTCAGGAATTATTGGAGAGGTTTATGATGTAATCTAAGCGTTGGGGTTTTGGAGAGTTCTTGGAGGGGGAGGTGAGCATGGCACTGTCCGTGGTGCTGAATCAGATTGCTTGCTGGTTCGGATGGCAGAAAGGCTCTGAAATTGTGAAGGCCACACACACAACTACCTGGCTGTTAAAAAGCACATCTCCTGTATGCAGTTGAGATTCTTAATTTCTGTTGGTGTCCAGTGCACCAGGGAAAGCCGACTGTGTAGGCAACCGTGGGGCCAGCATTAGTTGCAGTGAGCTATTCTAATATGGGGAAAAACAAATTGATTTAAATGGGATGTGTGAACCTAGGTAAAACCTAAAAGTCCTGCTGTGATTATTCTGCTTGTAGAATAACCACCTGTGTGAGTGTGAGAAATTTATGCTTTAAAATTAATGAAAAGTGATTGGAATGTTGTTGTAATTTACACCTTATTTACCAGTGGTAACTTAAAATGTTTTGAATCCGAACTTGAGTTATATGTGTTTTTCAGCCCAAGCATTTAGCATGCATTTAGAGTGGTAAAACAATTTTATCCTTTCCTAAACACTTTCCCGGATCTTTACATAATTATACAGGAATTGTCCACTGACACCTTGAGGGTGATGATTTGATGTTTTAAGACACTGGCATGGGTGGGTGATCCCAGCACTTTGGGAGGCCAAGGCAGGTGGATCACTTGAGGCCAGGAGTTCGAGACCAGTTGACCGACATGGTGAAACCACATCTCTACTAAAAATACAAAATTAGCTGGGCGTGGTGGCACATGCTTCTAATCCCAGCTACTCAGGAGGCTGAGGCAGGAGAATAGTTTGAACTGGAAAGGCAGAGGTAGCAGTGAGCTGAGATTGCGCCACTGCACTCCAGGCTGGGGGACAGAGCGAGACTCTGTCTCAGAAAAAAAAAAAAAAGATGCATGTGTTCATGATGAAAACGTTTAAAATATTTGTTTTAATGTATACCATTTGCATATGTTCAGTAATCTTCACAACAAAATTGGCTGTAGAATTGTTTTAATTACTAGGAAACCTATAGTAAAATAATGACTTTGCATGATTAGATAAAGGTTCTTTACGCTGATTAGCTATTGTAAAGTAAGAACTACCTAAGGATTTTTTTTTTTTTTTTAATTTGAGACTGAGTCTCACCCTGACGGCCAGGCTGGAGTGCAGTGGCATGATCTTGGCTCACTGCAGCCTCCGCCTCCTGAGTTCAAGTGATTTTCATTCCTCAGCCTGCCAAATAGTTGGGATTGCGGGCATGCGCCACCACACCCAGCTAATTTTTGCATTTCTAGTAGAGACGGGGTTTCACCATGTTGGCCAGCCTGGTCTCGAACTCCTGGCCTCAGGTGATCTGTCCGCCTTGGCCTCTCAAAATGCTAGGATTACAGGCATGAGCCACCATGTCTGGCCTACATAAGAGATTTTATATAAAAAGTTTTGTGCAGAATATCATTGCAAATAAAGCAAATTATAGTGTGGTATAGCATGTTTTCAAATTCCATTTAGTGTTTCGAAACAGCGAAAGTTTGTATGTAGTAAACATTAGTATAAATATTTTTTGGATTAGAATGAATCTTTATTGTGGTACAATTGGAATTTATTAATGATTAGGCAACATCAAAAGTATAAGTTTATATTTTGCTTATTCTATTAAAGCCATGAATGTAAAACCCGTGGAATTTCTTTTTCTTCTTTAAAGCGGGAGATACAGATGACCCACCAAGAATTACTCAGAACCCTGTGATCAATGGGAATGTGGCCCTGAGTGATGGACACAACACCGCGGAGGAGGACATGGAGGATGGTAAGTGCCTGTGGTTCACCGCCTCGCAGTGGGCGGAAACTTGTCAGAAAACAGGTTCAGATCCATGCTTGGTACTTCTTGGGTACATCCTTGGGTACTTCTGAGCGTAGCTAGTTTTCAGGAGGCTGTAACTGAGGAAAATCCTGTTTGGGTTTTGAGTTTCAAGATTGCCTACACCATTGCCAGGTAAGTAGAGTCTCCCTAGCCTAGGCAAGGAGGTGTAATGTAGGTTTAAATTTAATAGGTGGGTATTTACTCCTGCCTGCAGGTCTCCAGCCACTGCTAGTATTGGGAACAACAAGCATGTCTTACTCTCCTTCTTGTTTGTTTGCAGCAAGATACGTGCAGACATTGGAACTTGGCTTTCCATTGCATTCTCATTGCAGGGTGTATATCAGTTGATGATAGCTATGAATCCCTCCCCGCTCCTGTTAGGGATGAAATCAGATTCAAGCTTTGGCCTTCATTCTCCCTCACTGAGTTTTGGTCTATAGCTTCTCTGTGAGAAAGCATACTCATATGTATGTGCATGGACATTTTTTGTGTAGGAAATCAGTTTTTTTCTTCCGAGACCATTCCTTCTTTAAATTTATCAAATTAGTGACCTCAATATTTGCACAGTCACACTTGTGAGTAGGGAGCAGCCAGTAATTGCAGTATGCAGCCCCTGGAGTCTTGAGTGTAATATGAAACCATGTTCTGTCAAAAAGCATGTCCATCAATCCTCATGAGGGTTGTGTCCTTCCCAGGGGAGTAACGGGGCAGTTGAAAGAAACCATCAGTCACGGGCTGCACCACCAGAAGGACTGCTGTTCAGACCTCCTGCCAAAAGTTCAGCCTCCATGAGAAACTGCAGCCGTAGTTGAGAGTTCTCTCACAGTGCGGTTTACCCCTGGCAGCTGGCTGAGGCAATATCTGAGGAAGGTAAAGAGGCGTGGTCTAAACCCGCTGCTTTGTTACCTGTGGAGTGCGCTTTCCACCGTAGACGAGGGCAATGGTGTGGGTGTGGTCTCGCTGGTTGTTGGGCTTTTGGAGGTTTTACTTTAGACATCTGAGATGCCGAAAGCGGTTGAGTGAGTGCATTTGGGAAGGCATGGCCAGCTCTGAGGCGCTAGGTGTGCGTTTGGGATCAATTCTAGCCACTTGTGTAGCAGTGACAGGCCCTGCCCTATCGGAACATTCCGGGTCTAGTTCCCACAGAGCAATCTGTTCCAACATTTCCCTACTGTTTTTTTCTTTTTTTTTTTAGGGGGGAGGTCTTGGGAGGAGACATAGATATAGGGCGGAGCTTCTTAGCTTCTCATGGCAACTTGGATAATTCTTGGTTGTGGGAGGCTGTCCTGTGCATTCCAGGATGCCCATGGCTGCTGCCCTCCACTTGCGGTCATGACATGTCTCTAGACATTGCCAGGTGTCTCCTGGGGAGAATGACTTATGAGGGGACAATATGGGTAAAGTCCCCTTCCTTTTGAGGTACATTTCACTAAATTAGTAGACAGTGGTGCCACGCCATAGGACCCGAAAGTGGAAATGCCCTTCTTGTGACCTCCTTGATGGAAAAAGCGTATAATCCGAGAAGGTTGAGTAATCTTCCGTAGCACCTTTCCTTGGTTTGGAACTGTGGTTGCCGTTGAAAGACCCAGCATGTAATATCTTTCTGATGGCAAAGTGCGTGGGAGGGAGGTGGTCCTGACTGTAGGAGAAGAACTTGTAGCTGAGGGCAGCGTTTTCCAGCTGCAGTACAAATTGCGCAATCCTCTTCTTCAGGGGATAAGTGTGTTGTGAAAAATGCACAGGATTCTAGGAAGTTGGATATGTGCTGGGCTAAACAAGCTTTATTTACTGTCGTATGTCTCAGGGTTGTCATATCAGAAGCAGCATAAATTGCTTATCCAAAATAAGTTTTTGTTAATGATTCCCTAAGACTCTGGACTTCAGAGCTCCCCCTTTTTTTGAGTGTCCTGTGTCCTTGAGTGTTGAGTGTCCATTTCAGACTAGGGCACACAATCTGGGAAGCACCTCATTAGAAGTTTGGTCTGTAGCCAAACTATCAGCGACTTGACTGATTTGCACAGAAGACTTCTTAGTAAGGGACATTTCTTGTGTAAGATGCTAAATAGCTAATGAGACAAAGAGATGGGAGACATGTATAGTTGAGGGAGAGAACTTATTTAAAAATCCTGTTAACATAGAATTTCGGGCAAGTATCAGAATTATCTTTTACTGTATCTACTCATTCTACTTTTAGTTCCTTATTCACTATTTTTCATGAGATGACCAAGGAAGTACCGCCATGTGTGGCTAATTGTTTGTAGTGATGGGATGTCACTATGTTACCCAGGCTGGTCTTGAACTTCTTGGCTCAAGCAGTTCTTCTGCCTTGGCCTCCCAATGTGTTGGGATTATAGGCATGACCCATTGCACTTGGCCCAAGGAAGTTTTATTTTATTTTATTTTGAGATAGGTTCTTGTTGTGTCGCCCAGGCTAGAGTACAGTGGCAAGATCTCAGCTCACTGCAACCTCCACCTCCTGGGTTTTTGCGATTCTTCTGCCTCAGCCTCCCGAGTAGCTGGGATTACAGGCAAATGCCACCACGCCTGGCTAATTTTTGTATTTTTAGTAGAGACGAGGTTTCACCATGTTGGCCAGGCTGGTCTTGAACACCTGACCTCAGGTGATCCACCTGCCTTGGCTTCCCAAAGTACTGGGACTACAAGTGTGAGCCACCAAGGAAGTTTTAGAGCAAATACGGCCTCTGAAGATCTAGATGGATCTAGATTTAGAATGTTGTTCTCCATGAAACTAATTTGTGGGGATTGACTAGGACTTGCAAGAAGTTGTATTAGAATGAAGAGCAGAAGTTTGCTAAAATCACTGCAACAGCACCATTTGGAGAAATTTCATACCAACCTTTCTGATTCAAAAATCTGAAGTATTCTGTTTTTCTTTAACTTTCTTTCTTTTTTTTTTTCTTTTTCTTTTTTTCTTTTTGGCCAGGCTGGAGTGCAGTGGCGCAATCTCGGTTCACCTCACCCTCTGCCTCCCGGGTTCAAGCGATTCTCCTGCCTCAGCCTCCCAGGCAGCTGGGACTACAGGCGCTTGCCACCACGCCTGGCTAATTTTTTGTATTTTTAGTAGAGCCGGGGTTTCACTATGTTGGCCAGGCTGCTGGTCTCGCACTCCTGACCTCATGATTCGCCTCGCCCACCCCGGCCTCCCAGAGTGCTGGGATTACAGGCGTGAGCCACTGCGCCCGGCCTACCTTTCTTTTTGCAACTGAAGCCCAGGCTGGTCTATTGGCCTTTGCCCTGGGAGGATAAAATTGCTGTAACAAAGTGCACAGTGGGAACTTCGTGCTGTAGGTAATTGTCCCTGCCCCTGGTACAAGAGTCTCCAGGGGCCAGATTGGAAGGTAGTGAGAGTTATCAAGGAATCTGGTTGAGGATTTGTGGTGACACCAGTTTGTAGAAGTTTGTTGCTTTGTCATTTACAGTAAAAAGAAGCATGCGGTAATGAAATGGTGGTCTGCTAATGTTAGTGGCATCCAGGCAGATTGGAGTCTTTGTGCATGAAGTGCTAATTTTGCAGTGAATGTGGGTGTCCTTGCTAATACCTAGCATACTTGGAAGTTGCAAAAAAATAATACATAGGATCCAGTGTACTGTTAACTATTTTCTTGGGCAAAGATCTCCATCACTGAGTCTCATGTAATTCCTCGTAGGAGGACAATCTGGCTGGCCGTATCTGTGAAAGCTAATTTCCAAGTCCACTTCTCCTTTTTTTTGGCCCTCCTATCTTGAATTTTTTTGGAGACCAGAGTTTTTTGCTCTTGTTGCCCAGGCTGGAGTGCAATGCCATGATCTCAGCTCAGTGCAACCTCCACCTCCCAGGTTCAAGCGATTCTCCTGCCTCGACCTCCCAAGTAGCTGGGATTACAGGCGTGCACCACCACACCCAGCTAATTTTTTTTATTTTTAGTAGAGACGGGGTTTCACCATGTTGGGCAGGCTGGTCTCAAACTCCTGACCTCAGGTTATCCGCCCGCCTCTGCCTCCCAAAGTGCTGGGATTACAGGCGCGAACCACCGCGCCCGGCCGACCTTTTGTTTTTTAGTGAAATTTTCTTTTTTTTTTTTTTTGAGACGGAGTCTCGCTCTGTCGCCCAGGCTAGAGTGCAGTGGCGCGATCTCAGCTCACTGCAAGCTTCGCCTCCCGGGTTCACGCCATTCTCCTGCCTCAGCCTCCCTAGTAGCTGGGACTACAGGCGCCAGCCTCTGCACCCGGCTAATTTTTTGTAGTTTTGGTAGAGATGGAGTTTGACCGTGTTAGCCAGGATGGTCTCGATCTCCTGACCTCGTGATCCACCCGCCTCTGCCTCCCAAAGTGCTGTGATTACAGGAGTGAGCCACCGCACCTGGCCTAGTAAAAGTTTTCAATTATTCTGCTAGTATGAAGAGTTTTCAGGAAGTGAGGTGAAATTTTAATACACCCGAAGTGTCATCTAAACTTTGTGCTTGCAGATTTGATAAGTCTGTTCTAAGAAATGTGCCTTGAGTGTGAGGCTGAAATCGAGTGTGCAGTGCACTAATTGTGAACTAACCACTGTGTGTCAGGGCAGTGCCACACTCGGGGGCACAGAGACGGATGCGCGGTGGCCTCTGCGGGGCTGGGCAGCAGGTGAACCAAGTGCAAACTTCAATTCTGAGTCTCACCATTGTTTGGGTCTTTTTAATGTTTAAGGAGTACCTTGGAAAATTTAATGTATAGGGTGAAAGTTCCAAAAGCACTTACAATATGTATTGATTTTGTATACATAAAATCAAACCCTGTAAAGAGCTGAATTATATAAAATAGATGGGTTGGAAAAGAGGCATAACCTTGTTTCTTTCAGCTTTTTAGGTCCTGCAGTGATTTTCCATTTGGTTGCTTCTGTGCAGTTCTGTATACATGGGCTTCATAAAGCGGGCAAGCTAGTAGTCTCATTTTGTTGAGGCCTGTGTTTTGTGTGTGTTATGGTAACTTCCAGGAGTGGAATTTTAAAAACCAGAGTCAGGTCACTGTGCATAGTGTCTTGACAAATCTTGGATATTAAAATCCTCTATTGTCACTTTGTAAAACAGCCTCGGCGAACCTCCATTTCCTCACCTAAAATGTGGGAATTGACATCTGTCTCTTGTCTACCTTGCAGAACTTAACTCCTGATCAGCTGTGAATTGCATGATCCTAAAAGCACATGGCAAAACTTATTCCACCACGCCATTCTAGACGTTATTATCTTAAACAAGTTTCTTGCCTTTTAGTAGACTTCTATCCTCAAAAGGATTAGGGGAATACCACTTGAAGAGGCTCAAATAAATAATTATTTTGGACAAGATGCGCCTCTTTCAGCTGCTCTTCCTTCCAAAGTTCCTGTGCTGTAAGCAACTCAGCAGGGTTATGTGAAATAAAATAATTTGGGATGAAGAGTGTCTCAAAGAAGGTAGAAGTGCTTACCGTCACACATGCTTTTGATATTTCAATACTACCCTCCCAGGAGGACTGATGGACATGTTTTCTTAAGACCAAACTCAGTCAGAAACTTCAAGCAAATTCTCTTCCCTGAGAAGTGGCTGATGCTGAGAACTCAGTTGTTAGTGAACTTTGGAGTCTGAAGGGTTGTTGGATGACATGGTGACTGCCTTCAGGGGCCTGAAGATGAAGGATGGGAGGATGTTCTTAGGCACTCTTTACCCAAGCCTACAAGTCTCATTTTGTGCCTTAGGAGCCTGGTGGTCAGGGATGTCAAAATAGCACCTGATTCTAAGCCGGGAACAGCCTTCCAGGCACTGCCTGTAGAGCTTGGCCCTTGGTGTGGCCCTGGGACTCCTGCCAGTCAGTGAGCTGTGTGCAGACTATAATGAGATAGGTACAGAAAGTGAAAGGAAGCGTTTAGAAGCTTGTGTAGCATGTTGACTTTGCTGTGGCAATTTCATGATGCTTTATAAAAGTATTGGTCAATAACAGATTGGTGTGGGTGTGGGAGGACTGTGCCTTCGCAGGAGTCGTTTGGGAAGCAGTAAGATGCTGCAGGGTTTGTCAAAGGTGATTGACCGATGGCCACATGCAAATGAATAGTCACTGTCATCAGTGAAAGATTGAATTTTAAATGGAGACCTTCAGTTGGACCTCTGCTAAGAGGCACTGTGTTGTCAGAAACTTAAATATCTTAAATCAGCCTTTGGTCTTGTTATCATTTAACAATTTATACTACTCATGTGGGAAAAAATACCAGTTCTTAAAAAAAAAATTATTCCCCCTAGGGTGTCCAGGCTAGTATTTTTGCAAAAATCGTGAACCAATGAGGTTAGCATTTATTATCAGGCTACTGTTGTAGCCCTTGTCTTGCCTCTGAGCAGTGCTGAGCTTCCAGGGGAATGGCTGTTTCCCTGGCTCTCAAGTCCTGCCTGTGTGTTCCGTGCTCTGTAAAGTCAGCCCAAGTCCCATGTCGTGGTCTTTACCCCCAGAAGTCCCGTCCTTGAACAGATATGAGCCATGTCGTTCCTTCTCTCCAAGGTCTCTCCACTCACTTGGTGCCTGGGGTCCTTGGGAATTCAGCTTTAGTAAAGTAGACATTGTTCTCATGTGGAACTCAGTCTGACAGGGATGGCAAGTGTATGGTTAGCACTCTGAGTTTTGGACTTCATAAGGAAGAATTAATCCATTCAGAAACTGTATGTTATCTCAGTCTTCGGGTTTTAATAAATTGGAAGCAATTTTTTCAAACTGTTAGGTTTTAGCAGTTAAATCAGGATGTATAGAACAGTTTACTCCATGTCGATTAATGCTAGTGCTTTTGGTCAATGCACAGGCTCTGTGACTGATGATGTGTTTTTTTTGCAGACACCAGTTGGCGCTCCGAGGCAACCTTTCAGTTCACTGTGGAGCGCTTCAGCAGACTGAGTGAGTCGGTCCTTAGCCCTCCGTGTTTTGTGCGAAATCTGCCATGGAAGATTATGGTGATGCCACGCTTTTATCCAGACAGACCACACCAAAAAAGCGTAGGATTCTTTCTCCAGTGCAATGCTGAATCTGATTCCACGTAAGACAGTATTTCATTACTGGAAGCCAAATTTGATCAGCCTAGTGCAATTTTATCTTAAGTTATTTGCTGCCTCTACATAGCCTTTTGATTTTAAATTAGATTAAATACGTGTTTCTCTTTAAAACCCACTGGTATATGTATAATATCCAAGCTAGAAAAGTATATTTTTATCTTGTAAGTGAAAAAACTAAAAATAGTTTGTTAGAATCTACCAGCCCATGGAATCAGGGCCGGCCTGGATTAGCTGACCATTGAGCCACCAGGCTTAATTCTTACTCTGTCAGTAACTGTCTGAGCAGAAAATGGCAGCTGTCAGAGCCAGACATCCTTTCCATTGTGTGATAGCTAATTTGTACGGGTTGTTCAGAAAGTACAAGTAAAACATACTTTGTGAAGGATTTATACAACATGGCCCTCTGACTTGAGGAACATTTAAACATTCATGTATATTATGAAATGTCCAAAAACTGAGAAATCTTGATGGTCCTTCTATTTAGATGAATTAGAAAATTAATTCACCCTTTATCAAAAACCCAGTTGATTCTGGGAGTACGGACCACTTTGTCAACCTGTCTGCAGTTGGAACCAGGGGAAGCTGCTGACTTGGACTGCACCTGTCCTAGTCTCCCTGCCACGCCACAGAGTGGCCCTTTGGAACCCTCAGTAACATGTTCCCCAGAGTGAACTGACTCTGGCTGTTCTGTCAGATCCCCCAGGGAATAAAATTTACAGAGTCTCACTCTGTCGCCAGGCTGGAGTGCAGTGGCCTGATCTTGGCTCACCACAACCTCCACCTCCCGGGTTCAAGCGATTCTCCTGCCTCGGCGTCTCAAGTAGCTGGGACTATAGGCGTGTGCCACCACACCCAGCTAATTTTGTATTTTTCATAGGGACGGGGTTTCACCATGTTGGCCAGGCTGGTCTCGAACTCCTGACCTCAGGTGATCTGCCTGTCTCGGCCTGCCAAAGTGCTGGGATTACAGGCGTGAGCCAGCGCACCTGGCCGTACTTTCATTTTCTTTAATGTTTAAGGTAATTTTATGATGCAGCCAGGGCCTGTGGATGGTTAAAGTTGTCCTCTTCTGTTCACATTATGATGTGATCTGATGAGTATTTGGGCTAGGTTTGTTTTAGTCCGATGGACAACTTTAGCCTGAAGCACTTTGGAAAAGTAGTGAATGGTCCATACCCAGTGTCAGCGTCCCGAGCAAGCAGGAAGTGCTGTGGGAACAGCACTGTCCTACCCTTGTCCTGAAGAGTCAAACCATTTCAGGGCTCAGTTGCAGCTTTGATTGATAAGGCCCCACTTAAATCGCAAACCTTAACTTTCTTTGGCTTAAGTGCTGTATGTATGGTTTTTGAACCTGGATCTAGAGGCCCTTTTGTGGTCCACCCCACACTTCACTGCAGGTACAGTAGTTCTCTTGTGGTTGTAATTTTGTGCCTCATCGTGAATTCGTCGATGCCGGGGCAGGACAGCAAGCTCTAAGGCCACAGAGCTCCCCGGTGCTGGTTTTCCCCCAGCATGTGCTGGAGGGCATCCTAGGAGAGCTCGAGAGGCATGGCACTGAAGGGCTGTAGGGGCAGGAGCAACGCTGAGAGGTGACCCCTATATCGGCAGTAGAAGCAGAGGTCAAAATTGTATAGATACAATGAAAGAAAATTTGTTTCAACTTCTAAGGAATTAAAAAATGAAACCATGAGTGAAATCACTACAGAATACACTGGGGGAGCCCCAAACACCCATTTCTCTATTAAAGGTAAAAATGCCTCCATCCTACCTTTAACCCCAACCCGAAAGGAGAGAGCAATGAAATCATAAATGGGAATTTTGGTGTGCTATGTTTACTGTCTTTAAAAATGTATAACATCTGGTAAATAATGTCAACTAAGGCTCAGATTATTCTTTTAAACAGGTCATGGTCTTGCCATGCACAAGCAGTGCTGAAGATAATAAATTACAGAGATGATGAAAAGTCGTTCAGTCGTCGTATTAGTCATTTGTTCTTCCATAAAGAAAATGATTGGGGATTTTCCAATTTTATGGCCTGGAGTGTAAGTAACAGTGTATTTAGTCTGAACAATTGGTGCATTACTGCTTGTTGTTCCCTTAACTTTTTGATTTTTCAAGTCCTTTATTGATTTTAGAGTCAGATTTTTACTTTCTAAATTGGACAAGTGTCTTTGAAAACATGTTTTCTCCAGTTTCGTATCTTACGTTTTTAGCAGCTTTCTGGATTCACGTCTCACTTTTTAGTCAGACATTCAAAGGGAGTTCCCAGTGGGCTAAATTTCCTTTAAAAGACATAATGCTGTTTGAGGTCCTTTCATGATTCAGGCATAGTACTGAGTGGTTCCATGTGACTCCAGTAATCATTCAGTTCACTTTGGCTGCTTTTTGCAGAGGTGGTAACCAGTGGAACAATCTTAGGAATGTTACTTCTTACTATGCTAAGTCACTTATCATTGCATTCTCCAGCCCCTCCCCTGCTTAGAGGGGCACAGATTTCTCCTGTCCATGCTGTGGCACTGAGCCCCTGGGTACCTCTGGGATACCTCTGAGGTGCCAAGCATTTGCTGTATTTGTTGTGAGACCACTGTTAAAAGAAAATTGAAACAGTCTAAAATTAGCAAAAAAGTTGGGATGTATTTAAAAAAAAAGTATTTTCATCTCTATTAAGTACAGGGCACTAATGTAATTTGTCTCTTGGGAATAAAATGTGTGTTCTTATTCAAGCTGGATATTCTTATTTATGTTTTATAGGAAGTGACCGATCCTGAGAAAGGATTTATAGATGATGACAAAGTTACCTTTGAAGTCTTTGTACAGGCGGATGCTCCCCATGGAGTTGCGTAAGTTTTTCTTTAATCAGGTGCTGTTAAAAATGTCTTTTGTGCTGCAGTGAAAGAAGCTTTAGCGTGCATGTAATAGAGATGCACATATTTAATCAGTAAGCCTCCTCTCTGCGCTTGCCCTGTGGCACACAGAGTCACACCTGCTTGACACTCGTTTAACAGATTGATTGAGCAGTTTCTATATGTTAGACCCTTGGAACATAATTGTATAATTATGGCAACTAGACAGCTGTGGTTTTCTGTTCCTAAAGAATGTACACTCAGCTTTCATAGAGGAGCTAAGACCGGTACATAAATACCCAGAGCAGAGATGCTCCGTTGTTACTTTGATGAGGGCAGGGAGGAAGTCCTCTCCGAGTGTGAGGAAGGGGGGACTGGGGGAAGAGGTGAGCATCACCGACAACTAACATGGTGAGCGAGGAGTAAAGAGGGGTGACAAGGCCGTTAGGTGTATTTGAGTGTTTCCAAGGCTGGGAGCTAACCCCTGGAGTGGCAAGGTGCTGGTGAATGGTACTGCGCAGTAGGTGTCTCCCCCAGCACTGGTCCCGCTTGGTGACGGTCGTGTGTTCAGGTCGTGGCATTGTGTACAGAGGGAGATGGGCGTGGAGGTGGGAGGATTGCTTTGCTTTCTGGCACCGTTCTCTGTGGCTTCCTTTTACTACTTGGGGTGGGGGTGGGAAGGTACGAGACACAGTTAATTCTGAGAATCTTATCTTGCTCCCAAACAACCACCAAAATCACAAAATAAAAAAAGCTCTGGGAGTTTAGAAGTCTGAGGTGAAACTTGGTGAATACACACTTCTGTTTCTTCTTGTGTGTGTGTCTACAGAAAAGATGAGTTTCAGCTTTTTCCACGTTGTGCTGACCTTGCGTGTGATAAGTGTAATTATGTAACCAAACTCTACCATGAGGCATGTTGGGTGTGAGCATGCAGGTCTCCGTTAAGTGTCTGTTGGTGCTGGGCTTGATCAGTGACAGGAGTGCCACTGTCAGCAGGCAGGTGCTTCGAGGGCTGTGCGAATGTGGGGGTTGCATTTGCACCAGTTCACACACTGGAGCAAGCAGAAGGGAATCGGTGACCATTGAAGGATGCTGTGTGATAAGTGTTCCTGGCCTCGGTTTCCTTAAGGCTGACCTTGAGTCAGATTGCTTCACACACACTGCAGGAGCAATGGGGTATCTGCAAGATCCCCTCAACCTTGAACTGATCTTTCAGGTGGGATTCAAAGAAGCACACAGGCTACGTCGGCTTAAAGAATCAGGGAGCGACTTGTTACATGAACAGCCTGCTACAGACGTTATTTTTCACGAATCAGCTACGAAAGGTAAATGGATAGTGTTCCTCTCCTGCAGCCTTCCGCTCACCCTTTCTTCTCAGGTATATCAGAGCAAAGTCCTCTCAACAAACATGGCGTCTCCCTCCCCTGGCCCTGTCTCCTCAGATGGCTGCTAGTTCATGCTGCGTTTTCATTCCCCAGTGCTGGGACACCTACTTTGTAACCTGCCTCAGTGATTCAGAGTTACCACCGCCAACCTTTTTCTTTATTGAGATGGAGTCTTGCTCTGTCGCCCAGGCTGGAGTGCAATGGTGTGACCTTGGCTCACTGCAGCCTCTGTCTCCTGGGTTCAAGTGATTCTCTGGCCTCAGCCTCCTGAGTAGCTGGGATTACAGGCACCCGCCACCACGGCCAGCTAATTTTTATATTTTAGTAGAGGCGGGGTTTCACCATGTTGTCCAGGCTGGTCTCGAACTCCTGACCCCAAGCTATCCACCTGCCTCAGCTTCCCAAGGGGCTCAGATTATAGGCATGATCCACCATGCCCAGCCATGACCTAATTTTGCAGACTTAAAATTGTGTTAGAAATCACCTTGTGAAGGTATTTAGAAAAACATATAATCCATTAACAGCAACATTTGCAAAGTTTTATATAAAAACTGAGTTGAAAAGTCAATGCAACTTACTTTTATTGAAAATTTTAACAAAAAGAATAGACATACATTAAATCTAATATAGATGAGTTAGTTCTATTTTGAGAATTACTTGTGATTATTATGAAGCAGTACAGGAAATCGGCACTCCTGGTTGTGGGGTGGGCAGGGAGCTGGCTGGCTTGTCATCCTTCAAGGCATGTTTGCACAGCCACCCAGACAGGTTGTCGTGATATATCCCAGGGACAGCTCAGCATGGGTAATTCTAGTCACATTTAAGTTTTTAATCAAATCTTTGTTTCACAAGTAATGGTAAGTTAAGAAATGGTGCTCCATGGCTGGGCGCAGTGGCTCATGCCTGTAATTCCAGCACTTTGGGAGGCCGAGGCGGGCGGATCATGAGGTCAGCAGATCGAGACCATCCTGGCTAACATGGTGAAACCCCGTCTCTAGTAAAAATACAAAAAAATTATCTGGGCATGGCGGCGTGCACCTGTAGTCCCAGCTACTGGGGAGGCTGAGGCAGGAGAATGGCGTGGACCTGGGAGGCGGAGATTGCAGTGAGCCAAGATCACGCCACTGCATTCCAGCCTGGGTGACAGAGCAAGACTCCGTCTCAAAAACAAAACAAAACAAAAAAAGAAATGGTGCTCCAATAAGTAGGAAATAAAAGTAGTTCTCTGGGGGCTGATTTTGTTTTTTGTTTACTTTTTCTGTATTATCTTTTTATCAAGAACATATGGGTGAGGCTGGGTGCGGTAGCTCTCGCCTATAATCCCAGCACTTTGGGAGGCCAAGGTGGGCAGATCCCCTGAGGTCAGGAGTTTCAGTCCAGTCTGGCCAAAATGGCAAAACCCTGTCTCTCCTGAAAATTCATAAATTAGCCTGGCGTGGTGGTGCGTGCCTGTAATTCCAGCTACTCGGGAGGCTGAGGCAGGAGAATTGCCTGAACCCAGGAGGCGGAGGTTGTAGTGAGCTGAGGTCGCGCCACTGCACTTCAGCCTGGCCAACAGAGTGAGACTTCGTGTCACGTGGGTGGTGATTTTCAAAATTTATTTTTGCATTCTTATGTTTTCCAGTATCCCTAAAGACGTTCATGATTTTGTAAACTTTCTCACCAATTTGGGGATCGTTAAAAGCCCTAACAACAACCTTAGCCATTGTGTTATTAGAAATGATTTTTTTAAACATGAAGATTAAATTCTTACTGTTTTTTAAATTCCCCTGCATCTTCTCAGAGTAAAAATTCTTATTTCTTAATTGTTTCAGGCTGTGTACATGATGCCAACCGAGGGGGATGATTCGTCTAAAAGCGTCCCTTTAGCATTACAAAGAGTGTTCTATGAATTACAGCATAGTGATAAACCTGTAGGAACAAAAAAGTTAACAAAGTCATTTGGGTATGTATTAGACATCTGCCTTTGCCATTCTGCTTCCTCTTTTTTTTTTTTTTTTTAGGACAAGTGAGTAGAGAATAGAAAAGTTAGTAGAGCATACTGTAGGCACTTAATTTAGGGAGGCTTGAGCATTTAATCGTGTCAGTGCTTTTATCATTGTATTTTGTTTTATCTCTTTGGAAATAGACACTTTGTTGTAGAATTTTGCTTGAGAAAGAATTCACCGCTTAAGGTTTTTACTTTTCAACACAAGAACCTGTACTGCTTTCAGATTTATTACATTTTCTTGGAAACACCACTTCCCCAGCAGTAAATCTATCTTTGAATTATGACTCCCAAAAATAATCTTCACAGAAAAGGAATTTGAGAATAATAGCTGATTATCCAGTTTAGGTTTTCAATCTAAGTTACTTTTAATTTGCTCATTTGAAAGTTGAGCTTTAAATGGAGTTGTTTGTTTTATCTTTGAAAGGTGGGAAACTTTAGATAGCTTCATGCAACATGATGTTCAGGAGCTTTGTCGAGTGGTAAGTTTCAAGCAATACTTGTATATTTCTTACAATGAATATTTTGAAGCATGGTCAGAAGTTATTACCAAGTAAAACCTCAGACCTAATTCAGAAAATGCCCATCTTTGTTTAGGATCAGACTTAGGCTACAAAAAGGCAGCAGATGTCTAGTTATAAAGGCTGGTAAGAATTACTTGAATAGGGATTTGAAGGTGAAGTGAGGAAGCTTGAATTTTAATACTAGCAGGCAGTAGGCTTTTAATTTGTTAAATTGGTATATATACAGGAGTTATTAATCCAGAAACCAAAGACTGGCTTTGTTGGCTGTCCCGTTGGTCCTGAGTCACTGTACAGTGGTGACTTCTGTTGTTACTCCAGTGTCCAGACCCCTCCTGTGCAGCGAGGTTCTCATTGAGCAGACCTCAGCATGCGGTGATTACTCTCCCCGCGCCATCACTAATCACTAGCAAATCCTCATTCTTCCAGTTGTGATAAAAGACGCAGAAGCACACACACACAACATGAAATGGCTGTTCAAGGTGATTGGCTGGGCAAGGTGTGTTTTCTTTTTTGCAGCACTAGCTGGATTGAATCCAGTTCATTAAATATCCATGGACAAACCAGTCAATCCTGTTGACAGGCTCAACCTCATTAATCTCTTGGTGTGGACCATTACGAGTTAAGTTTAGTGAACAATTTTACATGCTTTTCCACAGAGGTAAAAAATATAAAAATGCTTCTAAAGGCACTACAGATTACTAATTTATTCCAAAGGCTGTATAAAAGGTTAACCTCAACTGTTGCATGTAGAGATGTTTGTAAAAATCCAACCAAGAAAGAAGATTTTGTATGTTTTTGAGAATTGCATGCCAGAGGTCATATTTTTATAGTCTACAACTTCTTTGAACATTGATATTTCTAGTCAATTATAAAATTACTGTATATATTACTAAGTACAAAAAAGTTTTTTTAAAGCCAAAACATTCTTTTTCAGTTGCTCGATAATGTGGAAAATAAGATGAAAGGCACCTGTGTAGAGGGCACCATACCCAAATTATTCCGCGGCAAAATGGTGGTATGTGGCTACCAGTTCTAAAAGATGATTTTTAAAGGTTTTAGAATGTGAATTTTTTGACTATTACTAGTTAAACCACTTTTACTTTCCTTATTTGCAGTCCTATATCCAGTGTAAAGAAGTAGACTATCGGTCTGATAGAAGAGAAGATTATTATGATATCCAGCTAAGTATCAAAGGAA
Organism: Homo sapiens; assembly: GCF_000001405.40. Lineage (NCBI taxonomy): Eukaryota > Metazoa > Chordata > Mammalia > Primates > Hominidae > Homo > Homo sapiens. The sequence goes on along the minus strand of NC_000016.10, from coordinate 8,915,262 downwards.
AGAAAAATAGTAAGTGTTGTGTGTATCTAATGGCATGATCTTTTGATGATTTCTACTGTGTTTTAATGTTTCATTTACACAAGTGATGTTTTTTTAAATAGTCTAAACACAGAGAATGGCTCAGATCTTAAGCAAACAGCTCACTGGGTGAACACAGGCTTGTTACCTCCACCCAGCTCTGGTGTTGGCCAGCACTCCCACAGCCCTTCCCAGCCACCACCTCCCCTCTCCTCACAGGAAACCACCACGTGGACTTCTAACACCCTGGGTTAACTTTGCATGTTTTAGGTGTCTGTTTAAATAGAACCTTGTAGTAGGATGTATTTGTTTGTTTATTTCGCTGTTGTTTTTTGAGATAGGGTCTTGTTGTGCTGTACAGGCTGGGGTGCAACCATAGCTCAGTGCAGCCTCGAACTCCAGGACTCAGGCGATCCTCCTGCTTCAGCTTCCCCAGTGGCTGGGAACACAGGCGTGTGCCACCACACCCAGCTAATTTTTTTTTTTTGGTTAAGAGATGGGGTCTTACTTTGTTGCTCAGGCTGGTCTTGAACTCCTGGGTTTAAGCAACCTTCCTGCCTTGGGCTCCCAAAGCACTGGAATTAGACATGAGCTGCCATGTCCAGCCTGTGTCTGATTCCTTTTGCCCAGCACATTCATGAGATACATCCACGCTGGGAGTAGTCATAGTTTGATCATTTTTGTTGCTTTATAGTATTCCATTTTGAGAATATACCACAAAAATTTTGAAATCTTTCTTCTTTTGCTTGATATTTGGGTTGGTCTCCATTTGAGGTGGTTAGGCATAAGGCAGATCGACCATTCTTAATGCCTGTTTGCATTTGGAGGAAGAGGATTACTGGCCTGTAGGGTGTGCGTATGTCCAGCTTGATGGATCAAGTTAGCGAGATTCCCAAAGTGGTTTATCAATTGCACAGTCATCAGGAAGGTGGCAGAGTTGCAGTTGCTCCACACCCACACTGGAGCTGTCAGTTGCCAGACTTTGAAAGATTTTGGTGGGAGTATAGTGCTATCTGCATTTTAGTTTGTATTTCCTTGAAGATCAGTGAGGTTGTTCTTACCTTTTCAAATGCTTATTGGCAATTTGGATGTCTTCCTTTATAAAATGCTTGTTTAAATACTTTAACAATTTTAGTATTGGCTTCTTTTCTTTTTCCTTAACTGATTTATAGTCATTCCTTTAAAGAAATATTTAAAATAAGGGGGAGGATGGGTGTGGTCGCTCATGCCTGTAATTTCAGCACTTTGGGAGGCTGAGTCGGGAGGATTGCTTGAACCCAGGAGTTTGAGGCCAGCCTGGGCAACATAGTGAGACTCCATCTCTACAAATTAGCTGGGCGTGGTGGCATGCACCTGTAGTCCCAGCTACTTGAGGCTGAGGTGGGAGGATAGCTTGAGCCCTGGAGTTTAAGTCTGCAGCGAGCCATGATTGTGCCACTGCACTGCAGCCTGGGCAACAGAGCAAGTATCTCTCTCAAGAAAGTAAAATAAAATAAAAAGAGTGAGGAGGGGAAGTGCTTTATGTTGACCCACATATTTACAGCTTGCAATGCTCCTCCGTTTTTAATTTGGATATGGATTCTCGTTAGGAATCATTTAGTGCGGGTCGGCTGAGATGAGTTTTTTCACCTTGCATGCCTAGAAAGATTTTATTTCATCTGCAGTTGTGAAAGACATTTTAACTCGGTGTAGACTTCTAGGTTGGCAGGTTCCTTCCTTCGGTCTGTTAGACGTTCTACCGTCTTCTTGCTCGCCTCATTTCTGAGAAGTGGGCTGTAGTGTCCTTACTCTTTCTGTTCATCTGTTTCTCTGCCCCAAGCCCCCATATTCTTCGCTTCGCTTCACTTCACTTCTCTTCTCTCCTGTCTTCCCTCTTCTCTCCTCTTTTTGAGAGGGAGTCTCGCTCTGTTGCCCAGGCTGGAGTGCAGTGGTGCGATCTCGGCTCACTGCAACCTCCACCTCCTGGGCTCAAGTGATTCTCCTGCCTTAGGCTCACAAGTAGCTGGGATTAGAGGCATGCGCCACCATGCCCAGCTAATTTTTGTATTTTCAGTAGAGACGAGGTTTCACCATGTTGGGCAGGCTGGTCTCGAGTTCCTGACCTCAGGTGATCTGCCCATCTTGGCCTCCCAAGATTTTGGGATTACAGGTGTGAGCCACCGTGCCCAGCCCCCCATGTGCTTTTAAGGTTTTTTCCTTCTCACTGGTTTTCAGTTGTTTGATTCTGGCTGCCTGAGGTTACCCCCAGCCTCCAGATGTCCTAGTCTCCTTTCTCTGGGTTTTGTGCTGCGGTTTCTGTTGCTCTGTCTTGATCTTCACTAATTGCCTGCAGTGTCTAGTTCTCTGTGAATCCCATCCATGGTGTTTCATTTTCAAACTTTTTAAATTTTTTTTTATTTTTAGAAGTTTGACTTGGATTTTTTTTAAATGAAAATCTTTATCTCTTCTTTTTTTTCTATGTATTTATCAATTAATTATAATTATTTGGAGACAAGGTCTTGCTGTGTTAGGCCAGGCTAGTCTCGGAGGTCCTGTGCCCAATCAGTCTGCCCGCCTTGGCCTCCCGAAGTGCTGGGACCATGCCCAGCCCTGTGTCTCTTCTTAGTATGCTTTTGCTTTCTTCTCCTTTGGACTTAAGTATAGTTGATAATGCTCTTGTCTACTAATTCTGTCATCTGTGAGATTTCTGCATCTGTTTCTATTGAAGGATTGTTGTCTTCATCATGGGTGGTGGTTTCAGCTTCTTTGCATGCTTGGTAATGTTTATTTTCTTTTTTCTTTCTTTTTTTTTTTTTGACATGGAGTCTCACTCTGTCGCCCCGGCTGGAGTGCAGTCATGCAGTCTCAGCTCACTACAACCTTTGTCTCCTGGGTTCAAGCAATTCTCCTTTCAGCCTCCTGAGTAGCTGGGATTACAGGTGCCCACCACCACACCCAGCTAATTTTTGCATTTTTAGTAGAGACGGGGTTTCACCATGTTGGCCAGGGTGGTCTGGAACTCCTGACCTCAGGCGATCCACGTACCTCTGCCTCCCAAAGTGCTGGGATTACAGGCGTGAGCCACTGAGCCACTGCACTGGTTCACATGCTTGGTAACTTTTTTATTGAACAGCAGGCATGGTGGTTTTTATCTTGCTGGGTGTTAGATATTCCTAACCTTTGCTCTTATGCACAGATAAGTGACTTGTAAGTCATTTGCTTCCTGTGAGGCTTGTTTTTAAGCCTTGCTAGGTGGGAGAACAGGTTTTACTTGAGGGATAACCTGTCCCCACATCCTTTCAGTTGTTAGCTGAGTCTCCCAGGTGTTCAGCGGTTTTTCCACGGTGGCTGGTGGGAACACAGACTTCCCAGCCTGTCGTGAGCTCTGAAGGTTGTTCCCCCCAATCCTCATCCTCTTGCTGGTTCTTTTCCTTGCCCCAGGTAATTTCCTCGAGTTCACTGATCAGTTCTCACTGACAGCTTCGGAAGAAACTGCACATCCCCAGATCTCGCTTTCTGGGCAGCATTCTGCTTTAGGCTACTCTGCCCAGCAGGTTCCCGCTCCCTTGAGCTCCTCTCATTCTCACTTCTTGGCTCTGTCTGGGTTTGCCTTCTCCGGGCTGCAGCCTGTAAACTTTCAGCAGAGCTGGGCCCATCACGGGGCTCTCATTTGTCCCTTCAGGGATCCCTGTCCTGTACCGCATGTGTCCGGAGCGTGACAGCGCTGTTTTCAGTGTTGTGCAGTTGCGTTTTTCCTTCATGACCGGAGCAGGACGAGCTCTCCATACACTCTGGATATACAATTCCGTGTTGGATTGAGAGCTTGTCACTCAGCATGTGGCTCGCCCTTTCACTCTTAATGTTACCATTCTTAATTTTAGGGAAATAGTGTGTCCTTGTTTGCTTTTTATGTCCTAAAAAATTGTTACGTTTTACTATTTTGCCTTTTCCATTTATCTACAATCCACCTGGAACAGGTGGGGGTGGGGAGATGTCAGGACCAACTTCCACCCCACCCCGTGTTGACCTCTGAGGAAATCGAGGTTTTCCTTGTCATTCTGCCACATCAGCCAGCCATTCACATTTGTGCATCTCTGCTTTTGAGACCAAGGGGTTGTCCACACTGCCCAATTCCAAGCTGTCTTCATAATCATAGCTTTACAGTATGTGCTTTGTTCGAATAACAGTAAAACCTTAACTGTTACCTCCATATTGTCATTTTAATGTCCTTAAGAAAGATACCAATGACCTTTGGCCAATGAGCAAAGGTGCTAACAGCACATTTACCTACAGTCTTGGCTACAGGGGGAGAGTTACTGTTAGTGTTGTTTACCTTCTCTGCTAATCCTAAATATGCTGATTTAAATAACTTACACCTGTGTTGGCTACATTATAAATGAAGCTTTAGCACTTGACTTTTCTCTCTCTCTCTTTAAAGTATTTGAATCATTTGTGGATTATGTGGCAGTAGAACAGCTCGATGGGGACAATAAATACGACGCTGGGGAACATGGCTTACAGGTAAATTGAGTGTTTTGTGCTAGTGTCCTGTTGTAGCGTTCTTCTTTATTTTCAATTCTTTTAATTGCTAAATAAAAATTTGCTTGTGCCTTTTCATGTGTTTCTGGTATTTAGAATATACAAGGATTCTGTTTGTAGGATAATTGAATGGGGAGGGAGAGGGGGATGTTGGGAGATGGAGTGCAGCTGGTTTATCCTGTAGAAGCACATCCAGCAGTCCGGAGGGTCTTGTGGGGTTTTAGGCATCTTGTCCTTTCCCCGTTCCTCACCTTACTGGTGTCACTGCTCCAGTTTTCCCTCAGTTTCTCCTGGTCACAAGTGGGATTTCTTAGTAAGTTGGACTGTGTTTAGGTTGTGTTTCTTTATTTTTAAATGTATTTTTAATGAATTTAGTTTTCTGAGGATCACGACTTTAGAATGAGTAGTGTGTTCTCTAGGGTTGTGTCCCCCAGGTTTCTGGGCATCTGAGAGAGCAGTGAGCATGGTGGGCGACCAGGTGGCCAGCCCCCGCTTGGATGAAGGGAAATGGGCTGTTTCTGGCTGCTGGTCTGGCTGGTCTGTTGGATCTGCAGTGTCCTCATGGATCCAGTGATCCAGGGTCTGTTTTGTAATCTTATAACCTTGACTCATTGACTCAACTAATTTATAATTAAAAATGTCAGTCTGGCCTGTGCTTACAAAGCCTGCCAGTGTATATAGTTCATGGTGCCTGTGTACCCATTTTGTAGTCAGCTGTCAGCTCCAAATGTACTCTTCTGCTAGGTCAGTCCAGTTGGACTGAGGGACTGAGGTATAGATCAGAAAGTTGCTTTTTTTTCTGAGACGGAGACTCGGTCTGTTCCCCAGGCTAGAGTGCAGTGGCGCGATCTCGACTCACTGCAACCTCTGCCTCCTGGGTTCAAGTGATTCTTCTACCTCAGCCTCCCAAGTAGCTGGGACTACAGGCGCCCGCCACTATGCCCAACTAATTTTTGTATTTTTAGTAGAGATGGGGTTTCACCATATTGGCCAGGCAGGTCTCAAACCCCTGACCTTGTGATCCGCCTGCCTCGGCCTCCCAAAGTGCTGGGATTACAGGCATGAGCCACTTGCTCATCCAGAAAGTTGCTTTTTAATGAGAACTTGGTGTGATGAAGAAATATTCTGGTCTGTTGACGAGAATTACTGTTCTCTATTCTGGATGTTTTAGGGTCTGGTTGAGCAGTATGTATTTGAGTCGAAGCCTCAGTGGACAGCGGTGGAGACAGAATCCTTTTATCTTTCAGACTGTATTAAAAACAGGTCCTTCCCCACTGTGGAGAGGGGTTCTGAGGTCTGTTTTTGTCTTTCCTGAGATAGCTCTGTCCTCTTAAATGAGCTGATGTACACCAAAGAACCTTGGCATATGGGTGTGCCTTGTCATGGTCCCCAGTTCCTCCAGGTCTCTCGCTGGCTGCTGGGCAGGTGGATTTCCAGCCAGAAGGAAGGTCTGCATTGGAAATAGAGCTGTGAGTCAGACATGGAGTGAGGGCCCCTGACCGCCTGGCCGTGGTCGAGATAGGCAAAGCCTGATTTTACTGAGGAACAAAGAGCTGGCCAAGATGGAGCAGTGATAGAGCAGGGCAAGAGCTTAGAGTCCGGTGTCCCCATAGAAGGCTTGTTGAGAAGTTGGGGTGTCCTGTCCCACAGAGTCCGGCAGTCAGCTGGGGAAGGGCCTTGCTGACACTGAATCAGAACATTTTCTTAGAAGTGGGATTGAACCATAAGCCCTAAGGGCGTGCCCTGTGATATATGGGTTCTTATGCAAACATCAAAGAGCCCAAGGAAAGGAAGCTTATAATCCTGCCGACTCATCAGTTGTGTTCATTGCTGCTTGTTCTGTTTGGGCATTTCATAAGCATACCTAATCTTGGGTAATTGTAACCAGAGTTTTCTGATTTTCCATTTAATGATTTTTCTGTGGTTCTCCATAATTTGCACAGTGTTTAATGACTGTATAACACAGCAGCAAATGACTGTCTAAATTTCCTTAACCATTTCTTCCCTGATTGCTGGGCATCGAGTTAGAATATAATCCAAGGTAAGAGAATCTCTCACAGTCAGTGCTGGTGCAGCATTATTTTAATAAACAAAGAGACCCATAAACAGACCTAAAGAAAACATTTCAAAGATGCCCTAAATGGACACCTAAACTTCCCTGCCTTTGTCTCCAGAGTCTCCAGACATGTTCCAATCTTGCTGAACCGCTGTTGCTTTCATTGCTTCCAGGAGTAAGTAGAGGCTAACTACATTTGCATTTGTTTTTCAATGTTTAGGAAGCAGAGAAAGGTGTGAAATTCCTAACATTGCCACCAGTGTTACATCTACAACTGATGAGATTTATGTATGACCCTCAGACGGACCAAAATATCAAGATCAATGATAGGTAATCTATAGTGGGATATAAAGTTAAGATTTCATCATCATGCTGGTCTAGGGGGTTAGTCTCAGTGCTTTCCTCAGTCTTTATATTTTCAGTCCCACATCTGATTTATTTAGATTTTCCTTCTACCTCTGTGTCCCAAGAGCCGCAGTGTTAAAGGAATGATTTTATGTCAAGTTTCAGAGGTCAACCTCTGCCGAGTCCATTTCCCCTCTCAGGATGCTTTGCCCAGTCCCAGCCCTGCTCTCAGCTATGGCTGATTTAAGTCCACAAGGATGGGGCTGTTTCTGCTTCACAGCTCTTGCATTCACAGGATTTCTAATAAATTTAATTTTGACCGATTATAAATGTTATTTCAGAGGGGACTTTTAGTGTATTCGTTTAAATAGGATTTTCCAATATTTTGTTGTCTCTCAGTTGGCGTCAACTTTTAGAATGTGCTAGAGTTTTCAAGAATGCTAAAGTAGTTGTTTGTATGCCAGTTACAAGTAGTTATTTTATTTTTATTTACTTTGTTTTATTATGTTTTTGAGACAGAGTCTTGCTGTGTCGCCCAGGCTGGAGTGCAGTGGCATGATCATGGCTCACTGCAGCCTTGAACTGCTGGGCTCAAGCTATTCTCCTGCCTCAGCCTTCCAAGTACCTGGCTAATTTTTGTATTTTTAGTAGAGACAGGGTTTCACTATGCTGGCCAGGCTGGTCTCAAGTGATCTGCCGGCCTCAGCCTCCCAAAGTGCTGGGATTACTGGCGTGAACCACCACACCCGGCCACAAGTAGTTTTCTAGGTTGTTAAAATAGTAGATGCAGGAGTGACAATGTGCACTACCTTATCTGATTTAGAATACAGTATTTTTATCCTGATTAGTTTGAGCACCAGCTTTGTATGGAATATAGGTTGGTCATTCAGCCTTCAGGTTTAAGGGAGAGTGTAATCAAATCACTTTACTTGCTACCAGCTGAGGCTTTGGTCACCCATTCACAGTCTTTACCGTGGTCAGAAACTGTCTCAGCCAGAAACCACAAACTGGCAGCCTTCAGACCAATTCCAACCTGTTGGTATGTTTCTTTGGATCCTCACTTTGTTTTTATTTTTGTTGGAGCCAGTGGCAGACATTTTTTAAATTGTGAGATTTCACATAAATGTTCAGATTTGGGCATCGTTTAGGAATCAGAAGGTTTGGCAACTTGAGGCCACCATTCCTGAAGGCCGCAGGGGCTGTGAGCTGAGTGGTGGCTGCTTCGCAGGCCGGGTGCATGCTGTGCTTGAGACCAGCCCCCACCCGTCTAACTTGCCTTCCTGCCTCTGTTAATTTTGCAACACTGATGGTGAAATTTGGTCAAGTAAATCAAAATTTGTAGAGCCAGTTAAAACTAAGTCAATTTCAGGATGTCTGTAGAATATTAAAACTAAGTCAATATTCAGAGTGGGAAATATTTTTACATGTCTTTCTGAATTTGATTTTTCATGTTTCTCAGTTTGCAGATATCCTTAGTAGTCTTAACCTCGACCTTCAGAATCATTTCTTGATATATTTGGAATTCCTCCACCCTAAATTATTCATAGTGTATATTTATGTTGACTAGGAATAGTTATTTCTATCAAGTACGGATTACGTTATGTACTTCATAGGCCTTCCCAAGGCAATTCATGCTTATCCTATTAAAGATGAGCCAGTACATTAAATGGCCTTACTTACTGTAAAGTGTGATATTTTTTGTGTAAATTAATACTGAATTTCTTTTAAAATGTTTTCTAATAGGTTTGAATTCCCAGAGCAGTTACCACTTGATGAATTTTTGCAAAAAACAGATCCTAAGGACCCTGCAAATTATATTCTTCATGCAGTCCTGGTTCATAGTGGAGATAATCATGGTGGACATTATGTGGTTTATCTAAACCCCAAAGGGGATGGCAAAGTAAGTGGTGGGACCCAGGGCTGAATGCAAGCTCATCAGAAAGTTAACACAAGCTCTGCTTCAGCCTGTTCTGGTTCCTACTCGGAACCTTGTCAGGGACCCCTAACTGATCTATGTATTCTCTGGCTGCTAAATGCTGTTTTCCCATCCATTTAATTGCTGAGATTTGAAGGTAAATAGTAAATTAGCATTTGTGCTTCTCTTTGTGAGTAATCAATGTTGGGCCCTACAGAATCCCTTATATGTCATATGAGACACTTATATTTTCTTCTGAATGCTCGTGGGATAATTACCCATGCGGTGGGCCCAGTCGGGGAGGCTGGCTGGTCGCATGTCCCTCTGCGTGCCCCCTGGTCCTACCTTGTTTCCTCTCATGGGGATCTCATGCAGTCTTCACCACCACTCTTGGGAGTGTAGAGGGCGCCATACTCATTTGGCAGATGAGGGTCTTGGAATCTACCCCCAAGACCACAGGGCCAGCACCGAGCTCCTGCCAAGGGGATTTGGTGGAGGGACCCGACAGCACGAGAGAACAGTGAAGAGTGCGTGTAACAGCAGCGTTCATCACTGTTTAATGTGGCTGCATCCACAACGCAGATGGGAAGATAACTGTTAGGAACATGCTACGTTGACTTCAGTCTGGCCCTTAACTTGCTTCCATAAAATGCCATGGGATAGGATAAAACAGCTCATTTAGTTTGATAACTAAAGGATAAAATTTGAACTCTCGTTTGGTGTGCTCAGTATGGCCTTTTTAATTCTGTAAAGAGTTGGTAGTGTCAGTAGATTGAATGTAAGTGGAAAATGGGCTATTTCAGTAGATTATAAAAATTGCCATTGGGCGAATGGTAGCAGTGCCCACAGAATGTTGAATGGGGACTGCGAAGGTCCTGGTGAATTGTATGAGCGGATGCCTGAGGCGCTGCCTGCCTAGCACACCGTCAGATTGTGTGCCTGTATAAGAACACACATGGATATTTTTTCAACTAGGGGCATACCTAGAAGTTCACACATTTTAGAACAACGCTGCCTTCTAGTGTTGGGTACTTGTCACAGTGCTTGATCGCTGCTGGTGTGTGTTGTTTTCCTTGCAGTGGTGTAAATTTGATGACGACGTGGTGTCAAGGTGTACTAAAGAGGAAGCAATTGAGCACAATTATGGGGGTCACGATGACGACCTGTCTGTTCGACACTGCACTAATGCTTACATGTTAGTCTACATCAGGGAATCAAAACTGAGTGAGTAGTGTTCACTTTTGTTCTGTTCTTTACTGTGGTGGACTTGGACATTTGTACCATGAATCTCCAATATCCTTTTCTGTCCAAACACATTTTATGCTTATTCCATTGTATTCACAGCAGCGCAGAAATGAGCAGGGTTGGGCTTGCGCGTTTCGATGCAGACTTATGGTACCAAGTAATTTCATGTTAATAGATTATTTTATTTTATTTTTTTGAGACGGAGTCTTGCTCTTGCCCAGGCTGGAGTGCAGTGGCGCGATCTCGGCTCACTGCAAGCTCCACCTCCCGGGTTCTCGCCACTCTCCTGCCTCAGCCTCCCAAGTAGCTGGGACTACAGGCGTCTGCCACCACGCCTGGCTAATTTTTTGTATTTTATTTTATTTTTATTTTATTTTTTTTTTTAGTAGTAGAGATGGGGTTTCACCATGTTAGCCAAGATGGTCTTGATTTCCTGACCTCGTGATCGGCCCGCCTCAGCCTCCCAAAGTGCTGGGATTACAGGCGTAAGCCACCACGCCGGCCTAATAGATTATTTTATTAATGATGACCTAGAATCGGGAGCTTCTAAGAGGGGAAAGTCCATCTGCAGGGGTCAAAGAGGATGCCTTTGTCCTGCAGGTGAAGTTTTACAGGCGGTCACCGACCATGATATTCCTCAGCAGTTGGTGGAGCGATTACAAGAAGAGAAAAGGATCGAGGCTCAGAAGCGGAAGGAGCGGCAGGAAGCCCATCTCTATATGCAAGTGCAGGTCAGCCCCCGCCCTTCTGGGACTCCGGGTCACCATGCAGCCGGGCACCCATCTCTATACACAAGTGCAGGTCAGCCCCCACCCCTCTGGGACTCCCAGGTCACCATGCAGCAGGGCATCCATCTCTGTACGCAAGTGCAGGTCAGTCCCCACTCCTCTGGGACCCCTTGGGTCACTGCACAGCAGGGCAGCTGCCCAGAGAGAAGCTGCTCCACGTGCTCTCCTGAGCTTGGTCACAGTCCCAGAGTAGTTCCTGATACACAAACCGGGACTGTTGTGCCTTGAGCTGCCCTGGGCAGCTGCCTGAGTATTTGTAACACCTGGCCCTGTTGGTGGCGGGCAGAGCCAGTTCAGGAGTAAAGACTTGGTTGTCAGAAGTCAGGCCACCAGACAGAGAAGTGATTAAGTGCACGTCAGGTTGCTTCAAAAAGTACTGAGGGGGTTGGAGAAAGGGAGGAGGTCATCTCACCGTTGGCTGTCTAGCTAGGTCCAATTTATAGGTGAGTTAAGTTATTGCAGTGAAACACAGTCTCCTTTTCTTTTTTCTTTTCCTTTTTTTTTTTTTTTGAGACAGAGTTTCACTCTTGTTGCCCAGGCTTGAGTGCAGTGGCGCGATCTCTGCTCACCTCAACCTCTGCCTCCTGGATTCAAGTGATTCTCCTGCCTCAGCCTTCCTAGTAGCTGGGATTACAGGCATGTGCCACCACACCCAGCTAATTTTGTATTTTTAGTAGAGACAGGGTTTCTCCGTGTTGGTCAGGCTGGTCTCGGAACTCCTGACCTCAGGTGATCCGCCCGCCTCGGCCTCCCAAAGTGCATGAGCCACCGTGCCCTGCCCACAGCCTCCTTTTCTAAATAAATACCTGATTTAGGTTTTGGTCATTTTATGCGGTTTTTCTTCATTGGTCTTCTGAAGAAGTTTCTTTGGAACAAAAAATGAGTTTTCAGCGTTTTAGTGTTTAAATGTGTTCAGTGTGGACTCATTTTTTGTCAGTTGTCAAGTCTTTTCTGTGCTTTCATACATATTTTCAGATAGTCGCAGAGGACCAGTTTTGTGGCCACCAAGGGAATGACATGTACGATGAAGAAAAAGTGAAATACACTGTGTTCAAAGTATTGAAGAACTCCTCGCTTGCTGAGTTTGTTCAGAGCCTCTCTCAGACCATGGTGCGTACCGGTCCCGTGGATATACCCCACCGTGGCTCCCAACGTCCACCTTCCTTCCGTGTCACTAGAAAATACTGATTGCCTTTGGGGGTAGGTGCTGTGTCCAGCCACTGCCTAACAGTGAGGAGTGTGACCCAGGAACATTTCCTGCCTGAGAAAGTGCAAGAAAACCATTGAGCCCCTGACTCCTGCACAGGGGAACCCACAGGATTTTGCAGACATGTTTTCACCCCTTTTCCTCATCTCCCACTCCACTCCCTGCACCCCTACCCCCTCTTTATTTTTGTAAATGGGCATTCGATCCTGAAGGATAAGTCACAGTTGTCCAAATCAACCGGGGAAGAATTAGAATTCTTTTTCTTAGAATCACAGTCTTTTTTTCTTTTTTTTTGAGACAGAGTTTCACTCTTGTTGCCCAGTGGCGCGATCTTGGCTCACTGCAACCTCCGCCTTTTGGTTTCAAGCAATTCTCCTGCCTCAGCCTCCCAAGTAGCTGGGATTACAGGCACCCGTCACCAGGCCCAGCTGATTTTTGTATTTTTAGTAGAGACGAGAGTTCACCATGTTGGCCAGGCTGGTCTTGAACTCCCGACCTCGTGATCCACCTGCCTCGGCCTCCGAAAGTGCTGGGATTACAGGCGAGAGCCACAGCACCTGGCCTACGATCACAGTCTTAACATTGACTATATATATATATGTATATGTATATACATATGTGTGTGTAATATAGAGGACTAAAATATGAGCGTGTTTTTATTTTAATCTACTCTTAATATTTTTTTCAGGGATTTCCACAAGATCAAATTCGATTGTGGCCCATGCAAGCAAGGAGTAATGGAACAAAACGACCAGCAATGTTAGATAATGAAGCCGACGGCAATAAAACAGTAAATATTGTTAATAGCGTATCTGGTTTGGAACCGTGCAGAAGGCGTTAGTCCTCTGCACTTAGTGCAGCTTGTTTCCCTTTTGGTCCACTTAACTAGAATTGGACGTTTTCTTCAATACTTGACTGTAGTTTTTCGCTCTGTCACCTAAGCCATTAGACTCTTCTAAAATCAGCGTCTCTTTTGGAAATAGATGATTGAGCTCAGTGATAATGAAAACCCTTGGACAATATTCCTGGAAACAGTTGATCCCGAGCTGGCTGCTAGTGGAGCGACCTTACCCAAGTTTGATAAAGATCGTAAGTGCCCACGAGACGCCTGCCTGCACTTAGAGCAGTAGCGTTGGATTCCTGGATTGTTGTTCTAAACACACAGGGTTAAGCCTTCTTCCCTTGCAGAAAGATGTGTTGATCAATTCCACAAAAGCTCACTAGACTTCCTGATGAAGTCAAATAAGACTGACTTGGCTGCGAGTTTCCTGTGAGGCCCGGAGACAGTAGCAGCCACGTGGGGCCGTCCTGTTCTGTCTTCAGTCTCAGCTGCTGTGCTGTGCTAATCACGTTGGTCAGATCCTAAAGAGCAGGGTTGCAAACGTTGTCTGTCAGGGACCACATAGGCAATATCTCAGGCGTTTCAGGCCTTTCTGTCTGTACTAAGGCGGCCACAAAGACTATATAAATGAACGAGCTGGCTGTCTTCCAGTACAACTTTATCGACAAAACAGGTGGATCGGAATTTGCTGACCCTTGCTATAAAATGACAGACTTTTATTGCTGTGAGTGGTCACTTCTGGCAAAGACACAAGACCATGCGCAATCTTCCCGTGGCAACGCTCTTCCAGCCAGTCAGTCCAGGTCTCAGAACTAGGAATTCTAAGTTTGCTGCACTCAGTACCGTCTTGACTGTCTAAATGTAGTGGGTTTCCATGGGTCTGATGTTTGGAAACTCAGCGGTAATAGCCTCAGCTTCGTGAATAAGCCACATCTGAAGTAACTTTTAGGTACCTTAAGCTGTCATTTCACTTGTCATTGAGCTATTCAGCTTACTGTTTTTTTTTTTTCGTTTTTTTGTTTGTTTGTTTTTTTGTTTTTTAAGCATTGTGCTGAGTGTTTGGATCTTAACAAAACTTGTTTATTAACCTTGTAGATGATGTAATGTTATTTTTGAAGATGTATGATCCCAAAACGCGGAGCTTGAATTACTGTGGGCATATCTACACACCAATATCCTGTAAAATACGTAAGTCCTTCGTGCACTTACCTTCTGAGTAGATTTTGCTCAGTACATTACAGCTACACATTTAAAATATCTTCTTTCTCCTAGGTGACTTGCTCCCAGTTATGTGTGACAGAGCAGGATTTATTCAAGATACTAGCCTTATCCTCTATGAGGTTTGGATGGTTTATTTTTCCATAATTAGTATATTCTTAGTAGTTTGTGGAGGGTTTTGTTTGTTCTTTTTACCCCGAATTTGTTACAGTGTTAGGTCTACCAGCTAACTCAGGGCCTCAGATGATCTTGAGAATGACATATTTAGATTTGTGAATTTTTTTTTTTTACCTGTTGTAGAATCAAATCTGATTGTTACATATTTGTGGATTTATTCATTTAGCTTTTCCTGTTAACATTTTAACTTAAAAGGTGGATAGAATTGGGTGTAGAGAAAATACTTAAGTACATGGAAGACTATCTGGCCATATTAAACGTTAGACAAACTTGCAGTGTAACAATTTTATATCTTTCACTGTAGGAAGTTAAACCGAATTTAACAGAGAGAATTCAGGACTATGACGTGTCTCTTGATAAAGCCCTTGATGAACTAATGGATGGTGACATCATAGTATTTCAGAAGTATGTACTTTGTGAAGGATTGTATCACTTTGTACTAATTTCAGGATTTTTTTAAGTTGTAGAACCAAGAAACATTTGTACCTAGATCCCGAGCCACGTTTTTGTTTTTGTTTTTTTTAATGTAACTGTTGAGAGGCTTTCTCTGGGTTTTGAAATTAGGTGTGGTGAACATTTTCATCTCATAAAGCTCTTCTCAATTTCTTAAAAATTCCTTAAAATGTCTCAAGTGCACGTGGCAACTATTAGTAGAGTGGGAACAATTGCTTCCTTCCCCTGAGATTTATGAAATCGAAACTCCTTAGAATGTACCTACTTGGGTAATTCATTTCAGTCTGTCTTCATGTAAACCAGCCAGTCTTTGGTCTTAGACACTCAGTGTCTGAAAGTGGCTCGATGGCACACGAAAGCCCAGATTTCCTGACTCACGGTCAGAGACTGGGCTCCACCACCTGTCAGGTCTGTGGGCAAGACACTGCGTCTGGGTCTGCTCCTGTAGAGGAGAGCAGGTGCTGTTACCTAAGGGGGTTTTGTTTTGTAGTGGGATGAGAATGTAAAGCCACTACATTGCGCCTGGCTCAGTGCATCCCCATGCATACTTGCCTCGCTTACAGAGGGAGCTCAGGCAGATGCCTGGCCCCCTCAAAGGGGAACCTGAATTTATCTTGCAAGAGAGCCTGTTGGTGTCACTGTTGTGTAAAAGATGATGCCATTTTTACCAGCTACCCCCTGCCATGGACTTTGATTCAGACTGCAAACTTTCTCCCTCCACCAGGGATGACCCTGAAAATGATAACAGTGAATTACCCACCGCAAAGGAGTATTTCCGAGATCTCTACCACCGCGTTGATGTCATTTTCTGTGATAAAACAATCCCTAATGATCCTGGATTTGTGGTTACGTTATCAAATAGAATGAATTATTTTCAGGTATTTAATAAATGCTCCTTTCCTCTTCAGATCCCACTCCAGAAAGACAAATTTCTTTCTTAAAATGCTTGTTGAAGAAGCTATCTCATGGTTTTGGTTCAGAAGGGGCTATGCCCGAGGAAATCTCCCACTGATGGATTCAGGCTCTCTGCCTTGGGAGCTAGAATAATCGCCATCAGAAAAGAACCTGTAGACCTCACCATTAAAAGTGAAAACCCTTTCCAAAGTTATCTTCATCAGATATGCTACTCCCATGGTGATTCATTAAGGAATAATATAGTTTATTCCTGTTTAATAAATTTCTAGGGAATTTAAATTCAGGCTGCTCATGGCACATTTTAAGTAATTAAGCATGAAGTTTATGACCAAGTTTCAATTTTTCCCCAAAATGTGAACCTTCCTTTCTGTGTCTTAGGTTGCAAAGACAGTTGCACAGAGGCTCAACACAGATCCAATGTTGCTGCAGTTTTTCAAGTCTCAAGGGTAGGTCACATGTGTGGACACTTGCTTGGTCTTGACTGCATGCTTTCCACAGTTCATTGAAACATCTTGGAACTAATTTTAATAATTAGCTCGCCATTTCACCTGACAGTCCATTTCTTGCTTAGTTTCAGAATTGTCACCACTCACATCTTGACCACATTACTCTGAGATGTTAAAATAATTGACAGCCTCATCCAAAGCCAGACTGACTTTAGATACATCCTCAGTGCATCTCCCATGTGTCCAGCTGGTCAGTCCTGCCAGGCTGCTGTGTGTTTTGTCACTATTGCAGAGAGCATTCAAGTGTGACAGCGAGTGGGACTTAGTTCTTGGGAAACAGGAGTATTAAGTTAAACCCCATGCTAGGTCCAAATTTCAAGACCAGGTGTAAGGCCAGCGGTTTGCTTTTATGCTCACTCACAGATATTTGTTTTTAGGCAAATAAACAAGTCATTTATTTATATGCTGTTTTCTTGTGTAGTTATAGGGATGGCCCAGGTAATCCTCTTAGACATAATTATGAAGGTACTTTAAGAGATCTTCTACAGTTCTTCAAGCCTAGACAACCTAAGAAACTTTACTATCAGCAGGTATGAGTCCAAATTAATGTAACTATGGGTCATAAAGAGAAGGCTCGGGGTTTTGGTGACGGTATCTGATGTGAATCTTTCTTTTCTTAATAGCTTAAGATGAAAATCACAGACTTTGAGAACAGGCGAAGTTTTAAATGTATATGGTTAAACAGCCAATTTAGGGAAGAGGTAAGTTTTTTTAATACTATGAATTTTAATTTTTATTGGAACTTGCTTATTGTTTCTACCTGTCCCCAGACATTGAAAACTAAGACACCACAGAAAAACACTCTAAACAACAGCACATGATGGGGGCTGGGGGAGCCCTGGGCCAGTCTTTCCTGCCTCCTGGCAGGACCTCCTGAGGCCTCTGGGGTGCATGACATGTGGAGCTAAGGAACCATTCGGCAGCCAACCCTTCCCTTCTGGGTCCCACTGTGATGCTTGCGCATTGCCACTTGGCTGAGGAGGAGGATCCTTCTCCAGCTCTTCCTGCCGCGGCCTGATCTCAGGGAGTCCAGCAGGCCTGTGAACGGAGCAGTCCATGACTCTGCGCTTACTCCCCAAGCTGCTAGTGTAGACAGCTCCAGTGTCACCTGCTTGCTCCAAACAGAAGACGCATCCAGCCACATTTTAGGTGGTTCTTTTTCGAGACAGGGTCTCGCTCTGTCACCCAGGCTGGAGTGCAGTGGCACCATCACAGCCCACGACAGCGTAGACCTCCTGGGCTCAAGTGATCCTCCCACCTCAGCCCCCCAAGTAGCTAGGATTACAGGTGTATGTCACCACGCCCAACTCATTTATATATATATATATATATATTTTTTTTTTTTTTTTTTTTTTTTTTTTTGTAGAGACAGGGTCTCACTATATTGCCCAGACTGGTCTTGAGCTCCTGGGCTCAAGCATCCTTCTGCCTCAGCCTCCCAGAGTGTTGGCATTACAGGCATTAGGTGGTTCTTCAAAAAAGTCTGCATGCCTATTTAGATGCTAGATCTCTCACCCTTTCTAGCTCTACAAGTATAGAGGGAAAATTCGAGACATAAATAGCCTCACCTTTGTAGAATTGAGCTCCCTGAAGGCCCACAGTCTGCCTCTGGTCTTGTATCTGGACCAGCATTCCTTTCTCATTGTGCTGAGAGTTGGGAAGGCCCTGGGTGACCCCTCGGGACCATTTCCTGAGAAGGTGTTCTGTAAATGACAGGCTTCTTGCATCAAGGCCACTTTTGTTAACCTCCCGTCAGTATTTGGTTGGTCCTAGATTAGGGCCAGTGTCCTCACTGTGAGTGAATTCACAGATGAGGGAGTTGGGGTGGGAATGAGAGCAAGAACATGGGGGCCAGCTGGGGACAGTTGAGAACAATGATGCAACTTTCTCCTCTCTTCCTTTGTGGTAGCAGACCTTTTATGCTTTCTTGAAAGCACTTATTTTATCTTTTCATTACTTAGGAAATAACACTATATCCAGACAAGCATGGGTGTGTCCGGGACCTGTTAGAAGAATGTAAAAAGGCCGTGGAGCTTGGGGAGAAAGCATCAGGGAAACTTAGGCAAGTATTTCTTGAGCCCAATTGTGGACGTTCAGTTAGGGGTGGCAGTTAACGCTGACCTCTGCAGTTGCGTTGGTGGAAATCACCCAGCTGGGATCCATGCGCGTCATTCCCAGACTCAGTGGGGTGTGCCTCCATTGCAAAGACAGTTGCACAGAAGCTCAACACAGACCCAGTGTTGCTCCAGTTTTTCAAGTCTCAGGGGTAACCCTCAAGCCGCTGTGGTGCAGAGGGTTATGCGTGTTTCACAATTAAGCCACGTTTTTCCTCCTTCCCCTTGTATCTTCTGATAACATTAGCTGTAGTAAAAAGGCGCAGTTCCCATAGAAAAGCCAAACAGAGGAAGGATACGATTCCATTTGAACGATGAACTGAAACTGGAAGGGGTGACTCCTGATTTTGTATTTGACAGATTGAGTCACTTCTGTTCCATCTAGCCAACATTTGGGCTGTAGAAAGAAGCCCCTGAATTGATTGTTTATTTCAGAGAGATGGGCATGATTCTCACTACTTTGCCCTGTAGTCGCTTGGAGGACAAATGGCTTTTGGAGCCATTTGGTTCCCAAACTTTCTTTAGTTTTAATAAAACAATTATTAAACAGTGAGACCCTAATCTATTACCTAATAAGAGTAAGCGAGGAAAACGCCACTATCAGCTGAATGTGAATTCCTTGTGGGAAAGGTTTATGCAACTTTCGGAGGCCCAGTCTGTACATCTCTGTGCCCAAATGTGGCCATTTCCACTTTGTCCAGCAGAGCCCTTTAATCTTATGCTTCAAGGGGACCCCCTCTCCGTGCCTTGCCTCCGGTCTCTGTTTCTGATATTTCAGATCCTCTTTAAAAAAAAAAAAAAAAAAAAAAGCTGGGCATGGTGGCTCACACCTATAATCCCAGCACTTCGGGAGGCCGAGGCGGGCGGATCACGAGGTCAGGAGTTCGAGACCATCCTGGCTAACCAACATGGTGAAACCCCGTCTCTACTAAAAATGCAAAAATCAGCCCAGTGTGGTGGCACGCACCTGTAGTCCCAACTACTCGGGAGGCTGAGGTGGGAGAATTGCTTGAACCCGGGAGGCGGAGGTTGCAGTGAGCTGAGACCATGCTGTTGCACTCCAGCCTGGGCGACAGATTGAGACTGTCTCAAAAAAAAAAAAAAAAACATATCGTGGTAACTTTATTTCTTTCTAGAAAACCATTTTATTTTTATGTGAATATATATACTTCATTTTGCCCTATTTTTTTTTCCTCTCTGTTCAGGCTGCTAGAAATTGTAAGCTACAAAATCATTGGTGTTCATCAAGAAGATGAACTATTAGAATGTTTATCTCCTGCAACGAGCCGGACGTTTCGAATAGAGGTATCTGTCCCCGATACTGTTGGCACCAGAGAGAATTCATGAGCCCCATCTGCTGCATATTTAAATATCACAGCAAGTTGTACAAGTAGCTTGATTTGTGTTTTTATACCAGTAATCGAGGTATATGATTCCATGAGTGGACCTACAGTGTTTTTGCACAGAAATTAGTCCTCAGTTTGGGTTACCAACCCAATCCAGACAGAAACTGTGGATCACTTGAATTTAGAGCTGTTGACATTTCCACAGGAACTGGGATAATACAGTATTTGGCCTCTTAAAATTCAGTTTTTTGGGGGAGGGGGAAGAAACTTGGATATCTTCTGGCTGAGACTCCCATGAGTGCCCATCACTCTGGCTGGATCCAGGTGTGGCGTTTTTTTAGCAAAAATAGGCTTTACCCTCCGGGTTAGAGTAGTGTGAGAATTGAGATGTGGACACTTTGACCACATCACTTGCACTTACAGAACTGTGTCTGTTGTCCGTGTCCCCAGGAAATCCCTTTGGACCAGGTGGACATAGACAAAGAGAATGAGATGCTTGTCACAGTGGCGCATTTCCACAAAGAGGTCTTCGGAACGTTCGGAATCCCGTTTTTGCTGAGGATACACCAGGTATGCTGTTGTGGTTGGCCGAGTGGCTCACGTCAAAACCTGGAGCCTTTGAGTGGCCGCTGTTGCCGAATCTGCGCTCCTGCTGGGGTTAGGCGTTGGTTTTGGCGGCTGCCACGTGACGTGGCCTGGGGGTGCTGGGAGTGACTGTGTGAGCACATGTCCTTTGCCATTCTAGGGCGAGCATTTTCGAGAAGTGATGAAGCGAATCCAGAGCCTGCTGGACATCCAGGAGAAGGAGTTTGAGAAGGTGTGCAGCTGGGGCCTCCTGGGGGCTTGGCGGGCCATAGGCTCAAGCCTTGCCTAGCGTAGCGGCCTAGGCTTTTTTGCCAGAGATGTGAGTTTTGCTGATATACAGAAATAACGGAGGAGTTTTAATTTTTTTTCTTTTAGTTTAAATTTGCAATTGTAATGATGGGCCGACACCAGTACATAAATGAAGACGAGTATGAAGTAAATTTGAAAGACTTTGAGCCACAGCCCGGTAAGGGTTCTCCCCCCCCCGGGGGCTGGTGTGGGTTTCAGACTAAGAAACAAGTGGTCTGGGGCTGGGAGGGGCAGCCCCAGGGTCAAGTGCCAGCTCCTCTCTCTCCACTGGCCGACCTGTGGAACCAGGAGCAATAGCATTCCATAACCTACGAGTTCTTAACAGGTCCTTACATCCTTTGTAACCTGTGAGATCTTCAAGGAGAGAAGCTTGGATATGTGTGCAGGGTGATTGAGACTCAGGGTTGTGAGGGCAGTGGCTCTGAGGCGCAGTCAGGGTGTGGGCCTCCTTAGCTCCAGGTGGGCGTGTAGCTCAGGTCCTGGCTTCCCTGCGAACTTACCCCTTGGGGAGCCACAGGGATGCATGCCTCACTGGCCACCACCCCGCTGAGGGGTTCCAGGGCTGCTCTGTGGCCTCACTTGCTTTTCTTCATCCCCACCAGGTAATATGTCTCATCCTCGGCCTTGGCTAGGGCTCGACCACTTCAACAAAGCCCCAAAGAGGAGTCGCTACACTTACCTTGAAAAGGCCATTAAAATCCATAACTGATTTCCAAGCTGGTGTGTTCAAGGCGAGGACGGTGTGTGGGTGGCCCCTTAACAGCCTAGAACTTTGGTGCACGTGCCCTCTAGCCGAAGTCTTCAGCAAGAGGATTCGCTGCTGGTGTTAATTTTATTTTATTGAGGCTGTTCAGTTTGGCTTCTCTGTATCTATTGACTGCCCTTTTTGAGCAAAATGAAGATGTTTTTATAAAGCTTGGATGCCAATGAGAGTTATTTTATGGTAACCACAGTGCAAGGCAACTGTCAGCGCAATGGGGGAGAAGAGGTTAGTGGATCGGGGGTCCCTGGCTCAAGGTCTCTGGGCTGTCCCTAGTGGGCACGAGTGGCTCGGCTGCCTTCCTGGGGTCCCGTGCACCAGCCCTGCAGCTAGCAAGTCTTGTGTTTAGGCTCGTCTGACCTATTTCCTTCAGTTATACTTTCAATGACCTTTTGTGCATCTGTTAAGGCAAAACAGAGAAACTCACAACCTAATAAATAGCGCTCTTCCCTTCATTGTGTGCATTGTCGGCCCTTCCTCGGGTTCTCCTCCTCCAGCTGCCTGGGGGCTTTTTAATAAACTTGTCTCACCTCGTCAGCCACTACTGTCTGCAGCCCCTTTGCAAAGTGGATGCACTGAATACAGTCCGGACAGACATTGTGGGGGTCTTTTTATTAAATCAAGAACATTGTTAAATTCAATTAAGGTTTACTCTGCTGCCTTGGCAGACTTACGATCTCAACAGTTCATACGAGCAGGTGAAAGGATTATAAATAGAATTTCGTTAAAGTGGAACAGACGACAAGAAAGCCTTTTAGCAAGAGGGCATGCTCACTAGTGGTTAGTAAGCTGTCGACTTTGTAAAAAAGTTAAAAATGAAAAAAAAAGGAAAAATGAATTGTATATTTAATGAATGAACATGTACAATTTGCCACTGGGAGGAGGTTCCTTTTTGTTGGGTGAGTCTGCAAGTGAATTTCACTGATGTTGATATTCATTGTGTGTAGTTTTATTTCGGTCCCAGCCCCGTTTCCTTTTATTTTGGAGCTAATGCCAGCTGCGTGTCTAGTTTTGAGTGCAGTAAAATAGAATCAGCAAATCACTCTTATTTTTCATCCTTTTCCGGTATTTTTTGGGTTGTTTCTGTGGGAGCAGTGTACACCAACTCTTCCTGTATATTGCCTTTTTGCTGGAAAATGTTGTATGTTGAATAAAATTTTCTATAAAAATTATAATTCAGTGAGTTACGTGGAAGTGGAGGAAGATTTCTACTCTCCCTGGAAACAGGCCTGGGAAACCTTGGCATTTGTAACAAGGTTTCACTGAGATGTACTTTTCCTTCTAATTCCGTTTTGCGGGGGCAGGGTCTCTTGTTTCTTTTTTTTTTTTTTTTTTTTTTTAGCCTCTAACTAGTCACATTTACTCTTAAGAAATGAAAGGTTTTCCAGGAGAGAACTGTGTACAAATAAGGTGACTGGAGATGTGACCTGATGTGTCACGAGGCCCTTCGGGGCGGCAGGCGCTATCGTGGGCGTGGTCCTTGCACCGTCCCATCGGCCTTGCCTTCCAGCTCCGTGGCACGGTTTCCTGGTCTTTGGGCCAGTGTGTACCTTGGAGTGACTTCCTTTCTCAACTTCCACTGCAGTGTGTGTGCCTTCTGCTCTGAGAGCTGCCTTGTGACCCGTGTGATAGAAAGCAGGGAGTGAGGGTCCCCGCGGACCTGGCCCTTCCCTCCTTCCTCCCCCAGAAAGAGGAGTTAGAGCAGGGGTGCGAGAGCCGTTCGCTGTGGGTTTGTCTTTGAACAAACATTAAGGTGTCTTGTTTTTGTTCTGGGCTGGGGGTTGGCTGTAGTCTTAGGTAACTGAAAGTTCCTACTCTCCCTTAAGGTATTAAATGACTCTTTTTCCAAAGAACGTGTTGTAATGTTTCCGTCATCTGCCGCGTTCCCTTTTCCACTCACTCGCAGTTACAGTGTCAGGAGTTTGAGTTTGTTAAACTGGTTCTGGGGAGACAAGCTGAAATTTTAAAGAAAGAAAAATGAACTCCCCTTCTCCGGCCTCACTGTAACCCCTGGGACTATTGTGTCCTCTCCCTCTGTGGGGTGTGGATGCCATCTGTTGACAGCATTCGGAGTCTTCACAGCGGGGAGCCCTGAAAACCACTGCGTGACAGCAAGGGCCTGCGGTCACAGTGGCCCTTCCCACGCCCTCACACACAAGAGCAGCGAGCTGAAGCAGTCTTGTTTCAAAATGAGAAGAGCAGCCAGGCGCGGTGGCTCGTGCTGTGAGCAAAGCCCAAGGGAGACACTATGGGACCTGGCAGAGTCCCCTGCAACGTGGGTGCCTTGACAGGGCGAGAAGCCACGTCTAGACACCATCGCTTCCTGATGGAGGCCCTGACCCAGCTTCTCTTTCACCAGACGGCAAGGACATTTGGCGTCATACATAACATCACTCATTTGCTGTGAGGCAAATGTTTATGGTGCCAGGGATGGAAATTGTGAGTAGTTTAAAGTCTTAACTCTGAAACCACCTTCACAGTTAAAGCAAATGCGATAAAACCTATAGCACCTGGGCCGGATGCGGTGGCTCACACCTGTAATCCCAGCACTTTGGGAGGCTTGAGATCGGTGGATCACTTGAGGTCAGGAGTTCAAGACCAGCTTGGCCAGCATGGTGAAACCTTGTCTCTACTGAAAACGCAAAAATTAGCCGGGCATGGTGGTAGACACCTGCAGTCCCAGCTGCTCGGGAGGCTGAGGCCAGAGAATCACTTGAACCCAGGAGGCAGAGGTTGCAGTGAGCTGAGATCGTGCCACTGCACTCCAGCCTGGGTGACAGCGTGAGGGAGACTCCGTCTCAAAGCCATAGCACCTGAAGGTTCCTTGAATTACTAAGGTGAGGTGTGTAAGTAAGACATCTCTCTTGTGGTTTGGGCTTAGGCTAGGGTCAGAGTTGGTAAACTTTCTGTAAAAGGCCAGAGTAGGTATTGTGTGATGGTCTCTGTTGGGACTCTCAGCTCTGCCAACATAGCATGAACGCAGCCACAGACAACAATTGAGTGGCGAGGCTGTCCCCACAAAGCTTTGTTTTTAAAAACCCCTTTTGTAGGTTTACCAACCCTGGATTGCAGGGAAATGATCTGTCTTCATGGCTTGCTATAAGGGCCTCTTGGGCCAAGAGAGCTTCAGATTAGATAGCCGAGTCACTACCTCCTAGTGGTGTAGGTAGGTCCCCTGGGGAGGAGGGGAGTCAAGATAACAACCAGACCTTGCCAACCCCATTGGACTACATCCCTAAGACTTTTGTGTGAGGGAGTAATGGGTAGTGTTTCCGGCCAGCCTTGCTACCACCCTGTCCTCACCCAGTCGTGTTCATCAGAACTTTGTCGCGGTGGAGCTTCTGGCCACCTGTGGCTATAAAGCACTTGAAATGTGGCTTAAGTGGCAGAGGGGGTTGAATTTTAATTTTATTCTAATTTGCACATGTGGCTGATGTCTTCCTTACTGGGTATGCAGTTCTAACAAAACATTCCCCACCTCGGGAGTTACAGTGACTAACTCGAGGGCTGTTGAGTGCTGCGTGAAGCACAGGCGTTGGAGTGGGCGTTCTTTATGGCCTACTCCCTAAAGCCTTCGGGACATTGGTTTTCTGCGTGAGAACAGTTAAGGACAGACTTCCCCATCCCTGCGTCTTGGCTTTGGGGGAGATGGGTGCCTGTGCATCTTCTGCTGACTTACGTTTCGCAGCCTTTAACTGAGTGAGGCCTGGGAGCTGGAGGCCATGAATGGTCTGTGAGCAAAACTGCAGGTTCCAAAGGGAGGCCCCCTCCCATCAGCTCCAAGGGGTCACTGACCCCCTACATGCTGCCACCTGTCAATGACTGGATCTGGGGGTTCACAGCACAGTGCCTGCACAGCACGTGGACAACTTGGGAGAGGGAAGAAGTTACGGATTCAGACCACCCTTGAAGTCCAGTGCCCAGGAGTAAGAGACTGGCACCTCCTGTCCTTCCCCACCCGTACTCAGCATCACTCAGCCCTTTGAAGCTCATTGCTGCAAAGCTGGTTTTGCAGCGAGGAGGCAGAGAAAGGTGGTTAAGGCCAGCCCCTCCCTGGTGGTGAGGGTTAGTCCAGGAGCTGCTCAAGGTTCCCAGCTTGGCCTTGATGGCCCCTCCACGCCTTTATCCCACAGGGCGTGGCTCGAGGCCACGTGCACCTGGCGCATCTTTCTGCCCTGGCTGAGCTGAGAACTCCAGTAGGGAAATGGTATGGGTGGCATTGTGAGGAAGGCCACCAGCCACCAGCGAACTCTGCCCACGAGCTGGTGCCAGTGCCACACCTGCCCATTGGGCTCCTGTGAGAAGGTGGGGTGGGGGCTGTTCTGACTCTTGCCTCCGGCTAATTAGGAGGGACAGTAGCAAGAAACCCTTTGTGATAACCATTGTGCACAGTGAGCCAGCCCTGAGAGGTCAGCAGCGAGGCGTCTGGTGGCCCAAAGTAGGCCAGAACCCTGAGCCATGGGGGCTTGAGCCTTGCTCAGTGTGGAGCAGGCATTCAGACCCCCACTGGCTGCCCGCCTCACCTCCCTGTTCCAGGTAGCCCTAGCTCAGCCCTCCATGCGGGGTAGGATGGGGGCTGTCCCCAGTTTCAAATGAGGGTTCAGCAACTTGCCAAGCTCATCTGCCAGTGGTGGGCCGCCCCTCTGACAGGCCCCGAAGCTGGGGAAGAGGCCGGCCCTGGGCGTGGAAAGGGGTCAGGGAAAGGGGTGCAGGAGAAGGAAGCCCCGGCCCTGCCGTAGCCTGGCCCTGCGGCAAGGTCTTGGCATAGGAGAACCTGAGGCTTCCCTGGGACAAAGCCTCAGACACATGAACACCGAGAGGCTTAGAACAGTGGCTCAGGTCCTGTTGTCTAAGGCAGTGACTGCAGACACCCCGAGGCTTGGGTCTGGGGGTATTCCAGGGGACTGGGCCAAGGGACAGATGAAGTCCCGCCCCACTTGGCAGCCTCTCAAGACCCCAGTTCCTCTGCACCTACACCTTCAGACAGCGGAACTTGAGAAGCCTCGACTTTTTTTTTTTTTTTAATGTGTATTTTTGTTTGTCTTAGTTTTTTGAGATAGGGTCTCACCCCATCTCCAAGGCTGGAGTGCAGTTGTGCAGTCATGGCTCATTGCACCTTTGACCTCTTGGGCCCAAGCGATCTATCTGCCCCAGCCTCCCAACTGTCTGGCAGCACAGGTGTTACCACCATGCCCGGCTAATTTTTTAATTTTTTGTAGAGATAGGGTCTCCGTAGGTTGCCCAGACTGGTCTCAAACTCCTGGGCTCAAGTGATCTTCTCGCCTTGTCCTCCCAAAATGCTGAGATTACAGGGGTGAGCCACCTCGCCAAGCTGAAAATCCTGGATTTTCTATACGAATTGTCCTATTTCTAAGAGTTGGCAAGTGACGTTTTCCTAACACGGGGCAGTCTGCATCCAGAAGGCCTGGGGACTGATCCATAGAGTCATAGCAGAAGCTTGCAGCCATGCCAAGGACCTGGCCACCTCTGAAGGCACAATGGTGACTGACTCAGGCCGATGAAAGCTCTCCTGTGACTGAGGAAGACCTGGCACCCAGCCAGTCCACACTGAGTGAGCAGAGCCTGGCCGTGGTTGGACACTGTCCCTGGACTGCAGGCGCTCATGTCTCTGGAGCCATCTGGGAATCCGAGTGAAAGACAACAGTCTGGGTGGAATCAGAACGAGAGGCTCCAGCTGAACTCTGCAGATGGAGGGTTCAGGCTGTAGATGGGCCTTGCCAGCAAGACCGAGCAGCCCCCGATTGTCGCCTGCCACAGCCTGGCTGCTCTGCAGAGCCATCAAATCTCTCCCTCTGGATGGTGGAAGCCCGGTGGCTGGGCCCTCGTCCTAGGTGAGACCCTCACGCCTCACCTTGAGATAGATCCTGGATGGATGACCACCCGCCTCGTCCACCAGGGGCTTTTCTGTCTCCCTATGTTGACCTGGTGCCCGTGTCCTCATTTATTACAAATGAGAGGTTGCTTCCTTTGTCTTCAGGGACTTACTGGGGTTCCCAGGTACTAGCTGCCTAATTTGTGTCAGAAACTTCACCATCCAACCCTAAAAATCTTGCTGAGTCTCTGAAGTGGAAATGAAGGCTCTGGGGCCTGCAGCTAGTGTGGACCGGGAAGTTGTTCTCCCGATTTAGCCAGGCCTTTGGGTGGTGGCAAAGGCACAGGCATTGGGGCATTTTACTCCAGGGAAACCTGTCCCAGAACTTGTCCTTCCCCGGGGCTGGTGTGACCTAAGGACCTGTCAGCCCCATCATGCCAGGCTTTGGCCAAGATGGCTGTTGCCTGACCTGTGGCTTCCCGGAACCTCTACCTGCTGAAGACCACATGATGGAAGACAGGTAATGCTCCCTTCTATCCCTCTAGGCCTTTGGCCACAGACGTGCACACACACACACCCAGACCCTCAGCCACACACACACACACCCCCCTCCTCCAGGCCTTCAGCCACACGCGCGTACAAACATGCATTCACACACCCTTTCTTCCAGGCCTTCAGCCACACACATGCGCGTACACACATAAACACACACCCTTCCTTCCAGGCCTTCAGCCACACACACATGCACCCCTCACCTCTGTGCCTTCCTCCCTGATGCTGAACCCTGAGGACAGACCTATGTCTCCAGCGCTGATCTAGTTACTCAGCCTCAGCTTCCGCATCTGTAGGTTGGGGCAATAATGGGTCAATACCCCATCGGTGTGAGCCTTACAGCTCCCCCAGCCACATTTTAGTGAAGACGGCTTCACGTGCCCCCAGCTCCCAATTACTTCTTCCCCCAATTCTTCCCTTACTTCTTTTCTCCCCTCTGTGAAATTCATCTTATTTGAAAACATGACGAGTAGAACAATATTTCTACTTTACAAAATTTATTAACTTTTTGAGACCCTTTCACCTAGGCTGGGGTGCAGTGGCATGGTTAGGGCTCACTGCAGCCTCGACCTTCCAGGCTCAAGCAATCCTCCCACCTCAGCCCCACAGGTAGCTGGGACTACAGGCACTCATCACCATGCCCCGGCCCCGCATTTCAGTAGAAACGAGGTCTTGCTATGTTGCCCGGGCTGGTCTAGAACTTCTGGACTCAAGCAATCCTTCCACCTTGGCCTCCCAAAGTGCTGGGATTACAGGCATGAGTCACCGTGCCCAGCCTATTCTGCAAAATTTAAGTCCTTTAGTGGTGACACTGGATTCTCCTCTACCCCGTCGTCCCCCTCCTGACCGTGTCTGCAGGCAGACCCTGAAAGGGGTCCTATTCATCAGCTTATTTGGGGCTTGTTAATGTCCACCTTCCTCCACAGCAGCTCTGCCGGGAGTCCTGTAAGGCTGCAGCTGTACGGGAGTCTTAAGGGTTAAACCTCTTGGTGGGAGGCCAGACAGATCAGGGCAGACTTGCCCCATCCTAGCTTCTATAACCCGCCTGTCCCCGCCAGGCCCTGGGATACAGAGGCGAGCCAAGACCTCACAAACCACCTGGGGAAAGTGACACACCAGAGAGCGGGTGACCAGACTGACAGGGCAGGGGCTGATTGGAGGGCTGGACGCTGCTGGGAGCAGCCTGGGGAGGTCGGGTGGGTGGTGAGGGAGTGGCACTCGGTCCTATCTGGCTGGGGTGGGCAGGGGAGCTGGAGCCAGCTCACAGATGGCCTCAAGGGGCCCCAGGGGAAGCATGTGGACTTGGGCTGAGAGAGGCACTTTGTCGGCAGGTGTCGGGCATAGTCCGAGCAATTCCAGATCCTCACCCACAAGAATCACCGGCTCAGTGCCGGCCACTGGCTGCTGGAGAACAGCAGGAGCAGGAGAGACTCTCGATAGGGAAACCCGGGGCTGCTGCCTCCTTCAAGGAGGGGATAAAGCAGAGGAAATGAATCACTGCAGGGCAAGAAGGACAGGACTGAAGGGCTGCCCTGGAGGGGGCACTGCCACCCACTCTTGTCCCAGCTACTAGGCCCAGGAGAAGAGAGAGGAGGGAGTTACTGTGAGACCTGTTGGCTCTGCAGGGCCTCAAGCATCCTAGGGAGAAGGTTGTGGGTGGGATGCAGGAGCTGGCGACGGAAGCATCGGGTGTGACAGGAGGAGCCAAGGCCAGACCCTGAGGAGCACTGGCCAAGTGACAAACCCACCAGCAGGGGCTGGAGAGCTGCTGCAGCCCAGGAGATGGGGTCTTTGGGGAAGGGAGGGAGAGTGCCAAGGGCTACAGAGAACCCAGTCAGGTAGGAGCGAAGGAGCAAGTGCACGTAGGATGTTGCACTTAGCAACGGAGCCACTGGTCAAGAAGGCAGTGGCAGGGCCCAGAGTAAGCCCGGTTGTGGGTTGAGGTGCATGCAGTGGGTGAGGATGTGGCTATCAGGGAGAACAGGTCTCTCCTTCCGGCTGGAGTTGCAGGGAGATAGTTTTCCCAAAGAGGCAGAGGCTTGAGCTGATGGGAGGGAGCCCAGAAAGATGGGGCTGAACTATGGACTGTGGCTCTAAGGAGTCAAAAGAGGGTGAACGGTGGACAGGACGGCGCGGCCCCCACACACTCAACGTGGGCTCCCAGAGCACCAGCGGCCACCCAATCTCCTGGGCTGACAGAGCAGAAGGTAAGGACATAGACACGGGTGTGCCCAGGTGGCACCCCTGGCATTTATTTCTTGGGGGCTCACAGGCGGTGGTAGTAGAAGAGCTCGCGCTGACACACGGGACACGAGTGCTTCACGTCCATTAGGCTCCTTATGCAGAATGCCAGGAAGCAGCAGCCCAGGACGTACCTGCAGCCCCGGAGCGGAGGCTGGGCGTGAGCGGGGCCACCTCTCACTGTACGCTGGACGCACCTGGGACCCAGGCAGAGTCTGGGAGGGGCCTGGGCGTGTGTGTGTATGTTTGAGACAGAGTCTCACTCTGTATCCCAGGCTGGAGTGCAGTGGCGTGATCTTGGCTCACTGCAACCTCTGCCTCCCCTGCCTCAGTCTCCTGAGTAGCTGGGATTACAGGCACGTGCCACCACACCCGGCTAATTTTGTATTTTTAATAGAGTTAGAGACAGGGTTTCAGCACATTGGTCAGGCTGGTCTATAACTCCTGACCTCAAGTGACGCACCCACCTCGGCCTCCCAAAGTGCTGGGATTACAGGCATGAGTCACCGCGCCTGGCCCCTCTGTGTGTTTCAAAACTCCACAGCTGAGAGGTAAGAGCCATCCTGAACCCGCAAGCTCTTGGCTGCTGGTGACAGCAGCAGCTGCCGTGGGTGTCCTAAGCTGGCTGCTTTGTAGGCATCACTCACCCCTCCACTCCCTGCTGTTCTCATGGGAGGTCCCTGGGTCAGAGGGCTGCCGCCTCCTCTCAAGGAGGTAATGGCCCCACCCAACTGGCCTCCCCTATGCTTGGTCCTGCTATTTTCCCCGAAAGCTCCCCCTACCCTGCAGGGACCCACCCGGACCCACCCCTACCAATGCTCAGGCCTCTGCAGCGGCGGAGGGGCGGCCACTCACCCGAACAGGAAGAGGGTGGTACACAGCAGCCAGGTGAGGGCACCCGGGACAAAGGTCGTCACCGTGATGATGCGGTTTCCACAGTAGGGACACACGGCCTGCACCGGCATGGACGTCCCCACCACGGACATGCCGGCATACAGCTGTGGGAGTGGGAAGCGGGAAGCAGGTGGGACCCCCCGGGGCCAGGACCCCTGTGGCTTCTCAATTCCCATGGGCTGTCGGTGCTCACCTGAGATGGGGAGATGCTGGGATCTGGAGACTGGGGACCTGATATGTGGGGGTGTGGTGTGGCTCCCCCACCCCGGTTTGGAGGAAACTAAGGAAAGAAGTGTTCTTAGCTGGAAGTGGGGTTTCCAGTGGGCTCTAAGGGTGCTTTTTTCTTTTTTCTTTTTATTTTGGAGACGGAGTCTCACTCTGTCGTCCAGGCTGGAGTGCAGTGGTGCGATCTCAGCTCACTGCAACCTCCGCCTCCCGGGTTCAAGCGATTCTCCTGCCTCAGCCTCCTGAGTAGCTGGGACTATAGACATGTGCCATCACACCCGGCTTATTTTTGTATTTTTAGTAGAGATGGGGTTTTGCCATGTTGGCCAAGCTGGTCTTGAACTCCTGACCTCATGCGATCCACCTGCCTTGGCCTCCCAAAGTTCTGGGATTACAGGCCTGAGCCACCGCACCTGACCTAAAGGGTGCTTTTCAATGGTGACGTCATCTTCACTGTGCCCTCCAGGAATCTATCCAACCCAGCAGTTCTGAATCTGGAGACTGCCTGAGAATTCCTTGGAAAATTTGTTTAAATTCCCAAAACCCAGGCCCCACCTGGGGGGCTCGGCCTTCCCCTCCTCTGTGGCCTGAGGGGTGGTGTGTTTGCAGAGTAGAGAACGGGAGTCTACTCCATAAAAATTTCCTGAGTGCCTACTGTATACAGGCCCCATCCACCAGTGATTTCCCTCTGGAGAGAGATGCTTCGGTGGCCACTGGCAACACAGCCAGCATGGGAGCAGGGGCAGCTGGCCAGCTGCGGGGTCCCACAGCTACGGGGTCAGGGGAGGAGAACTTGCCAGAGGATGTGCTGTTTGGGCAGAGTCTTGGTCAGAGGTCAGGAAAGAGAATATTCTGGGCAGCTCCGAGCAGGGGACAGAAAGCGACAAGGGAAGGCCGGCAGGGGCACTCACCTACCTGAACAACTTGGGGGCCTTCAAAGTACATCTGGTGAGGAGGACCATAGGGAGGAGGGGGACCAGCAGGATAAGGATCTTTAGGAGAGAGAAAGAAAAGCACCCTCAGATCAGTGGGCTCACTGTATGCCAGGGACTTAGCTCAAAACTTAGGCCCGGATGCAGTGGCTCACACCTGTAATCCCAACACTTTGGGAGGCCAAGGCAGCAGAGCACCCGAGATCAGGAGTTCGAGACCAGTCTGGCCAACATGGTGAAACCCCATCTCAACTACAAATACAAAAATTAGCCGGGCACAGTGGCGCACGCCTGTAATCCCAGCTACTCGGGATGCCGAGGCAGGAGAATCACTTGGAAAACAGATTCTGAAAGATTCGGTAACTTTCCCAATTCCACACCAACATGGCCAGGCAGCCCCAGGGCCAGGACAGCCTCTGCCTCCTGCTGCCTCCACGCTCAGCCTCGGTTGTCTCTGGCCACGGGCAGGAGCGTCATACCTGATGTGGGGGAGTCATTAGTCTCATTTGGCGACTTCCTTGCAACACTTTAAGGGAGAGTACAGCACGTTGAAAGCCCCACTGCCCAATGGTCTCTATTGGGTTCCGTGGCCCCCTGATTGGTGGGGACAGTAGGATTTCGGGGAAGGGTGGTGAGGACTGAGGGCAGCCCCCAGCTCAGCACAGGGACCCTCGTCTCCTCTCTGCTTCCTGCGGTCTCCAGAGTAGACTTCTTCCCGGTCCCTGCCAGCCCTGGCCCCTGAATGAGGGGAGCCCTCACCCGGGGATGATTCCATCCTGGTGCTCTGGAGGGCCTCTGTCCCAGCAACAGTGCCTGGGCAGCACCGTGTTCTGAGCTCCGAGTGCTCATGTGCTTATTTCTAGGAATTCTCATGAGGAGGCCCGGTTGCCAGGAGGTGTGAGGAGCTGGGGCCACACCTGTCCACCTCTTGCTGGGCCTGGCTCCAGTAGAACAGCCATTGTGATGTGTGCCTTCACTGTGGCCTCATCCTCACTTCCTGCAGGAGGAGGGCAGGGGCTTCCCGTGGGCATGGCTTGAACAGCCTTTGGAGATGGCCCTGCTCCATGTTTCCACGGCCCCACATGGTGGGTGGGTGGGAGATTGCTGACGGCTGGGTGGGGAAACTGATCAAGGGTCTGAAATATAGTCCTGTTAGAGCCCAGCCATTCTGTTTGGAGGAATTTATCCTGAGGGAGCTAACCAGATGTATGTGAAGATCTAATTGTAGCATGTTCATGTCCTCTTAGGAATGTGGCTGGGCACGGTGGCTCACGCCTGTAATCCCAGCACTTTGGGAGGCCGAGGCAGGCAGATCACTTGAGCTCAGGAGTTTGAGACCAGCCAGGCCAACATGGTGAAACCCTGTCTCTACTAAAAATACAAAAATTAGCCGGGCGTGGTGGCACGTGTCTGTAATCCCAGCTACTCAGGAGGCTAAGGCAGAAGAATCACTTGAACCTGGAGGCAGAGTTTGCAGTGAGCCCAGATCGCGCCACTGCACTCCAGCCTGGGCAAGAAGAGTGAAACTCCATCTAAAAAAAGAAAGAAGAAATGTAGGTATGTATAGGTTCATATGTCCACACATATTCATGGTGTAAATGTGTGTGTGTTTACCTGCTCAAAAGTCCAGTCTGCCTCCTGCTTATTCAGCTTTATGAGCTTGGGCAAGGTCCCACTTTTTTCTTTTTGCCTTGAGACAGGGTCTTGCTCTGTGGCCCAGGCCAGAGTGCAGTGGCGTAATCATAGCTCACTGTACCCTCAAATTCCTGGGCTCAAGTCTTCCTCCTCACCTTAGCCTCTGGAGTAGCTGGGACTACAGGTGCTTACCACCATGCCTGGCTAATTTTTTCTTATTTTTAGTAGAGATGGGGTCTCACTATATTGCCCAGGTTGGTCTTGAACTCCTGGCCTCATGTGATCCTCTTGCCTCGGCCTCCCAAAGTGCTGGGATCGCAGGTGTGAGCCACCATGCCTGGCCCCCACCTTTCTTTAAACCTCCATCCCCTCCCTGCCTCATCTGTAAAATAGGGGTAATAAGAAGCTCATAGGGTTGTTGTGAAATCAGATGACATAACCCAGGTGAGGGGTCTGCTCTTGATGTGGTCCATGAAGCCAGCATTCTTTTTTTTTGCCTGCTTCATTTTCCCTTCATAATGAAGCCAGCATTATTATTGTAAAATGCAAATGGCTTCAATGGCTCAGAAGAGGAACTCCCAATTATAGACCTCATCCTCTGCGCCAATGGCAGGCCAAGGGCTTTACACAAGGATACAGCCAGGAAGGGCAAAGTCAGGATTAGATGCAGCTGTGGGACACCAATCTGATGCTACCCCAGATCCTTTTTTTTTTTTGAGGCGGAGTTTTGCTCTTGTTGCCCAGGCTGGAGCGCAATGGCATGATCTCGGCTCGTGGCAACCTCTGCTTCCCGGGTTCAAGCAATTCTCCTCCCTCAGCCTCCCAAGTAGCTGGGATTACAGGCATGTGTCACCACACTGGGCCCATTTTGTATTTTTAGTAGAGATGGGGTTTCTCCATGTTGGTCAGGCTGGTCTCAAACTCCCAACCTCAGGTGATCTGCCCGCCTCAGCCTCTCAAAGTGCTGGGATTACAGGCGTGAGCCACTGCTCCAGGCCTGGGCTTCCTGTACAGACTTGAAGTTACACATTTTGGGAAGGGTTAGGGACCGCCTCCTTCCCTGGGGATTTTGAAGCGATGGTCCCCCTAACACACGTCGGGACCCCAGGCGTGATGTCTGAACTGGGGAAGCCTTGAGGGTGAATGGATGAGGGAGCTGATGGGGGGATGCTCTCTGGCGCTGCCCTTCCCGGCCATCGCCACCAGGGGGCAGCACCGGGCTTCCATGAGTCCGCCTCAATTTCTCCCTCTTCAGGTTCTGTGCCCCAAACCCTGCCATGGGGCGAGGACTCCTCTCTCCCACCCCATAACCCACAGGCCCGGCCGGAAAAGGTGGCAAAGCCAGCCGAGGTCACACAGCACGGCTGCGGGAGAGCTGAACTAGACCCCAGGCCCTCAGCACCCAGGGCACAGTGCCCCACCAGGAAGCTGCATGGGTCAGGGCTTCTGGAAGACTGGATTTTTGTGTTTTTTTTTAAACCTCTTCATCCCCCAGGCCGGGCGCGGTGTCTCACGCTTGTAATCCCAGCACTTTGGAAGGCCGAGGCGGGCGGATCACGAGGTCAGGAGATCGAGACCATCCTGGCTAACCAGGTGAAACCCCGTCTCTACTAAAAAATAGAAAAAATTAGCCGGGCGTGGTGGCGGGCGCCTGTAGTCCCAGCTACTCGGGAGGCTGAGCCAGGAGAATGGCGTGAACCCGGGAGGCGGAGCTTGCAGTGAGCCGAGATCGCGCCACTGCACTCCAGCCTGGGCGACAGAGCGAGACTCCGTCTCAATAAAAAAACAAAACAAAACAAAAAAAAAACACCTCTTCATCCTCCAAATAAGGCCTGGCACAGAGGAGGATGAAGTTGGTCAAACTGTGGGCTCTCTCCGAGCTGTATGACTCTGAACAGGTGTCTTCTCCTCGGTGAGCCTCAGTTTCCTCCCCTGCAAAAATAATACCTTCTGCTGAGAGTGTTATGAGCTGGGCACGGTGGCTCACCCCTGTAATCCCAGCACTTTGGGAGGTCGAGGCAGACAGATCACCTGAGGTCAGGAGTTCGAGACCAGCCTGGCCAACATGGCGAAACCCTGTCTCTACAAAAATACAAAGATCACCTGGGTGTGGTGGTGCACAGCTGTAATCCCAGCTACTTGGGAGGCTGAGGCAGG
This sequence comes from Homo sapiens, assembly GCF_000001405.40. Classification (NCBI taxonomy): domain Eukaryota; kingdom Metazoa; phylum Chordata; class Mammalia; order Primates; family Hominidae; genus Homo; species Homo sapiens. The sequence goes on along the minus strand of NC_000016.10, from coordinate 8,879,477 downwards.
AGAAGGAGGAGGTTGCAGTGAGCTGAGATTGCACTCTGGCCTGGGCAACAGAGCAAAACTCAGTCTCAAAGAAAAAAGAAAAGAACAAGAAAAAAAGATTGCTTAAATGACTGAAGAATGAAAGAAATCCATGGGTCGGGCGCAGTGGCTCAGCCTTGTAATCCAACACTTTGGGAGGCCCAGGCATGAAGATCACTTGAGGTCAGGAGTTCGAGATCAGCCTGATCAACATGGTGAAACCCCATTTCTACTAAAAGTACAAAAATTAGCCGGGTGTGGTGGCATGCACCTGTAATCCCATCTACTTGGGAGGCTGAGGCAGGAGAATCGCTTAAACCCAGGAGGCGGAGACTGCAGTGAGCCGAGATTGCACCACTCCACTCCAGCCTGGGTGACAGTGAGACTCTGTCTCAAAAAAAAAAAAAAAAAGAAAGTTATCCACGTGAAGCACTTACCTCCATACTTGGCACATGGAAAGCTTGCAGTAAGTTGGCAATTAATATTAACATATTAACAAGAACCATGACAATCAACTCAATTAGCAGAGTCACAAAGGCCAGGGCAGGGGGCAGGCCACCCAGGAATGCAATGAGCCTGGAGTTTTGGCAGCTGGGGACCTGGGGAGTCCCGTGTGGGGCCTTTCCTGCTATGTGATTTAGGGCACCGGACTCCCGTCTCTGGGCTACGCTTTCTTTTGTGCAATGAGGAAGACTCTGTGGCCAGGGCTGTTTATGGGAAAAGGAGATGGGACATTTTTTCCTTCCTACTCATCTTCTTTTCCCAGAAGGGCCCAGCTTGAGCAGAGGCGATGAGATAATAAGGAAGAAGGAATTGGAGGAATGAGCTGTACCTGTAATTATTGCACAATCCGTGTGGGGGGTTGGGTTACAGAGGGGCCTGGATTACAGAGGGGCCTGGAGATGGGGCAGTGGCTTGTTCCTGCCTGGGGAGGGGCTGGCTGCCCCCAGAACCCTGCCTTCCTCACTCTGGCTCAGCAGTGGGGTCCCATATATCTCATCTGCATGTGGACCCTGGAGTCCTAGGGTGGGGACTTGCTGGGTCATACTGGGGCATCCCCTAACCTCTCTGGGTTGAATTTCCGGTTCTGCTAACCTCCCAGACTGCCTTACCTGCCAGCTTGTGGTGGGGAGTGGATGGGTCGGGCAGGATGGGGGTGAATGAGGTATAGGGGCTGCTGTAGGCACCACCCTCCCTACTCCAGCCACATTGCTTACTCAGGGAGAGAAAAGTAGGGGGAGGAATTCTCGTTCCCAGGAACTGATGGAGGACCCCCAGCTGAAGGGAAGAGGGTGTTTCAGGGCCATTTCTTCCCCAGCAGCTGCCGTCTGTCCATCTATCCATCCCTGCGTCCCGTTCCCTCAGAGCCTGGAGGTCTGCCTGGTGGAGGAGGAAGGGCTATCTCCAGATTGAGAAAGCCTCAGGGTGTGGATGTGATGGGAGAATGTGGTTGTGTGTGCTTCCACCTGCGTGTATTTGTGTGGGAGATGTGTGTGTCGGGTGTGTGGAGTGTCTGTGTGTCAAGCAGCATTTTTTTTTTCTTTTTTAGAAACAGTCTTGTTCTTGTCACCCAGACTGGAGTGCAGTGGGGCGATCTCAGCTCACTGCAACCGCCACCTCCCAGGTTCAAGCGATTCTCCTGCCTCAGCCTCCTGAGTAGCTGGGACTACAGCCATGCACCATCACGCCTGGCTAAATTTGTGTATTTTGGTAGAGATGGGGTTTCACCATGTTGGCCAGGCTGGTCTCGAACGCCTAACCTCAAGTGATCCTCCTATCTTGGCCTCCCAATATGCTGGAATTACAGGCGTGAGCCACTGTGCCCGGCCCGCCCTCATTCTTTAACGTGCATTTATTGAGCACCTAATATATGCCAGGCACACAAAACTGAGCAAGGCAGATGAGGTGCTTACTTACCCCAAGAAGCCCACATTTTAGTGAAGGAAACAGATGCCAGACACATTCTTCTTTTTTTTTTTTTTCTTGAGATGGAGTCTTGCTCTGTCACCCAGGCTGGAGTGCAGTGGCGCAATCTCGGCAAGACTCCGTCTTGGAAAAAAAAAAAAAAAAGAAAGTGCCAAGATCCACTTGCTGTTCTGACAGGACCCCCGAGTCTACTGTGCAGAGGAACAGTGGCGGGGATTGGGCCAAAGACAGGAGGTGACTGTCCAGAAGGAAGTGGCCCTAACAGAGAGCATGGACACTGTACAGGGGAAGCAAGTGTGCCCAGAGCCTGAGGTCCCAGCCCCCTCTTCTCTGAGACCCCTGGCAGAAGGATGCTTCCTGGGGAGGGGGCTTCATCTACACGGCTTGTGGGGGGCGCAGTGGGGCAGCACAGGGGCCCAGGTTCCAGTCCTAGCCTGGCCCGCAATTGCTGCATGGTTTGGGGGGAGCTGATCCGAGCCTCATTTCCCCATCTGTAGAATGGGACAATAACTCTCCTGCCCACGTTCCCCGCAGCACCATTCACAACAGCCAAGATTAAGAAGCAATCTAAGGCTGGGCGTCGTGGCTCACACCTGTAATCCCAGCACTTTGGGAGGCTGAGGTGGGTGGGTCACCTGAGGTCAGGAGTTCGAGACCAGCCTGGCCAACATGGTGAACCCTCATCTCTACTAAAAATACAAAAATTAGCCGGGCGTGGTGGCAGATGCCTGTAATCCCAGCTACTTGGGAGGCTGAGGCAGGAGAATCGCTTCAACTTGGGAGGCGGAGGTTGCAGTGAGCCGAGATCCTGCCACTGCACTCCAGCCTGGACAACAAGAGTGAAACTCTGTCTCAAAAACAAACAAACAAACAAACAAAAAGTAATAAATTTAAATGTCATTCATCAGTGGATGAATGGGTAGAGAAAATGCAGTACCTAAACATGATGGAATATTATTCAGCCATAGAAGAATGAGATCCTTGGCCAGGTGCGGTGGCTCACACCTGCAATCCCAGCACTTTGGGAGGACAAGGCAGGCAGATCACCTGAGGTAAGGAGTTTGAGACCAGCTTGGCCAACGTGGTGAAACCCCATCTCTACTAAAAATACAAAAATTAGTGGGAGAATCACTTGAACCAGGGAGGTGGAGGGTATAGTGAGCTGCGACTGCGCCACTGCACTCCAGCTTGGGCGGCAGGGTGAGACTCTGTATCAAACAAAAACAAAAATAACATATACCCCACAAATATACAGAACTATTATGTATTTATAATAATCAAAATTTAAAAATTTAAAAAAAATTATCTGTACCATGCTTTAACATGTGCCTGGCACTCCACAAGGGCCTGGAACTTTGAGGCTATTGTCATTACCGGGGCCCCACCCAGACTTCAGCAAGAAGTGTTTTGAAAATCAAGTAACAGCATTAATCATTGCTTACCATGTGCTAGGCTGCCCACTAAGCATTCTATACACGCTCTTCCACTTCCACAACACAACAGCTTTACTATCAAGGTGGGTGCTGACATTGTCTCCATTTTACAGATGAAGAAACGGAGGTGCGGAGCAGAGAAGCGACCTGGTCAAGGAACCCAGTGGCAGAGTCAGACCCCCACCTCCTCACCTGTCCCCAGAGCCTGTGCTCTTAGCCCAGCACAGCTGAATGGGATCCCTCCTCATCCAACTCACCCAAATACCTTTCAGAAGATGTAAAGTGGCTTCTCAAAAGGATCAAAGAGGCCAGGCACGGTGGCTCACACCTGTAATCCCAGCACTCTGGGAAGCCGAGGCGGGTGGATCACCTGGGGTTAGGGGTTTGAGGCCAACCTGACCAACATGGTGAAACCTCGTGTCTACTAAAAATACGAAAATTAGCTGGGCGTGGCGGCAGGCACCTGTAATCCCAACTGCCTGGAAGACTAAGGCAGAATTCCTTGAACCTGGGAGGCAGAGGTTGCAGTGAGCTGAGATTGTGCCATTGCACTCTAGCCTGGGCGATACAGTGAGACTCCGCCTCAAAAAAAAAAAAAAAATCAGATCAAAGAATAAGATAGAATCAGGAGGCTGGGCACGGTGGCTGCTGCCTGTAATTCTAGCACTTTGGGAAGCCAAGGCAGGAGGATTGCTTGAGCCCAGGAGTTCCAGACCAGCCTGGGCAATAATGTGAGACCCTGTTTCTACAAATAATAAAAATACAAATAATTAGCCAGGTGTGGTGGTGCATGCCTGTGGTCCCAGCTACTTGGGAGGCTGAGCGGGAGGACTGCTTAAACCTGGAGGTAGAGGCTGCAGTGAGCGGTGATCACGCCACTGCACTCCAGCCTGGGCAACAAAGCAAGACCCTATCTCCAAAAAAAAAAAGAAAAAAAAAGGCCGGGCGCGGTGGCTCACGCCTGTAATCCCAACACTTTGGGAGGCTGAGGTGGGTGGATCATGAGGTCAGGAGATCGAGACCATCCTGGCAAACATCGTGAAACCCCGTCTCTACTAAAAATACAAAAAATTAGCCAGGCTTGGTGGCGGGTGCCTGTAGTTCCAGCTCCTCGGGGGGCTGAGGCAGGAGAATGGTGTGAACCCGGGAGGTGGAGCTTGCAGTGAGCTGAGATCGCAACACTGCACTCCAGCCTGGGCAACAGAGTGAGACTCCGTCTCAAAAAAAAAATAAAATAAAAAAGAAAGAAAGAAACAGGAAACGGTGCAGAATATATGTCTGACCTTGTCAGCAGGGTGAGCAGGGTGGGGTGAATACCCCAGAAGCCGCAAAGGGAAAGAGGGTCAGCAGGTTTGACCACGTGGAATCAGAGAGAGGCAGTGCCCCCCAGCCCCAGCCCCATCCCACCCATTGCCTATGCCTGCTCCCCACCTTCTGCAACAGGAAGAGCTCCAGCCAAGCCTGGGCCTCTCGGGTGTTTTCTGGCATAAACTCTGAGCTTTACTTCTCATCCTACCAGCCACCAGATCCCCGTTCTCTAAGAAACATTTGCAGTGGGCCCTTTGCCATCCCGGGATGAAATCCATAGAAATTTATGTTTCTTAACACACATGTTAAGAGAAAGTTCAGGCTGGGCACAGTACCTCATGCCTGTAATCCCAGCACTTTGGGAGGCCAAGACGGGTGGATCACTTGAGGTCAGGAGTTTGAGACCAGCCTGGCCAACATGGTGAAACCCCCTCTCTACTAAAAATACAAAAATTAGCCAGGCGTGGTGGCATGTGCCTGTAATCCCAGCTATTCGGAAGGGAGATCACTTGAACCCCAGGAGGTGAAGTTTGCAGTGAGCTGAGATTGTGCCACTGCACTCCAGCTTGGGCAACAGAGTGAGACTTCGTCTCAAAAAAAAAATTCAAGGCCGGGCACAGTGGCTCACACCTGGAATCCCAGCACTTTGGGAGGAGGCCAGGGTGGGCAGATCACTTGAGCTCAAGAGTTCCAGTCCAGCCTGGCCAACATGGTGAAACCCTCCTGTCTGTACTAAAAACACAAAAATTAGCCCGGTGTGGTGGCGGGCACCTGTAATCCCAGCTACACGGGAGGCTGAGGCAGGAGAACCGCTTGAACCCAGGAGGTGGAGGTTGCAGTGAGCTGAGATCGCACCACTGCACTCCAGCCTGTGTGACAACAGCAAGACTCCATCTCCGGGAAAAAAAAAAAAAAGTTCAATGTAATGCCCCAATGGTAACATAAAAGAAAAATAAAAAGCAATTTATAGTAAAATCTTTACACACTACACATGAATACATATTTCACAACTTCGTATGGATTCTACTGCCCCTAGCTGTGATAAATGCCACTCCAACCCTAGTGTTGACCCAAGAGAAATGAAAACTTGTCCCTACAAAGACTCGTACACGAGGCCGGGCGCGGTGGCTCAGGCCTGTAATCCCAGCACTTTTGGGAGGCAGAGAGGCAGGTGGATTGCTTGAGCTCAGGAGTTCGAGACCAGCATGGGCAACATAGAAAACCCGGTTTCTACTAAAAATAATTGAAAAAAATTAGCCAGGCTTGGTGTTGCGCACCTGTGGTCCCAGCTACTGGGAAGGCTGAGGTGGGAGGATGGCTTGAGCCTAGGAGGTGGAGGTTGCAATGAGCCAAGGTCGCACCACTGCACTCCAGCCTGGGTGACAGAATGAGACTCCATGTCAACAACAACAGCAACAACAACAAAAGACTATACACTTTAAATGTGTGCATTTAATTGGATGTCAGTTATATCTCAATAAAGCTGTTGGAAAACAGGATTTTTCAGGGAGTGAAAGAACTCTGTATGACACTGTAATGGGAGATCCATGCCATTATACATTTGTTCAAACAAATAGAACGTACAGCTCCAGGAGTGACCCGCATTTAAACCACGGATTCTGGGCGATGACGTGTCAGTGTAGGTTCACCCACTGTAACAAATGTACCACTCGGGCGTGTGATGTGGATAGCGAGGGGGTGCTGTGCGTGTGTGCTGGTCAGGAGTGTTTGGAAAATCCCTGTATTTTCTGCTCAGCATTTTTTTTTTTTTTTAGATGGAGTTTCGCTCTTGTTGCCCAGGCTGGTGCGCAATGGTGCGATCTCAACTCACGGCAACCTCCACCTCCCGGTTGATTCTCCTGCCTCAGCCTCCCGTGTAGCTGGGATTACAGGCAAGCACCACCATGCCCAGCTAATTTTGTAGTTTGTCAGAGACTGGGTTTCTCCATGTTGCTCAGGCTGGTGTCAAACTCCCGACCTCAGGTGATCCGCCTGCCTCAGCCTCCCAAAGTGCTGGGATTACAGGTGTGAGCCACCACGCCTGGTCAGTTTTTTTGTTTTGTTTTGTTTTGTTTTGAGACGGGATTTCTCACTGTATTGCCAGACTGGAGTGCAGTGGTGCAATCATGGCTCATTGCAGCCTCGACTTACTGGGCTCAATGTATCCTCCTGCCTCAGCCTCCCAAGTAGTTGGGACCAGAGGCATGTGCCACCACATCCAGCTATTTTTTTTTTTTTTGAGATGGAGACTCACTCTGGTGCCCAGGCTGGAGTGCAGTGGCGCGATCTCGGTTCACTGCAACCTCTGCCTCCTGGGTTCAAGCAATTCTGCAGCCTCAGGTTCCTGAGTAGCTGGGATTACAGGCGCTACCACCACGCCCAGCTAATTTTTGTTATTTTAGTAAAGACAGGGTTCCACCATGCTGGCCAGGCTGGTCTCAAATCCTGACCTCTGGTGATCCTCCCAAAGTGCCGGGATTACAGGTGTGAGCCACTAGGCCCAGCCCTTTCTGCTCAATTTTGCTGTAAACCTAAACTGCCCTAAAAAGCAAAGTCCGTGTTTGTTTGTTTGTTTACAGACAGGGCCTCCCTCTGTTGCCCAGGAGTGCAGTGGCATGATCATAGCTCACTGTAACTTCTGACACCTGCGCTCACATGATGTGCCTGCCTCAGACTCCCAAAGTGTTGGGATTATAGGCATGAGCCACTGTGCCCAGCCCTTTTTCTTTTTTCTTTCTTTCTCTCTCTCTCACTCCTCCCTCCCTCCCTTTCTTTCTTCCTCTTTTTTTAATTTTAGAAATAAAATATGCTATGTTGCCCAGGCTTGTCTTGAACTCCTGGCTTCTAGGCATCCTCCTGTCTTGGGCTCCCAAGTAGCTGGGATTATGGGCATGAGCCACAGCACCTGGCCGTGGATGAATTTTCATAAAGTGAACCCACCCAGGTACCCAGACTGAGGGACAGAAGTTTACCAGATCCTAGAATCCCACCTTGTGCCCCTCCTGGTCATGGCCTCCCCCCACCCCCACCCCAGTGTCCCCGCTTGTTTATTTGTTTATTTATTTATTTATTGAGGTGGAGTCTGGCTCTGTCGCCCAGGCTGGACTGCAGTGGCACAATCTCGGCTCACTGCAACTTCCACTTCTCAGGTTCAAGCAATTTTCATGCCTCAGCCTCCCGAGTAGCTGGGATAACAGGTGTGCACCATCATACCGGGATAAGTTTTGTATTTTTAGTAGAGACAGGGTTTCACCATGTTGGCTGGGCTGGTTGTGAACTCCTGAGCTCAAGTGATCCGCCCTCCCAGGCCTCCCAAAGTACTGGGGTTACAGGCATGAGCCACTGTGCCTGGCCTTGACTTTTTAAAAACAGCTTAACTGAGTCATAATTCACACACCATACAGTTCACCCATTGAAAGCACACAATGCAATGATTTTTAGTATATCCACGGACTTGTGCAACTATCGCCACCATCACTTTCAGCACATTTTCATCATCTCAAAAAGAAACCCCTGTACCTTTTAAGTATCAACCGTCTAGCCCGCACCCCCACCCCCAGCCTCTGGCAACCCTTAATCTACTTCCTGTTTCTAGAGATTTGCCCATTCAGAACATTTCATACAGATGGAATCACACAAAGTGCGGCCTTTGTGTGGCTTCTTTCTCTTAGCATATTTTCAAGGTTCCTCTATGTTGTAGCTTGCATCAAGATTTCATTCCTGTTGATGAGTGAATAGTTGTCTACTGTATAGATACACAACATTTTGTTTATCCTTTCATCACTTGATGGACATCTGAGCTGTTTCTCCCTTTTGGCTACTATGAGTAATACTGCTATAAATCTTACTCTGTCACCCAGGCTGGAGTGCAGCAGTGCAGTCACGGATCACAGCAGCCTCGATCTCCTGGGCTCAAGGGATCCTCCCACCTCAGCCTCCCCAGTAGCTGGGACTACAGGTGGGTGCTACTACTCCTGGCTAATTAAAACTTTTTTTTTTTTGGTAAAGAAGGGGTCTTACTATGTTGTCCAGGCTGGTCATAAACTCCTGGGCTTAAGAGATCCTCCTGTCTCGGTCTCCCAAAGTGCTGGGATTACAGGCGTGAGCCACCACGCCCAGCCCAACAAGTAAATCATTATTTATCTATTTATTTATTTTTGAGATGGAGTCTTGCTCTGTCGCCCAGGCAGGCTGGAGTGCAGTGGCACTATCTCGGCTCATTGCAAGCTCCGCCTCCCGGGTTCACGCCATTCTCCTGCCTCAGCCTCCCGAGTAGCTGGGACTACAGGGGCCCGCCACCGCGCCCGGCTAATTTTTAATATTTTTAATAGAGACGGGGTTTCCCCGTGGTCTCGTTCTCCTGACCTCGTGATCCGCCCGCCTCGGCCTCCCAAAGTGCTGGGATTACAGGCGTGAGCCACCGCGCCCGGCCTATTTATTTATTTTTAACTTTTTTTCCCCCCCGAGACGGAGACTCGCTGTCGCCCAGGCTGGAGTGCAGTGGCATGATCCTGGCTCACTGCAACCTCCACCTCCCGGGTTCAAGTGATTCTCCTGCCTCAGTCTCCCAAGTAACTGGGATTACAGGCACCCGCCACCAAGCCCGGCAAATTTTTGTATTTTTCATAGACACGGGGTTTCGCCATGTTGGCCAGGCTGGTCTCCAACTCCTGAGCTCAAGTGATCCTCCTGCCTCGGCCTCCCAAAGAGCTGGAATTACAGGCGTGAGCCACCGCACCCGGCCTCAAGTAAATTTTTGTGTGGACAAACATTTTTATTTCTCTTGGGCGCGCAGACACCTAGGAGTGGAGTTGATGGGTTTTATGGAGACTCCAGGGCTCGTGGTTTGAGGAACCGCCGGGCTTTTTCCACAGCAGCTGCGCGGTTGTTCCCACCAGCCGTCTAGGACGGTTCCTTGCCTGGCTTGGACTAGTTGGTTTCGCTGCTGGGCCTTTTCCCCAGTGGCCCCAATAGGGGCTGCAGAGTGAGGCAGGCACAGTCCTCACCGCCGCCTCCGGGGGCCCTGTTGTCCCGGGCGAGCTCCGGGGACCTCTCTCCTTCCCCGCGCCCCTCAAATACCAAGCTGACCCTGGTCCCGGGATCTAGGCTCGCCTTCAGGGGCTGCTCTCGACTGGCCGTGCCCATGGGCTGGTCGCCTCTCTGTGCCTCAGTTTCCTCTCCTGCAAAACAGAGGTAACATTTTTTACCTCCAAAAACAGAGGACTCAAGGAAGGCTAGAAATGAAACAAGAGAAGAGAACAAAATCAAAATCCCCAACGAGAAAACAAAACCCTGTTTTTCTGGTGTGTGTGTGCGTGTGTATTTTTTCTTTCCCTTTTCCTCCTTTCTGTTTTTTGCTTGTTTTCTTCCGTCTCTCTTTTCATTCCTTTATTTCCTTTCTGCTAAAAGTGACACCCTCCGGGATTATACAGATTTTAGAGCCAAAGGCAGGTGGGAGCCGCACCTGGCGCGCGTGGCGAGGGGAAGGAACTGCACGGGCGCAGGGACACAGTTCCCCCACTTTGCAGGGGCGTTTTCTGCTGGTGGGTGCAGCCCAGCTCCGCCCCGCCCCGCCCCGCCCCGGCCCCTACGTCCCGCGCTCTGCGTTCCGCTCTCCCGCCAGTCTAAGGCGCGGACACAAAGGTCCTGTCCGGGCCACTCCCGCCCCGCCCGCCCCCACCGTCCCGGGCTCCCTCCCGCAGCCCCATTGGCCGGGAGCTCCTGGGGGCGGGGATCGGCGCCCCACCCCCCCTCGGGCCACGCCCCCTCCCCAGCTCCGCGCTCTCAGTCGGAGCGAAGCGGCTGGCGGAGCAGAACGGATTGCAGGGTAGGGAGCTCTTCTCGGGGACCCCAGGATAGGCGCCCCTGGCCCGCGGCCCCGGGAGCCGCAGGGGTGGGGCCTCGGCCTCCTCTGCCTCCATCGTCCCCCATCCTGCAGGGTCTTCTAGCTCGGCAGAGGAGGGCTCCGGGCTGGGTTTCTCGGGGCCTGTTTGGGGAACGCGGGTTGCTCCTCCCCAGGGGAAGGGGTGGGTGTGGCAACAGCGGCAAGGATTCTAGGCGGACGTCGGGTAGTACTTCCCGCCTGGCCACCTGTTCTCTGCGTGCAGGGGAAGCTCTTCCCGCCCTCCCCGCTGCTTTTGCCTTTGGGCGGGAGCCCTGGACGGGGGACTCGCCGGGCGGTGGGGCGAGGCGCGGGGGGCGTCGCACGCGGGAAGCAGAGCCACCCCCCGCCGGGCCTGGCCGCGCCAGCTGTGGCTCGAGGTTGGGACGGCGGCCAGGCCCGGCGGGGGAGGTGGGGAGCCGTCCTGGCGCCGCGCGATTAGCCGCATCTGGGGGAGGAGGAGCCGCCGGGCGCGCTGGGCCCGGGTGTTTGCGCCCGGATGGGGGTGGGGGTGCCTTAGGCGCTGGAGAAAAACTTCACCCGCGCCCACAGGCCCCCTTTCCGCAGGCTGCGCTGGCGGTTCAGGTTTGCAGGCCGGAAGTGAAATGTTCTTTTTTGATTTTTAAAAAGGAAGCCTCCGGCCCTATGGTTTTCTGGGGTTGGAGTGGATGTGTGTGCTGGGGGAGGCGGAGACGTCCCGCTCCAGGCAGGGCCTTGGGTCTTAATAGGTGGGGAAATCTCTGCCAAATAGGAGGCCTCTCGGAGCCTCAGTTTCCCCATCTGCAGACTGGGCTCTGACTTCTTCTGGCATGAGAGGGTGTGTGAGAGTAAAAGGAGGCAGCTAGCCCCGTGCCGGGAGACACGTAAGCTACTGTTTTTTAACTTGCTGTTTTGATATTTCTCAGTCTCTCTGTGCCCAGTCTTGCTTGCCCCTGTCATTTGCTGCCACTCTGAAGCCAGAGGGAACTTAGAAAAACAATCCGCTTAGATCTACCCCACGCTGAAAATCGTCCACCGAAGTCCCATTGTCGTCTAAGTCCCCAACTTCTCAGCAGGGCTTCCTGTTATCTTCCGCCACTACCTTCTCCAGCCTCTCTCTGCCTCTGTTCTCCCTCCCTTCGGGCCTTTGGCCCTCCTCTGGGCTCGGGGTCCTCCTTGGAGACCCCACCGCCCTCTGCACTCCCTGGGTGGCCTCGGTGATGACCGTGAGTTCTCGATGCTGGTCCCTTCAGGGCAAGAAAGAGGCGCAGAGCCCGGCTGGGAGTAGATGTTTTCAATGAGCTGAGCTAGGCCTGGCGTGGGGCCATGGGGTGGGGTTGAGGGTGGTTGACGGTGGGTCCCCTAGGTAGGGGATCGGTCTTTGTTCCACCGAGTGGCAAAGCCAGCGCATTTGGTTTGTGTTCCATCAGCAGGGGCAGGAATGGGAGGGAAGGTGATTTCAGATGGGCCCGTGCCTGACACTTCCACCATCAGCCGCACTATTGTGGACTGAGCCCGCCGTGCGCTTGGCATTTTCGCGGCACCATCTGCACAGCGTCCGAGCCCTGCGACGCAGCACCGCTCCTGTCCCCTTTGACAGATGAGGAAACTCGGGTGGGGCGGTGAAATCGCCTGGCAGGGGTCACAGAGGGAGTGGGGACCAGTCAGGGCTCAATCTCAGGTCTGAGCCAAAGCCCCCCGAGAATGGAGGGAAGGATGGAGGGATTGAGTGGGGGAGGCGTGTAGAGTAGGGTTCTTGTTGAGAAGGAGGGCTTGGGCTTCCCGCAGGAGGGGCAGTCCAGGCTGAGAACTGGGGCGGGCGCAGGGTCCCAGGTGGGTGGTGGCGGTGGGGTGACCGTCTCCCTGCTGGGTGGGGTCGCCCGTCCGGTCGAGGCCGTCCAGGGGTGCTAATGGGGGCACAGGCAATGGCAATGTTGGAGGCCCCCTTGGGTTCCCGGTACACTCCTCGGGTTTCCGGCCTCTTCCCAGCACTCAGGGGCTCCTGAGGGCGGAAGAGCTATTCCCAGCTTGGCGGGGCCTGGGAGGGGGCTCTGGGCAGACGTAGGCGCCGGGCTGCACCTTCCCTGCCCGCCTGTTTGCACTTCTCTGTGACTGTTGGCTTCAGGTCCTTAGCCAGCGGAGGGCTGACTCCGGCCTGGCTGCCCCCTCCCCTTTGCCTCCCGTCCCTCCCCCTGGACACTCCAACCCCCATCCCTTCGTGTCCCTCCCCCTCCTCTCTCTCTGCTCCTCCCTCGCCAGACCCCCCGCTCTCCCCGGAACAATGGAGGGGAATGTGGCTAGGCCAGCCTGACGCTGCTGCGTCAACCTCTGGCTCGTTCTCGGCCTCTATCGCTTCCAGGGACCCTTCTATCTGGGCTCAGCTGACCCGCCCCGCCTCTCGGCCCACGTGCCGGCAGTTCTCCCAGGCTGGGGCTCAGCTGCGCTGGAGACTGGGATGGGTCAGCTCAGTGTCTCTGTCTGTTTACAAAGGAGGAACCCAGGTGCACTAAGGTAACTTCGCTACTCTGCTAGAGTCTCACCCCGATCCCTGCGCCATTTCCCTTCCACCTCCTGCACTGTTAAGCCTTGGGCTGTGAGATGGGCCAGTGTAGCCCGGCTACTGCCGTGTTCCCTGGGTCAGGGACAGCTGCCTCACTGGGAGCGCCTTAGAAATGTAGAATCTTGGCCAGGAATCTGGAGCCTGTAATCCCAGCACTTTGGGAGGCCGGGGTGGGAGAATCTCTTGAGCCTGGGAGGTCGAGACCAGCCTGGACAACACAGTGAGACCTTGTCTCTACAAAAAATAAAAAAATTAGCTGGGTGTGGTAGCACACGCCTGTAGTCCCAGCTACTTGGGAGGCTGAAGTGAGAGGATCCCTTGAGCCCAGGAGGTTGAGGCTGCAGTGAGCCATGATTGTGCCACCAAACTCCAGCCTGGGTAACAAAGCAAGACCCTGTCTCAAAAAAAATAAAAAAGAAATGAAGAATCTCAGGCCCCACCCCACACCTGCTGAATGGCAATCTGCATTTGAACAAGATCCCCAGAGATTCCTGACTGCATTAAAGTAGGAAGTAGAATCACTGGCTTAACTCTGTGCCTTAGTTTCCTCATCTGTAAAACAGGGCTGCTAAAAGTGCCTCCCCTGTTGGGTCGATGTTTACGTGCATGTAGTTGATGTTTGTAATCCCCCAACAGGGCCTGACGCAGAAGTCTGTGGACAGTGGCTGTAGGGTGTATGAAAGCACTACAGCCTGCCCCATCCCCATAGTGCGGGCCACTACCCACCACACCTGCCAGCAGTGGGCTGGCTCCGGGCTGGAAGCTGCCCCAACACCATGCCCAACCCTGGCCTTCCCCAGCCAGCATCCCATGGAAGGCTCAAGACACCCTCATTTTGCAGAGCAGGCTTGGAGAGGTTCTCGCTTTGCCAAGAGTGAGGTGTCTGACTTGAACTCTTATCCCCCTGCCTTCTATCATCCTGTCTTCAATAAAGGGGCTGAAGCTATTAAGAATGGAATCTCTGGCTGGGCACGGTGGCTCATGCCTGTAATCCGAGGACTTTGGGAGGCTGAAGCGGGTAAATCATGAGAGGTCAGGAGTCCGAGACCAGATTGGCTAAAATGGTGAAACCCCGTCTCTACTAAAAATACAACAATTGGCTGGGTGTGGTGGTACATGCCTGTAGTCCCAGCTACTCGGGAGGCTAAGGCAGGAGAATCGCTTGAACCTGGGGGGCGGGGGTCTGCAGTGAGCTGAGATTGTGCCACTGCACTCCATCCTGGGCAACAGAGGGAGATTCTGTCTCACAAAAACAAAAATGAATGGAGTCTCCTTCAATGAGCTCCCTCTTACTAGAGTGTAAATGGCTGATAGCACTGCTAAAGCCCTCCTTGCAGTAAGCACAGGGCTGCTTGGCTCCCATTGATGTGGGTGGTGGGTTTTCAGGCCAGGAGGGCAGGAAGTTGGGGAGTGGGTAATGGGGGCTGCATGATTGGGCCGTAAGTCTCCAGACATGCGGGCAGGCTGAGCAGGGGCTGGGAAAGCCAGAGTCTTGGTACCCAGCTGAACTCCAGAACCTTCCAGGAGGAGCTGCAGAGCCTACGGAAAATTCCCAGGCTATTTTCGGCCGAGGCCCCCTTCTCCCAGCCGACACACCCATCCCTGGGGCAGTCAGGGTGGGCGTGGCTTCCTGCCCCCACCACCCTGGGCTCCCTCCCTTGGCCGGGCACTCATCAGAGCCTGGGGGCTGACTGGGGAAGGGGGTGCATGGCCAGCTGGGCACCTCCTGGTGCAGCCTCTCCCCCTTACCCTGCTGGCTTTTTCTCCGTAGCATTTCTGCTGTCTGACTTACTCCGTATTTCACCAGGGTCTTTGTTAGCCGGGCGACCCTGGGCAAGTTACTTGACTCTTTGTGTCTCCGTTCTCCCATTAGTGAAATGGGGATAGAATGAGCTGGGCTGTGTGAAGTGTTGTAAAGTAGTAAGCAGAATGGCCCCAGGACACTGCTGTGGTGGTGGTAGTCATGGTCTGTCCCACTCCCTTATCTGTTGGTTCAATAGGAAGTGGCAGAGTTCATCAAGGTCCCCTGTGGCAGCACAGGTGCCCAGCGTGCTGTGCGGTGAGGTGAGGCTCCCCGCTCCATGGACGTGTGCATACAGACGGCAACAAGTTCACGCATGCATACACGTGTATGCGCTCAGATGCAGAGACAGCCATGTGTGGGCACATATGTATGTGTACACATGCGTATATACACAGCACACACATACACATGTGCATACACCTACATACCTGTGCACAAACGAGCACACATGTACATGCAGCCTGGCAGTCATGACACCTTGGTCGTGACATTTGGTCGAAGTTTGTTGCAGGCCAGAAGCTCATCTGAGTGGCGGATCTGTTTGCAGCCTTCCTCCCTCCCCCAGCTGTGGGGAGCTGAAGGCTAGTCACAGAGGGCAGGCCCTGTCTTCTGCTGGGGACACTCCAAGGCCATGCCTGGTATTGCTGGGAGAGCAGTGGCTGGCTGGAAGCTGGGACTGTGCTGGTGGGCGGGGCTGCTGTGTGGCCCCATCCTTGTGTATGTGTGTATTGTGGAGGGGACACAGCAGAGGCTGGCCAGGGCCTCAGAGCTGGCTTCTGGGTGCCTGGTTACCCGCCCCCCAGTTGTTTTCTTTCCAGCTGGACTTTGCCCGGCCCTCCCCCGCACTGAGGCCATTCACTCCTCTCTGCTGGGCCTACTGGGGAGTGAGTGGCCCTTGGCCAGGCCTACTCTGGCCACCCCAGCTTGGCTTCAGCCCAGATGGGCCATGAGAGGCTGGATAAAGCTCCTGGGTCTCCCAGTTGGCACTGCCCCCGCCCCTAGTCACGTCTGCTCCGTGCCTCAGTTTCTTCCACTATCAGGTGAGCAGGAATGTAGCCACCTCCTGCTGGGCTGGGCATGGTGCTGAGTGCACACCAATGCAGTGGCAGCCAGCTGGGGCTTTGGGTCCTAATGCTGGCAAAGAATGAGGCTTGGAAGCTGGGTGTGGTGGCTCACGCCTGTAATCCCAGCACTTTGGGAAGCCAAGGTGCGCCGATCGCTTGAGCCCAGGAGTTTAAGACCAGCCTGGGCAACATATTGAAACCCTGTCTCTACAAAAAATGAGCTGGTTGTGGTGGCACGTGGCCGTAGTCCCACAACCCAGGAGGCTGGGGTGGGCGGATCACCTGAGCCCAGGAGGTTGAGAGGCTTCAGTGAGCCATGATCGCGCCACTGCATTCCAGCCTAGGTGACCAAGTGAGATCCTATCTGAAAAAAAAAAAAAAAAAAAAAAAAAGCCATCCTTGTGGCCATTCCTGGACCGTCTGGAGACCCTGCTCTGTGCCAGTGCCTGTGCTGGGCCCTTGGGACACAGAGGGGCCCTGTGCTGCCCTCAGACTCCTCACCCCTACAGGCCATGAGCTTCCAGTGGCATCTCTGAAGGATTGGGTGCACTTGGGGTGTTGAGGGGGCTTGGGTGGAGAAAGAAGGGGGCCCCCATTTTGGGTCTGTGCCATTCACCCAGGGGAAAATGGGTGTGACAAATGGAAGATGCAAGGAGGACGACGATGGTGACAATGACAGTGATGATGATGATGACGCGGCATGATTCCTGAGCGGGCCCTACCCTTTCCACCGCCTTTCCTGCCTCCCATTCCTAGTCCCCCACCCATCACATGGTTTCCCCACTGGCCTCAGTCCCACCCGGGCCCTCAGGGCCTTTGCACAGGCTGTTCCCTATACCTGGAACAGCCTCCCTCCGTTTTGCAAATGGCTACCCCTTTCTTGCTGTTCAGGGTCCTGCAGGCACCCTGATTAGCGTGTGTATTCCCACCCTTCTCCCCCTATCCCCTTCTGTCTGTTTCTTTACAGCCCTTTTGGGATCTGTAATGATCTGGTTTATGTTTATTTAACTGTTTATTCTCTGGCTTCAAGTTCAGCCCTTTGTCTCTGGGGCCTTGAACAGGGCTCGGTATTGGGCACGTGTCTGTTGAGTGCCTTTATGATGACAATTATAACAACAGTCGTAGCTGACAATTACTGCTCACTGGACCTGGGCGGACAGTGTGCCCAGTGCTTAGTGTGTATTATTTTGTTTTCAGTTCAGCCTGATGGTGTGAAATCGGGACTATTATAATTCCCATTTTCCAGATGTGGAAACTGAGGCCCAGAGAGATTAAGTAACTTGTACAAGACCACACAGCAGGCAAGGGGTAGGATTAGAAGTCAGCTATGCTTCATTAGCCGGGCGTGATGGCGGGCACCTGTAACCCCTGCTACTTGGGAGGCTGAGGCAGGAGAATCACTTGAACCCAGAAGGTGGAGGTTGCAGTGAGCCGAGATTGTGCCATTGCACTCCAGCCTGGGCGACAGCAGGACTCCATCTCAAATTAAAAAAAAAAAAAAAAAAAAAAAAAAAAGTCAGCTATGCTTGACTCCAGGAGAAAGGAGGGAGGGAGACTTTGGATAGAACAAGGCAGGGCAGTGTCTCTAACTGTGGAGTTGCGAGGCCACTGCTCCCATCTGCTGTCCTGGGAGGCCTGGACAGGGCCCTCCCCTCCCAGGGCCAGCCTCTTTCCTGGAACTCTGGGCGTTGAACATTCTAGGACTCTATGACCTGTGCTGGTAGGTCATGCGGGGGCCCTGGCCCCCAGGCCAGCAGCTGGGGCCTTTTTGAGGTGGGGGCTCCCCGGACTCAGGAGTTCCTCCTTGGCCGCGGCTGTAGCTGAGAGAAGGGACAGGAGGTAGGATGCCACCTCCTCCAGAAGGCAAGCCAGCCACCAGCTTCCCAGCCCGACAGAACTGAGGCCCAACGGGAGAGTGCAGCAATGTCTGGGGAGGGGTTCTGACATTTCAGGGATGGGGCATCCCTTCTCCTCTGAGCAGTCGGGCCTGGTTCTTGGGTGGCTATGCTTGAAGGCGGTTCGGGGGGTGCGGTGGGATTTTTGGGTGATGTAGGTTGAAGACTCCTATAAATGAGGGGACTGGGGGGGCAAACTGAGGTTGAAGGTTGTGAGAGCTTCATTTCTTTCCATGAGCAGCTGGAAACCTGGATTTTGAGGAAACCCCCTGGGATGTTTAAGATAGTTCAGGCCGGGCATGGTGGTTCATGCCTGTAATCCTAGCACTTTGAGAGGAAGAGGTGGGAGAATCCGTTGAGCCCAGGAGTTTGAGATCAGCCTGGGCAACATAGTGATACCCTGTCTCTATAAAAAAAAAAAAAAAAAAAAAAAAAAAAAAAAAAAAAAAAATTAGGCATGGAGGTCAAGGCTACAGTGAACTGTGATTATGCCACTGCCCTCCAGCCTGGGTGACAGTGAGACACTGTCTCAAAAAAATAAAAGTTATTTATTTTTTTTTGAGACGGAGTCTCACTCTGTCACCCAGGCTGGAGTGCTGTGGTGTGATCTCGGCTCATTGCAACCCACAGCTCCCTGGTTCAAGCAATTCTCCAGCTTTGGCCTCCCGAGTAGCTGGGATTACAGGCACCCACCACCACGCCCAGCTAATTTTGTATTTTTAGTAGAGACTGGTTTTCACCATGTTGGCCAGGCTGGTCTCCAACTCCTGACCTCAGGTGATCCACCTGCCTCTGCCTCTCAAAGTGCTGGGATTACAGGTGTGAGCCACCGCACCTGGCCCATGCTTCAAATCTAAATTTGAAAACCCCATGGGACCTGAGTCAAACCGATCCAGGGCTGCTGCTGTCCCTCCCGGCTGTGTGGTGTTGAGTGGCGTCCTGAGTTAGTTAGGCTTCTCCCTACTTCATCTCGTACCCCCATCACCAGCCCTGCGCAGGTGCCAAGTGATGCCCACCCAGCTGCCCCACTTTGCAGATTCGGAAACTGAGCCCAGAGATGGGAAAGGACTTACCCAAGGGCCTCTGACTGCTGGACTGTTTCTCTTTCCCCTGAACCTCGAGCTGAGGCCACGTTAGAGCCGACACCTTCATATTCAATGTTCAGTGATTATTGTGTACAGCGAGTGTCCTGCTCTTGAAAAATTGTCAAAAGCACAGCAGCAGCTAGGGAATTCCCGCCCTCCAGCTGGATTTACCGGTACATACTAGGGGTCACAGAAGGAATTTGATTTCATAACAGCGTGGTGACCCGGGCTGTGTGGAAATTCACTGGGCCTGATGGAGCTGGATGCAGCCTTGGAAATTCTCCCTTTCCCTTTGGGCTCTCGCAGCAGGCCCCCCAGTCCTGGGTGCAGGCTTGTGACAGCTGCTCAGGGATCCAAACGTGGCGCTTGAGCTCTCTGCGACGTGTTCCACAGTTCCCTGGAGGCGGACACTGCGTGAGGGTCAGTTTTTGCCCCTGCTTCCCTGTGGTGTCTGGCTCCCAGCAGCGTCAGGGAGGGTCCGTGGAGT
This sequence comes from Homo sapiens, assembly GCF_000001405.40. Classification (NCBI taxonomy): domain Eukaryota; kingdom Metazoa; phylum Chordata; class Mammalia; order Primates; family Hominidae; genus Homo; species Homo sapiens. Next base: position 8,860,037 of record NC_000016.10, on the reverse strand, counting down.
GGCTGAGTTTGGATCTAGGTGGTTGGCATTAAAATCTCCCTGGCTTTGGGTTTTCTTTTTTGAGACAGAGTCTTGCTCTGTAGCCCAGGCTGGAGTGCAGTGGTGCGATCTCAGCTCACTGGAACCTCCGCCTCCCAGGTTCAAGCAATTCTCATGCCTCAGCCTTCAAGTAGATGGGATTACAGGTGCCTGCCACCATGCCCAGCTAATTTTTGTATTCGTATTAGAGACTGGGTTTCCCCATGTTGGCCAGGCTAGTCTCGAACTCCTGACATTAAGTGATCCGCCTGCCTCGGCCTCCCAGAGTGCTGGGATTGCAGGTGTGAGCCACTGCGCCCGGCCCCTGGCTTTGGGTTTTCTGCTCACCTTCCTCCTTCCCTCCCACAAATACTATGTGTCCCAAATGTGCCGGGATCCATGCCTTGTGCTGGGGACACAGAGGGGACCGATGCCATCCTGGTCATGGGGGAGGATGTGGCATTTTCATGAAGAGCTATGATCGAGGGGGCCCCACGGTTGCTTCAGGAGCCCAGAGTAGGCATCTGACCCTGCCAGGCGTGCTCCCAGACAAGGTGACAATGGTGCTGAGGTGCCCGAGAGGAATGAGCCTCAGATACTGGACTGTCAGACGTGGACATGGGGGTAAGCACAGGGTCCCTACCTTGCAAGGCACGAGCCCCTGACAGCCTCTTCTCTTTCCAGGTCAGCCATGTCATCTGAGCCTCCCCCACCACCACAGCCCCCCACCCATCAAGCTTCAGTCGGGCTGCTGGACACCCCTCGGAGCCGTGAGCGCTCACCATCCCCTCTGCGGGGCAACGTGGTCCCAAGCCCACTGCCCACTCGCCGGACGAGGACCTTCTCGGCGTGAGTCTGGAGCAGGCTGGGGACGCGTTCTCAGATGGATCTCTTGCCTGAGGCCAGAGATTCACTGTGTCTCTGGCCATTTTTGGGCCTATGTCCCGGACTGCCAAATAGGCAGACCTGGGGCTGGGCCGTGGGCTGAGGGTGAGAAACTAGGAAGGCGCCTTGTAAATTCAGGGTACTGCCCAGCCCAGAAGAACCTGTTACCAGCTGGGAGTGGCAATGGGTGGGCAGTTGCTGGGGTCAGAATCGCTGGGCTTTAACCACACATGAGAGTCTGGTTCCCTGTGAGACTGTGAATTCTGCAGCTGCAAAATGGGCACAGCACCAGGGCTGCAAAGGACCCACATAATGCCTGGCAGATGCAGGTCTCAGGCCTTGCGAGTGGAGGATGCTTGTGTTATTAATAGTAAATCATTAGTTTCTGGAGGGATGTTCAGTGATGTTTTAGTTCAACTCCCTCTTTCCAGGAGGGAAAACAGGCCCGAGAAAATTGGCCAGGGTCATCCAAAGAGTCCTTTCCCCCAGCGTCTTTGTGAGCGGCTCCCAGGGTTGAGGGTTGTGCAGTCCTCAGCCTGTGTGACTGTACATGGCGGTCCTGGCCAGGGCTTGATGGGGCACAGCTGTGGGCAGGGGCTGGAATGAGCTTTGTGTGCCCAGGAGCGCTGATGGGGCCCCTGACATTTCCCCCTCTCTGTCAGGACGGTGCGGGCTTCACAGGGCCCCGTCTACAAAGGAGTCTGCAAATGCTTCTGCCGGTCCAAGGGCCATGGCTTCATTACTCCAGCTGATGGCGGCCCCGACATCTTCCTGCACATCTCTGAGTGAGTCAGCGGCAGGTCTGGGTGGCCTGGCTGGGGTGGGCGCTTCCTTGGCCCTGTGGAGGTGGGGATGGTGTGTGACTCTGATGGGCGCTGGGTGTGAGGACGAATGGCTGGGCCTGTGTGACTCTGCCTGTGGCTGGTGCTCCAGCTGTGCTCCTGTGTGTGTGTTGGGTTGGGGTTGTGAGACTCTACGGAGCTGTGTTGGGGGATGTGAGGCTGGGGGCGACACGGTACTTGTGATTGTCCCTGGGTGTGTCTTTGTGAATGGGTGTGTAAGGTTTTGTGTGTGCTGGGCGTGGTGGCTCACGCCTGTAATCCCAGCACTTTGGGAGGCCGAGGTGGGTGGATCACGAGGTCAGGAGATCCAGACCATTCTGGCTAATGGTGAAATCCCGTCTCTACTAAAAAAACACAAAAAAAATTAGCCGGGCATGGTGGCGGGCACCTGTAGTCCCAGCTACTCGGGAGGCTGAGGCAGGAGAATGGTGTGAACCTGGGAGGCGGAGTTTGCAATGAGCCGAGATTGCGCCACTGCACTCCAGCCTGGGCAACAAGAGCAAGACTCCATCTCAAAAAAAAAAAAAAAAAAATAATGAGCAGGGCGTGGTGACAGGTGCATGTAATCCCGGCTCCTCGGAAGGCTGAGGCAGGAGAATCACTTGAATCCAGGAGGTAGAGGTTGCAGTGAGCCGACATCTCGCCATTGCACTCCAGCCTGAGTGACAAGGGTGAAAGTCCATTTCAAAAAAAAAAAAAAGGATCGGGCATGGTGGCTCACACCTGTAGTCCCAGCACTTTGGGAGGCGGAGGCAGGCGGATCACCTGAGGTCAGGACTTCAAGACCAGCCTGGTGAAATCCTGTCATCACAAAAATACAAAAAAATAGAAAAAAAAAAAAAAAAAGCGGGGAATGATGGCGGGTGCCTGTAATCCCAGCTACTTCGGAGGCTAAGGCAGGAGAATCACTTGAACCCAGGAGGTGGAGGTTATGGTGAGCCGAGATCGCGCCATTGCACTGCAGCCTGGGCAACAAGAGCAAAACTCCATCTCAAAAAAAAAAAAAAAAAAAAAAAAAAAAAAAAAAAACAGATCTGCCCAAGATCACATAGCCAGAAAGTGATGGAAATGGATCTGGGGGTGCCCGACTATGCTTGTGGGAGACAGGGTGGTGTCAGCTGTGCATGGTGCATGTGTGTGAGCAGCAGGGACTGCTGGGGTGAGTCCGAGTGCCCATTATATCTGGCCAAGGACACCCCATGAGGCTGGGGAGCCCTGTTTGGCCTGGGGACCAGTCCAGCTTCCTGCCCTCCTTTGGGGGAGGTGGACTGGTGAGGCTGGGGGCTGTCCTGCCCCTTTGCTCCAGGAAGGAAGTTTGGGGTGGGTCTTTCTCCTCCTGCATGCTTACTGACGTCCTTCCTTCCTGAGTGTCTGAAAACCCTTGGGGAGCCGGGGGTGGGGCGCACACATCCTAGGGCTGGGCTGGAAGGCACCCAGCCCCCCATGCTTCACCTCTGATCCTCTGGGCAGCCTTTAGACAGGGGAGGACCCTCGATCTGCACCCTTGTCCCTACCTGCTTCTTTGGCCTAAGCACCCCCAAGTCTTTTACTTCAGGCAGGGGCAGACAGAGTCCTACTCTGCACAGCATACCCGCTAACACGGAAACCACATTTCTGAAAAGAGGAGCCCACTGCAATGGGGGAGTTACCCCTCCTTTGCCCACCCCCGCCCCATGCTTACCTATCAGATCGGCAGGCAGGAGAATACCAAGGTGACGCATTTCACATATGCATGCATACATGGATGTGTAAGGGTATTTCCATACTGCCTTGTCCCAGAAAGGATTTTGAATCAGTAAGGAAAACATAGAGGTTGGGGCAAAGAAATATTTAGGAAGATGGAAATATTGTGATGTCTGGTTCTGCTGCTGGAAGTAGGCTGCAGATTTATTTCTGAGCTCCCTCGTGACCAGATCAAAGAGGGAAACACTCTTCACCATACGATTCTCCAATCAAAACAAACCAGTTACTAGGGGAGCTGGCTGGCCCTTGCATTTAGCATCTGAAGGGGGTTTTCCTCTGGGGGGGTTTCATCAAGGGGACATCAAGATGCCAGTCTCATGTGAGAGGGTGACTCATGTCCCCTAGAAAGTAAGGGAACCTTCCTGGGGGTGGTCACAGGGAGAGGCCCCTCCAGGAACTAGCTTCATGCACCAAAGGGACCTTCTTGAAGGCTCACCGGGAGTCCAGGCGTGGTGGCTCACGCTTGTAATCCCAGCACTTTCGGAGGCTGAGGCAGGTGGCTCACTTAAGGTCAGGAGTTTGAGACCAGCCTGGCTAACATGGTGAAACCCTGACTTTGCTAAAAATACAAAAATTAGCTGGCTGTGGTGCCTATAGTCCCAGATACTTGGCTGAGGCAGGAGAATCACTTGAACTCGGGAGGTGGATGCAGTAAGCTGAGATCACACCACTGCACTCCAGCCTGGGCAACAGAACAAGACTCTGTCTCAAAAAAAGGCAGGCTGGGAAACTGGGGAATTTGAGAACAAAGACACGGTGCGGTTTCTGAGACTCCTGGAACCAGGGGCTGCAGTGCTGAGGACCTCAGGAAAGCCCTGCCCAGGCCACCCCTCAACTCGGATTCTCACTCCATGATGGCCTTGTTTCTCTCTGGCTCTCTGGCTTGGACTGGCTGTCTTTACTCTTCAGTCACAAGCCCAGGCTCCCTCCCACATTTCATGTCACCATGTGAGCACCCACAGGTGGCTGAACTCTTTCAGTTCCAGCATCAAAAGTCCCAGGGAAGGAGCTGATTGGGCCAGGGCCTCCTTGCCTAGGACAGAGGCTGGGGGCAGTGTGGCAGCTCCCTCTGGTGGAGGGGCAGTTCTTTGGAAAGAGGTTCCCGGTGGTTGGTCAGATGGTGCCTGCTTTGGTGGCTGTGTGACCAGAAGGGTGGCTGGTGTCTTGGGGAAGGGAGCTGTGTCCCGGTGTGAGCCCTGACTGCTTTATTTATGCCCCCGTAGTGTGGAAGGGGAGTATGTCCCAGTGGAAGGCGACGAGGTCACCTATAAAATGTGCTCCATCCCACCCAAGAATGAGAAGCTGCAGGCCGTGGAGGTCGTCATCACTCACCTGGCACCAGGCACCAAGCATGAGACCTGGTCTGGACATGTCATCAGCTCCTAGGAGATGGTGGAAGCACCCCTTGTCCTGTGCTTGTGGGAGACTTTGCAGGGAGGAGGCAGCAGACACTGGAGATGACATTCTTCCACACGAGACGGGGCTTCAGCCGGGCATGGTCCCTCTCAAGTATCTCCTGGAGGAAGGGGTATGGGGGGCAGGTGTGGGGTGTGGGGTGTTCCCGGCCATCAGCACAGCCTATGACCATTGCAACAACCTCTCACCATCTGAAGAGCATTAAAAGCATTTAAAAAGGAGAGGTGCCCACTGGTGGCTGAGTGGAGGTTCCAACCCCATCCCAGGGAGTGGATCAAGGGTGGTATTTCTCCAGCTGCTCAGACACATGGGCTCAACCCACAGAATCCCTCTTCCTCCTGGAGCTGGAGGCCCCAGATTCCCAGATCTGGCCCCCTGGCAGCCTGACAGGGACCTTGCGTGACTTCTCCAAGGCAAATTTCCACCTAAGTGCCCCTTGCGCCTCTCCTGGGGCCTGGGCAAAGCAGTTTTCTAATTCTTGGCTTGGTTGGTTCTAGGGGAGCTGGCTTGAAGTGGGTGGGGAAAGGCGGGGGTGGCGGTCTTTGGATTGGACGGATGTTGCCTTTTGGTGCCTTTGCAGTGGGAGGCGGCATAGCTGCCTGTCTGGGGAAGACAGTTCTCCCAGCACTCCCACCCCTGGGCACAGCAGGCTGGTACTGGGAGGCTGAACCCCTCTTAGAGCCTGACCTTTTCATCTGCCTTCTGGTTGTGTGACCATCACTCAACAGCCATTTCACAGCCCCTGTAATTATGGCGGCGGGGGGCTGGGGTGGTGGTGGTGGGAAGGGCTTGTGGAGAGGACACAGTCTTTGTTTAAAAACTTTGTCCCGATCCATCCAGAAAAGAGTAGGTAGCTTGCATCCTGACAGCCTGGCAAAGTCAAGAAAGTTGAAGGAGAAACATACCTTTGGAGAGGGGGTTTTCTTTAAAACTAGTGTTAAGAAATGCTTAGGGATTTTTTTTTTCTTATTTTTCATAACTAAAGCTTTCACCCAGAGCCGGCTCTGTTTGCACTTTGCTGCCGACATTGCAAACTTTTTGGCAGGGTGGGAGACTGAGTCTCATTCTGTCACCCAGGCTGGAGTGCAGTGGCCCGATCTCAGCTTACTGCAACCTCTGCCCTCCAGGGTTCTGGCAATTCCGCCTCAGTCTCCTGAGTAGCTGGGATTACAGGCATGCGCCACCACACCCGGTTAATTTTTGTATTTTTAGTAGAGACCAGGTTTCATCATGTTGGGCAGGATGGTCTTGAACCCCTGACCTCAGATGATCTGCCCATCTCGGCCTCTCAAAGTGCTGGGATTACAAGTGTGAGCCATCGCGCCCGGCCTGCAAACTTTTTTGTAGGTATTTCTGGTAAACAAATCCTTAGGTTATCTTTGCTGTGGTTGTGGTTTGGCTTTAGTCATGATTTCAAAGTAGAAATAGCTAGGCATTATTTTTTGAAATATATGACCTATATGTAGTCAAGAATCCACTGAACAGAGGCAAGCAAACCTTTTGGAAACTGGCTTTTGGGCAGACAGTAAACGTCCAGTTTGATGCTGGAAGCATGAACAGCTTCATCAGGTAGGTACTCCTCAACTCTGATGAGTTTGTCCTTTCAGCCTAAGGGGGTGGAAGGGAGTTGTTTGAGAATAGCAAATACGCATGTTGATTGCGAGTGTGTGGAGACAAAGGCAGTTCCCACCACAGTTAGGTCCTGGCCATTGTTTCCTCGCCTGCGATGCTCCTTGTACATCCTCACCCTCCTCTCCCGCCTCTGCCTTCTGCTGGGTCAAAGGTGGCCTTTTCTCTCCAGCCTTGAATTGTTCCCTGTTGGCTTCCCAAGGGCCCATCTGCTGGTACAGTCCACACTTCCACAGCCAAGACCCGAGAGGGCTTTCACTGCCCCAAGCCTCTCTCCTGTGACCCTGGGATTCTGTCTTGGCAGAATCCTTTGTCAGCGGCTCTTACTCTGTCCTTCCTGTTTGGCCACAGCTCTTTCAATCAATGGGTATTCTAGAACCGCAGGATGTCAGAGCTGGAAGGGACGCGATACCGGTTTACACAAGGGGAAACTCCTCGAGGCTCTGGGAGGGACGGAGGGTTTTGGTGACAGAGCGAGAGCTAAAATTGAGGATTCCTGAATCCAGATCTTGCCTCCCATCAGCCATCTTTCTCCCAATAAATTTTTGTTTTGTGCAAGGCTATGCGTGTGTTTGTGTGGAGGCTGGCTCACCAAGTTTTTCCTTTTAAGTCGTCAGATAAGGGTGTCTCCCCCAGGTGAGGCTGACACATTCCACGTGGCAGTCTGTTTTTTTTAGGGGATGGTGAATAAGAAGATGGGATCATCTGTTTTTTAGTCATCATTCTCTAGCATGAGAAAGCTTAGCAGAGAGGAGAATGCGGCTTCCTGGCAATAGAAAATGCCAGTAACTTGGTCAGCGGCGCTCCAGTGCCCTGTTGAAGCTTTTAGGATGTGTGAGTTACACCTCATCCCCATCAGCTGTGGGAAGAGAGGACGGGCCTCGGGGCACACTGTCCACAGTCCCTGGCTCATTCCTGCTATAGAAGTGTTTTTTGTTTGTGTTTTTGAGACAAGGTCTCGCTTTGTTGCCCTGCAGCCTTAACCTTGTGGGCTCAAGTGATCCTCCTTCAGCCACCTGAGTAGCTGGGACTATAGGCATATGCCACCATGCCTGGCTAATTTTTAAATTTTTTGTAGAGAGCAACTTGCTACATTGCCCAAGTTGGTCTCGAAGTCCTGTACTCAGACCATCCTCCTGCCTCAGCCTCCCACAGTGCTGGGACCAGAGGTGTGAGCCACAGCACCCGGCCACTGCTATAGACATTTGATGAACGTTTGCTAGGGCTGGGCACAGTGGCTCACGCCTGTAATCCCAGCATTTTGAGAGGCCGAGGTAGGTGGATGGCTTGAGCTCAGGGGTTTGAGACCAGCTGGGCATCATGGCGAAACATGGTCTCTACCAAAAATACAATTAGCTGGGCATGGTGGCATGAGCCTGTGGTCCCAGTTACTCCAGAGGCTGAAGTGGGAGGATTGCTGGAGCCCAGGAAGTGAAGGCTGCAATGAGCTGTGAATGCACCACTGCACTCCAGCCTGGGTGACAGTGACACCCAGTCTCAAAAAAAAAAAAAAAAAAAAAAAAAAAAGCTTGCTGCTCTTCAGGCATGAAGTCAGGGGCTGGAAGCAGATGAGGCTTGAGGGCCCGGGGCTGGCAGAGTCCTAGGACGGAGAGCTTTTCAAGGTCCATAGCAGGGGAGGAAGGGTTTGCTGTTGGGGCAGTGGGAGTGAGGGCAGAAGGTGGGCAGGTGTAAGAACTCCTGTTCTTGGTTTCCAGGAGAGCAGTGACAGGCAGGGGCCACTCTATGGGGTCGCTGTGCTCTGTTGGGAAGGCTTTGCTCTGGCCGGTGTCTCCCAAGGGAGGCAGTGATTTTGGGTGGTGCAGAGATGGACACTTTTCTTGTCAGTATTATACAATGATTTCCAAAGCATATTGGGAAAAAACCAGCCCATCAAACCTGTTTAGGGAGAGCCTAACGTAGGCACTTAGCTCAAAACAATGAGATTTGCTGACTTACTTACTATATGGAGTACTACATGGGTAGCCAAGGAAGGGTTTGGCAAAAGCTGAAGGTGGGGAGCGGGCGTGGTAGCTCACGCCTGTAATTTCAGCACTTTGGTAACCGAGGTGGGCAGATCACTTGAGGTCAGGAGTTCAAGACCAGCCTAGGCAACATAGTGAAACCCCGTTTCTACTAAAAATACAAAAATTAGCTGCACGTGGTGGTGCATACCAGTAATCCCAGTTACTTGGGAGGCTGAGGCAGGAAAATCACTTGAACCTGGAGGCAGAGGTTGCAGCGAGCCAAGATTGTGCCACTGCACCCCAGCCTGGATAACAGAGTGAGACTCTGTCTCAAAAACAAAAAAAAAGGCCGGGCATGGTGACTCATGCCCATGCCTGTAATCCCAGTACTTTGAGAGGCCAAGGCAGGTGGATCACCTGAGGTCAGGAGTTCAAGGCCAGCCTGGCCAACATGGTGAAACCCCGTCTCTACTAAAAAGACAAAAATTACCTGGGCATGGTGGCAGGGGCCTGTAATCTCAGCTACTCGGGAGGCTGAGGCAGTAGAATTGCTTGAACCGGGGAGGCGGAGGTTGCAGCGAGCTGAGATCGTGCCATTGCACTCCAGGCTGGGCAACAACAGTGACTTGTCTCAAAAACAATAGCAACAACAACAACAAAAAACAAAACTGAAGGTGGGACTGGGAAGACGTTTGGGAAAGCAGCCTCGGGTGAAGGAGGTGGAATGAGTTCTACGTCTTGACTTTGGGGTGCCGTGGCAGGCAGCGTGGAGGTTGCCTGTCGTTCAGGTTGGAGGAGCCTGCCTGGGCTGAGGTGGCCAGCTGGGGCCCAGAGCCAGAACACTTGGGAGGGGTGGAGAGGAAGCAGCAGCCCTTGGAGAGGAAGTGATTCAAAACCACGTATGCCTGGATGTGTCCGGACTACGGCAACATCTGCCCAACTGCCTTCTCCTGGCCCCTGTGGGCACTCCCCTTCCAGTAGCTGGAGAGACCTTCCCGGACAGATCATGAGCATGCCCCACACCTCTCCCTCGGGATCAGGTTCAAGCTCAACTTCCTGGCTAGCCTCTCCCTCCAGGGAGCCAGAGGCCTGCCCTGCACTCACCCACTGCTCAGGTTCAACCCAGGCCTTTTCTCTGAGGCTTAAGCCCTGGGTGACCTTGAGTTCAGGGTCAGCTTCTGCAGTGCTGGGGATGGTGACTTTCAACAGTGCTAAGCTGGCCTGGATGCAACCTCTGTGCTTTGCTGTGGCTCAAAATTTACCTACTGTGTTTAAATTTCTTGTGACGGTGTCTTTATCCTGCAACCCCCTAAAGCAGAGAGAGGGACTGACTGTCCCTGCCTTATAGGGTTCTGGGTTGGGAAGGGGTATTACTTGAGTTAGTAATGGCTCACACTCACTGTTCAAAGTGCTTTAAATTCCATACACGGTAAGGACTATCCCATTTGACAGAGGAGGAAACTGAGGCGAAGATGAACTCACCTTAAGTCACGCAGCAGCTTGTAGCAGCAGAACTAGGCTTGGGGTCTTGGCAGCTGTGCTCTTACCTGCCATGTGCAGAACCTGCTGCTCTGGGGTCACGCAGAAGGCACCAGGACATGTTGTGCATGCGTCGTTTAGCTGTTATCACTTTACATCCCACCACAGTGCGGGGCAAGCCGATGCCCTTGGAGTAAGCCCCAGGAAGCTGGCCTGGGATGCAATGTGATGACAAAGAAGGTGGAAGGGGAGTGTCAATTCTGACTGCAGAAGGGAGGCAGCAGACAGTGCAGGAGGGGCTCGAGGGGCCTGGGGAGGGTCTCAAGCAGCCACTGTGGGAACTGGGGCAGGGACGGCCCAAACCTCCGCGCATCAGCACCCAGCCTGGCAGACTCGGGGTACTCACCTGAGGGCAGCCCTGTGCAGGCGGTGACACAGCAGCAACCCTCCATCTCCGGTTAAAACAAGTTTGAGTAAGACTCGGTTGTCTCGCTTTGACGCAATACGTTAAGGAAACTTGTAAAGAATGGCAGATCCTGACCCAGTGGGCAGAAAAGCAGCGGGGGAGGAGTCTGTGCATCAGGAACAGCAACATGCAACTCCGCAGAGGGAGGGGCCCCCGATGTGACAGAAATCCAGAGTAAAGAAAGAGTGGCTCTCAGACCTGGAAGGGCTGGGGTTCCATTCCAGAATCTGGGAACATAGGAGGAAAAAGAAATCGGAATGAGAAACAGGAAACAATAAAATCACTTTAATGTGCTACTCTTCACTTTGGAAGGTCATTACAGTATCATTCGACAAGGAAAGATGCCGCTGGATGGCTGTGTCCTGTGAGTCACTGGGATGAGCTGGCTGCTTTCACCCCACCGGATCCGGGGCTCAGACAGTTACAAGCCCGAGTGGCTGGGAGGTTTGGAGGGAACCAGGTTTAGCTGTGATGAAAGCACCTGGCTGTGGGCTGGGAGGCAGGAGTGCAGGGCAGCCTGGGCTCCCCTGGCCCCAGACTCAGGTCGGCAAGTGCCCAGTGGAGGCCACACAACCCCAGCACCAAGCAATGGAGGGTGTATGGCTCAGTGTTTCCACATCCTGAAAAGTGACACATGAACCGTTTCCTAGGAAAGTTCTCTTCCACCGTGTTCTAGCTGAGACCCGGGATCCTTCCAGTTTCACGAAGAACGTGCAGAAGATGAAAAGAGTGAGGGACGCGGACCTAGCTGTAGCTGCACTCAGCCGCCTCCGTGGTAAAGTCTGGGTGAAGGCCTGGGTGAGTGCAGATAGGAGAGCAGCTCCTCTTACTGTTCTCTGGCTGGGCTCTCGCTCCATCCCTGAGAAACTAGAGGCGAACGCCTCCAGGAAGCCAGCCAGGGGCAACCAGAAAGTCCTTTTGGTGAAGTCTGACATCCCGCGTTGGTTTCTCTGGACCTGGGTAAGAACCGGCCCCAGGGCAAGGACTGTTTTGCCAGCACCAACTCTCCAGCCCAGCTGTTGGTTCCCACTACCTCCGGTCTCGGAGACAGAGAAGCAGCCAGGCTATTCTGAGTGTAGTGAACACAGAGCCGGTCCGAATCCGGCCCAGCCGAGGTGCAAACTCCCTAGGGTCTGCTCCCACTTGGCCAGCCATCTGTCCAGCAGGCCTCAGCCCCAAACACGGGAAAACGCAGAGTGCGTCTAGTCACTGGGTATCACACTGCCCCACTCACAGCCCCCATCAAGGTGACATGCAGGCGGGAGCTTCGTTCCAGGAGGTGTTTGTAAACTTCGTCCTGGGCTGGGTCACTGCAGATGGCCTGTCCTGGTTTCTCATTACCAAACCCCCATGTTTGGTATTGATGCAGGGGCCCATTAAAAAAACCGCTTATGTTTCCACAGACCCACCAAGAGGGAGGGTCCAGGCACAGTTTTTCTTTCTGTATCATCCTAGAATGATGGGGAAATTTCCGCCAAAACTACATGATTGCACGTATCAGGGTGGGTATTAGACTAGGGGGCTGGGGGTGGGTGGGGAAGACCTTTTGTGCGAGGCATTCCTCTGGGCCATTCTTGACAAGAGTTTTCTCCTTCCTTCTGGAAGTTTCTGGCACTGGAGGTGGAAGTCCAGACTGCACATGCCTGGCATAGCATGCAGAGCCTGCCTAGGCTGCGGGTGGGTGAGCACGTGTGGGAGGACCCTCGGCTCTGGCCACCGAATGCCCTATGCTGGCTTGTCAGCCGGGACCCCGCCCCTCCCGCTCCCACGTTAGGAGAACAGCAGTTCACAGATCCTGCGCGTGTCCTCAGGCGCTGTCACGGAGTAGCCCATGGTTCTGGGGTCTGTGAAGATCTCATGGTCATTGCCACCCTGGAAAGACACGAAGTACAGATGAAGGCTCCCCCTCGTCTGTCCCGGGCCATTGCTGATGTGACCCTGGAGTCCAAAAGTACCCAAAAAACAAGATTTAACTGGGCAGGGAGAGTTTCTTCAGCTACCTTCCTCTTAGTTTCCAGGAGAGGAACGTGAGTACAATTGTTATTAAGAAGAGATTTATAACCTTCTCTTGAACTGCAATTTGGCTTGGAACACGTAATTATGCCTATGAGAGCCATCACGATGTTCTTGCGAAGATCTGTCTAAGGCTTATTTTTCTACACAGAAGGCATCAGCGAGTGACAGTATTCTCACAGCCATCAGTTTTTTTTTTTTTTTTAGCTGTACCTACGCTTTTCTAACAAGTCACAAGGGAGCGTCAGGAGGGCAGAGGGCCGGGAGCAGGGCTGCCAGGGATATTCCTGTGATGAGGGACGTGGCGACATCAGCGGTGATGGCAGCCACTGGCCATGTGTCACTCTGCACACTTGAAACGTGGCCAATGCAATGGAGGAACTCAGTTAATTTGATTTTAATTTAAACAGCCCCACGTGGGCCGGGCATGGTGGCTCATGCCTGTAATCCCAGCACTTTGGGAGGCTGAGAAGGGTGGATCACTTGAGGTCAGGAATTTGAGACCAACCTGGCTAACACAGCAAAACTCCATTTCTACTTAAAATACAAAAATTAGCTGGGCATGGTGGCGCACGTCTGAAATCCCAGCTGCTCGGGAGGCTGAGGCAGGAGAATTGCTTGAACTCGGGAGGTGGAAGTTGCAGTAAGCCGAGATCGCACCACTGCACTCCAGCCTGGGCGACAAAGGGAGACTCTATCTTAAATAAATAAATAAATGGCCCCACATGACTGGGGTCTGAGCTGCTGGCTAAAAGCAGGGTCTCTGGAACAGGTGGCCTGGGTCAGATGCTGGTTCTACCACTGAGCAGCAGTGTGGCTGCGCCAACTCCCCATCTCCAAAATGGGGTCATGATGGAAGCTTGCTCACAGCTCTGTGGCCAGAAGTTCAGGAGATGATGGTTGGGGTCACACCTTGGTAAGATGACGAAACCGAGGCCTCAGAAAGTCTGCAAGGGCCCATGTCTAGGAGGACCTGGGCATGTTCTGCTGGGGTCCTGTGCCTGAGTTGAGTGCTCCCATCTGTGTCCCCATCACCCCCACCAATCCCACTGGGCTCACGTTAATGAATCAGGTTATCTGCCGCTCCCGCAACCCCGAGCCCTGCAGGAAAGCCCCCGTTTTTCTCATGGAATTCCTTTATTTCCCTCATAAAATTGGATAATCACTCTAACTCAAAACCTTAAAATAATCTACGATTGCTTTACAATACAATGAACACAACCGTAGAAAAAAGGGATTTTTCTCATAAAGCACCGAGCATGAAGCCAACGTGGAAACCATGATTTTGTACCAAAAATCTGACATCCTTTAAAAGAATTAATTGCCTCTGGAAATGAGTGTTTTCATTTTTGCAAGAACCTATCCCCAGGCAGATGGCCTCCTCAGGTGGAGGTGAATTTCAGGCTTCAGGAGGGAACGTCGCTGGGCCCAGGGAGTGCTGGGTGGAGTCAGGTTAGGAGGCCATGAACTTGGCATCTCTTCCAGTCCAGCCACTTGGGAACCTGTCAGGGCCTTGTACTGGCCTTACACAGTTTTGTACCAGGCCTGGGGGCCTTCAGACAGACCTGAATTGCATGGCCACCATCTGCTACCTACACATGTGAAATCAGTTCTGGTAATTCTGATTTTGCCTTTTTTTTCCTTCGGACATAGGGTCTTGCTATGTTGCCCAGGCTGGGCTCGAGCGAACCTCCTGCCTCAGCCTCTCGAGTAGCTGAGACAAAGACTGTGTCCAACAGTGCCAAGCTAGTTCCAGTAATTCTTCTAATTAAAAAAAAAAAAAAAAAGATTTCTTTCAGGAATGGCACAGTGGGTAAAAGTCACAGAGAACCTAACAAAGGCACAACCTAGCTGGGTGTGGTGGTGCGCACCTGTAATCCCAGCTGCTTGGCAGGAGAATCACTTGAACCTGGGAGGCGGAGATTGCAGTGAGCCAAGAACAGACCACTGTACTTCAGCCTGGGCAACAGAGCGAGACTCAAAAGAAAAAAAAACAAACAAAAAACCAAAGGCACAACCAACTCTCACATGCCTCAAAAGAGCCAAACACCCTCCCCGCCTCAGTGACTGAGGAGGGGAGTCAGTATTCACACATTAACACAACACACCTTTCTAGAACACCTACTGTCAGGCCTCTGAGCCCAAGCCAAGCCATCGCATCCCCTATGACTTACACGTGTACATCCAGATGGCCTGAAGTAACTAAAGATCCACAAAAGAAGTAAAAATAGCCTTAACTGATGACATTCCACCATTGTGATTTGTTTCTGCCCCACCCGAACTGATCAATGTACTTTGTAATCTCCCCCACCCTTAAGAAGGTTCTTTGAAATTCTCCCCACTCTTGAGGATGTACTTTGTGAGATCCACCCCTGCCCGCAAAACATTGCTCTTAACTTCACCGCCTATCCCAAAACCCATAAGAACTAATGATAATCCACCACCCTTTGCCGACTCTCTTTTCGGACTCAGCCCGCCTGCACCCAGGTGAAATAAACAGCCATGTTGCTCACACAAAGCCTGTTTGGTGGTCTCTTCACATGGACGCGCATGAAATTTGGTGCCGTGACTCAGATCGGGAGACCTCCCTTGGGAGATCAATCCCCTATCCTCCTGCTCTTTGCTCCATGAGAAAGATCCACCTACGACCTCAGGTCCTCAGACCCACCAGCCCAAGAAACATCTCACCAATTTCAAATCCAATAAGCAGCCTCTTTTTACTCTCTTCTCCAACCTCCCTATCCCTCACCGTCTTTCTCCTTTCAATCTAGGCGCCACACTTCAATCTCTCCCTTCTCTTAATTTCAATTCCTTTCATTTTCTGGTAGAGACAAAGGAGACGTTTTATCTGTGGACCCAAAAAACCGGCGCCGGTCACGGACTGGGAAGGCAGCCTTCCCTTGGTGTTTAATCATTGCAAGGACGCCTCTGATCATTCACCCACGTTTCAGAGGTGTCAGACCACGCAGGGACACCTGCCTTGGTCCATAACCCTTAGCGGCAAGTCCCGCTTTTCTGAGGAAGGGGCAAGGACCCCAACCCCTTCTTTCCGTGTCTCTACCCCTTCTCTGATTTTCTGGGGCAGGGGCAAGAACCCCCCAACCCCTTCTCCTTCACCCTTAGCGGCAAGTCCCGCTTTTCTGGGGGAGAGGCAAGTACCCCAAACTCGTATCTCTGTGCCCCAATCCCTTATTTCCATGCCCCAACCCCTTTCCCGCTTTTCTGGAGGGTAAGAACCCCCAAACCCCTTCCCTCCATGTCTCTACGCTCTCTTTTCTCTGGGCTTGCCTCCTTCACTATGGGCAACCTTCCTACATTCCTCCTTCTTCTCCCTTAGCCTGTGTTCTCAAGAACTTAAAACCTCTTCAACTCATACCTGACCTAAAACCTAAATAAATGCCTTATTTTCTTCTGCAATGCCGCTTGACCCCAATACAAACTCGACAGTAGTTCCAAATAGCCAGAAAACGGCACTTTCAATTTTTCCATCCTGCAAGATCTAAATAATTCTTGTCGTAAAATGGGCAAACAGTCTGAGGTGCCTGATGTCCAGGCATTCTTTTACACATCAGTCCCTTCCTAGTCTCTGTGCCCAGTGCAACTCGTCCCAAATCTTCCTTCTTTCCCTCCCGCCTGTCCCCTCAGTCCCAACCCCAAGCGTTGCTGAGTCTTTCTAATCTTCCTTTTCTACAGACCCATCTGACCTCTCCCCTCCTCGCCAGGCCGAGCTAGGTTCCAATTCTTCCTCAGCCCCTAGACCCTAAAAGGTCAAAAGGCCGTCTTATTCTCAATATACATTTTATTACCCAATCTGCTCCCGACATTAAATAAAACTCCAAAAATTAGAATCTGGCCCTCAAACTCCACAACAGGACTTAATTAACCTCACCTTCAAGGTGTACAATAATAGAAAAAAGTTGCAATTCCTTGCCTCCACTGTGAGACAAACCCCAGCCACATCTCCAGCACACAAGAACTTCCAAATGCCTGAACCGCAGCGGCCAGGCGTTCCTCCAGAACCTCCTCCCCCAGGAGCTTGCTACACGTGCCAGAAATCTGACTACCAGGGCCAAGGAATGCCTGCAGCCCAGGATTCCTCCTAAGCCGTGTCCCATCTGTGCGGGACCCCACTGGAAATCGGACTGTTCAACTCACCTGGCAGCCACTCCCAGAGCCCCTAGAACTCTGGCCCAAGGCTCTCTGACTGACTCCTTGGCTTAGCGGCTGAAGATTGACGCTGCCCAATCGCCTTGGAAGCCCCCAGACCATCACGGACGCCAAGCTTTGGGTAACTCTCACAGTGGAGGGTAAGTCCACCCACTGTTTAATCGAAACGGGGACTACCCACTCCATGTTGCCTTCTTTTCAAGGGCCTGTTTCCCTTGCCTCCATAACTGTTGTGGGTATGGACGGCCAGGCTTCTAAACCTCTTAAAACTCCCCAACTCTGGTGCCAACTTAGACATTACTCTTTGAAGCACTCATTTTTAGTTATCCCCACCTGCCCAGTTCCCTTATTAGGCCGAGATATTTTAAGCAAATTATCTGCTTCCCTGACTATTCCTGGACTACAGCCGCATCTCATTGCCGCCCTTCTCCCCAACCCAAAGCCTCCTTTGCGTCTTCCTCTCATATCCCCCCACCTTAACCCACAAATATGGGACATTTCTACTCCTTCCCTGACAACTGATCACATGCCCATTACCATCCCATTAAAACCTAATCACCCTTACCCCGCTCAACGCCAATATCCCATCCCACAGCACGCTTTAAAAGGATTAAAGCCTGTTATCACTGGCCTGCTACAGCATAGGCTTCTAAAACCTATAAACTCTTCTTATAATCCCCCCATTTTACCTGTCCAGAAACCGGACAAGTCTTACAGATTAGTTCAGGATCTGCGCCTTATCAACCAAATTGTTTTGCCTATCCACCCTGTGGTGCCCAACCCATACACTCTTTCATCCTCAATACCTTCCTCCACAACTCACTATTCCACACTTGATCTTAAAGATGCTTCTTTCAGCGTTCCCCTGCACCCCTTGTCCCAGCCTCTCTTTGCTTTCACCTGGACTGACCCTGACACCCATCAGTCCCAGCAGCTTACCTGGGCTGTGCTGCCACAAGGTTTCAGGGACAGCCCTCATTACTTCAGCCAAGCTCTTTCTCATGATCTACTTTCTTTCCACCCCTCCGCTTCTCACCTTATTTAATATATTGATGACCTTCTTCTTTGTAGCCCCTCCTTTGAATCTTCTCAACAAGACACACTTCTGCTCCTTCAGCATTTACTCTCCAAAGGATATCAGGTATCCCCCTCCAAAGCTCAAATTTCATCCTCATCTGTTACCTATCTCGGCATAATTCTCATAAAAACACACGTGCTCTGCCTGTTGATCTTGTCTGATTAATCTCCCAAACCTCAATCCCTTCCAAAACAACAACTCCCTTCCTTCCTAGGCATGGTTAGTGCGGTCAGAATTCTTACACAACAGCCAGGACCACACCCTGTAGCCTTTCTGTCCAAACAACTTGACCTTACTGTTTTAGCCTAGCCCTCATGTCTGCGTGCAGCGGCTGCCGCTGCTTTAATACTTTTAGAGGCCGTAAAAATCACAAACTATGCTCAACTCACTCTCTACATTTCTCATAACTTCCAAAATCCATTTTCTTCCTCATACCTGATGCATATACTTTCTGCTCCCCGGCTCCTTCAGCTGTACTCACTCTTTGTTAAGTCCCACAATTACCATTGTTCCTGGCCCGGACCTCAATCTGGCCTCCCACATTATTCCTGATACCACACCTGACCCCCATGACTGTGTTTCTCTGATCCACCTGACATTCACCCCATTTCCCCATATTTCCTTCTTTCCTGTTCCTCACCCTGATCACGCTTGATTTATTGATGGCGGTTCCACCAGGCCTAATCGCCACATAGCAGCAAAGGCAGGCTATGCTATAGTACAAGCCACTAGCCCGCCTCTTAGAACCTCTCATTTCCTTTCCATCGTGGAAATCTATCCTCAAGGAAATAACTTCTCAGTGTTCCATCTGCTATTCTACTACTCCTCAGGGATTATTCAGGCCCCTTCCCTTCCCTACACATCAAGCTTGAAGATTTGCCCCCACCCAGGACTGGCAAATTAGCTTCACTCAACATGCCCCGAGTCAGATAACTAAAATACCTCTTAGTCTAAGTAGACACTTTCACTAGATAAGTAGAGGCCTTTCCTACAGGGTCTGAGAAGGCCACCGCAGTCATTTCTTCCCTTCTGTCAGACATAATTCCTCAGTTTAGCCTTCCCACCTCTATACAGTCTGATAACGGACCAGCCTTTACTAGTCAAATCACCCAAGCAGTTTCTCAGGCTCTTAGTATTCAGTGGAACCTTCATATCCCTTACAGTCCTCAATCTTCAGGAAAGGTAGAACGGACTAATGGTCTTTTAAAGGTACACATCACCAAGCTCAGCCTCCAACTTAAAAAGGATTGGACAGTACTTTTACTTCTTGCTCTTCTCAGAATTAGAGCCTGTTCTCGAGATGCTACAGGGTAGGTACAGTCCATTTGAACTTTTATATGGACGCACTTTCTTGCTTGGCCCCAACCTCATCCCAGACACCAGCCCTCTAGGCGACTGTCTTCCAGTCCTCCAGCAGGCTAGACAGGAAATTCGCCAGGCTGCTAAGCTTCTCTTGCCTACTCCAGATCCCCAGCCATATGAAGACACCCTAGCTGGACGATCAGTTCTTGTTAATCTGACTCCTCAAACTCTACAACCTCGATGGACCGGACCCTACTTAGTCATCTATAGTACCCCGACTGCTGTCCGCCTGCAGGATCCTCCCCACTAGGCTCACCGTTCCAGAATAAAGCTGTGTCCATCGGACAGCCAGCCTAATCCCTCCTCTTCCTCCTGGAAGTTGCAAGTACTCTCCCCTACTTCCCTTAAACTCAGTCGTATTTCGAAGAACAGTCATAACCCTTATGAGCCTAATACATCCCTTCATTCTATTAGGTTTTTCGTCCTTACCCTACTTTTTGCAACAGGGCTTTACGAAGTCACCCCCACCACTTAGGCCGAGCCCCAAAAAACTAGTCATCCCTACTATCTTCTGTCTGGTCATACTCCTATTCTCCATTCTCAACTACTTATAAATGCCCTACTCTTGTTTACACGGCCGGTTTACACTGTTTCTTCAAGCCATCACAGCTGATATCTCTTGGTGCTATCCCCAAACTGCCACTCTTAACTCCCTCTTAGAGTGGATAGATGATCTTTGCTGGCAAGGCACCCTCCAATATTTCCACCCTGATGAAGTTCTATTCTTTACTTTTATACTCACTCTTATTCTCATTCCCATTCTTATGCCACCCTCTACCTCTCCCCAGCTATCTCCACCACACTATCAACCTTACCCATTCTCTCCTAGCCGCTTCTAATCCCTCCTTAGTGAACAACTGCTGGCTTTGCATTTCCCTTTCTTCCAGTGCCTACACAGCTGTCCCCACCTTACAGACAGACTGGGCAACATCTCCCATCTCCCTACACCTCCGAACTTCCTGTAACAGCCCTCACCTTTACCCTCCTGAAGAACTCATTTACTTTCTAGACAGGTCCAGCAAGACTTCCCCAGACATTTCACATCAGCAAGCTGCCGCCCTCCTTCACACTTATTTAAAAAACCTTTCTCCTTTCTCCTTTCTCCCCCCATATTCGGACCTCTCACAACACAAACTACTATGCCTGTGGCCGCTCCTATATGTATCTCTCGGCAAAGACCCACTGGAATTCCCCTAGGTAATCTTTCACCTTCTCGATGTTCCTTTACTCTTCATCTCCAAAGTCCAACTACACACATCACTCAAACAATGGGAGCCTTCCAGCTCCATATTACAGACAAGCCCGCTATCAATACTGACAAACTTAAAAACATTAGCAGTAATTATTGCTTAGGAAGACACTTGCCCTGTATTTCACTCCATCCTTGGCTACTTTCCCCTTGCTCATCAGACTCTTCCTCCCAGGCCCTCCTCTTGTTTACTTTTACCCAGCCCCGAAAATAATAGTGAAAGGTTGCTTGTAGATACTCAACGTTTTCTCATACACCATGAAAATCGAACCTCCCCCTCTATGCAGTTACCCCATCAGTCCCCATTACAACCTCTGACAGCTGCCGCCCTAGCTGGATCCCTAGGACTCTAGGTACAAGACACCCCTTGCAGCACTCCTCATCTTTTTACTTTACATCTCCAGTTTTGCCTCGCACAAGGTCTCTTCTTCCTCTGTGGATCCTTTACCTAACATGTGTCTACCTGCTAATTGGACAGGCACATGCACACTAGTCTTCCTTACTCCCAAAATTCAATTTGCAAATAGGAACGAAGAGCTCCCTGTTCCCCTCATGACACCGACACAACAAAGAAGAGTCATTCCACTAATTCCCTTGATGGTCGGTTTAGGACTTTCTGCCTCCACTATTGCTCTCGGTACTGGAATAGCAGGCATTTCAACCTCTGTCATGACCTTCCGTAGCCTGTCTAATGACTTCTCTGCTAGCATCACAGACATGTCACAAACTTTATCAGTCCTCCAGGCCCAAGTTGACTCTTTAGCTGCAGTTGTCCTCCAAAACCACCGAGGCCTTGCTTACTCACTGTTGAAAAAAGAGGACTCTGCATATTCTTAAATGAAGAGTGTTGTTTTTACCTAAATCAATCTGGCCTGATGTATGACAACATAAAAAAACTCAAGCATAGAGCCCAAAAACTTGCCAACCAAGCAAGTAATTACGCTGAACCCCCTTACGCACTCTCTAATTGGATGTCCTAGGTCCTCCCAATTCTTAGTCCTTTAATACCCATTTTTCTCCTTCTTTTATTTGGACCTTGGATCTTCTGTTTAGTTTCTCAATTCATCCAAAACTGTATCCAGACCATCACCAATCATTCTATACAACAAATGTTTCTTCTAACATCCCCACAATATCACCCCTTACCACAAGACCTCCCTTCAGCTTAATCTCTCCCACTCTAGGTTCCCACGCCGCCCCTAATCCCGCTTGAAGCAGCCCTGAGAAACATCGCCCATTCTGTCTCCATACCACCCCCCAAAAATTTTCACCGCCCCAATACTTCAACACTATTTTATTTTTCTTATTAACATAAGAAGGCAGGAATGTCAGGCCTCTGAGCCCAAGCCAAGCCATCGCATCCCCTATGACTTGCACGTATACATCCAGATGGCCTGAAGTAAATGAAGATCCACAAAAGAAGTAAAAATAGCCTTAGCTGATGACATTCCACCATTGTGATTTGTTTCTGCCCCACCCGAACTGATCAATGTACTTTGTAATCTCCCCCACCCTTAAGAAGGTTCTTTGTAATTCTCCCCACTCTTGAGAATGTACTTTGTGAGATCCACTCCTGCCCACAAAACATTGCTCTTAACTTCACCGCCTATCCCAAAACCCATAAGAACTAATGATAATCCACCACCCTTTGCTGACTCTCTTTTCGGACTCAGCCCGCCTGCACCCAGGTGAAATAAACAGCCATGTTGCTCACACAAAGCCTGTTTGGTGGTCTCTTCACACGGACGCGCATGAAACACTTCAATCTCTCCCTTAATTTCAATTCCTTTCATTTTCTGGTAGAGACAAAGGAGACACATTTTATCTGTGGACTCAAAACTCCGGCGCCGGTCAGAGACTGGGAAGGCAGCCTTCCCTTGGTGTTTAATCACTGCAGGGACGCCTGATTATTTACCCACGTTTCAAAGGTGTCAGACCATGCAGGGACGCCTGCCTTGGTCCTTCACCCTTAGCGGCAAGTCCCACTTTTCTGGCGGAGAGGCAAGTACACCAACCCCTTCTCTCCGTGTCTCTACCCCTTCTCTGCTTTTCTAGGGGAGGGGTAAGTACCCCAACCCCATGTATCTCTGCGCCCCGATCCCTTATTTCTGCGCCCCAATCTCTTATATCTCTGTGCCCCAATCCCTTATTTCCGTGCCCCAACCCCTTCTCTGCTTTTCTGGAGGGCAAGAACCCCCCACCCCTTCTCCGTGTCTCTACTCTTTTCTCTGGGCTTACCTCCTTCACTATGGGCAAGCTTCCACCTTCCATTCCTTTCTTCTCCCTTAGCCTGTGTTCTTAAGAACTTAAAACCTCTTCAACTCACACCTGACCTAAAACCTAAATAAATGCCTTATTTTCTTCTGCAATTCCACTTGACCCCAATACAAACTCGACAGTAGTTCCAAATAGCCAGAAAACGGCACTTTCAGTTTTTCCATCCTACAAGATCTAAATAATTCTTGTCGTAAAATGGGCAAACGGTCTGAGGTGCCTGATGTCCAGGCATTCTTTTACACATCAGTCCCTTCCTAGTCTCTGTGCCCAGTGCAACTCGTCCCAAATCTTCCTTCTTTCCCTCCCACCTGTCCCCTCAGTCGCAACCCCAAGCGTCGCTGAGTCTTTCTAATATTCCTTTTCTACAGACCCATCTGACCTCTCCTCCTCGCCAGGCTGAGCTAGGTTCCAATTCTTCCTCAGCCTCCGCTCCTCCACCCTATAATCCTTTTATCACCTCCCCTCCTCACACCTGGACCAGCTTACAGTTCATTCTGTGACTGGCCCTCCCCCACCTGCCCAGCAATTTACTCTTGAAAAGGTGGCTGGAGCTAAAGGCATAGTCAAAGTTAATGCTCCTTTTTCTTTATCCCAAATCAGATAGCGTTTAGGTTCTTTTTCATCAAATATAAAAATCCAGCCCAGTTCATGGCTCGTTTGGCAGCAACCCTGACACGCTTTACAGCCCTAGACCCTAAAAGGTCAAAAGGCCGTCTTATTCTCAATATACATTTTATTACCCAATCTGCTCCCGACATTAAATAAAACTCCAAAAATTAGAATCTGGCCCTCAAACCCCATAACAGGACTTAACTAACCTCACCTTCAAGGTGGACAGTAATAGAAAAAAGTGGCAATTCCTTGCCTCCACTGTGAGACAAACCCCAGCCACATCTCCAGCACACAAGAACTTCCAAACGCCTGAACCGCAGCAGCCAGGCGTTCCTCCAGAACCTCCTCCCCCAGGAGCTTGCTACACGTGCTGGAAATCTGGCCACTGGGCCAAGGAATGCCCACAGCCCGGGATTCCTCCTAAGCCGCGTCCCATCTGTGCGGGACCCCATGAAAATCAGACTGTTCAACTCACCTGGCAGCCACTCCCCAGAGCCCCTGGAACTCTGGCCCAAGGCTCTCTGACTCCTTCCCAGATCTCGGCTTAGCAGCTGAAGACTGACACTGCCCAATCCCCTCGGAAGCCCCATAAACCATCACGGACGCCGAGCATCGGGTAACTCTCACAGTGGAGGGTAAGTCCATCCCCTTCTTAATCAATACGGAGGCTACCCACTCCACATTACCTTCTTTTCAAGGGCCTGTTTCCCTTGCCTCCGTAACTGTTGTGGGTATTGACGGCCAGGCTTCTAAACCTCTTAAAACTCCCCAACTCTGGTGCCAATTTAGACATTACTCTTTTAAGCACTCCTTTTCAGTTATCCCCACCTGCCCAGTTCCCTTATTAGGCCGAGACACTTTAAATTATCTGCTTCCCTGAGTATTCCTGAACTACAGCTACATCTCATTGCCGCCCTTCTTCCCAATCCAAAGCCTCCTTTGTGTCCTCCTCTTGTATCCCCCAACCTTAACCCACAAGTATAAGATACCTCTACTCCCTCCTTGGCAACCAATCATGCACCCCTTACCATCTCATTAAAACCTAATCACCCTTACCCCACTCAATGTCCCATCCCATGGCACGCTTTAAAAGGATTAAAGCCTGTTATCACTCGCCTGCTACAGCATGGCCTTTTAAAACCTATAAACTCTCCTTACAATTCCCCCATTTTACCTGTCCTAAAACCAGACAAGGCTTACAGGTTACTTCAGAATCTGCGCGTTATCAACCAAATTGTTTTGCCTATCCACCCCGTGGTGCCAAACCCATATACTCTCCTGTCCTCAATACCTCCATCTACTACCCATTATTCTGTTCTGGATCTCAAACATGCTTTCTTTACTATTCCTTTGCACCCTTCATCCCAGCGTCTCTTTGCTTTCAGTTAGATGACCCTGACACCCATCAGGCTCAGCAAATTACCTGGGCTGTACGGCCACAAGGCTTCACAGACAGCCCCCACTACTTCAGTCAAGCCCAAATTTCATCCCCATCTGTTACCTATCTCGGCATAATTCTCATAAAAACACACGTGCTCTCCCTGTTGATCGTGTCTGATTAATCTCCCAAACCTCAATCCCTTACAAAACAACAACTCCCTTCCTTCCTAGGCATGGTTAGTGCGGTCAGAATTCTTACACAACAGCCAGGACCACACCCTGTAGCCTTTCTGTCCAAACAACTTGACCTTACTGTTTTAGCCTAGCCCTCATGTCTGCGTGCAGCGGCTGCCGCTGCTTTAATACTTTTAGAGGCCGTAAAAATCACAAACTATGCTCAACTCACTCTCTACATTTCTCGTAACTTCCAAAATCTACTTTCTTCCTCATACCTGATGCATATACTTTCTGCTCCCCGGCTCCTTCAGCTGTACTCACTCTTTGTTAAGTCCCACAATTACCATTGTTCCTGGCCCGGACCTCAATCTGGCCTCCCACATTATTCCTGATACCACACCTGACCCCCATGACTGTATCTCTCTGATCCACCTGATATTCACCCCATTTCCCCATATTTCCTTCTTTCCTGTTCCTCACCCTGATCACGCTTGATTTATTGATGGCGGTTCCACCAGGCCTAATCGCCACATAGCAGCAAAGGCAGGCTATGCTATAGTACAAGCCACTAGCCCGCCTCTTAGAACGTCTCATTTCCTTTCCATCGTGGAAATCTATCCTCAAGGAAATAACTTCTCAGTGTTCCATCTGCTATTCTACTACTCCTCAGGGATTATTCAGGCCCCCTCCCTTCCCTACACATCAAGCTTGAAGATTTGCCCCCACCCAGGACTGGCAAATTAGCTTCACTCAACATGCCCCGAGTCAGGTAACTAAAATACCTCTTACTCTAAGTAGACACTTTCACTAGATAAGTAGAGGCCTTTCCTACAGGGTCTGAGAAGGCCACCGCAGTCATTTCTTCCCTTCTGTCAGACATAATTCCTCAGTTTAGCCTTCCCACCTCTATACAGTCTGATAACGGACCAGCCTTTACTAGTCAAATCACCCAAGCAGTTTCTCAGGCTCTTAGTATTCAGTGGAACCTTCATATCCCTTACAGTCCTCAATCTTCAGGAAAGGTAGAATGGACTAAAGGTCTTTTAAAAACACACCTCACCAAGCTCAGCCTCCAACTTAAAAAGGACTGGACAATACTTTTACCACTTTCCCTTCTCAGAATTCAGGCCTGTCCTCAGAATGCTACAAGGTACAGCCCATGTAAGCTCCTGTATAGACGCTCCTTTTTATTAGGCCCCAGTCTCATTCCAGACACCAGACCAACTTAGACTGTGCCCCCCAAAACTTGTCATCCCTACTATCTCCTGTCTAGTCATATTCCTATTCGCCATTCTCAACTACTCATACATGCCCTGCTCTTGTTTACACTGCCGGTTTACACTGTTTCTCCAAGCCATCACAGCTGATATCTCCTGGTGCTATCCCCAAACTGCCACTCTAAACTCTTGAGGTAAATAAATAATCTTTGCTGGCAGGACTATGCTGAATCTCCTTAGGCACTCTCTAATCAGATGTCATAGGTCCTCCCAATTCTTAGACCTTTTATACCTGTTTTTCTCCTTCTCTTATTCCATTTAGTTTCTGAATTCATCCAAAACCGTATCCAGGCCATCACCAATCATTCTATACGACAGATGTTTCTTCTAACATCCCCACAATATCACCCCTTACCACAAGACCTCCCTTCAGCTTAATCTCTCCCACTCTAGGTTCCCACGCCGCCCCTAATCCCGCTTGAAGCAGCCCTGAGAAACATCGTCCATTCTCTCTCCATACCACCCCCTAAAAATTTTCACCGCCCCAACACTTCAACACTATTTTATTTTTCTTATTAATATAAGAAGGCAGGAATGTCAGGCCTCTGAGCCCAAGCCAAGCCATCGCATCCCCTGTGACTTGCACGTATACATCCAGATGGCCTGAAGTAACTGAAGATCCGCAAAAGTAAAAATAGCCTTAACTGATGACATCCCACCATTGTGATTTGCTTCTGCCCCACCCAAACTGATCAATGTACTTTGTAATCTCCCCCACCCTTAAGAAGGTTCTTTGTAATTCTCCCCACTCTTGAGAATGTACTTTGTGAGATCCACTCCTGCCCGCAAAACATTGCTCTTAACTTCACCGCCTATCCCAAAACCCATAAGAACTAATGATAATCCACCACCCTTTGCTGACTCTCTTTTGGGACTCAGCCCGCCTGCACCCAGGTGAAAAAAACAGCCATGTTGCTCACACAAAGCCCGTTTGGTGGTCTCTTCACACGGACGCGCACGAAACCCTCTACCCGCCAGGCATTGCTTTAGCAGCTGGGGATACGGCGCAAACCAAAACCACATCACAGCTGCCCTGGGGAGACCAGTCATCAACAGACAGCTCTTGGGCGCCTTGTTGAGCAAAGGGAGGGAAGGGCTGCCAGGCCTGGAGGGTGAGGGAACCCTGGCATCTGAGGGACGTGAGGGCACAGGCCATGTGGCCATCAGAGAAGACGCTGAAGAGGGAGGATGGGCAGGGGCTGGGGCCGGGCCACAGCGGGCCTCACAGATTGTGGTAAGCACCTGGGATTTCACGGGTAGCCGCCTGAAGCCTGCAAGCCCGGGCCATGATCAGATTACTTTACAACAGGATCTTTCTGGAGAACGGGTGCGGGGTGAGGACGCAATTGAAGGGAGCAGTTAGGAGGCTCCTGCAGCCGGCCAGGGTGCAAAGAGGACAGAGGCCATTACCTGGGAAGAGACCCCTGAAGCAAAAAGGGTTTATGCTAGTCCCCTGACAGTTGCTAGGCCTGCCCTTCCCTGCAGATGTCACATGCAGGGACAGAGGCCTAACGGCACGAGTCTCCTCCCGTGGTCCTGCTGGGGGCTGGTGGGGAGGTGTCTGTGGAATCTGAGTGATCTGTGTGCATGTAACTCGCTGACACTTAATAAAGCTAGGTCTGGAGAATCAATTCCCATCCAGGAAGGTGAAATCCTCCCGACCCTGGCTGCAGGAGCCTCTCTGGGTTGCTTCTCAGCTCCACCCGCTTTCAGAGAGCCGCACGGCTCGCAGGAGCATCTGCATCACAAACACAACCTGCCTCAGGCCTTCCTTTCTCTCCCGCCAAGGGTCTGCTTCTTTCTTTGTGACTCTCAGAGCATGGTGGGCTCCTTCCTGGGGTGCAGCCTTCTTGGGGCTGTGTCGAGCTTGCATACCAGAGTAGCTGCAAAGCAAGTGAAGCGGACCCCAAATGAAATGAAAGGAAAGCTGGCTGCCCTCTAGAATAATAAGGCTAGAGAACCGGAAATTTCAAATGCTGGATTTGCATATGCACTAAAGGTTACTTGATTCTAGTTGGGGAACTCAGCCACCTCCCAAGCTCCAAGAACAAAAACCCTGTTCCCTGGAGAAGGGAGGGAAGGGGGGAGGGAAGAATGAACGATCCAATTTCTCATTATAGTGTACCTGACAGGCACCAAAGAGAGGCCAGGGCTCAGTGAAATCCGCGCATTAATATTTAAATCCCTAATAGTCCCAAAGTCTGAGGATGAAACAGAAGGCATAGTGTTGGCCATGTTCAGATGCCAGGGGGCTGATGAGTCTCCCCACCGCAGCCCATTTCTGTACATGCTGTTGCTGACCTGTGCAGTGTAGCAGTGAACCCCAATCATCCAAAGAGAGGAACAGTGTGATCTATCACAGCCTGCGTGAACTGCTTCGCTGGTAGCAGTGGGTGTGTGCTGTGTGGATGCCTCCTATAGCACAGATGGACTCTCTGTAGCTCGTGGTCGGGACTCTTATTTATTTTTGAGACAGGGTCCCACTCTTGCCCAGGCTGGAGTGCACTGGTGCGACCATGTCTTGCTGCAGCCTCCACCTCCTGGGCTCAAGCGATCCTCCCACCTCAGCCTCCTGAGTAGCTGGGACTACAGGTGTGCACCACCATGCCTTATAGTCGATTCTTGCTATGGATGTTTATTTTGGTTGTTTAACAAGTATTTATCAAATTTCTAGGTATTATGGATGCAGGGACTGAAACCACATTTGCAAAAATTATAACTGAGAAAATGTTAACAGTGAAAGAGATCTGGCCTGACTCCATCTTGCTTCTAACCTCCAAGCTGTCCTTGTTCATTCCAGGGCACAGGCTGAACTAACCTTGGGAGGAATTCAGTTTATAGTTCAACTTTGTTTTTTTTGTTTTTGGAGACGGAGTCTCACTCTGTCACCAAGGTGGAGTGCAGTGGCACACTCTCGGCTCACTGGAATCTCTGCCTCCCAGGTTCAAGTGATTCTCCTGCCTCAGCCTCCCGAGTAGCTGGGATTACAGGTGTGCACCACCACACCTGGCTAATTTTTGTACTTTTAGTAGAGGCGGGGTTTCACCCTGTTGACCAGGCTGGTGTCAAACTCCCGGCCTCAAGTGATCGGCCTGCCTCAGCCTCTCAAAGTGCTGGGATTACAGGCGTGAGCCACCCTGCCCGGCCTATAGTTCAACTTTGAAACAAAGGATAACAGCTCTTTCCTGAAATAAACCCCCTTCTTGCCTGGGGACCAGTCTGCCTTTGTAGGACTAACAAATTAGTTACAAGATTAGAAATTATGGTTTTGGAGCCACGGAGCCTCTGGCTGCAAGAGTCTGAACCTCCCCACATTGCTCCTGAGAATAACATCGCTTGTAAATCCTAAGATCAGTGCTTGAGGTATTTTGCAGACCCTGCCTTCCAATGCAGCAGTTGACGCCACCCAGACAGGTAATATGATTCAACCGGCACTTTGATCCCACCCAAGGACAGAAGACAGCAAGAAAAACTCACTTCTACCCCCTATGATTTCATCTCCATGCTGACCAATCAGCAATCCACACCTCCAGAGCCCCTACCCACCAAGTTATCCTTAAAAACTCAAATCCCCAAATTCTTGGAGACTGATTTGAGTAATAATAAAACTCCAGTCTCCTGCACAGCTGGCTCTGTGTGAATTAGTCTATTGCAATTCTCCTGTCTTGATAAATTGGCTGTCTAGGCTGTGGGCAAGGAGAACCTGTGGAGGGGGTTACAAATTTGGGGGCTCATCTGTGATCTCCCTTGTGGCTATCTTCCAGCGATTCAGTAGCCTCCCCAACCCCCCTCACTGGTGATGGATCCAGAGGCCAGCCCAGGCGGCCACCTAGTTCTCTTCGACTGGGGGCTGACACTGGCACCATCTCTACTAATGGGGTGCTGCCAACCCATGGTGTATGGATTTAACTGCAATAAACAGTCCTGGGGAGACGTCCTGTAACTGTAGCCCCATCACAGGGTATCTGTCTGTAGCCCCATCATTGGGTGTCTGCCTGTAGCCCCATCATGGGGCATCTCTAGCTCTATTAGGTGGTATCTGTTTGTAGCCCCAGCATGGGGTATCTGCCCTAATTGTACAGAGAATAGGGGACTTGTTTGGAGGAATACTCTTGGTTTGTGATTTAGTCTGGAAACTCTTTCTGGAAGGTGTTTTGCTGTATGTGTTTGTATATGTGGAGGAGATGTCTAAGGGAATTGCTGAAGGAAGTCCATCAGGCTCTCCTAGTTTGTCTGGTTGGTCACATTCACTGAACCCTGAAGGACTTGTCAGCAGAAGCTCGGAAGTTTGACAGGGCTGCCTCGAGGGTGACCATCCGCTCTTCCATCTGGCTCAGAGACCATCCTTTGAATTCCCGGTGGAAGGCGTCCCTTCCCACCTTGAGTGGAGTGGATCAAAGATGACAGAGACCAACGGGAGCAAGTGTGAGCCTTGCCAAGTTGATGCTGGGCACTGAGCATAGTGACTAGTTTTGTCATGTGTACTCTGCTCTGGCCAGGATGGAAAATGTTAATTCAGTTCCCCATGCAGCCCATTGGGCAGCATCTTGAAAAATTGAGAGGCTTTTGCCTGTGGTTCCATAAAACAGAAACGGATGGTTTTCCTTTGCAATGCGACTTGGCGCCCACAGCTAGCGTGCAGCGATCAGGGTCATCAAGAGCTGCTCCGTTCTTCTGGAAGCTACAGAGAATGGGAACCCAGAAACCTGACATGCAGGCAAAAAGGGTAAACATTTCTTACCAGCCAGGCTTCTGGCCCCTCTCGCCGTGTATGAATGGAAAACATCACTGTTTGTCTCCTCTGCAAGGGTCTGATTAATAGAAAAAATCTTATGAGCCTAGACTTAGGCTGTAGGGAATCTGGTGCACTCTGTGCTGTGAATACAAATCCCCAGCTACTCTGGAGGCTGAGGCAGGAAAATCACTGGAACCCGGTGGGTGGAGGCTGCAGTGAGCTAAGATCGCACCACTGCACTCCAGCCTGGGCAATAGAGTGAGACTCCATCTCAAAAGAAAAAAGAAAAACAAAGACAAAGGCACAACCAGCTCTCACATGCCTCAGATGAATCACACATCCTCTCTCCTCACTCAGTGACTTAGGAGGGGGAGTCAGTATTCACACATTAATACGACACACCTTTCTAGAACACCTACTACCTGCCAAGCATTGCTTTAGTAGCTGGAGATACAGCGCAAACCAAACCCACTCACAGCTGCATCCTCTGTCATGGAGAGCAGGACCACAGAATAGGATGTGGACATAGGACCCCTCTAAGCCCGCTGTTCAATCCAGCCTGGCAGACTGGTCAGTTCCAAACTTTGCTCCAACAAAAACCAGATAAGGTTTCCCTCTTCTCTTGTTTTACGTCCTGAAAAACTTGACTTTGGGACCATGTCAGGGTACCCTCTTTTGGTCTCCGGCATCCAGAGGGCATGAATTTTTGGGTTCATGTCGGTAGCTGGTCTGAGAGGACATGTGACAGTGTCATGTCTAGCCTTAAGAATTATCTTGAGTAAAGTCCTGGATTCCCAGGAAGACCAGTGTAACAGCCTTCAGCTTTAGCTCAGTAGCTGAAGCTTTGCTATTTCACAGTGGTAGCCTGGGTCTGGTTCCCAGCTTACGGAATGGGTGCTCTCTGGTTTGTTATTTATGTAAGTTTTTTTTGTGTGCCATTTATTGATTCTTTCCCCACCATGGACAGCTTGCCTTGAAATCTGCCTTAAATTTTCTTTTCTCTAAACTACGTTTGGGGAGATTCTAAATCTTGTAAAAGAAAAAAACAAAAAACTGCTTACCATCCCTTTGAGACATCTTATACTTCTGTAGTTAAGTCATAATCTTAGATAAGACTTATTAATTTTGCTAGGAGGTTACCTGTGGTAAAGTTCAAAAGCCAGAAATACTGGCTGTCTATCCTGGCTAGAGTCTGGTAATAAGAAATTTAAAAAGATTTTGTAAAAAAAAAAAAAAAAAAAAAGAGTTCTACAGTTAAAATCTGCTTAATTAAAAATGGATATCCAAGTTTTATATATATATATAAATTTATAAATATATATATTTATAAATATATATTATATATAAAACATAATATATATAATATATATCATATATATCATATATTATATAACATATATATAATATATAACATATATATTATATATTATACAATATATATAATATATATTATATAAATATATAAATATGTATAAATATATATAAATATATATATATAAATGTGTGCATATATATATATATATATATATATATATATATATATATATATGCACACATTTAAAAGGCCTTTGTGGGCTGGGTGCAGTGGCTCATGCCTGTAATCCCAGCACTTTGAGAGGCTGAGGCAGGGGGATCACTTGAGGTCAGGAGTTCAAGACCAGCCTGGCCAACATAGTGAAACCCTGTCTCTACTAAAAATACAAAAATTAGCCAGGCCTGGTGGCGTGTGCCTGTGGTCCCAGCTACTCGGGAGGCTGAGGCACGAGAATCACTTGAACCCGGGAGGCAGAGGCTGCAGTGAGCTTAGATCATGCCATTGCACTCTATCTAGCCTGGGTGACAGAGCAAGACTCCATTTCAAAAAAAAATAAAAATAAAAATAAAAAAATAAAAAAAAGGCCTTTGTGCTTTTTCTCTTCCTGGATTTTTTTTTTTTCTTCGAGGAATGAGTTTTTGTTTGTCTTTCTTCTCAGTCAACTGAATTATTTCCCCAGTCTGTCTTCCTGCCACTCTGAATGCCCACATGAGAGGACCTAAGGTACTTTCTGACAGCTGGGGACTCCTTGGGAAAAAGAGAGAAGGCTCCACAGACCCTGTTTTGGGAGAAACTCTGTTTTCCTCATAAAACCCCAAGAAGTGTAAGCAGACAGACCCCTCTCAAAATCTAAGGCTCTGTTCTGTTTTGAATCACATTACTTGGCCTTTTTCACTTTTGAGGGCATCAGGAATTACTTTAGTAGGGGAGAGAGATATGTGAAAAAAGTTGAGGCTATAAAGATGTATTTTTGGTAAGGATGATTATAAAAAAAGAAATTTATATGAGAAAAGATCTTGTATGGTAAATTCTTGTCCTAAAATAGAACGACTGATTATTCACGAAAGAGGGACACATAGGACAAGTCAGACAGTCCAAGCATGGCATAGATGGTCTCTGTGAGTCGTGACAAGATTTGTAAAATGGGGAAAAAAAACCCCTAAAAAATCAGCAAATGAAAAATCTTAACTAATGCATCTTCTTCGGTCTATATATTTATAATGTTGTGTGTGTGATGTTTAAGAGCTGTAATTAATTGGCTTAAAAAATAAGCACTTAAATATTTTTTCAAAGAAATAGCAACTCTAATGCATTTTAGTTCACATGACGTTAGTAATCTTTGGTAAATAAAGATAGTTTTAAAGATTATTGATGAAATAAAACTGTCTTCATTTGGTCTGAATTAGGCAGATCAGATACTGTTTCTGCTGGATGCTTTAAGGTCATAAGTGGCTTCTGTGACTTTTGTAATTGTTCAATTTACCTACTTTAGAGCCATTAGATTCCAGATAAGGCCTGGGGACATATGGAGGTAGCCATGACTCCTAGCTAGGCCAGAGAGAGTCAGACTTTATCTGCAGTTCTGTCCTGTATTCTAGGCTCTGCACTTGGTATGTAATTAAAACTGCTTAAAGACATGGGAATATGGGTTTTTTTAAAAGAGAAAATCTTCTCTAATTTAGAGAGTTTAAAGATTATTTTTGGTTGAAAGACAAAATAAAACTGAAAGTTTAAGCAAATTGTAGGTTTGTGAAAAATTAACTTTGTGAACAACTCTGTGTGTGAGCAAGCTGGCTAAAATCGAAAGGGTATTATTTAATTTTTTCCATAAATTAAATATTAAAAGCATACTGATGCAGGGCCAGAATCTGGGCCCATATATCAAAATAATAGGGTTTTATGCCAGATGCGGTGGCACATGCCTGTAATCCTAGCACTTTGGAAGGCCGACGCAGGCAGATCACGAGGTCAGAAGTTCGAAACCAGCCTGGCCCATATGGTGAAATCCTGTCTCTACTAAAAATACAAAAATTAGCCGGGCGTGGTGGCACACGCCTGTAGTCCCAGCTACTCGGGAGGTTGAGGCAGAAGAATTGCTTGAACCTGAGAGGCAGAGGTTGCAGTGAGCTGAGAATGTGCCACTGCACTCCAGCCTGGGCAATGGAGCAAGACTCCATCTCAAAAAAAAAAAAAAAAATAGTGTTTTATTTTTGAACACTGATTTGTTAACAAACAATTATAAAGGGTTATATAAAAGGTTTACGAAAATGTTACCCTACAGTCAAACTAAAATCGGATACATTTGTTTGTAAAATTTTATTAAAAACTAGCTTTGGCTAGGAGTGGTGGCTCACAACTGTAATCCCAGCGCTTTGGGAGGCTGAGGTGGGCGATCACGTGGGGTCAGGAGTTCAAGACCAGCCTGGCCAACATGGCGAAACCCAGTCTCTACTAAAAAATACAAAAATTAGCCAGGAGTGGTGGTGGGTGCCTGTAATCCCAGCTACTTGGGAGGCAGGAGAATCGCTTGAACCCAGGAGGCGGAGGGTGCAGTGAGCCGAGATCATGCCACTGCACTCCAGCCTGGGTGACAAGAGTGAAACTCCGTCTCAAAACTACAACAGGCCGGGCACAGTGGCTCATGCCTGTAATCCTAGCACTTTGGGAGGCCGAGGTGGGTGGATCACGAGGTCAGGAGATCAAGACCATCCTGGCTAACATGGTGAAACCCCGTCTCTACTAAAAAATACAAAAAATTAGCCAGGCGTGGTGGCACACGCCTGTAGTCCCAGCTACTCGGGAGGCTGAAGCAGGAGAATGGCATGAACCCAGGAGATAGAGCTTGCAGTGAGCTGAGATCGTGCCACTGTACTCCAGCCTGGGCAACAGAGCGAGACTCCACCTCAAACAACAACAAAAACAAAACTAGCTTTAGCATTAAAGATGCACTAATGCGAGATAAAATTTGGTTTTCTCTTTTGAAGAATATTTTTATGTAATATTGACAGAGAGAGACAATGAAAGATTTTTATTTGGCTTTGGAGTAAACTATTAAAAAAAATAAAAGAAAGATTCAGTTGGCCTCATGCTATCTTCACTGGGTTTTGTTGTTTAGAAAGCTGAGTCTTCTCTCTATCAGAGTAAAGGTTTTTCCTGTTACAAAATGTTTGAGTTATCATTGTGGCTAAATGAATTACTTATGGTGACCTGGGATTCTACTTTGTGATATCTAGTGTTTCAAACCTTTGATATTTAACAAACTTCCCAAGATCAAATTCTAAGTTAAAAAAAAAAAGTCCCCTAAAGTCCAAAAGAGGCATATTTGGCTTATTTGGTGTATTAAAATTATGTAGGAAGCACTGTCAAATATAAAAAAGTGTTTAACTTTCTTTGGGTTTATAGTCGTATAACTATGTTATTAGTATGTGTTACAAAATTGTGTAAGACTCCTATAATTCTGATACGTCTCAGTATATGTTATGAGTAATAATTATAACTGTTCTGTTAAACTGTGTGTCACAGAGATGACCAGATTTCCTTGTTGACTGCATCTTTAACTACGGCTGTCCTGAGACTTTTGTTACCCACAGGCAGTTGCTGTCTTGGTTTTATCCTTTTCAAAAGGCAGTTTATAATCAGATATAGTACTCTAATGGGTACTCTTGAATGCAGGTCTCTGATAACTTTACAAATTGTGCCATTGGAATGGAGGAAAAAAAACTTCTAGGATCCTCATGGAGAGCTGATGTGTTAAACATTGTTAATCCTTTTGTTTTTCAGAGTCCAGAAAACTATTTTTCTTTTGAGCTATTTACAACTTTAACAATTGAGTTAAAGTATACTTCTGTGAGCAAAATTTAGAGCATATTGCCTTCTCTCTGATTTCTCCAGAATTTGGAAACTATTTGTGAGTATTCTCAACTTATGGCAGTATAATTATTTGTGCAAGGGCAGTAACAATCTGTTTTCTTTTGTAATAGGATACAATTAGAGATGCCGGTTACTTTACCAAGGCTTTGACTGGTACGACATACTTTCAAATATAAACAGACTGCTTTAAGGAACAAAGTTGACTAACAGAGCCAATAGAAGTCCCTTGGAAAAGCTGGCCTCATACCTTGTCTACACAGTCCCTGTACGGGGTTCCTGAACTGTGGTAAATAAAGACCGTCACTTTTTGACAGGCCCAGGAGCCCCAAATTATCTTAGGACCATGAGAAGAAAAAATTTCACCCAACTCATACAGGTTTATCTTTGCAGGTATAGTAGATAAATCCATGGCTGGGCTCGAGGCTTTAAAAAAGTCTAACCTGAGATTTCTTATGGAACAAAGTTTCAGCAAAGCCAATTTTAAAAACAGCCTATCTGGCAAACAATTATTCTTGCTTTACTTTATACAAATAATCAGGCCAAGCTTAATAAGACTATGACTTATTTTGCAAGTAAACTTGTCCTACTACGGTTTGTCTTTAATAAAAATAAGGATGGGAGAGGGAAAAAAGTGTTTCAAAAAACTATGATACACCCTGCTGTTAGATTCTAGTCTTGTCCTTTGTTCTTGAGTTTTTATTATTTCCTGCAATTTGGACTAAATCCTGAATTCTCTGTGGGCTACAATTCCCAAACTAATGCTTTCAATTTTTTTTTCCCACTTTTCTGACTTGGACTCAATTAAATTGCTACTACCTTTTTCCTGAGGCCCTGCAAGCTGAAGCTTATTCTTTGTAATACAGATGACAAAAACATGTCAAATTGCCACTGCCTTCCTCCTCTATAACTAAAGATGCCTAGCCCATCTCCAGTGCCATCTCTTGATAATGGAAACAGCTGTTTAACTGAACTGATCTAGTCTTAGGACTAGGAAAACTGACTAAAAAGATAAGGATGAGTATATTTAAATTTCCTCTTTCCTGTCTACCCCAATCTGTCTGTCTAACAACCTCTGACCCAAATCTCTCTCTGCTAGTAACCCCATGTCTGATTGGTTCTTGGAGCTATTTACCTGGGTCCCTCAGAGCTTAGGATCAATTCTACAAAAGCTTCTGAAGCCAGGACTTTCACTCTTTATCCTAGGACTCATTTGTTAAAACTATAGATGAGAATACTAATGCCTTTGTCATGCAGGCCTTCAAACCCTAACCAGGAACCCCTGAGTAGAAGCAGACAGCTGCAAAGTGGTTTCACTCCTCCTACCTTTGGGTCAACACCTACCCTGACTACGCTCCCTGTCAGCAGAAAGAAGCTAGAGCGGTTATCACTCTTTTCCCATCTTCATATCCCACAGTATGAAGTATTAGGAATAAGGTATTATAAAACCCAACAGGAGGAACTGAAACTGTCTTTGCAAAAATTTTAACTGAGAAAATTATGATGGTGACCTAAATGACTCCATCTTGCTTCTAACTTCCAAGATGTCCTTGTTCATTCCTGGATGCAGACCAAACTAACCTTGGGAGGAATTCAGTTTATAGTTTAACTTTGAAACAATGCCGGTAACAGCCCTTTCCCTGAAATAAACCCCCTTCTTGCCTGGGGACCAGTCTGCCTTTGTAGGACTAACAAATTAGCTACAAGAGTCTGAACCTCCCCAAATTGCTCCTGAAAATAATATCACTGTCATAAAACCTAAGATTGTGCCTGAGATATTTTGTAGACCCTGTGTTCTGATGCAGTATCTGATGCCACACAGACAGGTAATCTGGCTCAACCAGCTCTTTGATCCCACCAGGAACAGAAGATAGCAAGAAAAACTCACTTCCACCCCCTATGATTTCATCTCCAAGCCGACCAATCAGCAATCTCCACTTCCCAAGCCCCTACCCAGCAAGTTATCCTTAAAAACTCTGATCCCCAAATTCTTGGAGAGGCTGATTTGAGGAATAATAAAACTCCAGTCTCCTGTACAGCCAGCTCTGCGTGAATTACCCTTTGTCTACTGCAACTCTCCTGTCTTGATAAATCGGCTCTTGTCTAGGCAGTGGGCAAGGAGAACCTGTTGGGCAGTTACAGGGCCAATGAGACAAGAGCCTGCTCTGAAATGGCGTAGAGCAGTAGTGGCTCTCCCTGGCTAGAGTCCCTGGGGATGCCTTAAAAATGCTTGTTTGGGGCATGGCCCAAGCCCAGGGTCATGATGTTTTGAAAGTGATCAGGTGATTCCAATATATATCCAGGGCTGAGCACCAGTGACTTAGAATCTAGGAAAAAACACCCCTTGGCTTGGGGGCGAGGGTGGAACCTGAGCTGGCCAAGGGGCTAGTGGCCCTAGGGCGAGTGACCCTTGGGTCTGTTGACGGCTCTGAGCACAGCCCTCTCATTTCACCTCTCCGGCCTTCAAGGGCAGAGGAGACAGCTCTGTGACGGATCTGGGCCTGGAATGCCCACAGGAGATGCCGATTCTGCGGACATCAAGGGGCTCCCTGGAAGGCCAGCCCCACTCCAGGGGTTTGAAGCCAGTGTCTCCCTGAATGAAAGAGCTTCAGCACAGACACAGGCAGGGATGCTCACTCTGTGGGCTGGTTGTTAGCCACAGTCCTATTCCTGGGACCAACACCCAGGGCCATGGACTCTGTGGAGTCTGGCACTCAGGAGGAAGGTGGGCTAGCAGGAACATCTGAAGCTCGTGGCTCCCATGCATGACACCCTGCTTCCTGGCCTCCCACACAGGAGCGGGTGGGACATCTCCACCAGGCTGAGAACCTCTCATCAATTTCTGCCAGTCAGTTCTGGAAGCTGACTGTGGGAGCGGCAATTCACTCAGGGTCCCTCCAGGAGTGAGGGACTCACATGTTAAGAAGCTAAGTCTGCCACCAGCCACACAAGAAGACCTGGGTCTCAAATCATGTGGTCCCAGCAATAAGTAGTAAGACAGATCTATCCACAGAATCCATTCTGTGCCCTCCTTAGCCTTGAGTCCTGAAAGAGCTACAGATGCTAGGCATGGTTAAGTCCAGGATCGCAAAGGCCAACTGCCATCCAAAGCCTAACTTGGAACCTGAGGACAGGAGGACATGGTTCACTAATTCACGCTCTAATGAACTGTTGGAAGGTGTGTAGGAAGGTGCTCACTCACAAGGATGGCCCTTCACTGAGGGACTTGGCAGGCTCCAATCTCTTAGGAAAATCTCAATAACAGATGAGCCTTTGAATAACTTTCTTAGAAAGTGAAGGAAGCAGACGCTGGTTGTGGACCAGGCCAAAGATGCATGTCCCAGCTGCCTTTCCTGAGTCAGGCCCTGCGTCACCCACTTTCCTCAGATGCCTTCACTTCATTCTCATATGACTCCTTCAGAAGAGCAACTGTGGTC
The DNA here is from genome assembly GCF_000001405.40 of Homo sapiens. Taxonomy (NCBI): domain Eukaryota; kingdom Metazoa; phylum Chordata; class Mammalia; order Primates; family Hominidae; genus Homo; species Homo sapiens. Next base: position 8,820,649 of record NC_000016.10, on the reverse strand, counting down.
GGGAGTGGTGGCTCACGCCTGTAATTCCAGCACTTTGGGAGGCCAAGGTGGGCGGATCACTTGAGGTTAGGAGTTCAAGACCAGCCTGGCCAAGATGGTGAAACCCCGTCTCTACTAAAAATACAAAAATTAGCCAGGCGTGGTGGTGGGCACCGGTAATCCCAGCTACTCAGGAGGCTGAAGTGGGAGGATCACTTGAGCCCAGGAGTTCAAGATTACAGTGAACCAAGATTGCGCCACTGCACTCCAGTCTGGGTGACAGAGTGAGACCTTGTCTCAGGAAAAAAAAAAAAAAAAAGAAGAACTGTGTCCTCACTGGGCTGACGAGGTCACTGTCACTGTCCTCACTGTCACAAGGTCACTGGTGAATGGTGGGGCCAGATCTGGGTCAACATGGTCCACACTGATACAAACCTCTTTTAAGCTAATTTTGTTTTTCTTTATTTGTTTATTGAGACAGAATTTCACTCTGTTGCCCAGCCTGGAGTGCAATGGCACAATCTCAGCTCACTGCAACCTCCGCCTCCCGGGTTCAAGCGCTTCTCCTGCCTCAGCCTCCTGAGTAGCTGGGATCCAGGCATGCGCCACCACGCCCAGCTAATTTTTGTATTTTTAAGCTAATTTTAAAGGCAGATCTTCCTTATTAACATTTCTGGAGAATAAAATGTTGCACAATTTACTTAAAAGGAAGGCAGGTAGCATGTTAGAAGCGATGTAGGAGAATGACAGAGGCGAGGCTTTCAGATCCCAGCTTAGTCTCTGACTAGCTGAGACCCTGGACTTCCCACTGTGCTTCCTCTGTAAGAGGGAGGATGCTGCTGTCTCCCCTGGGAGCATGTACAACATAAGTGTCCAGCTCAGGGTCTGACACTGAGGAAGTGCTGGAAGATTTACATTTCCTCCCTTTTTTCAATTTTTAAAAATTTTTAATTTTTATTGTTTTTTTTTTTTTTAAGAGACGAGGTCTCGCTCTGTTGCCTAGGCTGGAGTGCAGTGGCGCAATCGTGGCTCACTATAATCTTGAACTCCTAGGCTCAAGTAATCCTCCCACTTCAGCCTCCCTAGTAGCCAGGATTACAGGGATTACTCAGATCCTTTTCTCAAGTTGATTTAAAAATTTTATTTTTCAATAGATAGCACATTCATATAGTTCAAACATATTAAGAAAGAGTTAAGACCTAGGTGGCAATTCTCTCTCCTGTCCTCCCCACCCCCACAGTAACCTCTGTAAATTTCATCCATTCAGACTCCTTTTATGCATTTATAAGCTAACAAAAAGAGAAATTCCTTTGCCCTCTTTAGACAAAAATGTAGCCAGCACATTACTTATATTGTCCTGCACTTTGCTTTGATCACCTAACAAAAAGCCCTAGAGATGGGTCCACATGGACTCTTTTTACAGCTACATGGCATCCCAGTGCAGAGACAGACCACTGTCATGTGGCCAGCCTCCTGAGGAGCAGCGGGGCTGTCCCCAACCCTGAACCCTCTGCGTGAGTCTTTCACACATGCTTGAGTGCACTGATAGCCAAATTACCCAAAATGGAAGCGTCAAGTCAAAAACCAAACCAGCTGCTTGATATTCATGAAGTGTTAGAATGTTTTCATGTTGCAACTGCCTTAAAGCCAAGATGACTTTTACAGAAAGCATGGGTAAGTACAGGTTCTCTTGCCTGCGAATTCAGAGTGGCTGAGGGTGATCCAGCCAGGGTGGTTTCTGGAAAGCCATGCAGAGCCATGTGTGGTGTGTGCTCTCTGCCCTTGCCGTCTCTCTCTCTCTGCAACAAACCAAGGTACTCCATGCCAGGCCCAGGGCCTCCATGCTGAACTCAGAGCCAGATTTTAAGAAACACTGGCTTTTGTGGCTGATGGGAAGAATGACAGGGTTTCTGAAGATGGCAAATATTTTGAAAAGCAACGGCCAACGCCACACTTCCTCACTCTGCTCTCGAGTTGCTCCAAGCAGATGGCACCCTTTATGTAACACCAGACTCTGCCTCCTGGAGGCTGTGCTGCTGGAAGAGGCTGCTAAGCCTCAGGGCCTGGCTGAGAAATGGCTTTTTTACTGACAGCCTCAGCTCAGGATCACTTCCCTGGACGCCGGCAAAAACATCAAACTTCATTAGGAAAGGAAAAAACCCCAGCTTTCTAAATGTCTATCACTGAAAATGCAAAGTGTAAGGCTAGTATTTGGATTGCTCTGCACCTGAAGTTTCAAGAACTGATAGGTTGTTTGAAGGTTTACATGGCTGGACTGCTAATTTCCATTTCTAGAAAACCGCTGACGAAAAGGATCAGGGATGGGGGCAAAGAATCGTGCAAGAATGTTCACCACAGCATTAGTTATGATAGCAAAACCCCTTAAACCACCCAACGTGCCTCTGCAAGGGAGGTGAGTAACTGATGCCTAATGAGAGAATATTATACAGCCATTAAAAATCTTCTTTGCGCCAGGCGCAGTGGCTCACGCCTGTAATCCCAGCACTTTGGGAGGCCGAGGCGGACGGATCACGAGGTCAGGAGATCATGACCATCCTGGCTAACATGGTGAACCCCATCTCTACTAAAAATACAAAAAATTAGCCGGGCGTGGTGGTGGGCACCTATAGTCCAAGCTACTCGGGAGGATGAGGCAGGAGAATGGTGTGAACCCGGGAGGTGGAGCTTACAGTGAGCCGAGATCACGCCACTGCACTCCAGCCTGGGTGACAGAGCAAGACTCTGTCTCAAAAAAAAAAAAAAATCTTCTTTGCAAAGAATATTCACTAATATGATAAAAATAAAATACGTTAAGAGAAAGAAAACTAAAACTAAAACAACATGTAAGGATCCCACTTTTGGGATCATATACATAGAAAGGCTGGGACATTGTTGGATGATTATAGGTGACTTTCTTTTTCTTCTTCGTACTTTCTCTAATTTTCTATAATGAATGCACAGGTTAATTTACAATTGGGGGAAAGCTTCCATTAAATAATACTCATTTTTTAAAACGTAGGTAAGATTTTAAAAATAGAATCCAGGCATGGTAATGCAATGGTTAAACAGAATAGAAAACCCTCTAATTCCCAAATGAAGAATTCCCAAAATAAGTCATTTTCTGATTATCCAAGAACTGCATTCCATTCTGCAAAGTCCCAACTGAGGCTTCTAAATGGCTATTTACATGAAGCAAGAATGTCATCATTACAGAACAATCTGCTGTCGTGTGTCTTAATAGCTCTCCTCTCTGTCTACAAGAAATGGCACCAAGCTAGAGAAGGACTGAGGAAGCTTCCGGGCATCCCTTAGATCCTAGGTGTCATTTCATTAGCTTAATTTTTTTAAAGACATGAAGTCAGACGGTGATCTTTTTCAAAGCCTGCACTGAAAGCATTTCTGCATCAAAAGCATTTCAACAAAAGGATGTGGTTATAAAACCATATGTAACTGTCATTAAGAACAAACCTGAATGCTACACCTCCTTCAAAGTACCCAGTTCATCTGGGATTTAGAACAAGATCTTTCTACCCCACTGAGAGAGAGCTTATCGTAGTGGAAAGCACACTCATTTAAACAGCAGGTATCACCAGCTGTGGTAGTGCACGCCTCTAATTCCAGCTACTTGGGAGGCTGAAGCGGGACAATTGCTTGAACTCAGGAGTTGGAGTACAGCCTGGGCAACACAGCAAGACCCTGTCTTTATTTTATTTTATTTTAAACAGCAGGTATCTCTTTGTGATCCTGATTTCAATTATTTTGGATATATATCTCTAAGTGGAACTGCTGGATCATATGGCAGTTCTATTTTTAATTTGAGGAACCACTATGTAGTTTTCCATCATAGCTATGACATTTAACATTTCCCACAACAGTGTACAAGGGTTCTAATTTCTCCACACCCTCGCCAACATTTATTTTATCTTTTTGAGACCGAGTTTCGCTCTTGTTGCCCAGGCTGGAGTACAATGGCACAATCTCAGCTCACTGCAACCTCCACCTCCCGGGTTCAAGCAATTCTCCTGCCTCAGCCTCCCAAGTAGCTGGGATGACAGGTGTGCACCACCATGCCCAGCTAATTTTGTATTTTTAGTAGAGACGGGGTTTCTCCATGTTGGTCAGGCTGGTCTCGGAACTCCTGACCTCAGGTGATCCGCCCACCTTGGCCTCCCAAAGTGCTGGGATTATAGGTGTGAGCCACCGCACCCAGCCACCAACATTAAAAAAAACAAAATTAGCCATCCTGGCCCAGTGTGGTGGCTCACGCCTATAAGCCTAGCACTTTGGGAGGTCAAGGTGGGTGGATCACTTCAGGTCATGAGTTCGAGACCAGGCTGGCCAACATGGTGAAACCCCATTTCTACTAAAAATACAAAATTAGCTGGGCATGGTGGCGGGCGCCTGTAATCCCAGCTACTCGGGAGGCTGAGGTATAAGAATAGCTTGAACTCAGGAGGCAGTGGTTGCAGTGAGCCAAGATCGCATCACTGCACTCCAGCCTGGGTGACAGAGCAAAACTCCGTCTCAAAATAAAATAAAATAAAATGGCCATCCTGGCAGGTGTGAGGTTTATCTCATTGTAGTTTTGATTTGCATTTCCCTGAACACTGATGTTGAGCCTTTTTTTATATACCCACTGGCCATCTGCATGTCTTCTTTGGAGAACTGTCTATTCAAGTCCTTTGCTCATGTTTTAAATTGTTTTTTTTTTTGCCATTGAGTTGTTGGAGTTTCTTATACATTTTGGATACTAGCCCTTTTATCAGATATATGGTTTGCAAATATTCTCTTCCCCTCTGTAGGTTGCTTTTTCATTCTGATTATTTCCCTTGCTGTGCAGACACTTTTTAGTTTGACGTTGTCCAACTTGTTTGTTTTGCTTTTGTTGCCTGTGCTTTTGGTGTCACATCTAAAATATCATTGCTTTTTCCCTATGTTTTTTTTCTAGGAGTTTTACAGTTTCAGGTCCTGTGTTTAAGTCTTTAATCCATGGGTAGATGGCCAAAAGGACGAAGTCAGGATCTCAGAGAGGTATCTGTACCCCCGTGTTCACTGAAGCATTATTCATAATGGCCAAGATACGGAAACAACTCATGTGTCTACTGACAGAAGAATGGATCAAGAAAATGGAGTATATTCTGACCGGGCACGCTGGCTCACGCCTGTAATCCCATCAATTTAGGAGGCCAAGGCAGGTGAATCTCTTGAGGCCAGGAGTTCGAGACCAGCCTGGCCAATGTGGCAAAACCCTGTCTCTACTAAAAATACAAAAATTAGCCGGGCGTGGTGGCAGGCTCCTGTAATCCCAGCCACTAATCGGGAGGCTGAGGCACGAGAATCACTTGAACCAGGGAACCAGGGAGGTGGAGGTTGCAGTGAGCCAAGATGGTGCCACTGCACTCTAGCCTGGGCGACAGAGCGAGATTCTGCCTCAAGAAAAAAAAAAAAAAAAGAAAGAAAATATAGTGTATTCATACCATGAAACATTATTCCGCCTTAAAAAATAAGGAAACTTGCCATTTGTGCCAGCATGAGTAAACTGAGAAGACATACTGAGTGAATAAGCCCCTTACAGAAGGATGAATACTGCATGATTCCCCTTGTATCAGATATCTAAAGGTGCTAAAGTCATATAAGCAGAGAAAAGAACGGTGGTTGCCAGGGACGGGGCGGTGGAGGAGGGAGATGGAGAGTTGTTGTTCAATGGGTGTAATGTCTCAGTTATGTAAGATGTGTAAGTTCTACAGATCTGTTGGACAAACAGAAGTGCCTATAGTTAACAATACTGTATTGTACACTTAGAAACTTGTTAAGAGGGAATATCTCATGTTAAGTGTTCTTATAACAATAGCAACAAAAAAATCCCAAACCGCCCCCAAAACCAAAGAGGCACAATGATTAAACTCACGAAACTGTGAGCGTTAAATATGTACAGCTTTTGCTGATCAATTATACCTCAATAAAGCTATTTAAAACATACAAAGAACAGGTAGACTTCTTCTGGTGCCACCAGCTCTGTCATTAGCCGTGTGACCTTCGGCAAATCCCTTACCCTTTATGGGTTTCAGTTTTATCATTCTGAAAATAAGTAACAAGCCTCTACTACCACTGTGTACCCCTCATGCTGGAAGACTGTGACGTGGGGACCCTGCTGAAAAGCAAATCTTTCATGGGTAGATCTTAGCAGTGCAGCAAGGATTTTGGAGTGGACCAGAGATCAGAGGGATGAGAAACTCTGAATATGCAGCATTTATGATGCACCTGCTAGGTGCAGGATGGCGAGAAAGCCTGACACGGGCCTGCTGATGGCAAGGTAACCAACACCCCCAGCCTGCATGTGGGAGGGAGGCAGAGGGGCCCAGAGGATGGGAGTAACTGAAAAGGTGATGGGGCTGGGCGCGGCCTGTCATCCCAGAACTGAGAGGCCGAGGTGGGTGGATCGCTGAGGCAGGCAGATTCCTTGAGGCCAGGAATCAAGACCAGCCTGGCCAACATGATGAAACCCTGTCTGTACTAAAAATCACACCTGTCATCCCAGAACTTTGAGCGGCCGAGTTGATTGGATCACTTGAGCCCAGGGGTTTGAGACCAGCCTGGTTAACATGGTAAAACCCTATCTCTACTAAAAACACAAAAATCAGCCAGGTGTGGTGGTGCATGCCCGTAATATCAGGTACTCAGGAGGCTGAGGCACAAGGATTGCTTGAACCTGGGAGGCAGAGGTTGCAGTGAGCCAAGATTGCACCACTGCACTCCAGCCTGGGCAACAGAGCGAGACTCTGTCTCAGAAAAAAAAAAAAAAAAAAAAAAAAAGAGAAAGAAAAGGAGCTGGCCCAAAGCTGGGTGGTGATGAGCCTCCTCTTGGGCCTTTGATGGCAGCAACGCCTCTCTGACCTCCTGGGGATCCACCTTGCCCCACGGAGAGGACACCTGGGGGCATTTCTTCTATGTATTCCTCCTGCTGGCCCTGGCCTTTAACACTGGGCTCTGCTCTCAGTTCTCAGTTTAGATTTGGCCCTGAACTCGAGATTTCTGACATCCCTTGGGGGCAGCTCCAAGCACCCGCCGTGTGTGATGCCTGGGACTCACTTGGCCTCTTTGCTGTTGCTGGTGTCCTCTCCTGTTTCAGGCTCATGAGATCATTCCCTATCCTCCCATCGTTCATGGCCCCTCGTGTTCAACTTAGAATGAATGCCTCGGGTGGACAAATACAGTGGAAAAATGAGGTTGAAACAGCCAGAGCTTTGAAACGCAGAGGGTTTGACAGTGGCACCGGGGACTGGTATTCTGGAAGGCACATAGGGTGGCCAACGTTTAATTCCAAAGCCAAGGTGAAAAGGTTCAACTAACATGCAGTGTGATCCTTGCCTCCACAGAGGCGTCGGGGGTCTGAGCTTAGAGGGGAAGGTGGCTCAATCACCCACCTCTCCAGGACAGAAGCCACTGCTCAGTTTGAGCAGGGCGGGTGGGTAAAGTGTAGGTACAGGAAAAACAGCCCAGTTGTCAATTTCCCCCATCAAGCGCAAATGCAACAATGAAGGTGCACAAACACTTCTCTACTTACTGGCATAGTTTTGTCTCCAAAGAAATAAATGGTCTTATAACCGTCATTTTCCACATGTCGCAGACAGTATCTCTTGTCCCATCCATCAGGAAAGACATCAAAGCTGATCTGGCCTCCTGCCGGGTGGGGACGGGGCACACAAAGGCAAAAGGTGAAAAAGGGGCTAATGATATGTCACTGAAAAAAACAATTTACTCTTTTGTCAGTTAGTGGGTTGCCAAGGTTGATTTTCAGTACTCTAGTTTGCTACTTAGACTACTTCATGCATAGGTTCTAGAAATTAATTCTACATTGTTTTTTTCCAGCATTATTTCACATAGGTCTAAAATTGAGGCACAGAATGCCAACTCAGAGTGAGAAATGCATTTGCGTTTAAGCGCCCTGTCAAGCGTGTGGTTTAAAGGAAGCATGCTTATGAAAAATCGGATACCAGCCTCATTCTGCTGTGCTTGTCTCGGGCTTTAACACACCCTCAGGGGGAAATGCCCGGAAGCAGGTTGCATCCGGCATATTTTGCGGGAAAAATGAGAATCTTCACTGAAGGTGATTTACAGGCAGTGCTCACGGGCAACAAAAACCCTTTCAAAGCTTTGTCAGAAAGATGTCCATCTCACAGTTCAGGAAGACAAAAAACCCACCCACTCATCTGTTAAATATAATCCCTTTGCCATTCCAGTTTTCCTACAACCTCTACCTTGATGAAAGCTAGTAAAATGAGGAGGCTTTGAGCAATGACTCATTAGCACTGACAAGAGAAATCGGTGTGCAAAGCATTTGGCAGGAATATTCTAACAAAAGACAAGCCTGAGATGTCCGTGCTGCAGGAAGAACTCTGCATTAGACACCAGAAACGTTCACACACTGGCTGTGTAAACAACAGCTTTGTGAACTTGGACAAGTCTCTTCTCCTTTCTGGGCCTCAGTTTCTTGATCTGTAAAAGCCACCCAATTGGCCCCTAAGGTTCCTTGCTGTTGAAACATTCTATGATTCCAAAACATCGGTCTAGTTTACCTAAGGGGTTCAATTCCATGTCTCCCTTATGGAGTTCACTATAGTGCTTCTCTTCTGCCCAAAGGTGTGAGAAGTTCCTACTCTTTAGTAATCAAAGTGCTCCTCTTTTGATGAGAGGAGTCCAGGTAGGAAGAATGCTGTTGGGTAAGAATTTAGAACCAAGCCCAACAGCGTGTAAGCTGTTTCTTGACTAGGCAAGTCCTATTATGGCTAATTATGCAGAAAAGAGAGTGGTTGGTTTTTGTCTATAGACTGGACTGCTCATTTAATCTTCCTGCCCACCTAAAACTGCACATACTTCATTATCAATAGCTCACTGGCCCACAACAAACTCTGGGAAATGGGTATCCAAGTTTGGAACACAGGCAATATATACAATACCTATGGAAAACGTGAGGCCTTTTCCAGCAAACTCTTTCCGTAGATCTGCTACAAACTTTTGTCTTATATTTTCTTTCTGAGAAAAACAAAAAGATACCAATTGTTTCTTGTATTGCAGTTTAGAAAGCACAGTTTTAACTACTGGCCACAAAGGTAGGATTATCTTATTGATTTATTTATTTGTTTAGTTTTTGAGATGGGGGTCTTGCTCTGTTGCCCAGGCTGGAGCGCAGTGGCATGATCATAGCTCACAGCAGCTTCAACCTCCCAGGCACAAGTGATCCTCTTACCTCAGCCAAACAAATAGCCGGGACCACAGGTGTGTGCCACCATGCCCAGCTAATTTTTTTTTTTATTATTTGTAGAGATGAGGTCTCACTATGTTGCCTAGGCTGGTCTTGAACTCCTGGGCTCAAGTGATCCTCCTGCCTTGGCCTCCCAAAGTGTTGGGATTACAGGCATGAACCACCACACCAGGCCATATCTTATTTCCATAAACCCAGCCATTCACCAAAGATATTTCAGAAAGACGTACTTTATCGAGTTCGTAGAACTCAATGCGTTCTTCTTGGCTGCAGCTTCTTCCAATAGGGGACACGTTTAACATCCCATTTCGGAATTCAATGAAAGTACCCCTGGGAATGAAAGGGTGACAGAGTTTCTCCAAAAACACGTTATTCATTTGGGCAACATAGATAAACAGCCTAAAATCTTGGGAAATTCTAAAAAGCAGAGGCTAGTGTGGTCAATGTTTCTCAGCTCTGTGCTATGTAATATGGTAGCCATGAACTACTGTGACTATTAAGACTTGAAATGTGGCTAATATGAATTGAGATTAGATTTGAAAGATTTAGTATGAAAAAGGAATGTAATTGCATCAATCATGTTGTATATTGACTTTGTGTTAAAATGCTCATATTTTGAGCCTGGACAACATGGCGAAACTCTGTCTCTACAAAAAATACAAAAAATAGCCTGGCATGGTTATGCATGCCTATAATCCCAGCTACTCAGGAGGTTGAGGCAGGAAGATTCCATGAGCCTGGGAGATAGGGGTTATAGTGAGCTGAGATCACACCACTGCACTCCAGTCTGGGTGACAGAGTGAGACCCTGTCTCAAAAAAAAAAAAAAAAAAAGTCATATTTTAGAAATATCAGGCTAAATAAAATATATTATTAAAATTCATTTCACCTCTTCCTTTTCATTCTTTCAAAATGTGGCTACAGAAAATTTAAAATTATACATAGCTCACTTTCTATTTCTGTTGCACAGTGCTGCTACTGGGCAGATAATTTTGTGGTTAATAAAGAGCTATGAAAATGATTTCCAGCACTGGCAACAGCAGTCATTTCCTAGAAGAGTTTGAAAATACATGTACCAGACATCTATTTTGCTACGGAGCTTCTGAACAGACTGATAGTACCAAGCAAAGCTACACAGAAAAAGGCTCTGAGAATTGTCCAACGAGCCTCAGTAATAACTGAGGAAATTCAATTTACCCAGTAGCAGACAGCTCCTAAATGTTTGATTTGATCACAGAAAATGAGAAGCTAACATTAGTTTAGTCACTTCAAATGACGATGTTTAAAGATGTTCTTTTGGCTGGGCGCGGTACCTCACACCTATTAACCCCAGCACTTTGGGAGGCCAAGGTGGGTGAATGGCTTGAGCTCAGGAGTTTGAGAGCAGCCTAGGCAATATGGCAAAACCCCGTTTCTACAAAAAATACAAAAATTAGCCGGGCATGGTGGCACATGCCTGTATTCCCAGCTACTTGGGAGACTGAGACAGGAGGATTGCTTGGGCCCGGGCAGTGGAAGCTGCAGTGAACCAAGATCGTACCACTGCACTACAGCCTGGGTAACAGAGGGAGACCCCGTCTCAAAAAACAAACGAACAAACAAAAAATAAAAAACAAAAAACAAAGAGTTTTTTTCCACGGTTTCCAGTTTGAGTCTGAAAACAGTTTCTTTGGCTCACACCTGTAATCCCAGCACTTTGGGATGCTGCGGCGGGCGGATTCCTTGAGGTCAGGAGTCAAGACCAGCCTGGCCAACAAGATGAAACCCTGTCCCTACTAAAAATACAAAAATTAGCGGGACATGGTAGCGCATGCCTGTAGTCCCAGCTACTTGAGAGGCTGAGGCAGGAGGATCGCTTGAACCCGGGAGGCGGAGGTTGCAGTGAGCTGAGAGCATGCCATTGCACTCCAGTCTGGGAGACAGACTCTGTCTCAAAAAAAACAAAACAAGCAAACAAACAAAAACCCCACAACCAAAAAAAGAAAACCACCCAGTTTCTTAAAAGTTCAGATAACTTGTAAGCTAGATATCATTCTGACCAATGAAATTTAAGCATTTTCTGACAAACTATGCAGTGAAAAGTGTCTTCCAGTTCTAAACGCTGATGCCTGGGAACCCTATGAAACATTTTCCCTCATCTTTTTCTACTATTTTAATCTCACAGACCTGATGTCCTGGCACTGGCCATTGGAAATACCGAGAGACCACATGCCACGTGCAGGGCTGATGACCTGATTCCATGTCAGTGTGGCCTCTTAGGAGGCTGTGTGGCTCTGGGCACCTCTCCAAGCCTCCTCTTATTCACCTACAGAAAGGCTAATGGCACTTGCTCTGGTTACCTCCAAAGGGCCTTGTTAAAAATCAAACATGCCAGTTATGTAAAGGTACTTTGTAAACTGGGAAGCAATGAATACTCATTAAAGTAAAAACAGCAAAATCTCAATCGTCTGGATCCTCTCTCCTATTTTGCTCAACTTGCAGAGAAAGAGGCAAATGATGTAACAAAATATGCGAGCCTAAAAATCTCTCTCAATAATCCCATGTCCAGGCCGTCCCGGAGTTGGCAGAGGCCCAGCCTGTCCTCTACCACGTGTGTATGAGCACTGAGGCACTAGGGGACGGGTGACCGTGCCCCGGGTGACCCTAGGGCTAAAGGTCCTAATGATCAGAAAAAGAGCTCAATTAATGCCCCCCCACTCAAGGACATATTCTTCTTCTCATTTCCAAGGCACAGAGAGAAGTTGATGCAGTTTAGAAAGCCTTCCCCAAAACAAGGCTGAAGGTGGTTTACTAAGCAATCAGTTCCGCCCTAAAGACCTGGGCTCTCTGAAGTCTTACTGCATCTGCCTGGCCGTTGTGGGGCATGTAGTTAGTGTTGTCAGGCAAATGTGGACAAATGTGGATCAAGGTGGGTCTCAGTTCTGCCTCCTGGATTCACCAGGTCTCTTCTACTGTTCTGGAATTATGGCTCTCCACATCCCTCTCCCTCGCTAAATGATACGCTCTTTGAGGACAGGATTATGCCTTTTTTTTTTTTAAATCCTCCCTTAGTGCTCAGCCCAAAGTAAAAATGGAACTGACCTGGGATATTTGTATATTTTATCTTTTCGCCATGGAAAATTTCTAACACACACAAAAGTAAACAGAATAGGATAAGTCCTCATGTGCTCATTACCCAGCTGCAACAATAACCAAGTCCATGTCCAGCCTGTCTCATGCAGGCCTCCCCCTCGGCTAAGGGACATTCCTGCACTCTGGCTGGAGATGCTGAGCAGGAGGCGCTCAGGTTATGAATCCTAATAGTGTGAAGCAGCCTCTGAAGTACACCCAGCCCTGAAATTGAATTGCCACTTAATTCCAACCCTGATGATTAAGGTGTTACATAGTAAGTGTTGAAAACTGGGGGTAAAAATGAGAAGGATTTCAAAGAAATCACTTGCAACCTCACCATCAAGAAATAGCCACTGTTAACATTTGGGTCTATTTCCTGCCAGTCTTTAAATTTACTGTCGGCATTTATGTTCATCATTATTATTATTACTATTATTTTAAAAATGGAACTGAGATAATTGTACCCATGGCAGAAGGTAGGTCCCCAAACCAAACATTTATGAAAGCCAGGGGCAGTGGCTAATGCCTGTAATCCCAACATTTTGGGAGAGTGAAGTGGGAGGATCGCTTGAGGCCAGGAGTTGGAGACCAGCCTGGGCCATACGGCAAGACCCTATCTCTACAAAAAATTAAAAAATTAGTCAGGCATGGCGGCATGTGCCTGTAGTCCCAGCTACTCAGGAGGCTGAGGTAGGAGGATCACTTGAGCCAAGGAGGTTGAGGCTGCAGTGAGCTATGATCATGCCACTGCACTCCAGCCTGGGCAACAGGGCGAGATCCTCTCTCTCAAAAAACAAAACAAAACAAAAAACAAAAAGAAAGCCTAGGGAGACAGAAAATGAGAGAAGCAGTCTGTGACTGGAACAAATGTCCATGAGTCAGGTGGCAGCTGCTCAGGTGGCACCTGCCGGCAGGGAACTGGGAGCCGGAGTAGCCAGGTCTCAGATTTGCCAACAGAAGCCAGAAATCCAGATGTTTAAAACATAAAATCAGGCTGGGCAAGGTGGCTCACGCCTTTGACACCAGCAATTTGGGAGGCCAAGGTGGGTGGATCAGTTGAGGTTGGGAGTTCGATATCAGCCTGGCCAACAGAGTGAAATGCCATCTCTACTAAAAATACAAAAAAAAAAAAAAATTAGCTGGGCATGGTGGTGTGCGCCTATAATCCCAGCTACTCGAGAGGCTGAGGCAGAAGAATTGCTTGAACCTGGGAGGCGGAGGTTGCAGTGAGCTGTGAGATCCTGCCACTGCACTCCAGCCTCGGCCACAGAGTGAGACTCGGTCTCAAAAATAAATTCATAAATAAATAAAACAAACATAAAATCAGACTTTTACATGATGGCAATTAATCCGATTTTCTTTAACACTGCAGGCCAACCAGATTTGGGTTTTACGTGGATCTGGCCCGAAGGCTTCCTGTCTCAGACTTCCCGATCTAGGGTTTCTGTTGCTTTTTGTACATGCTGCTTCACTGCTGTTTCCTCTCACTGACAGCCTTTGAAAGCATATGGTCTTCAATGGTTGTATAAATTTCCATCATGTGGATAAGCCATCATTTACGTAATCATTCTTGTACTGTTGGCTTTGTGGACTGTTTCCAATTATTCCTTACTAAGTGCTGGGATTCGGATTTAAATTCGCTGGCCCATGGTGGCTACTGAACCCTGCTGTGAACCAGCAGCACCAGGGCAGCCAGAGAAAATGTGGATTTCCAAGCTCGGCTCTCAGGCTTTCTGAACCAGAATTGCCAAGGGGCGGGCTAAATATCAGACTTTGTTTTTAAAACTCTTTAGGTGATTTTTATAATCCTATTTGGAGAATGCCCACATTAGCCCACCATGTGACACTACGCTATGTTCCTGTGACGCCTCTTTGTTAAAAGCAAACCCACCTCTTCTTCGGGAGTTTAATTTTCGCAATGTAGCTCAGACAGTAGTTGATTAAATCTTGGATTAGGGCCTCACCCAGATGACTTTGAATATTCTAGATGAAGAAAATACTTGAGTTACTTGATTTAGCAGGAGCATTTTCAAAACAGCTTCATAGCAAACCCAGGGTCTTCAGCCACGATTGCTGAAAATCAGTAGGCTGATGTAGCAGTGATGGTGACATGCCCCACTGTCTGTTTAATTCCTTCTCTTATTTCTCTGGTCAAAAGCATTAGGCAAGCCAGAAAAGCTTTAGTCAAAAGCATTTTCTGCTTCATCACCCAAGATTTTTGTACTCATTATTGTTCAAATGCTTCCTGTAAGGTCCAAAGAGCTTACTGCTGCCACTTTTATTCAATTAAAATATCTCCAGATATTGACAGACAATATATTTGTTCCACTTCGGCATTCTCTTATGTCTGAATAGAATGATCTTACTACTACTAAGAGCTACACAGTACCTCTTAAAAATGCTTATAGTGCCCAGGCGTGGCAGCTCACACCTGTAATCCCAGCATTTTGGGAAGCTGAGGCAGGTGGATGACTTCAAGTCATGAGCTCGAGACCAGCCTGGCAAACATGGTGAAACCCTGCCTCTACTAAAAATACAAAAATGAGCCGGGCATGCTGGTGGATGCCTGTAATCCCACCTAGGGAGGCTGAGGCACAAGAATCATTTGAACCCAGGAGGCAGAGGTTACAGTGAGCCAGGATTGAGCCACTGCACTCCAGCCTGGGCAAGAGTGAGATTCCACCACGAAAAAAGAAAAAAGAAAAAAAAAAATGCTTATAGTGAAGCAGTCTGCTCTAGTTTTATCATCATAGAAATGTTATTAATAGATTTAAAGCCAGGCTTGGTGGCATGTGCCTGTAGTCCCTGCTACGTGGGAGGCTGAGGCAGAGGATCACCTGTGCCCAGGAGTTCTAGGCCACTGGGATTGCACCACTGCACTCCAGCCTGGTTAACACAGCAAGACCCCATCTTTTTAAAACAAGAAGAAAAGGCTGGGTGTGGTGGCTCATGCCTGTAATCCCAGCACTCTGGGAGGCTGAGGTGGGCGGATCACTTGAGGTCAGGGGTTAGAGATCAGCCTGGCCAACATGGTGAAACCCTGTCTCTACCAAAAATACAAAAATTAGCTGGGTGTGGTGGCGTGTGCCTGTAATCCCAGCTATGGGGGAGGCTGAGGCGTAAGAATTGTTTGAACCAGGGAGGCGGAGGTAGGCGGAGGTTGTAGTGAGCTGAGATCGTGCCGCTGCACTCCAGCTCCAGCCTGGGTGACAGAGCAAGACTCCGTCTCAAAAACAAAATAAGAAAAGAGAGAAATATTAGATTTAAAAAGTATAAAAATTTAGTTATCAATGTAGAATATGTAATAGTCACATGGTTCAAAATGCAAAACAAAAAATACAGAGTAAAGATTCATTTCTACCCGTTCCTCATCTTCCTAGAGGCATTCATTGTGAAATGCCCTTTTAGAAAACACTTTTAATAGTATATAGTAATTCAGATACTCAAGAACCTACCTGTCTACACAAGAGTTTCCCATCTTTGTATGCTACCAAGCCATTTTCTGGAAACACATAATCGTATTTTTCAACCACTACAATCAAAACCAAAAAAACACTTAGAATGCAAAGAATCAAAACCTGTGTTTTTACTCCTTGATTAACAATGACCACCAATAAAACCGCTAAACTCCAGCAAGGACTGTGAAAGACTATCTCATCTTACAGACTAAGAGAAGAGTATGGAAAAAAGTTCCTTGTTTTTTTAATGGCTCTTTTTGGTTACACATTTAAACGATGATGACTGGGCAGGAGATTAGGGACTTGGTGACAGGTTATCTTATGTCCCTGACTTCAGCCTGACTGTCTGTAGAGGAAGATACTCGTCCATGATGCTGATGGTTCACCAGCAGCAACCAGGGCAGTGTGAAAATGCAGATTTCCAAGCTTTGCTCTCTCGCTTCCTGAATCAGAATTGCTGAGGGACAGGCTAAATATATTTTTAAAAAAGCTCTTTGGGTCGGGTGCGGTGTGGCTCACACCTGTAATCCCAGCACTTTGGGAGGCTGAGGCTGGCGGGGTTTTACTAGGTCAGGAGTTCCAGACCAGCCTGGCCAACATAGTGAAACCCCCGTCTCTACTAAAAATACAAAAAATTAGCCAGGCATGGTGGTGTGCGCCTGTAACCCCAGCTACTCCGGAGGCTGAGGCAGGAGAATTGCTTGAACCCAGGAGGCAGAGGGTTCAGTGAGCCAAGATTGTGCCACTGCACTCCAGCCTCGGCAACGGTGCAAGACTCTGTCTAACGTCAAAAAAAAAAAAAAAAAAAACAAAAAAAACCCAAAAAACAAAAAACAAAGCACTAAAAGACCTTTGGTGGCCAGGCACGGTGACTCATGCCTGTAATCCCAGCACTTTGGGAGGCCAAGGTGGCCAGATCACCTGAGGTCGCAAGTTCAAGACCAGCCTGGCCAACATGGTAAAACCCCGTCTCTACTAAAAATACAAAAATTAGCCGGGCGTGCTGGTGGGCGCCTGTAGTCCCAGCTACTTCGGAGGCTGAGGCACACGAATCACTTGAACCCAGGACGCAGAGGTTACAGTGAGCCAAGATTGTGCCACTGCACCAGAGAATAAGACTGTCTCAAAAAAATAAAAATAAATAAATAAATAAAATAAATTTTAAAAAAAGCTCTTCAGTGATTCTTATAATCAGTTTGGTTTGGAAACTATCCATGTTGTCAACCTTAATGAAGGGATTCTCAAACTTCAGGTACCTGTTAAAATGCAGATCCCCTATGTGTTGGGTGGGGACCCCACACTCATATTTTAATAAGCTTCCCAGGTGATTCTGATACAGGTGGGCCTTCAACTGTCTTTTGGCCTGTGAATGTTTTGATTCTATTGTTGCATGTCTCTGACAGGTGCAGACACTATGCTACACTACACAAAACTTCCCTGAGCAAGTGGTTAAATACACAACTAGATGCAGAAAGGGCGATCATGAGCAGGTAACAGGATTTTCAGGGCTTCGTGATCCCCAGTATGCGGTTTATAGCATTTCTAAGTAGGAGATCTACCAGGAAAATGAAGTGGAAGTGGAAGAGAGAGTTTTAAAGAGATTGCAGAGATTACTCTTCTAGTAATGGTGATCCTATAAATACAGTCCATACAGATTTGGACTGTAACATATTACATCTTTGAGAACAGTAGTTCTCAAACGGGGGTAATTTTACACAGAGGTCATTTGGCAATGTCTGGAGACATTTCTGGTAGTCATAGCCGTATGTGTGCGTGTGTGTATGCTGTGGGCATCTAGTGGGTAGAGGCCTGGGATGTTGCTAAAGACCCTACAATGCACAGGACAGCCTTCATAATGGAGAACTAACTGGTCCAAAATATCAATAGTGCGAAGGTGAGAAATCTTGCTCTAGAGGAGCTGGTTCCAAGATGTGAGGACTCTGGGGACAACAGGGGTTAAAAGAACAATCAATTCATCCACCTCTCCACTTATAATTTTTTTTTTTTTCCAAGACGGAGTTTCGTTCTTATTGCCCAGGCTGGAGTGCAATGGTGTGATCTCGGCTCATTGCAACCTCTGCCTCCTGGGTTCAAGCAATTCTCCTGCCTCGGCCTCCTGAGTAGCTGGGATTACAGGTGCCCGTCATCACGCCCAGCTCATTTTTTGTAGTTTTAGTAGAAATGGGGTTTGATCATGTCGGCCAGGCTGGTCTCAAACTCCTGACCTCAGGTGATCCATCCGCCTCGGCCTCCCCAAGTGCTGGGATTATAAGCGTGAGCCACCGCGCCTGGCATCCACTTACAATTTCTTACAGGCCAGGAGGCCCTGTGGCTATGGAGATGAATAACCCATACTCCTGCTCTTCAAAAACATATAATCGGATAGTTTACAATAATTACAGAATGCTACATTAGCAAGGTTGTACACTAGAATCTCTCAGAGGTACTCACTGAAATAGGATTCCCAGGCTCCACAGACCTATCAAGTCAGACTCTCCAGTGAAGGGGTCAATAAGCCTCTCTGGTTTTTCGGGGTCCTGTGCTGGAGATTCTGTTTCAGTGATGGGGAGGTGAGGGGGGCTGTCAGAGGGACAATATGAAGACCGGTCTGACTGGGGCTAGAAGGGCTGTCAACGGGTACAAGCAAGAAGTATTCCAGGCAGAGAGATTATCATGTGCAGATACAGCCACTGACCTTTCTAGGTGAATCTACTCACACATCTGAGTACCCAGTTCTCCATCAGTAACTCCAGAAATGTACTGGATTAAAAGCAGAGGAAAAGCAAAGGCCAAGAAAATGTTTCCCAAAAAAGGAAGCAGAAAGCCCGCCATATGGGGACAAGGTTTTAGGGCAGCCTATGATACTTGGCAACAATATCCTCATAAGAAGTTAATCTTTTACCAGATGTAATTAGCAACCCATCATTTACCATCATTTCCCAGTTGCTCCTGCACTTTCTCAAAGTCCGATCCGCCTACCACTCCGATTTTGATCTTCTGCCTCAATTTTTGTAGGAAGTCATCCATTTCTTTGGTAATTTTCTAAATTTCAAGAAAGAAAATACAACAGTCATAAGCCACACAATAATCAGGAGACCAAAACTCTAAGGGTAACACAAGTACATAAGTCTTATTTTCTTATTTAAAAATTAAAGAAAAAATTTTTTTTTGAGATAGGGTCTCACTTGTCACCCAAGCTGGAGTGCAGTGGCATGGTCATAGCTCATCGCAGCCTCGACCTCCCTGGACTCCGGTGATCCTCCTATCTCTGCCTCCTGAGTAGCTGGGACCATAGTTATGTGCCAGCACACCTGGCTAATTTTTTTATATTTTGTAGAGACTAAGTTTTGCCATGTTGCCCAGGCCAGTCTGGAACTCCTGGGTTCAGGAGATCCACCAGCCTTGGCCTCCCAAAGTGCTGAGATTACAGGTATAAGCCAGGTCTATAAGCCTTATTTTCATACATGCCAATTAAGTTACCAGCTCTGTACATAGTTCAAATATTTTAGTTGTAACTGGGGGGGCATCTTTACCAGAATAAACTTAAGTGTTATTTTTACCAAATTTTAAACACAGGTAATATGTTAGTAGCTGTTGTGCACTGTCCCAGCTATTTTTCTATGCATTTATATACCCATCTATGGGCACATATACAAATAGGTCTTATTTTTGAAACATAAATGGAATCATGTCCTGTGCAGGGACTTTGGTTTTTCAGCACTATGCTGTGGTGATCTTTTCATGCCAACACAGATCTAGCTCATCATTCCTTTTAAATGCTACACTATACTCCATTTATGGATTTAAGTTGTTGATTTTAAAATAAAACAACATAATGAAATTAAAGAGGAAGCTTAGGGCCAGACATGGAGGCTCATGCCTGTAATCCCGGCACTTTAGGAGGCCGAGGCGGGTGGATCACCTGAGGTCAGAGTTCGAGATCAGCCTGGCCAACGTGGCGAAACCCTGTCTCTATTAAAAATACAAAAATTAGGCGGGCGCGCTGGTGGGCGCCTGTAGTCCCAGCTACTCGGGAGGCTGAGGCAGGAGAATCACTTGAACCCGGGAGTCAGAGGTTGCAGTGAGCCAAGATCGTGCCACTGCACTCCAGCCTGGGTCACAGAGCGAGACTTCGTCTCAAAACAAAACAAAACAAAACAAAAAAAAAAAAAAAAGGAGAAGCTTAGAATTGATTTTATTGCAATCACCCAAAACAAAACAAAAATGTAAAAGAGTAAGATAACTAGATTTTTTAGTCTCTTCTAAAAGCAAAGCTCCTATCTAGAAAGAGTGGTCTTAGTGGTATAATCTTATGGTAAATTCCAAACTGTGTGATAATTTTAAAAAAGTTATAAACTAAGATGAAAAAATAGCCCTACATTAAGACACATCACAATGTATTTTTACAAGTCTTATAACTCAGCACTTTGAGCAATCTCAGTTGTACATTTACACTGAATGTCTTTTTTTTTTTTTTTTTGACACGAAGTCGTGCTCTGTCACCCAGGCTGGAGTGCAATGGTGTGGTCTCGGCTCATTGCAACCTCCACTTCCTGGGTTCAAGCGATTCTCCTGTCTCAGCCTCCCAGGTAGCCAGGATTACAGGCGCCCGCCATCATGCTCGGCTAATCTTTTTGTATTTTTAGTAGAGACTGGGTTTCACCATGTTGGCAAGGCTGGTCTCGAACTCCTGACCTCAAGTGATCCACCCGCCTCAGCCTCCCCAAGTGCTGGGATTATAGGCATGAACTACCGTGCCCGGCTGAATATCTTTTTACTAGAAATTTAGAAAATACAAAAAACCATTTAATTCAACCTCAGTATATAAACACTTGGAGTTCAATGATTTTTCTTTAAAAAACTTTTTTAGAGTAATACATGAATGTGATTAAAATTGTACAGAAGGGTTTGTAATAGAGTGCAATCTTTTCTACTCTCACAGTGGAATCTGGACCTATTAGACAGAATCTAGAATTGGAGGAGTGGCCTTTAAAAGTCAGAACACGGTGGCTCACGCCTGTAATCCCAGCACTTTGGGAGGCCGAGGCGGGTGGATCACGAGGTCCAGAGATAGAGACCATCCTGGCCAACACAGTGAAACCCCATCTCTACTAAAAATACAAAAATTAGCCAGGCGTGGTGGTGCCTGCCTGTAGCACCAGCTACTTGGTTGCCTGAGGCAGGAGAATTGCTTGAACCTGGGAGGTGGAGGTTGCAGTGAACTGAGATTGGGCCACTACACTCCAGTCTGGTGACAGAGTGAGACTCTGTCTTAAAAAAAAAAAAAGAGTCAGAACTGTGAAAATCAGAAAATCAGAAGCACTTTCCTGAATGGCATACCCAGTGACTAGAACAGCTTCCACCTTAGCACAGATAGGAAATGGCAAACTTGACAGGAACCAATATCCTGAGGCCCAGAGACTTGTACCAGGTTGGCTGTGTGAAACTGAGGAGGTTAGTTCTTCACTGAGTGTGTTTCCTTATGTTTAAAACGGTAATAACAACTATCCTACCTGGGAAGAAAGATGGAGGAAGGTTGAGAGGGTTCAGTGATATGAAAAAGGGTGGCAATGTAAACCCTAGACCACTATGGCCCACAGACCACATTGGGCAGCTGTTTGTTTTTGTAATAAATAAATAAAATTTTATTGGTACACAGCCACTCTTATTTATATAGGGTTTATGGCTGGTTTTGCACTAAAGTTGAGTGGTTACTATAGACCACATAGTCAGCAAAGACAGAGAAGTATTTGCTATATGGCCCTTTACAAAAAATGAATTGGGGACCGGAGTTTTAGACCACTATGGGCTTTTAACAAACCCAAGTGTGTGATCACTGAATTTCAGAATCAGAAAAAGCCTTTGAAGAACTTGGGAGTTGAGCGTCATCACTAGGTAAATCAAACCTGTGGCTGAGAAGGGCAAAATGATACGTCTAAGGTCACACGCATTTGACCTGGACTTCTGGAGCACACCATTGTTACCACCAAGCGAAAACTATGAGGGGTGAGGGTAGAAGCTGAGGATAGTGAGACCATTGGGGTCCAGTCTCAAGTTGAAATGGCCAGTGTTCAGTGGCCAATTTCTGAAAAGGGGCCAGGAGAGCCTCACCTCAAGGCTGATCGTAACTGAAACTTATCTGTGCCTGTAGCAGCAAAATCTGAAAGTGGAAAGCAAGTTTCCAAGGGCCCAAAGAGGCTCTCAGCGGGCAGCCTGTAATAACCTAGGGCTCCTCCATCTCCCTAGTCCATTGCAGGGGCTGGAGATGGGTGTGGTGGAGGTGGCTACTATTTACTGAGGCCTAGTGTGTTGTGTCCAACATACTTTCAAGAACTTACACAATCTCATTTGATCCTCACAGACACCATATGGAACAGGTAACATCCCCATTTAAAGCTGTAGATGTTGAGGCTCAGAGAGGTTAATGACTCGCTGAAGGTCACACAGATGTCAAGAGGTGAAGATGAGACTCCACTAGGTCGGTTTGACCTGGAAACCTGTTTTTAATATCATGACTCACGGCACAGCCCATTGGTTACAGGATTGGGGCCGACACATAGCTGATAAGGGGGCCTGATCTTGGGTTGAAATCCTGGTCTATCAGTCCCGAGCACTAGCGGTGAGTCCAGATTACATTTTCCAACCTAGCACAAGTTTCCTGCTCTTAAGAGTTCTTCAGCCCCGTCTCATCTTTCCAAGCACCAGAGCTCTTCAAGAGCTGGTTAGGGCCTCCCTCTCATTCCTCCAGTGCACCCAGAATAGGGTTCAGCGCCGTGAGGACGTAGGCGGTCCTTAGCCACCCCTTGGCGCCTACCCTGGGTGGTCGATAGCCCCAACTGGGAACAGCACGGGCTCCGCGTCGGCTGCCAGCAGCCCGCCGGCCGCCACTTACCTGCCGCGGGGCGGTGAGGGTCCCATCCACGTCGAAGAGGCAGAGCGCTGGGCCAGGCGCTGCCATGTCCCCAGTTTCTAGCCGCACCTTACAAGACACGTTGGCACGAGGAACTCGGCCCGGAACTTCCGGGTTCGGCCGCTGAGTCGCAGGGCACGTCGGGAAGAGGAGGGGACTCCGTTCCCATAACGCCTGGGAGTAGCGGCAGCCACGATTCCTGGACCGCAACTCCCAGGGTGCAACGCAGATCACGCCCGCCTTGTACATTCGAGCATGCGCTCTTAGGGGTTCCGGGGGCCGGTGGGATTTACTTCCGGCAGCAGGTGGTGGGGCCATGGTAAGGAGGCGGGTGGCGAGCCTTGAGGGGGTGATGCTCTTTGGGGTCGGGGTCAGGGCTGGGGCGGGCAGGCCCGACGCTCGGGTTTCGGACTCCGAGGATCCGTGGGAGGAAGCTCTGGCGTGTGTTACAGTTCGCTTTTCCCGGGCTTTCTCTTGCCCTCCTTGGGTCACATGCGCACAGTAGTAGTAGCTAAAACTCGCCGAGCTCTCACAGTGCATTAGGTACTAAGTTGAGGACTCTGAAACCATCCTCTGGTTCACTGTGTTCTGAGTCCCCATTTTGAAAGGCGAAGAAACCGAATCTCAGGGGTGTGGAGTAATTTGCTCACAAATTACTGTTGGAGCCAGAATTGGAATAAGAGCTTTTACTGCTTCACTACCCACCTAGTAATACCCTTGTGCTACGTGTTGGGGCCTCCCTGCCTCGCTCCTTCTCCTTCTCCGCTGTTTCCCCTTCCCCAGACTAGGCTAAGAGAAAGCAGCAGTTCCCTCCAGCACCCAAGATAGCATATGAATCAAACAGAGAATTAGAAAGTTTATTGGAATAAATATCTCACAGATTTGTTGCTCGAGTTCCCCACTAAGACACTGATTATTTAGTTTCCTGCTTGGGGAAATGTTCACACCCCCTTGTGGATACATTGTCCAGCCCAGAGTTTGTCCTCCCTGGATATGTTTTGAATTAATGACGGCCGCACCTCCTTTCCTGTATTTATTTGGAATTGCCTGGTGGAAGGAGGACTCTGCTGCACTCACTGACTGTGTGATCTTTGGTAAATATCTTACCCTCTCTGGGCTTAGTTTCCCTAGTGGTAAAGTGGAAATAGTGATAACTATCTTAGATAGCTGTTGTGATGCCCACATGAGATAGCATCTGGCTTTACCCTTCCCTCGTCTGGCAATAACGGTTACCTTGCAGGATTGGCAGAAGCCTTAGAGTATGGTGCTTTGCAGATGTTCACCGTGTGATTAATGTGGTTGAGTTCCATGAGAGAAATGGTCTACTGTCTCCCTTTCAGGCTGCCCTTCTCCGAGCTGTGCGTAGGTTTCGGGGAAAAGCTGTGTGGGAAAGGCCTCTCCATGGGCTGTGGTGCTGCAGTGGGCAGGAGGATCCTAAGAGGTGGGTGGGCAGCAGTTCACCCATCTCGAAGGAGAAACTACCAAACGCAGAGACTGAGAAATTCTGGATGTTTTACCGTTTTGATGCCATCAGAACCTTCGGGTTCCTGTCACGACTGAAGTTGGCACAGACTGCCCTGACAGTGGTAGCTTTGCCACCAGGCTATTACTTGTACTCCCAGGGCCTCCTCACTCTCAACACCGTGTGCCTCATGAGTGGGATATCGGGCTTTGCCCTGACCATGCTGTGCTGGATGAGCTATTTCTTACGGAGACTGGTTGGTATCCTGTATCTGAATGAGTCTGGCACCATGCTGCGGGTGGCCCATCTGAACTTCTGGGGCTGGCGGCAGGACACATACTGTCCCATGGCAGATGTGATTCCCCTGACAGAAACCAAGGACCGGCCTCAGGAGATGTTTGTGCGTATCCAGCGGTACAGTGGGAAACAGACCTTCTACGTCACCCTGCGCTATGGACGCATCCTGGACAGAGAGCGTTTCACACAGGTGTTTGGGGTACATCAGATGCTCAAGTGAACAACTGGGACCTGGACCTCTGGGTAACCCTGGGTCGCCTGGATTAACAGGAAGGCTGAGGGTGTGGGCAAGGCTGAAGAAAGGGGACTGGGTACTTGGAGACTTTGCCTGGGCCCCTGGGAACATGTGTTTTGTGGTGAATAAATTCACAAGGCAAGAGCTGGTGTACAGGTTTAGGAAAAAGGCTCTAAGCAAGTTCTTACAGCACTTGTTTGTGACATTCAGTCAGATAATGGCCAGAAGTTTTTGTTAAGAGCCAGTTCTTAGAAGAACCTATGCCAAGGTCACCCATAGAGTCCATTGGTGTGAAAGAGAAAGGCAAAGAGGTGTGGCGGGGGAGCGTAAGATTTGGAGTCAGAAGTCTCAGTTCTGTCATTTGTCCTGGAGCAGGTTATTGAGTCTCTTTGAATCTTGGTTTTCACATCTGTAAAATGGAAAGTCCTGCTTGTTTCATGGGATGGGTGTGGGAATAAACAATAAATGTCAAACGTGTGGCAGACTCAACAGCCTACAGCAGATATTATTAAGCATTTGGTCAGAGGTTTTAGCAGGGAGAAAGGCTTCGAGCAGTCAGCAGGGACTTCCAGAGCCCTGTGCTGTGCCCCTCACATATCCAGCGGCAGAAGGGTCTGTCAGGATGTTAACTACACATTGACGAGCAGATGTCGTCCAGGTAGGCACGAAACCCCAGTTGAGATTTGTTCACCACCCAGAGGTCTAGAGGCTCTTGCTTTGGATGGCCCTGCAGTGTAATAAAGCCAAATGCACCGGATGCTGGTACGTTATTTTATAAACTTAAGCCAGTTATATACATTGCCCCACATAATTAATAATATATGTTCATTATACAATTTGTAACACAGTAAAGAGGAAGGAAGGCATGATCTTTATTATTTTGCCACTCGAAAGTCAATAAGAATGTTTTATCGCTGGGGGCGGTGGCTCACACCTGTAATCCCAGCACGTTGGGAGGTCAAGGTGGCGGATCACGAGGTCAGGAGATCGAGGCCATCCTCGCTAACAGGGTGAAACCGTGTCTCCACTAAAAAATACAAAAAAATTAGCTGGGCGTGGTGGCAGGTGCCTGTAGTCCCAGCTACTCGGGAGGCTGAGGCAGGACAATGGTGTGAACCTGGGAGGCGGAGTTTGCAGTGAGCCGAGATCACGCCACTGCACTCCAGCCTGGGCGACAGAGTGAGACTCCGTCTCAAAAAAAAAATATTTTTTTTTATTGTGTAGCCTTCCATTTTTCTTAACCATACCAAGATACACCTAACAAATTTATCCTTTTAATCATTTTTAAGTGTGCAATTCAGGGACATTAAGTATATTAACAATGTTGTACAGGCTGGGCACACTGTCTCATGCCTGTAATCCCAGCACTTTGGGAGGCTGAGGCGTGTGGATCACTTGAAGTCAGGAGTTCAAGACCAGCCTGGCCAACATGGCAAAACCCTGTCTCTACTGAAAATACAAAAATTAGCTGGGCATGGTGGTGGGCACTTGTATTCCCAGCTACTTGAGAAGCTTGAACCCGGGAGGCAGAGGTTGCAGTGAGCCGAGATTGCACCAATGCACTCCAGCCTGGGAGACAGCCAGACTATCTCAAAAACAAACAAAACAAAAAATGTTGTACAACCGTCACCACCATCTATTTCCAGAACATTTTCATTATCCCAAACAGAACTAATATACCCATTGAGCAATAATTTCCTTCTTTTTCCAGCCCTTGGCAACCACTAACCTGCTTTCTGTCCCTCTGGATTCACCTGTTCTGGATATTTCATATAAATGGAATCATACAATATGTGACCCTTTGTATCTGGCTCTTTTTTTTTTTTTTTTTTGAGTTGAAGTCTCGCTCTGTTTCCCAGGCCAGAGAGCAGTGGCGCGATGTCCACTCACTGCAACTTCCGCCTCACCAGCTCAAATGATTCTGCCTCAGCCTCCCAAGTAGCTGGGATTATAGGTGCCTGACGCCAAGCCTGGCTAATTTTTGTATTTTTAGTAGAGATGGGGTTTCACCATGTTGTCCAGGCTGACCTGGAATCTCTGACCTCAAGTGATCACCCACCTCGGCCTCCCACAGTGCTGGGATTATAGGCGTGAGCCAGTGCGGCTGGCCTGTATCTGGCTTCTTTGACTTGGTGTAGTGTTGTCAAGGTGCATCCGTGTTGTAGCATATGTCAGTGCTATTTCTTTTTTATGGTTAAATATATTTACGGGTGCAGTGTGTATTCTCTGTGTGTGCCACATTTTGTTTGTCCATCTGTTGATGGACATTTGAGTTGTCGTCACCTTTTGACTACTGATGAATGAACATTTGGCTATTGCTGTGAACACTGGTATACGAGTATCTGTTTGAGTCCCTGCTTTCAGTTGTTTTGGGTACGTACTGAGAAGTGGATTAACTGGATCCTGTGGTAATTCTGTTTATTTTTGAGGACCTGCCACTTTTCCACAGCAGCTGTACCATTTTACATTCTCACCAGCAACAGACAAGGGTTCCTGTTTCTCTACATTCTTGTCAACAGTGGTTACTTTTCCTTTTTTTTAAATTTGAGATGGAGTCTTACTCTGTCACCCAGACTGGGTTGCAGTGGTGTGATCTTGGCTCACTGCAGACTCCGCCTCTCAGGTTCAAGCGATTCTCCTGCCTCAGCCTCCTGAGTAGCTGGGATTACAGGCACCCACCACCATGCCCAGCTAATTTTTCTGCTTTTAGTAGAGATGTGGTTTTGCCATGTTGGCCAGACTGGTCTCGAACTCCTGAACTCGAGGGATCCACCTGCCTCGGCCTCCCAAAGTGCTGGGATTACAGGTATGAGCCACCACGCCTGGCCCTTCACTTCGATGCTTCTGTCCTGTGCTTCCATCCTTGCTTTACTTGAGTCCGTTTTTGCAGCTGTCAAAGTGATGCTTAAAAACAGAATCACGTCACTGCTGTGAAGGCTGATGGCCTAATCCACCCTCCCCTTCCCTCCCTCATCCGCACCTCTGTGGAGATCATTCCCCCAGGTCACGACTGCCTTGCTGTTCTCCAGTAATCGAGAATATTCCAGCCTTAAGGCCTTTGCATTGACAGTTCCCTCTGCCTGGAAGGCTTTCTCCCTAGATGCCTGCAAAGAGAACTAACCGCCTCCCCTTCAGTATCCTCTCGGTATAACAGGGTTTTACTATTTATGCTCAAGAAGTGTAGTGAAGATTCAATTATATAGAAGAGACATGTGCATAGCAGTTACACGTGGCTGTTCATTCCTTCTGTACCTTGCCTTCACCTGCCTGTCAGTTCCTTCAGTGACTGTGACTCCCTTCCCCATGAAGAGATAAAGCCTGTGGCTAAAAAATGTCTTAAGAAGTCATAATGATTTGACCTTAACCTCATTAAAACCAAAAATTCTCTCTGTTGGGTTGTAAGTAATGACCTGAGTGAGCCTCACCCCAGGATATTCTGATTATGTCTGGGGTGGATTTCCAGGATCTGTTTTTTTGACCAGCTTGAAGCCAATTCTGAGATTCAGGCAGGCTGGGAATTTCTGAAATACATTACTAGAACAGAAGACACCAGAGTGACACATGGTTCTGTGGACTTTGTGTTCCTGGGCCAATTTTCTGCCCAAAGAATAGGTTCTTAACACTGGCTTTATGTGTAGAATCTCCTGGAGAGTGTTTTAAAAACCCCATTGTCGAAGCCCATGACCAGGCATTTTTATTTTCACGGTTCCCTGGGTGATTCTAACATGGTTGACCATCGCTGCCTTTGGAGAATCACCACTCTGTTAAGTCTGCAAGGGGCTTGCCCTGGGAGGTGAGACCAGATTCTCACCCATGCAGGCATTCCATGTGTGGTCTGCTCATGCAGTACCAGCAGAGGGCACACAGAGCAAATGCATTATTCTAACGCTGTATCCCTAAGCTAAAATCACAGATGTCCACCAGATAACAGGAAATGTGTTAGGGCTTCTGTCATGCACCAGTAGGGTAGTACCTGAGAGCTGCCCCCAAAAAACCAAAGTCAACAACAGAAGCAATAAAAGGACTGGTGCAGTGGCTCACACCTGTAATCCCAACTCTTTGGGAGGCCAAGGTGGGCAGATCGCTTGAGACCAGAAGTTCAAGACCAGCCTGGGCAACATGGTGAAACCCCATCTCTACTAAAAATGTGAAAAATTAGCTGGGTGTAGGGTACATGCCTGTACTCCCAGCTACTGGGGAGGCTGAGGTGAGAAGATCACTTGAGCCTGAGGGGCAGAGGTTGCAGTGAGCTGAGACTGCGCCACTGCACTGCAGCCTGGGTGACAGAGCGGGATCCTGTCTCAAAAAACAAAAAAAACATTAAGTGTGCCCAACCCTTGTTGAATCTGGTAGAACCTGGGCATCTGTTTGTTTATGCTTCCCAGGTTATTCCACAGTACTACAAGTTTTGAGAATCACCCAAAGCCATACAATAGATGGCAAAGCAGCTTCTCAGAAAATGGGAGTTGTCTTTAGATTTGGGTGGTAGATATATTGGCAGTTGCCCCCTTTAACAACAATTATAACATGATTGTCTTAGTTCACTTGGGCTGCTGTAACAAAAATACCGTAGGCTGGATGGCTCAAGCAACATTAATTTTTACAGTTCTGGAGGCTGGGAAATCCAAGATTAATGCGTCAGCGGGTTCATTGTCTAGGAGGGCCTGTTTCCTGGTTGGTAGACAGGCTTATTCCTGCTGTGGTCTCCCATGGCAAAAGAGGTGAGGGAGCTCTCTGAAATTTTTTATAGGGCACTAATCCCATTCATGAGGGATCCACCCTCATGACCTAATCCACTTCCAAAGTTCCCATCTCCAGATATCATCACATTGGAAATTAGGTTTCAACATATGAATTTGGGGGTGACATAAACATTCAGAATATAGCAATAATCTAACAGAAATACTGAAGTGTACATATAAGGATGTTGACTGAAATATTTCCAATAGCAAAAAAACTAGTCCGGGCATGATGGCTCATGCCAGTAATCCCAGCACTTTGGGAAGCTGAGGTGGAAGGATCGCTTGAGACCAGGAGTTCGAAACCAGCCCGGTCAACATAGTGAAACCCCATCTCTACAAAAGAAAAAATAAAACATTAGCTGGATATGGTGGCACATGCCTGTAGTCCTAGCTACTTGGGAGGCTGAGGCAGGAGAATTGTTTGAGCCCGGAAGTTCAAGGCTGCAGTGAGCCATCACTGTGCCACTGCACTCTAGCCTGGGTGACAGAGTGAGACCCTGTCTCAATAAATAAATAAGAAAAGTAAAAACTGGGAATAATCTAAGTTTCCATTAGTAGGCCACATGGTTAAGTAAATGTTGGTAGATTAATATTGTAGTATACATGCAACCTTTAAAAAGAGTGAGATTGTACTGTATCTGTGGAAAAGACCACGAGGTAGGTAGTGAAAAAAAAAAAGCAAGTCACAGAACAGTGTAGTTCTGTGTGATCTTATTTGTGTTTTTAAAAAGTACATGTTGGCCAGGTGCAGTGGCTGTAATCCCAGCACTTTGGGATGCTGAGGCAGGTGGATGACTTGAGGTCAGGAGTTCGAGACCAGCCTGGTCAACATGGTGAAACCCCATCTCTACTCAAAATACAAAAATTAGCTGGGGGTGGTGTCAGACGCCTGTAATCTCAGCTACTCAGGAGGCTGAGGCAGGAGAATTGCTTGAACCCAGGAGGCAGAGATTGCAGTGAGCGGAGATCGCAACATCTCACTCCAGCCTGGGCTACAGTGTGAGACTCCATCTCAAATACATACATACATACATACATTGCAAATTGTGAAGAGTGGCTACCCCCGGGAGAGGATTGAGGGTGAGAGGGGTATAATGAGCACATCATTCATCCTAGCAAATGAAGAAAAACGCTGTAATAAACAGTCTGTTCTTCCATTCCCTTCTCCTCCCACCAGCTTTCTAGGCAAAGGAAAGTTTCTCAACCATGAATTCCAATTCTGGACTCAGAAGCTGAGTAGATGGAAGGAAACATGCAGTCTTTGAAAACTCAGTTAAAGCAGCTGTGATTTAACCATGTTTGTCCCTTGTCAAGTGGCTTTCCTTCTTGTCTGGATTTTGCCCCCGTCTCCCTGCCATGCTGTGGCCATGTAAATAATTTAGATGCCTAGGGTGGTCTGGAGCATGTCCGTTTTATTTTTTTGTTTTTCGAGACAGAGTCTTGCTCTGTCGCCCAGGCTGAAGTGCACAGGTGTGATCTCGGCTCACTGCAACCTCTGCCTCCCGGGGATCAAGCCATTCTCCTGCCTTAGCCTCCCAAGGAGCTGGGGTTACAGGCACCCACCACCACGCCGGCTAATTTTTGTATTTTTAGTAGAGACGGGGTTTCACCATGTTGTCCAGGCTGGTCTTGAACTCCTGACCTCATGATCCACCTGCCTCAGCCTCCCAAAGTTCTGGGATTACAGGCGTGAGCCACTGGGTCTGGCCTGTTTTTCTGTTTGTTTGTTTGTTTGTTTGTTTGTTTGTTTTAAGATGGATCCTCGCTCTGTCACCCAGTCTACAGTGCAGTGGTGCAATCTCAGCTCACTGCAACCTCTGCCTCCTGGGTTCAAGTGATTCTCTGCCTCAGCCTCCTGAGTAGCTGGGGTTACAGGCGCACGCCACCACGCTCAGCCAATTTTTGTATTTTTAGTAGGGACAGGGTTTCACCACGTTGGCCAGGATGGTTTCAAACTCCTGGCCTCAAGTGATCGGCCCACCTTGGCCTCCCAAAGGGTGGGGATTACAGGCGTGAGCTGCTGTGCCCAGCCACATGTCAGTTTTCATATGGCCACCATCCACACATGAGGTCTGCATCAACTGGGGACCTGGTGACGATGCTCCCAGTGTGCACGTGGGAAGCACAGCCCAGTGGTAGCTGTTGTCCTCCTTCCTATGCTGGTTACCAAAAATGAGACTTACCTTGTCATAGGGCCAGATGTCTATGGCATCCGCCACCCAATCATTGCATAACCATGTTTAATGCGCTCCCCAAAGCAGATCTGGTGGGCTGAGCAGCTTGCAGGGGACAGCCTGGATGAATTGCCTGGAGAACTAGAGTTGGGAGCTTGCTTTATGTTGCTGCTTTATGACTGCAAGACTCGTGAGTTCCTAAATAGAAAGCAACAGGGTCCCTTTGAACTCCGGGCAGAGTCCAACTTTTAATGGCCTTGTTTTGATCCTGCGCCATTCAATTGTAAAATCTTGCCTGATTAGAGTCCCATCAGGCAAGGCCAGTACCGTCTAGGTATGGCCATGTTCATACCAACTCTAAGGACACAAACATTCATTTTACTGATTAACAGTTGAAATACACTCTCAGATTCAGCTGGGCTTGCACCTATGGTGTGAAGTAGATTTAATATTTACCAGTGGGAAGTTAACTCTCACAGAAATATAATATTGCCTTTTAGAACTATATATGAGACACACTCAGCTATTCATGGAGAAGAAGCAGTAAAGGACACCAGCATGTATTAAATGCCTACTGTGTGCTGGGCAATTATTATAGGATTTCATTTAATCTGCCAGCAACACTTTGAGTTGGAGAACCCCAGAGAGGTGGTAGAGTGTTCGGGTGAAGCATATGGCTTCTGAAGCCAAACTTCTTGCCTGCTTGAATTCCAGCCCTGCCAATTCCCAGCTGTATAACCTCTTTCTCTGCCTCGGTTTCTTCCTCTGTGAAGTGAAGATAATAACACCACCTACCCAGGATTGTGGGGAGGATTACATGACTTACTACATGAAAAGCACTTAAAATAGTGCTCAGTCCAGGCAAGCACTCAATAAATGTTAGCTAGCAATACTATAATCATCCTTTTTTGGCAGAATAAGGTTCAGAGAACTGAAGTGACTTGCCCACGATCACCCGTCTAGAAAACAGTAGAGCTGGGTCATTCCACTGCCTCCCCAGGGGAAGGACAGAATATAGAAAACAGGCCGGCACAGTGGTTCATGCCTGTAATCCCAGCACTTTGGGAGGCCGAGGCAGGCGGATCACCTGAGCTCAGGAGTCCGAGACCGGCCTGTCCAACATGGCGAAATCCCGTCTCTACTAGAAATGACAAAAAATTAGCTGGGGTTGGTGGTGCATGCCTGTAATCCCAGTCACTGGGGAGACTGAGGCAGGACAATCACTTGAACTTGGGAGGTGGAGGTTGCTGCGAGCCAAGATTGCACCACTGCACGCCAGCCTGGGCGACAGAGTGAGACTCTTGTCTCAAAAAAAAAAAAAAAAAGAAAAGAAAACTGTGACTCTTTAACAATTTTTTTTTGGTTTTGTTTTGTTTTTTGAGACGGAGTCTCGCTCTGTCACCCAGGCTGGAGTGCAGTGGCACGATCTTGGCTCACTGCAACCTCCGCCTCCTGAGTTCAAGCGATTCTCGTGCCTCAGCCTCCCAAGTAGCTGAGACTACAGGCATGTGCCACCACACCTGGCTAATTTATATGTTTTTAGTAGAGACGGGGTTTCACCATGTTGGTCAGGCTGGTCTCAAACTCCTGGCTCAAGTGATCTGCCCGCCTCGGCCTCCCCAAGTGCTGGGATTATGGGAGTGAGCCACTATGCCCGGCCAGTGCTTTATAATTTTTACAACAGACGGGTGAGGTAGGTACAGTAAATCCTCATTTAATGTCATCAGTAAGTTTTGGGAAACTGATTATAAGTTAAACGACATACAATGAAACCAATATTTTTTCCTCATCATAATAGTAAGATGTTGAAAGAAACAATGTTATAACAAGACAACTTTGAATGAAATGATGTTTTCGAGGACCTGCCATCCATTTCCAAGAACCTATCTGTGACATTAAGTGAAGACTTACTATTTGTATACTTTTTTTTGTTTCGAGACAAGGTCTCACTCTGTCGCCCAGGCTGGAGTGCAGTGGTGCAATCATAGTTCACTGCAGCCTCAATCTCTTGGGCTCAGGCAATCCTCCCACCCCAGCCTCCCAAGTAGCTGGAATTATAGGCACATGCCACCATGCCAATAAAAATTTTAAAATTTTATTCTTAGTAGAGACAGGGTCTTGCTGTGTTGCCCAAGCTGGTCTCAAACTCCTGAGCTCAGGCGAATTCACCCGCTTTGGCCTCCTGAAGTGCTGGGATTACAGGCATGAGCTACCACACCCAGTCTTGTATGCCTGTTTTTAAGATGAGGAAATTGAAGCTTGGAGAGGTTAAGGGAATCTGCTCCCAATCACACAACTTGAAAGTTAGGATTTGATACACACTGATGTGGAAGGATGCTGTAATATTAGCATGTGGACAGATGTGAGTGTATGTGCACTTGTGTGCAGTCAACTCAGGACTAGCTGAGGGTAGGAACTGTCAATCGCTCAAGGAACTTTCTCTCGGCCAGCCTGGCCATCAGCCTTGGAAGGTCAACTTGACCTGGTCGGCGTTGAGTGTGAGCTCCGACATGCACATTCCTAAGGTAGGTGAGTTGAAGGCACCGGAACTTCAAGGTCAGTAACCCTTTGATGGCCAGGCACGGTGGCTCCCGCCTGTAATCCCAGCACTTTGGGAGGCCAAGGTGGGAGGATCACCTGAGGTTAGGAGTTCGAGACCAGCCTGGCCAACATGGCGAAACCGCATCTCTACTAAAAATACAAAAAAATTAGCTGGGTGATCTGCCCACTTCGGCCTGCTGAAGTGCTGGGATTACAGGTGGGATCCACTGTGCCTGGCCAGTGGCACTTTTCAAAAAGCTCTTTCGGGTGATTCCTAAGCGCGTCCAGCGTTGAGAATCACCGTCCCGGATGCTTTGGATTCTCTACTTTTCTCTCTCTCCGTCCCCATTATTTTCCTAATTCATTCAGGCCACCAGGTGAGCGTGGCTGCAATAGACTCCTAACTGGCCTCCCTGCCTCCCTGTTCTTCACCGTGAACACTCAGGACAACCTTTCTATATATATTTTTTGAAACGGGGTCTCACTCTGTCGCCCAGGCTGGAGTACAGTGGCGTGATCTTGGCTCATCTTAACCTCCGCCTCCCAGCTTCAAGTGATTCTCCTGGCTCAGCCTCCTAAAGTGCTAGGATTATAGGTGTGAGCCACCACGTCCAGCCAGGACAATCTTTCTAAAACACCCCTCGGTTTGCTCCCTTGCATCAAGCCTCTGGCGGCTCCATCACCAGCATGGAAAGCCCACGCCCCTCATGTGGCACAGAAGGCTCTCGAGGGGCCCAGCTCCTGCCTGTTTTCTGGGCTCTTCTAGTCTCCTACTCTTTGTGATCTAGTGATACTGAACTTTTCATAGACGCCTGCTGTCGCCCTGTCTCTGTGCCTTCGTGGACCTCTTCTCTTGTGGAATGCCTTCCATCACTCTGGAGCAGCTTTTGCTCAGCCTTGAAGATGAAACTCAGGGGCTTAACTGCCACCCTGACTGATGTGAGGGGCCCAGCCTTTGTGCCTCTGCTGCATCCAGTGTTTTCCCACGTCCTGCTCCTTACACTGTTTTTTTTTTTTTTGGTTATTTTTTTATTTTTATTTTTTATTTTTCTTTACCTTGCTAGAATGTGAGCTGCGAGGCCAGGCGCAGTGGCTCACGTCTGTAATCCCAGCACTTTGGGAGGTTGAGGTGGGCGGATCACCTGAGGTCAGGAGTTCGAGACCAGCCTGACCAGCATGGTGAAACCTGTATTTACTAAAAATACAAAAAATTAGCTGGGCCTGGTGGCAGGTGCCTGTAATCCCAGCTACTTGGGAGGCTGAGGCAAGAGAATTGCTTGAACCTGGGAGGCGGAGGTTGCAGTGAGCCGAGATCGTGCCATTTCACTCCAGCCTGGGCAACGAGCAAAACTCCATCCAAAAAAAAAAAAAAGGGGGGCCGGGCGTGGTGGCTCACGCCTGTAATCCCAGCACTTTGGGAGGCTGAGGTGGGCGGATCACAGGGTCAGGAGTTCGAGACCAGCCTGGCCAAGACAGTGAAACCTCGTCTCTACTAAAAATACAAAAATTAGCTGGGCGCGGTGGCGAGCGCCTGTAATCCCAGCTACTCGGGAGGCTGAGGCAGCTTGAACCTGGGAGGCAGAGGTCACAGTGAGCCGAGATCATGTCACTGCACTCCAGCCTGGGTGAAAGAACTAGACTCTTGTCTCAAAAAAAAAAAAAAAAAGAATGTGAGCTGCGAGTACGGACCACATGTTGTCCATCCTTGTGTCCCTGTCACATAGCATGTCCTCGATTTACTTAATGAAATGCATGGCCTTACAGTGCTTCCTGATCCCAAGGCAGAGTTATGCATGTAGAGTGTTCCCCAAGACATCCCTAAGAGGTATATAACAGGCATTTAATAAGTACTTGTCACCTAATTATTTAACAAGACCATTTCCACCAAAAAAGTCCACATTCACTCATGTTTCAATTATAAATTTTATTTAAGAATACTGACTAACACAGGAAACAGATTTAATTCATGGAATTGTGCATATGGTCATCCGTTACATTGTGACATGTTAATTTTTTTTTTATCATTTATTGGCACTGTCAACAGATTACTTGTGAACAAGATCACTTTGTACGCTTAAGTCTGCGATGCTACTTAGCTATGGTTTTCTACCATGAGCTTATATATAGATAGGTGTAGGTATGTAGATACATTAATGCTATACACAATTTTGCATGGTTACTGAGCGTCAGTAAAAATTATGAAAAAACACCCATTTATAATAAAAGTGAGGATGTACTAAGACTTGCTATTACTGGACCTTGTTTTCTGTAAAAGTGATGACACTTGCTGGACGGTTACTAAACTCTATGGCACTAATGTATGATGGATTCATTTCCAGACTGTCGGCCACGGAAGCACTTCTTCATGGCCTCTGCCCTGGACAGCAGCCTGTCCTCCGGGCTCCCCATGTTTTTACCAGCTTCTGCTGAGTTTCTACAATCTTGAGCTCTGCTGAGAATTCTTTTCCTTGAAATTCTTCTAGCTAAAGCCCCAGCCCCCAAAAGAGCATGTCTCAGGAACTCATTATGCCCTGAGTCAACAAGAACTTGTTGATAAATGGCTTAAAAGTTTTTACAAGAAGTAACTTCCCTTGGTAAGGAGTAAATAATAGCTCTGGAATTTTCCAGATAAAACTATTTCATTTCTCTGTCAGTGCCCCATGGGGAGAGAACGAAATATTGGAGCCCCTCTCCCTACCAAAGAGAGCCACTTTTCTGGTTGTGCCCTGGCTTAAAACCCTTTGGACTCCGAGAACCATACTGAATATTTGCACCCAATGCTAAAGTTTTCAGGAGAAAGCATACTTAAGCCAATAAATGAATAATGGTTTGGTTTGCATTTTGCTTGCTTGTTAAATAAGGCCTTATTGAACCTTGGGATGCTGCCTGTGGAAACTGGCTTCCCCAGTGAAAGATGTGATGCCATGAACTGATACGCCTTTGCATATGCTGTTCCCTCTCTGCAACACCCTTCCTTGCCTTGCCTGCTTGGTGAACTCTGGCTCATTCTGCAAAACACTGCTCCAATGACACCTTTTCTTTGAAACCTCCTCTGACCCTTGGGTGAATGGTGGTTCTCCATCCGATTTCCTGATGCTTTTATTCACACCTCTGTCATAGCACTTGGCGCCTGCTTGAATTGTTAGTTTAAGAGTCTGTTGTTTCCAGTGGCATGTGAGCCCCCGGGGGCAGGGACAATGTTTTATCTCATCTTTGTATTCCCGATGCTCCGCACAGGGCCTGGGATGGTGCAGCTATTTAATGAAAGTTAGGTGAATGAATGAATGATGAATAAATGAATATAAAAATGAGGAAAACCTTGCAGAGAGTGGGAGGCATACATCACCACTTGGCTGGGAGTGCAGGTGACCTTAAACCTGGCAGAACTCCTGATTAAGAACGACGGATTAGCACTGACTGCAGGAATGCAAAATGAACAAGAATTCACGAATTTGTATATGTTAAACTTGTCATTGCCTTTCATTCTTCAACAAAAATAGGTCGATGACCAAGTCTGCGGAAGAGTGGAAGCTAAAAAAAAAAACCCTTACTTTGAGATCTTTGGACGATTTGTTATTAAAAGAGCAAAGTGCTGAATCAGGAACCTTGATATGCCTATTTCCAAAATAGTCAACCAAGGCACCGGGAGATGAAGAGGCTTCCTTTTGGACAGATAATACAAGCCAGGCTTTCTCAGACTCCCCACCAAATAATACTTCTCTGCTGTCAGGCTATCAAGTTCTCTTTTAGGAGCATTCGAGGTCAAATCAGTTCCCAGAGTGTCTCACCTCCAGCAGAGATGCTACAGCCTCAGCCACAGCCCCTTTAAGCATTTCGGTATCATCTGCCTGGTAATCTCCATACTCAGTCATCTCAGGAAAATCTCTCATTTCAGGAGGATCAAGTACAAGGAAACCACGTTGAACCAACAGGCCACTTTTCCATGCATGGAGCTCTGGCACCTTTAATTCATGGTGCTTCCCTCCAGAAGAAATCCAGTCCAGCAATGATTCCCTCTGCTCTGGTGGAACAGCCAAGCTGTTCCTGGGGGTCAGCTCACAAGTGGTGTGAAGGTGGATGAGCAAAAGAGAGGAAGAGCCTCTTAGGGCGAGGGAGCCAAAAGTCAGACCTCAAGTTGCCCTGGGAAACATGATGCGATGGCTCTGCTGCCCCAGACCCTGGGCTTTTCCTCCTGGGGTGACGGGCCTGTGCTTCTAGCCCTGTGGCTCACGTGTGTCCCTGTGGACACTCAGGCTACAGTTTCCTCCCACCCAGGTCCAGGTCTAGGTTGACATTTAACAGGGAGGAGGGAGTTTGGGGAATGGAGGATGCCGAGTAAGAATCACGGGTAAGGCCACCTGGGGATCCTCCAAGGGCAAAGCCCTGTCCAGGGCAGAATTCACAGTTTAGGGGGATCCCCAGGTGCACTGAGAGGGGTGATTCTCATCTTCAGGGGGCCAGAGGACCTCTTCCCTTACTCCT
The DNA here is from genome assembly GCF_000001405.40 of Homo sapiens. Classification (NCBI taxonomy): domain Eukaryota; kingdom Metazoa; phylum Chordata; class Mammalia; order Primates; family Hominidae; genus Homo; species Homo sapiens. The sequence continues at coordinate 8,781,997 of NC_000016.10, read as the reverse complement.
GAGCTGAATCCTCCTGTCCCCATTTTACGGCCTTCCTCAGATCTGTCCAGTCCCTCCTGCACCATGCGTGGGGCGTGCTCAGAGCTCCGGGAGGCTGGGAGAGGAGGTGAGAGTGTGTTTGCTTGCATAGGGCGAGGGGGAGCCAACATCCGTGATCACAGAATATGGCACTTGAGATGGACTGGCACCCAGGAGGCCCAGCTGCCAGTCCCAGGAACAAATGTAATGCCCTTGACTGGCTTTTGGAAAAATTGCTGGGGTTGGTCAAGGTTGGGCAGAACTCTAGCCAGGACCTCCCATGGCCCTTCCCAAGATGAGTCCAGGGCTCAAGCAGGATCTCTGGGCTTAAACCAATGTGCACCATTGGCTCTGCAGGGAGGAAAATCAACACCAGCCCTTCCCTCCCCTCCCCTCCCCCAAGACCACCAAAAATGCTCCCTCCCCACAAATCACCCTTCACTGTGCATTCACCTCTGATACTTTTAAGTGAAAACATGAATTAGGCAAACTAATCAATTTGACAACTGTTGGGATCCGGGCTTTCTCACTGTAGTGGAAATGGCTTCTTTACTTGAAGTCTGCTAAGATGTCACTGAAAATATTGAGGAACAGGTGAGCGTGGTGATCCCTGAAGACCAGCGTGGGACGGAAACGAATGGATTTGTCACCACAGCCACCCAACACCACACCTGAAAGAGGCAGGAGGTAGGTGAGGAGCGTGGTTTCTCAAAGTCACATGCTGGGAGAGCTGGGGGGAAAGTGATGCCTGTTGGCAACGCTCATCCATCCATCCATCCATCCATCCATCATCCTCCATCATGGAAGCCCGGGCTTCCTTCCTACCACCCACCCATCCAGTCTTCATTTCCTTTCTCTCTCCCCTCATTCATCTCCTCCATCATTCTCTTCTTCCTTTCCTTCCCTCCACACTTCCTTTTTCCCTTCCTCCCTCCCTCTCTCCTTTGAGTGCCTGCTTTGCTGCCCCAAGCTAGGTCTGGTGATAGAGAAATCCTGAGATAAAGTCCTTGCCTTCCACAAAGTCATGGAGGAGTGGGAAAAGAAAATAGGTAAGCAAATAAGTTGCAAAAGCACAGGCTGAGTCGGAAGCATGTGTGAGGTGCTGAGCTATTACGGAGGAGGGACAGGCTCTGCTTATTTTAAAGGGTGACTTCACAGTTACAGCTGGTGTCCTTTCCTTGTCGAGGTTGTTTATGCCTTTTTTTTTTTTTTTTTTAGAGATGGAGTCTCGCGCTGTCACCCAGGCTGGGGTGCAGTGGCAACCCAGTCTCACTCACTGCAACCTCCACCTCCCAGGTTCAAGCCATTCTCCTGCCTCAGTCTCCCAAGTAGCTGGGATCACAGGTGCCGCCACCACGGCCAGCTAATTTTTGTATTTTCAGTAGAGATGAGGTTTTGCCCCGTTGGCCAGGCTGGTCTCGAACTCCTGACTTCAGCTGATCTGCCCACGTCGGCCTCCCAAAGTGCTGGGATTACAGGCGTGAGCTACTGCACCCGGCCTGTTTATGCCTTTGAGACCACGTTTTCTCATTTTTAAAATGGAGGTTGATTATCCCTGCCCTTCTGAGGCTGCTGCAAGGATTCTGTAAGATGGCACAAGAAGAACTGACAATGTGCCTGACATAGAGTACGTGCTCTGATCTCACCACAGCGTCTGCCCTTACCCCTGCCACACATGTCCTCAGTGGCTTCCCACAGCTCCTAGGATGAAGTCTGGAGTGCTAAGCCTGATCTGCAGGCCCATGCGACCCGGGCCTGGCCTCTCCTCCCCCAGCTTCATCCCCTCCCAACCGTTCGCCTTCACGCCCCCTTCTTTCCCTTTTACCACCTCTGTAAGCTCCATCCCACCTCAGGCCATCGCATGCACCCTTCCCTCCGCCCAGAATGCTCTTCCTTACCTTCTTCACCCAGCCAATCCCTGTTTGTCAAGACTTAGGGTAAAATGCTACTTCCTCAAGGGAGCCTGCCCTGATTTCCTACCCTCACCAACTGCTGCAGCTATCTGCTCTCTTAGCTGCGTTTTCTCCTTCCCAGGACTTAAAATTGCAATGGATTGGTTGTGAAATGCCATGTGTAAAGCCATGCCTTCCTGCTACACTGCATGCTTCCTGAAGGAAGGGGCTCTGATGGTCTTCATCATCACTGTAACTGTCTCCAGTGTCCACTTACAACTCACCTCCTCAGCGAACGCTTGTTGAGTAAATAAATGGATAAAGAAATCCCATTTGTAATGTTCTCTTCTTTGGAGAAAGAGCATTCAGGCTCTTTTCAGACCTGTGTACCACCTGCCCCCCACACAAAATATTGCTGAGTACCTAGCAACATGTGGCAGCTACAGCAGGAGATACTGGATGCTCATGAAACTCAGCAGCCACTCCTGACCCCTTACCTTTGTTTCTGGCAATTAAAATGAGCTTATTCCGTATGGAATCATCGGGAGTATCGAAGGAGCAAAAGGTGCCTCGTCCTCTCACCCTGCTGATGAACTGGGGGTACCGGGCCTGTAGTGGGAGGAGACAAGGCTGGCGTCAAAGCCCATCACCTGTGTACCAGCTGGGCTTAATGGCTGTGCTTCGTCAAAGGCCTCCCATGGTCCAGCCTCGGCCTCTGCATGGACTGGCAGGACCTCCAGGGGGTTAAGAGCTCTGGGGACATTCAGGCCTGGGTTCAAAGCCCAGCTGTGCACATGTGTGTTGTGTGGAGGAAAAAAACCACCACCACCACCACCAGCAACAACAACCAAGCCCAGCTCTGTCCCTCTCACTGTATAACCTTGGGCCACTCAAGTGCCTCTGTTTACCCTGCTATAAACTGAAGGATTTAAATGCTGTTGACCCCACTGGGGCCGTGGTGAGACTTTAGCACGATAAGGTTCACATGTTAAGTCCTAAGCCTGGGGCTGGGCACTTGGTGGATGCTCCACAGATGTTAGCCATCTCCATCGTCAGCTCTTCTAGAAAGGTGGTTCTTCTGGAAGAAGAAATGCCTGTCCTCCCTCAGGGCTTTGAGACTGGGAGCTGTACTGGATTGAATAGTTTCCTCCCACTGCCCCCTAAATTCATGTTTACCTGGAACCTATGACTAGGACCTAATTTGGAAATAAGGTCTTCGCAGAAATAATTAGTTAGGTTAAAATGAAGTCTTCCTGCATTAGAATGGCCCCTAATGCAATGACTGTTTTTTGTTTTTTGTTTTTTTTTTTTGAGATGGAGTCTCACTCTGTTGCCCTGGCTGGAGTGCAGTGGCACTATCTCGGCTCACTGCATCCTCTGCCTCCCAGGTTCAAAGATTCTTGTGCTTCAGCCTCCTAAATACCTGGGATTACAGGCACCTGCCATCACACCTGGCTAACTTTTTTTTGTAGTTTTAGTAGAAACTGGTTTCACAATGTAGGCCAGGCTGGTTTCGAACTCCTGACCTCAAGTGATCCACCTGCCTTGGCCTCCCAAAGTGCTGGGATTACAGGTGTGAGCCACAGCGCCCGGCTCAATGACTGGTATCTTTATAAGAAGAAGACAATCTGGAGACAGACACAGGCACAGTGGGGAGAACACCAAGTGACGCCAGAAGCAGAGTGAAGCCTCCACACGTCAAGGAACATGAAGGATTCCCGGCAGCCACGAGAAGGTGGAGAGGGGCATGGAACAGATTCTCCCCCAGAGCCTCGAGAAGGAGCCAACTCTGCTGAAACCTTGATTTCAGACCCTGGCCTCCAAACTGTGAGAGAATAAATTCTTGTTTTAACCCACACAGTTTGTGGTGATTTTTTACAGCAGACAAGGAAACAAATGCAGGTGCCTAGTCTGGAGGACCTTGATTTCACCTTACTCTCTGCTGTCCATATGAAGGACAGCAAACAAGGGCTTGGAAAACCCCAAATAATTTCAGGGTACTGGGGGCTGAGTTGGGGGAGCAAGTCTTATTTCACGGCAGCTCATTGGTAGAAACTGGAGACATGGTCCTATTCTGGGGGTGACAGAGCCGGGCACCGTGTTAGACACTTATGTGCACAATTTGTTTCTTTTTGTGGAGTATGGGTTCTCACCATGTTGCCCGGGCTGGTCTCAAACTCAGTTGAGCTGAAGGCAATCCTCCTGCTTCTGCCTCCCTAAGTACTGGGGTTACAGGCATGAGCCCCTGTGCCTGGCAGTGGGCACATTCTTGAATCCCCTGCCAGTGAAGAAGGGCTCACTTTGGTCTACACAGATAAGGAAACTGAGGCTCAGAAGTCCTTCCAGCACTTACTCTAGCATGTTCCTTGCACTTGTCAATTGCTGGGGAGCTGGCAGTTTGAACACACCCCTCCCTCTCCCACAGAGTGTGGCCCTGGGATGGTTTAGATTAAAGTCTCTTCCATTTAGACACCCCTTTAGGCCTGCCTGCCACACTCACACACACACATCCCCACACGTCCTTACGGTTAGGAGTGACCACGTGACCAGCTCTTAATCAAGTGTTAGAAGTATTATGTGAGATTTCTGGGAAGGCTGCTAAAGACAAGAAGGGGGCCACTCTGTCCTTCCCTTCTTTTTCCTTCCTATTGCCTGGAATTGAGATGCGATGGCTGGAGCTCCAGGAGCCATTTTGGCCCATGACGAAACCTTGAGGGTAGAGAGTAATCCAGCTCCAGCAGGGGAGGGCAGTGCTGCCGAGTGGTAAGTATGCAACAGGTTGCACAAAGGCGGGAATAATGAACACACTAGAGGGGGTGAGAGAGGGAGTGCTTGGGGGACTCTCAAAGGGGGGATGTCTGAAATTGGTGTCAAAAGATAACCAGGGCCGGGCACGGTGGCCCATGCTCGTGAAATCCCAGCACTTTGGGAGGCTGAGGCAAGCGGATCACCTGAGGTCGGGGGTTCGAGACCAGCCTGGCCAACATGGTGAAACCCTGTCTCTATTCAAAATACAAAAAAATTAGTAGGGCATAACGGCACATGCCCGTAATCCCAGCTACTTGGGAGGCTGAGGCCGGAGAATCTCCTGAACCCAGGAGGCAGCGGTTGCGGTGAGCTGAGATTGCGCCACTGCACTCCAGCCTGGGTACAAAGCAAGACTTGGTCTCAAAAAATAAATAGACAAATAAAATAAAATAAAATAAATAAGAAAGATAACCAGTGCCGGCAGGCGCTGCCCAGCACTTTGGGAGGCTGAGGTGGAAGGATCGTTTGAGGCCAGGAGTTCAAGGCCGGACTGGCTAACAGAGCTTGACCATGTCTCAATATTAAAAAAATAAAAAATAAATTAAAAAAAACAACAACAAAGAAAACCAGGAGTTCAGGAATAGGGGTTGGAATGGGATGGAGGGATAGGGAGGCATCCCCTGCAGAGGACACAGCATGTGCAAAGCCCCCAAGGCTAGGAGCAGCACAGCCCGTTACGAACTGCTGGAACAGCAGGCACAACACCATGCCGAAGAGCTCCAGTGTTGCCCCGGAGGCTGCTGCGGGGAGCCATGGGTGGTGGGGGCGGGGCAGGGGAGGGGGTGTTACCTGGAGGTCCAGCAGTCCTGTGAGCAGGGCCTTCCCGGCATGGGCTGCATTATTTAGCAGGTCCTCCCGCTTGATGATGTTGATGACCTCAGCCAGCAACAGGTTCTTGGACGGGTCCCCCAGCCAGGTGTTGAAGATCCGGTAGGGCTGGAATGAGGAACGGGTGTTGGAAGGCTTCACACACATGCACACCCTGCAGGAGTCACTTACCCCAGGCGCCCCGCCTCCTCTCTTGAAGAGGAGAGAAACTAATCTAGTGGGCATCTACCAGAGGCTGGCAGGGGAACACACCCAATCTCGCTGAATTCTTCTCTACCAGAGGCTAGCAGGAGAACACACCCAATCTTGCTGAATTCTTCCAACAGCAGCCCTGCATGTAGGAACTGCTATGGGGAGGACCAAATCGTCCCATGCACTGGGAAATCCCTCAGTCCCAGGAAACCAAGACAGTCAGTTCCTTAACTCCTATAACCCTCATTTTATACAGGAGGAAGCTGAGGTTCTGGGAGGCTAAGTGATTTGTCTAAGGCAAACGTGACTTACAGATGGAGTTGGGACTGGATTGCTGGCAGTGACCCTCAAAGATCATCCACTTTACCCCTCCATGAATGATTTAGGGTGGCCATGCGGCTAACTGAAACACCCTTCCCAGCCTCCCTTATGGCTAGAAGTGGCCATGTGACTGGGTCTTAGTCAAGTATTGGAAATAGACATATTATGTGAGATTTCTAGAAAGGCTGCTAAAGACAAGAAGGGGGCCACTTTGTCCTTCCCTTCTTTTTCTTTCCTACTGCCTAGAATTGAGATGTGATGGCTGGAGCATCAGAAGCCATTTTGGACCATGAGGCAACCTTGAGGGTAGAAACTACATGTAGGAATGGTGAAAGGACGTTGGCCCCTGATGGCTGTGTGTGTGTGTGTGTGTAAATCTGTATGCACACATGGCAGTACACAGTGTAGTGGGTAAGAGTATGGGCTCTGGGTTGGAATCCTGGCTTTGTCACTTAACAGGCTGTGTGACCTTTGACAAATTACTTAACCTCTCTGTGCCTGATTCCTCATTAGTCAAATGAGGATAAAAATAACAGCTACTTGGTTAGATTGTTCTCAGGATTAAAAGTATATGAGAAATACTTAGAACTAGGCACATAGCAAATGCTCAGTCTGCTGCGGCAGCTGTCGATGATATTATTGTGTGTGCACACAGAGAGAAAACAGGAAAAGGCTGATGGTGGACTGTTCCAGAGTTGGCCTTACAGAGAGAGCTGGGAGGGCACACCACTGCTAATTGCATTGATAAGAACTGGGACTTAGAAAACCTGCGACCCAGTAAGTGCCCACCCAGCTCCTCGATGGTGAGAAAGGAACAGTTAGGAGAAGAGGATGCTCCCTTCTCTGCCCTGGATGTAGAGAGAAGGTTGGCTCCAACTCACAGCATTAGGCCTGAACTCCTCCTTGTGGAAGAAGCCCCCAGTCATCATCTTCTTGCTGAAGGTCATCACGTCTGCTGGGTCATCCAGGCCCCAGTGCTCATGGGCCCAGAACTTGCCCGTGCAGCCTCCTCCGGTCTGGACCTCGTCCACCAAGAAGGCGCAGCCATGCTGGCCGGAGAAGAGAGAGGAGGGAGAAATAAACACCCGTGGGAGGCCAGAAATTCATGCCCTCCATAGCCAGCTAACTGCCAAACCCTGGGTCCACACACATCGTGCTTGTTTTCTGAAGAGCAAACCAGCCCCATGTTCTTGAGCTGTGCACAAAAAAAACTAATCAAAACACTTAAGCTGAGCAGTTCCAACCAGAGCTGAATCTGAGTGTTTCCTAAAACTGCTAAGCTGGACCAAAAAAACCCAGAACATTAAATACTCCCTGCACCAACACAGAGCGGTATGTCATCTGGCTTCAGTCTCGGGTCTCGACCTCGTCAGAGGGAGCTGTGTCCAACAGTGAGGCCTCGAATGTGCTTCTCAAACTTCAGCTGCCATGTTCTGCTTGTCACCAAGGCTATTTCTAACTCAGCATCTGTGTTAAGTCAACTCACGTCTTATAACTTTTATCTGTGAACTTATCGGTTTGATTGCCAGTTATATATGCACAAGACATTAAAACAAACACACAATATAAAGAAAGCAAATCAGTGTGTCAAAGAGATACCTGCACTCCCATGTTTATTGCAGCACTGTTCACAATAGCCGAGATACAGAATCAATCTGTCCATCGATGGATGAATGGATAAAGTAAATATGGTACATATACACACTCGGCAAGGCGCGGTGGCTCTCACCTGTAATTCCAGCACTTTGGGAGGCTGAGGCGGGCAAATCACCCAAGGCCAGGAGTCTGAGCCAATCAGCCTGGCCAACATGGCGAAACCCCGTCTCTACTGAAAATACAAAAATTAGCTGGGCATGGTGTCGTGCACCTGTAATCTCAGCTACTTGGGAGACTGAGGCAGGAGAATCACTTGGACCCAGGAGGCAGAGGTTACAGTGAGCCAAGATCGTGCCACTGCACTCCAGCCTGGGCAACAGAGTGAGACTGTCTCAAAAAAAAAGAAAAAGAAAATATGGTACATATACACAAAGAAATACTATTCAGCCATAAAAAGAATGAAATTATGTCATTAGCAATGACGTGGATGGAACTACAGGACATTATGTTAAGTGACATAAGCCACACATACACAAATATTGCATGTTCTCACTCAGGTGGGAACTAAAAACACTTCCCTTATGAAGAAATAGAGTCGAATGACGCCTATCAGAGGCTGGCAAGGCTAATGGGGAGGTGGAGATAAATAGGGGTTGGTTAATGGATACAAAAGTACAGTTAGATAGAAGAATAAGATCTAGTGTCCAGTAGCACAATAGGGTGATTTTAGTTAATAATTTATTGCATAGTTCAAAATAGGAGTGGATTTGGAATATTCCCAATACAAAGAGATGATAAATATTTTAGGTGATGGATATCCAATTACCCAGATTTGATCATTACGCACTGCAACTATTATGTATCCAAAAAGGTTTTTTAAAAAGATTTTAAGGCCAAGTGTGGTGGCTCAGGCCTGTAATCCCAGCACTTTGGGAGGCTGAGGTGTGCAGATCACCTGAGGTCAGGAGTTCAAGACCAGCCTGGCCAACATGGCGAAATCTCGTCTCTGTTAGAAATACAAAAATTAGTTGGGTATGGTGACGTGTGCCTGTAGTCCCAGCTACTCGGGAGGCTGAGGTAGGAGAATCACTTGAACCTGGGAGGTAGGGGTTGCAGTGAGCTGAGATTGCACCACTGCACTCCAGCCTGGGTAACAGAGTGAGACTCTGTCTCAAAAAAAAAAATATATATATATGTGTGTGTGTGTGTGTGTGTGTGTGTGTGTGTGTGTGTGTGTATAGTTTTAGGGAAGAATCCCCATTCTTTCACCAACCCCAACTTCTCCACCCCTGATGCTGACAGACAGCCTCTGCAAGTCTGGAGATTGACAGAAGCTCCAAGGCAGAGGTGCTGCTGGCCCGTTACTCGGGGAACTCAACCCAGAAAACCCAATGGCTCCATCCAACCTCGGCCCTGTCCACTGACCTTCCTGGCGATGTCTCTCAGCTTCCGAAAGAAGTCATCGGATGCGTGGTTGTCTCCACCCTCGGACTGGATGGGCTCCACGATGATCCCGGCCACCGTCTTCTTCTTTTTCCGATATTTCACAATCAGATCCTCCACCTGGATCCCAAAGGGGAAAGTGACCACCGATGGCAGAGGCTTGTGACCAGTATCCGTGGGTGGGAATCTGGGGTTCGATGAGCCCCATGCAATTTTATTGGAAATGTGTTTGTGTGCATTTCCTAAGACCAGTGAAGCCTCTGTTAGAAGCTATGTGTGTGGATGGGAATGTATCCTACTTGAAATCGGTGCTAGCACCTGGGTGGATACAAACTAATAAATTGGGGCAAGTAATTTAGCTTCAGAAGCCTCACTTTCCTGATGTGTTGTATGGGCACACTGACAGAATCCACCTTCCAGGGTCGTGGAGAGGACTGAATGAGAAAATATAGCACTATGAGTTGATTGCTGGGCCAGATGTTTTAGCTGTGGTTCTGCCTCTGTTTTACATGGAACATGCACCTGTCACTTAACCTTGTTATGTGGGAAATAGCTACATCACGGGTATATTGAGAGAAATAAAGGTGAGAGCATTCACACACACACACACACACACACACACACACACACACACACACACACACACAGAGACAGAGAGAAAATACAGCAGAGTCTGGCACACATAAAGTGGTGGCTGCTACTATTACGATTAGCACGACTATATTATTATTGATTATTATTGTTCCTATTCTTACAGTATTATTGCTATGATTGGTGTGAGAATCCTTTTGGGGCAGAATCGGAGATATATCCTCGGTTAAAAAACTGTTCTAAGGGCCAGGTGTGGTGGCTCACACCTGCAATCCCAGCACTTTGGGTGGCTGAGGCAGGAGGATACCTTGAGGCCAGGAGTTTGAGACCAGCCTGTGCAACATAGCGCGGTTCATGTCTGCAAAACATTTAGAAATTAGCTGGGCATGGTGGCTGCGTGCCTGTAGTCTCAGCTACTTGAGAGGCTGAGGTGGGAGGACCCCTTGAACCAGGACTGTGAGATCGCAGTGAGCTATGACCACACCACTGCACTCCAGCCTGTGCAACACAGCAAGATCCTGTCTTTGTTAAAAAGAAAGAGGCTGGGCATGGTGGCTCACACCTGTAATCCTAGCACTTTGGGAGGCTAAGGCGAGCAGATCACCTGAGGTCAGGAGTTCCAGACCAGCCTGGCTACCATGGTGAAACCCCATCTCTACTAAAAATACAAAAATTAGTTGGGCATGGTGGCTCACGCCTGTACTCCCAGCTACTCCAGTGGCTGAGGCACGAGAATCGCTTGAACCCAGGAGGTAGAAGTTGCAATGAGCCGAGATATCGTGCCACTGCACCCCAGCCTGGGCAAGAGAGTGAAACTCTGTCTCAAAAAAAAAAAAAAAAGAAAGAAAAACCCTAAACCGTACACCTAGATAGACTAACAAGTGAAAGCTTTCTTTATTATGTACAATTAAGAAAAAGCCTCTGTTTGGGTGATATGATTTTGACCTTGGTCTCCACCAGTCACCCCAAGGAAGCTCTGAGATACTTTTCTTGGTTTTCTTTTTTTTTTTTTTGAGATGGAGTTTTACTCTTGTTGCCCAGGCTGGAGTGCAATAGCGCAATCTCAGCTCACCGCAACCACCACCTCCCGGGTTCAAGTGATTCTCCTGCTTCGGCCTCTGGAGTAGCTGGGATTACAGGCATGCACCACCATGCCCGGCTAATTTTGTATTTTTAGTAGAGATGGGGTTTCTCCATGTTAGTCAGGCTGCTCTTGAACTCCTGACCTCAGGTGATCTGCCCGCCTCAACCTCCCAAAGTGTCGCAGTTACAGGCATGAGCCACCGCGCCCGGTTTTTCTTTGTTTTTAGAGCATTGTGCTGTAAGTGTAAAATACACACAGTGTTTCAAAAACTGAATACGAAGAAAAGGACTATCTTAGTTTGTTTAGACCTAAATAAATGAATTTTTAAAATAAAGGAATTTTTAAAAAGGAATATAAAAATCACATTGTTTAAAAATACTAATTACACATTTACGTGATAATATTTTGAATATATTCGGTTCAATAAAATGCTCTGAAAATGAATTTCACCTATTTCTTTGTAATTTTAAAAAACGTGACTCCTGGCCACGCACGGTGGCTCACACCTGTAATCCCAGCAATTTGGGAAGCCGAAGTGGGCAGACCACTTGGGCCCAGGAGTTTGAGACCAACCTGGGCAACACGGCAAAACCTGTTTCTGCAAAAAATACAAAAATTAGCCAGGTGTGGTGGTGTCATGTGCCTTAGTTCCAACTACTCAAGAAGCTGAGGTGGGAGGATCACCTGAGCCCAGAGAGGTCGAGACTGCAGTGAGCTGTGATTGCACCACTGCACTCCAGCCTGGGTGACAGAGTGAGACCCTGTCTCAAACAAAACAAAAGAAAAGAAGGCCGGCGCGGTGGCTCACACCTGTAATCCCAGCACTTTGGGAGGCCGAGGCGGGCGGATCACAAGGTCAGGAGATCGAGACCATCCTGGCTAACACGGTGAAACCCTGTCTCTATTAAAAATACAAAAAATTAGCCGGGTGTGGTGTCAAGCGCCTGTAGTCCCAGCTACTCAGGAAGCTGAGGCAGGAAAATGGCATGAACCCAGGAGGCGGAGCTTGCAGTGAGCTGAGATCGCGCCACTGCACTCCAGCCTGGGCAACAGAGCTAGACTCCATCTCAAAAACAAAGCAAAACAAAACAAAGCAAATGTGACTCCTTGGCAGTTTCCAGGCAGGGTGTAAAAATGAAAGAAAAGGTGACTACTGGAAAAGCTATAATTACATATGTGGCTTGCATTATATTTCTATTGGACAGTGCTGTACTTGATGCCATTATCTTGTCTTTTCTATTTACCACTGAATACCCAGCACCTAGCACCTTGCTTGACATCTAGTAGGTGCTCAATAAATATGAACTGATTGAAAATGATGATGTGCCTAAGAAAAAAACCAGCAGCCTTATTTGAGTTCAAATCTATACCCAAACAGTGATATTTTTTTCCAGCTGCAGATTACTTCCAATGTCTTCCCTGGAACCCCCATATACTGAGTGGATCTAAAGAGGGCTGTGTTAGATGACGTGGAAACGGGGGGTAGGGGGGTGCTGCCTGTCCTCAGCCTCTCCCATAGCATCCCCCGACCCACAGCAACTCAAAGCCCCAAGACTCAGGAGAAGACAAAACCAGTGGTTTAGAGGATCTTGTGGAACCATTTTTTCCTGTGGGATATCCCATATTCTTTCTTTCTCTCTCTCTCTTTTTTTTTTTTTTTTTTTTTTGGACAGAGTCTCACTCCGTTACCCAGGCTGGAGTGCAGTGGTGCAATCTTGGCTCATTGCAACCTCTGCCTCCCGGGTCCAAGGGATTCTTGTGCCTCAGCCTCCCTAGTAGCTGGGATTACAGGCATGTGCCACCACACCCAGCTAATTTTTAGTAGAGATGGGGTTTCACCATGTTGGCCAGGCTGGTCTCGAACTCCTGGCCTCAGGTGATCCTCCCGTCTCAGCCTCCCAAAGTGCTGGGATTACAGGCGGAGCCACCGTGCCCAGCCCCATATTCTTTCAACTGATCTGTTTTCTCTTATTTTAGAGTCATTGACTCTTGTCTTCCAAGAAACTTAAGTGATACAGAAATTGGTATCAGAGTTGGGTGATGGATGCTGTGACAGAAACAGTGTGTCTCACGAACTCTCCCAACATAGAACATTTGGGACGCAAGGCCTCTGTGTCCCTGCTTCCCTCTGGGGGAGCACTGCACAGATCCCCAGATAAACCCTTCATCTGTTTCTCTTCTCCCCAAGTCTTGGGGCGGCAAGAGCAACAGGACTGGTGGTTGGGGAGGATCCGCAGGGTATGAGCATTACCTCTTCCAGACAGCGGGCCTCCTCCTGTTGGTTCTCTTTCACAAACTCTTCCAGAGGGTATTTCAGCCGTGGGAACGGTGCGATGGGCCAGTCAAAGGAAGGGATGTCGATCTTGTGAATGGCTTTAGAGTGCGTGGTCGCTAAGCAACCTGAGTTCAGCAAAACAGAAAAGCAGACGCTTGGCTTGGGGAAGCAGGCAGTACCGTCTTTGTAAAGGAGATGATAGACATTTCAGCGCAAGGCTGTCAGTGGGCAGGGAGGCCTGTTGCCTGTGAAACCCCAGTTCTTTTTATCGTTTAATTTTTAATTTTTCTGGGTGCATAGGAGGTGTATATACTTGGGGAGTACATGAGATGTTTTGATACTGAACCCCAGTTCTCATCCGGAAGCTGAAGGGGGACTCTCGAACCCTTAATTGGCATGCGTGCGTGGGTATGTGTTTGCATTGCGATTAATCACAGATGCAGCGCAGGCTTTGAAGACAGAGTCAAGAGTTCCAGTCCCGGCTCTGTCACTGAATAGCCTTGGAAATTCTTCCTCTTCCTGAACACTGATTCCCCCATCTGCAAAGCAGGAATAATAATCCCCACTCTGCAGTGGGATTGTGTGCAATCAGTGGGACAATATGTGTAAACTGCTAATGTCAGCCGCCGCTATTGTTGCCGTTATTATTACTATTCTAAACGCCACCTTGGGAGCGCAATGGTCCCTCCTTACCCATGGTCCTCCCATGGAACGCGCCCATGAAGGAGAGGATGCTGTAGTCGGGGCAGCCAGGGGCCTAAAACCAAGAAATATCAGTCATTAGTCATAGTTGTAAGGATGGGGGAACTGTATTGTTGCCCCTGCAAGTCCAGAGGGACACAGAAATCTATCAGAAGAACCAGGAATCCTTCTCAGGCAAAAGTTACCCATGGGACCAATGGGGTCTATATCCAAGACACACGTTTTATTTGCATACATACTTACATTTTTTTTTTTTTAAGTCACAAATTTTAGGCTGGGTGTGGTGGCTCACACCTGTAATCCCAGCACTTTGGAAGGCTGAGGCAGGCGGATCATCGGAGGTCAGGAGTTTGGGATCAGCCTGGCCAACATGGTGAAACCCCGTCTCTACTAAAAATACAAAAATTAGACAGGCATGGTGGTGGGGGCCTGTAATCCTAGCTACTTGGGAGGCTGAGACAGGAGAATCGCTTGAACCCGGGAGACAGAGGTTGCAGTGAGCCGAGTTCGCGCCACTGCACCCCAGCCTGGTCAACAAGAGCGAGACTCTGTCTCAAAACAAGTTGCAAAATTTAAAACTAAGAAATTTCACATAGAGACCTGAACTTCTGGCTTCTCACCAGTGCTGCACTGTTTGGACCCATTTTCCTCCTGTGGCAGCTGTAAGTGGCCAAGCAGTACCCACTGCCCGCCTACCTCCAGCTGCTGGGGACTCCTGGGTTTTCAGCCCCTTTTCTACAGGCTCTTCAACTTCCTCCCCATCCCCTGGCTCCCTACTACTCAGGCCTCCTCAGGTGTCAGGCGGGTCAGGTGCTGATGGGTGCACGCCTGCATCCCAGGGTGACCAAGGCAAGGGGCCGAGCTGGGCACCTTGCAGGAAAACCCCCAGGCCTTTGGAAGGGGTCTGTGGTGCTAGAAAGCGGGTGAGGGGAGCCCCTCTCCGGGCACTCTCCCATGGCAGCTGCGCCTTGGGTTCAGGAGGGGTGCATGGACGCCCTGTCCCTTTCCAGCCCCAAGCAAATGGCACAGCTGCAACTCCTTGCATTGTTTTCTGACTCTTCACCCAGCAAGGGAATCCAAACATGTTTCCAGCTGATTCAGGCAGAACTGCTGGAGGTGCCTCAGAGGGAACTGTGGGGGCCCCCAAGTCTCAAGGAGGTTGGCATTGTCTCAGGCTGGTTGAGCACCAATTCCCTGAGACCTCTGGGAAAAACCCTAAGAACTCCTCCCACAGATTCCAGAAACCCTCTTGTACTTTTTTTGTTTTGTTTTGTTTTTGAGATGGAGTCTTGCTCTGTCGCCAGGCTGGAGTGCAGTGGTGAGATCTCGGCCTACTGCAACCTCCGCGCCCGTCGGGTTCAAGCGATTCTCCTGCCTCAGCCTCCCGAGTAGCTGGAATTACAGGTACCCGCCACCACATCTGGCTAATTTTTGTATTTTTAGTAGAGACAGGGTTTCGCCATATTGGCCAGGCTGGTCTGGAACTCCTGACCTCGGGAGATCCACCCGCCTCGGCCTCCCAAAGTGCTGGGATTACAGGCGTGAACCACAGCAGCCGGCCTTTTGTTTTTGTTTTTGTTTTTTTGTTTGTTTTGAGAGGAGTCTCACTCTGTCACCCAGGCTGGAGTGTAGTGGTGTGATCTCGGCTCACTGCAACCTCCACCTCCTGGGTTCAAATGATTCTCCTGCCTCAGCCTCCCAAGTAGCTGGGATTACATGCATGTGCCACTATGCCCGGGTAATTTTTGTCTTTTTAGTAGAGATGGGGTTTCACCATATTAGCCAGGCTGGTCTTGAACTCCTGACCTTGGGTGATCCGCCTGCCTTGGCCTCCCAAAGTGCTGGGATTAC
This sequence comes from Homo sapiens, assembly GCF_000001405.40. Taxonomy (NCBI): domain Eukaryota; kingdom Metazoa; phylum Chordata; class Mammalia; order Primates; family Hominidae; genus Homo; species Homo sapiens. The sequence goes on along the minus strand of NC_000016.10, from coordinate 8,766,396 downwards.
AGGCATGAGCCACCGCGCCTGGCCTGGCCCTTCCTAATTGAGGACAGTGCCAGCCAGCCAGCAACAGCCCGGGAGAGGCTGTGCAGCTTCCCCAGATGTACGTGGTGCAAGCCCAGCTGCACTCACCTGGTTAATCATGCACGTCTCCAGCTCCTCCTGGGAGAAGCCCCTCTGCCCTCTTTCCTTGCTCTGAAACAATAGAACAGAACAAAATCTCAGAGATGCTCTGGGGTAGTCGGGGCTTCATCTTTCCAACCAAACCGATATTCAGTCCAGACAAGTAGAAAGTGCTTTCTCAGGAGTGGATCTCATGTATTAATTGTTGCAGGTCTGTACTGAAACGTGAGGCTACCAACTGTGCTCGCAACAAAAGAAACTAACACACATAATGCATTAAGCACCATCAGCAACGATTAAGATCTGTTGGATTAAGATCTGCTGAGAGCGTTGCATGTTTTGCCAGGAAGAATGGAGGCCAGATGTGCGGGCTCAAATCTGTAATCCTAGTACTTTGGGTGGCTAAGACAGGAGGATTGCTTGAGGCCAAGAGTTTGAGACCATGCTGGGCAACAAAGTGGGACTCTGTCTCTGCAATTTAGAATATTTAAATAAATTTAAATTTAAATATTTAAATAAAATAACCTAGAGGCACAACCCAGAGACCTTGGCTTGCCTGGAAGGGTTTTTTTTGTTTTTGTTTTCGTTTCTGTTTTTGTTTTTTTACAGGGTCTTGCTCCTTGCTCTTGCTGTGTCTCTCAGGTTGGAGTGCAGTAGCATGATATCAGCTAACTGCAGCCTCGACCTCCCAGGCTCAAGTGATCCTCCCACCTCAGCCTTCCAAGTAGCTGGGACAACAGGCAGGCACCACCGCACCCAGCTAATTTTTTGTATATTTTATAGAGACGGGGTTTCACCATGTTGCCCAGGCTGGTCTTGAACTCTTGGACTCAAGTGATCTGCCTGCCTCAGCCTCCCGAAGTGCTGGGATTACAAGTGTGAGCCACTGTGCCCAACCTTGGAGGGGAATTTAAGGAGCATTTTCTTCTTCTTTTTTTTTTTTTGAGACAGGGTCTTACTCTGTCACCCAGGCTGAAATGCAGTGGCACAACCATGGCTCACTGCAGCCTTGACCTCCCAGGCTCAAGCAATCCTTCCACCTCAGCCTCCAGAATAGTTGGGACTACAGGCATGCGTCACCATGCCTGGCCAATTTTTGAATTTTTTTTTAGTAGAGATGGGGTTTCGTCATGTTGCCCAGGCTGGTCTCGAGCTCCTGGGCTCAAGTGATCTGCCCGCCTTTGCCTCTCAGAGTGTTGGGATTACAGGTGTGAACGACTGCGCCCAGCCCCCATTGCATAGTTTTGATGCCAAAGCCTCAGCCCTCTGCACCATACCCCACTGTGCCGTCTCAAAGTACCATCCAGCAGTGGCCCTCCCTGTATTTTAACCCTGGTACTGATGTCTAATACTCCAGCCCATTGGAATGAACAGTCAGACAAGGGGTGAGCGTGTGGCTGGGTGCTGGGGAGCCTGTGTGTGTGTGTGTGTGTGTGCCCCAAACCTCACCCGGTACCACATGAAGATGGTCTTTAAGGCGTTTTCATTGGAGCAGGAGCCGCAGGCCATGGTGATGAGCTGGGACATCCCTTTGGGAGCCACCTGTGGGGAGGGAAATAGCCGTGAGCCCAGGCTCATCATGACTCCTGTCCTCCCGCTTCCCCTGGCTGGAGCTGAATCTTCGCAGGGGCCGTACCGGGGACAGACAGAACCAGGGCTGTCCTGGAAGGTGTCGGACTGGGAGGGTGGGCTCAGGCTTTTCCAGGGGTGGCGGAGAAGCCCAGGGAGGCCCTGAGGCTGGCAGAGAGGAAAGAAGGGGGGCAAAAGCCCACTCCTGATGCACCTGCCACTGTCTAAGACACCTACACGTTCCAGGCGGGACGTTGAGGCTCCCAATGGCTTTAATCGTTTGTAGTAACTAAAACCGAGAAGTGGGGGCAGGATTGAATGACATATGCAAGGCTCCTATCATGCGACACATATTCATTTCCCCAGCTCCTTTTGTCCTGCACACAAAGAATCCCTTCTGTCCTTTAAAAGAAAAATTTAAAATACTCTGCATGGAAGAATAAGCTCAGAGAGAAAGATTTCTGTAGCAACACCTTATTCTTCATTGTTGGCGTCTCCACTTTTCCCTTCCCCTGCCAGTACCACGTCTGAAGACAATGGGATTGCTTCTCCAGAACTCACCGAGAGCAAGGACTGCCGGAGCTTCTCCACAAAGTTCTCCGGAGGCAGGATTCCGAGGGCGGGTCTGTTGACAAACATGCTCTGCAAAAGGGCAAGAGACAAATGGTGACTTCTGGGGGCCTGACCCAGCTCCCTGCCCACAAATGGTGCTTTTCATAGCCCCTGTGTTCAAATAGCCTCCAAATGGGGTTGCAGGATGATGACGTTCTGTCAGCGTGGGGCATGGCCGGTTTCCTTAAACCTTTAGAGAAATCCACTAGGATTGCTGTGGATGTTTTAAAAAAGGGTCAGTGTCCTGGTTGCCATATTGCATTGGCGTTATATAGGATGCTACTGCCGCTGGGGAAAACTGAGCGAAGCGTACATGGGGCTCTTTGTACTGGTTTTTGCAACTTCCCGTGAGTCTCTTTCTTTATATATTTAACCATCAGAATGGCTAAAAAACAGGCAGAGTGCAGTGCCTCACGCCTGTAATCCCTGCATTTTGGGAGGCCGAGGCGGATGGATTGCTTGAGGCCAGGAGTTCGAGACCAGCCTGGCCAACATGGTGAAACCTTTTCTCTGCTAAAAATACAAAAAGGGACTTTTGGAGTAGAGAAAGAGTGTCTTGGGCAAAATCAGTGTAATGCACTCAGTGCAAATCCAAAAACCAGCATCACTGTATAGGACACCCTAAGGGCAGAGGGGTTCCCAGAGATGATTCTCCCAGTAGCTTTAGGACTTGACTTGTGCTGCTAGAAACTGGCAGATTCCTACCTCTTGCTTTTTCTGCTTCACGATCACTCAGTTGGGTCTAGGATAAGTAGTGAGGGAAGTTAATTGTCCTCATTGTAGAGTTGGGGGAACTGAGGACCAGAGAGGTCAAGCAACTTGCCCCAAGTCACACAGCCAAGAAGGGGCAGAACCACAACTCGGATCTAGGTTTACTGACTTTAGATGCCACTCTCTGTCAGATACTCCAGGTAGCCTCTGCCCGAAAATGCTCATGCTTGGCACAACCCAGAGACCTTGGCTTGCCTGGAAGGGCTTTTTTTTTTTTTTTTTTGTTACAGGGTCTTGCTCTCTCAGGTTGGAGTGCAGTAGCGTGATATCAGCTTACTGCAGCCTCAACCTCCGAGACTCAAGTGATCCTCCCACCTCAGCCTTCCAAGTAGCTGGGACTACAGGCACATGCCACCGCACCCAGCTAATTTTTTGTATTTTTTTATAGAGACAGGGTTTCGCCATGTTGCCCAGGCTGGTCTTGAACTCTTGGACTCAAGTGATCTGCCTGCCTCAGCCTCCCAAAGTGCTGGGATTACAAGTGTGAGCCACTGTGCCCAACCTTGGAGGGGACTTTAAGGAACATTTCCTTCTGGCTCTGACCTGTTAGTGGGGCTCCTAAGAAATCACATCATGAGAATAGGGTGGAAGCAAGCTGGCCCTCACTAGCAGCAGGGAAATGGCTCCCAGAAGGGTAGGGCTGGCTGGCAGCTTGACAGCCGTCTGGGTCTAGGAACGACGTGGGGGTGATGTTCTTGCTCGAGAAAGCGTGACATTAAGAACAGAAGATATCTGGGACATTGGGTATCAGGATCAAATGAGGATAGCTTTCTAAACCCTTGCAGTCAGCTCAACAGGCTTAGGGTACAGCATGAAGATAATTGGCTTTGGCTTAAGTGGCTGTGCAACCTTGGGCAACTCACTTAACCTCTCTGAGCTTTGGGTTTCTCATCTGCCAAACTGGAGACTCTTCACTAGGTGCTTGTAAGAAGCCAGTGAGATGATATGGCATACAGAGGATGCAGGAGTTCAGTCTCAAAGGAAGAGTTATGCAGAGGGAAAGACCCAGAGGTCATAGGATGGCAGGTGTCTTACTTGGTCAGGCCTGCTGTGCTATGTGCATTCATTGCAATGTGACTGTGCACATGCAATGTCCATGATTATTGTATAACTTGTTGGCAATGTAATGAGATGGGCCTGGTGACATAAGAAATAGTAACTGGAGGTCGGGCACAGTGGCTCACGCCTATAATCCCAGTCACTTAGGAGGCTGAGGTGGGAGGATCTTTTGAGTCCAGGAGTTCGAGGCTGCAATGAACTATGATCCAGCCACTCCACTCTAGCCTGGGTGACAGAGAGAGAAAGAAGAAAGAAGAAGAAGGAGAAGAAGGAGAAGGAGAAGGAGAAGGAAGAAGAAGGAAGAAAGAAGAAGAAAAAAGAAATCATAATTGGAATCCAGATATTAGATCTAAGGGACATGGTTTCATTTTTAGGAAGTCACATGAAGTAATTATGGTGGAGTTTCAGGGTGGTTTGGTTTGGGTGCAAAAAGGTTGATAAACCCCTTCTTGGGACTTTGGTGACCTGGCAGGAACCTGCCCTGTACAAGCAGAATACCATTGCCACCACCTGAGTGCATCTCCAGCCAAAAATGCGGAAGACCCAAGATGTCAGCCAGTGGTGCCCCGGCCTACTGCCCTGGGCATGTCCTGCTGGAAACCTTTTAGCCCGTGGAGGTCAGCTGCCACCTCTCTAAGACTGCGTCAGGGTGCTCTTTTCATCAGGCCTCAAACCCAGTTCCTCTGCAGAACAACCCAACCCAGACTGGGACGGAGAACGTGGATTCACCATCAAATCCCAGCACCAAAAAGAGTGCTTGGCACATTGGAAGCATTCAGTCAATAACCAATGAATGAGCAAATGTCAAGTAATAAGGCTAAAGAAGAAAGTGGGAGGCAGCCCTCCAAGGGCTTAGCATTTGAGGTGGAGGAGACTGGGACACAGCCGGAAGGCAGTAAGTACCAGGGAAGGGTTCCACACGCGGCACAGTTTGGTGGACGGTTTGGAGGGGGTGAGAAGGGAGGTGGGAGGGATCGATGGGGAGAGGTTGCTGGCAGAAAGCCAAGTGGGAGATGTGAGGGTTAGGACCAGTCCCTGACGAGGTGAGAGGGCAGAGAGAGGTGAAAGGTGATGGGGGGATAGGGAAGGTGGGGGAAGCTCCTGGCAGGGACAGGGTAGTACTGTCCCTGAAATCAGAATCCCTGGGCCTTTGTTTTCTGGGATATGTTTTTGTTTTGTTTTGTTTTGTTTCAGAGGCAAGGTCTCGCTCTGTCACCCAGGCTGGAGTGCAGTGGCGAGATCACGGCTCACTGCAATGACTTCCTGGGCTCAAGCGATCCTCCCACCTCAGCCTCCTGAGTAGCTGGGACTACAGGTATGCACCACCACACCTGGCTAATTTTTTAAAAACAGTTATCGTAGAGACAGGGTCTCGATATGTTGCCCAGGCTGGTCTCCAACTCTTGGCCTCAGGGATCCTTCTGCCTCAGCCTCCCAGAGTGCTGAGATTACAGGCGTGAGCCACCACATGCAGCCGGAATCTCTGGGCCTTGACGTCGTGTGTTGTTGAGGACGCTTCTGCCTCTGGAGGCGGTTGACACTGCAAATGTGTCTGATGTGTTTGTTGACACATTTTTTTTCAGCACCAACTGCCAAGGCATCTGGGATTCGCACAACATTTCAAAACAAAGCCAGGCTTTAGATGTAAACACATTCGGGAGCCTCCGGCCTCAGTGGGCCTCATCAGACACCTTCAGGAGGACACCAGTTCCCTATACAGCAGCTCCTAAACCTCTCAACTAATCGGAGGCAAGAGTGTCCCCTGGCCCCTCCCAGGCGGGGCACACCCATTCAGACAGAAGAAAATGTGGTTCTTTCCTATTAGCTCCAACTCTGTTTATTTAAAGTGAAGTACGTTTTAGGGCTAGGGACCCCTTTTCTGACCAGGATTGGGTCTTTGTTCCTTCTGCCTTTCTTAGATTTCTTTCTGGGATCAAGTTCCTTGTCATGTGTGGATAAGTATGTTACTCTCTGAGTCAAAGAAAAATCTTCCAGTGATACCCCGTGTTGGCGAGGATGTGGCAAGACTGGAACCCTCCCCCGGCTGTGGGAGTGGAGTTGGTGCGATCGATTTGGAGAACTGTCTGGCAGGATCTGCAGGAGCTGTACATGGCCAGCAGTTCTACTCCAAGCTTCGTATCTAACAGAAACACATAAATGGGTACAGCAAAACACACACACGTGAACGTCCACAGCAGTGGTCTTCATAAGAGCCCTGAACTGGAGCTATGCAAATACCCACGGACAGTAGGATTGCAGGATATCCGC